>NC_000007.14:33365242-33990242 GCF_000001405.40 Homo sapiens
TCTTGTTGCCATACTTTGATGCCGGCACATTTGGTGGATCAGTCTCCTTTTTCCAACTTCGTGTGCTGATTTTGGTACGAAAGACCTTCTTCTATGGGAAGGTCAAGGGTGCTGGCAGTATGAGATGTAGAGGTTCTGGCCCTGGCAAGGGCATAGCAATGTAAACTGTTTGCAGCTCTCTTAGCTGTGGTTGGTGTTGGTTAAGATTGCTGGTATCCTCAGTTGCCAACTCTGTGAGTGTTCTCAGCAATAGTGAGGGCTATTGGGATCTTTAATGGCAGTGGATGCTAGGGTACTCCCAATCTCTTTTTCTCCCACCAGGGAAATCATGGCCAAGGGGATCCCTCTTGGCACTCTATCTGGCTTGTGGGCCAGTTTCCAGTGCCTGATGAGTGGTACCTATGGAGATGCCATGGAGCCAAGTCCTGAAGCATGGGTATGTGTAAAGGGACTTTGGTTCTGGGCTTTGGGTGGTAATGGCACCAGTGCCTGGGGCACAGGAACCCCCACTGCTGTGTTGGTGATGGTATGTGAGGCATTAGTGTTTATGAAACAGCCGGGGAGCCCGAGATGGGAGCATGGATGTGTGCAGTTACTCTGGCTCTGGGTTACAGGATGGGACCTTGTCCTCTATGGCAGGTGATGTAATGACTGAACCATAGGAATACGCAGAGAGACCTTAGCTGTAGGACCTCGGGTGTGAGCTGGCTCACTCTGGTGGTAGCTCTGGTATCTGAGACATGGATGGGCATAGTGCAGCCACAGAGCCAGTGTCTGAAGTATGCACATTCATGAAGTGACTGTGACCTGGGGGTTAGGGGAATGTGCAAGGTTTGGAGAGGTGGTGGTTTTGGTTCTGGGGTGGTACAACAGCAGCTACTTCTTGAGCAAGGGAATATGGAGCCATGCCTTCCTCTCTGGGGTTCCCTGGTGGAAATGGCTATTGGTTACCTCAGTGGCAAAAGATGCTGGTGTCTTCTGTGAAGCAGGCTGCTGGGAACCATGGAAGTTCCCACTCCACGGCTGTCACCAATAGGCTGTTGCCTTTATTCTTTGTCACTAGCCATCTGTAGGCATCTTAGGTATGCCGATATAACCAGCCATTTGTTCCGTTTTGCTGCAGCTTCTTACATGGGCCCTTGAGCTCCCACAGGGCTATTATGGTGTTTGAATAGCTGTCTTTCTCTCTCTCTAATTTTTTTGCTGGGGATGAAGACTAGTGTCCCCTACTTTACCATCTTGGTGACATCCTTTACCCCCGTGATGATGTTTAATGTTTCTTTTTTTTTTTCTTTTCTTTCTTTTTTTTTTTTTTTTTTTGAGATGGAGTCTCACTCTGTTGCCCAGGCTGGAGTGCAGTGGCACGATCTCGGCTCCCTGCAGCCTCCACCTCCTGGGTTCAAGCGATTCTCCTGCCTCAGCCTCCTGGGTAGCTGGGACTACAGGCGCATGCCACCACACCCGGCTAATATTTTGTATTTTTAGTAGAGATGGGGTTTCACTGTGTTAGCCAGGATGGTCTCGATCTCCTTACCTCATGATCTGCCCACCTCGGCCTCCCAAAGTGCTGGGATTACAGTCATGAGCCACCACGCCTGGCCTAATATTTCTTTTCTCTGTCACTTTGTCTGTAAATTGGTAAGTTGGATCTACAGCTAGCAGAGTCAAGATTGACTATTCTGGCCGGAGTTCTTCATGGATGGTAGTATAGACTTTCAGCAAACAGAGGGCACATAATATTTGTTTGTCTTTTTTTGTGTGTGATGGTAACAGCCATTGATATCCAATGCTGAGATCCATTAGTTCACTACAGGCTGAAAAATAGATATTTTGTTTCTTTCACACTTTCTTCATTTTTTAGCTGGATTATTTCTACAGAGAGAACCTTTCCTTTAGTAGTTGTTATATGGTGCAGTTTGAGTAGGGTTTTCAGGATAAATGCTTGGTTCTTTCCCTTTATTACTAATTTTTAAAATATTTTAAATAAATAGAGCTTAAAATAAATAGTATTGATTCTCTAGGATCATCCAATAGTGACCATTTGTTTTTATTTTGTTTTTAAGTCTCTGTATGAACTCATGCCTTTAAACATATTTGATGTGTTTTACTCCATTGCAATTATTATTTTCTTTGATACTCTAATATTTTTATCTCTGGCCAGTAGTAGTCTCTTTAAGCTGGCTTTCAAGTTGTTTTCATAAAACCCTACTGGCTCGGTAATAGCTTCCTTGCTATCTGGCATGAAAAGATATTCTAAGTTCATCTTGCACGTGTTCTGTCTCATATGTGGAATCAACCATTAGAATAAATGAAATTAAATGACTCCAGAGTTTTAGTGTAAGGCAGAAATTTCATTAATTGGAAGCTACTATGGAAATCAAGGTGAATATATTATAGCTCACACATGGAGTTTATACATGACTAGTGACATAAAAAACACGCATCATTCAACTAAGGTTCCTATTTCAAATGTGTTCATTTTGCCTTCTGGTTACATAAGGTGATTTCTCTCTTTTCTTTGTAGGTTTTGCCAGTCAGTCAGATGATGATCAGGTGAATGTAATGGGTTTTCACTTCTTAGGAGGTGCTCGAATTACTGTTCTTGCTTCCAAAACTTCTCGTAAGTAAAACCATGTTATCATTGCTTTTTAAATTTTTTTCTAAGGATACCACATCACAGAGGATACTCACATCAATAATTCCTGCAAAGGGTGATGTTCATTTAGATTTCAGTAACTAAAAGCCATGATATTAAGTAGATAGGATGTGAAAGTTATGAAGTGAGGATTGTGTTTTATTAGAGAACACTGATGTTGCCCAAGATTACCTTACCATGATCTAAATTTCACCAAAAATCAGATATGTAACTGATATATTCACTTTATCAGAGTGTATGTAATTTTTGTCTTGGAGCTAAGAAGAGTCTAAGAGAGGAATTTAAAGAAATGAAAAATATTTTTGAGGTAGGTATATGGTGAACTAGATTTGGGAACTCCTAGAACTTGGAATTTTTTTGTTTGCATATATTCTTGTTTATTCATTTTGGACATTGGCAAAGATGACAGTGAAAGTGGATAGCTTTTGCTGAGTGTAATTTCAGTAGGCAGAAAGGTGTAGTAACTATATAGTCAAGTTTGAATTTAAATATGCTTTATTGATTTGGTTGCTTTATGTATGCGAGAATAATAGTCGAAACTAGTCAATGTAAAACTAGCTCTTGACATATGTAGTATACTGAAGCTACTGAGCTTACTGAGTTATACACACCTTCATGGGAATAAAGTAAGATATTAAGAAAGGAAGTATTTAACGAATCTGTATTGAGAGAAAAAAGTACACACACACACACACACACACACACACACACACACACACCCATACCCCCTTGAAATAGTCTGGCTCAGGACATTCCAATTAAAAAAAAAACTCTAGTTTTTCTGGTGAGCTTTCACTTTCTACCCATGCATTTGCAGTTGTAGTTGGTTATTGCTTTTCTAATAATAAGAGTACAATAAGGCCATCTGTTTTTGAAAAAGAAAAGTATTAGCAGGAGGAACAGACATCCCATTTAGAAACTGTAACAATGTTTTTATGGCTAAAATCATAATAGTTTCTGGAATATGTCAATTGGTGACTGGTAAAATAGACTCAGATACTATTGAAGACTCAATAATAGGTCACAGAAATAACAACTCTGAGAAGAAAGAGGAGATTCTTTATTTTCATGATTTTTCTGATTGGTCATGATTGCAGTATTCTTTACATTGGCATCATTTTTTAAAAAACAAATCATTTTATTTTGATAAGAAGACTTAACATGAGATCTATCCACTTAAAATTTCAAATGTATAGTTCAATATTGCTAACTGTAAGTACATAGCACCATTTTGCTTTGATTAGCTTTAATCTCCAGTTGGATGGTAGAACCATTTTGGTGCATTTCTCTTAGTTTAACAGTTATCCTTGGTTAAACTAAAAAAGTTATGCCAACATTTCTTTGGGAAATTGTACACATTTGTTTGACTGCAGTTGATGGTGCCATATAATGAATCTGCAAATGAGACCATTAAAAAAGGCAAAAATTTTTGCAAATGAATATATTTATATCCTAATGTATTTTATTTATAACTTTTAATATAAAGTAACAAGTAGAACCCTGATGTTGCCCACGATTACCTTACTGCTATCTAAATTTTACCAAAAATCAATTATATATCTGATTTATTCTCTTTGTCTGAATGTATGGCAATTCCCTGACTTAGCATAGTGTAGGTACACAAAATCAAATAATGGAATAGGACAGGACCTTTTAAACAAGGAGCCAAATAAACTGTGTAAATTGAAACCTGAATAATAGTCATTACAATTCTATGATGGTTTTTGGCTACAGTGACACACAGAATCCTACCTAGGAGATGCCTATGGTGATGGAGAGAGATAGGTATAAGGAGAGTGTACTTTTCTGAGATTGAGGCAGATGTTGGTGCTCCTACTGCTTTATCAGAGTATTCATTCCTAAGAAAGGAATGAAGTAATTTGTACCCAATCTGTGTTTGACATTTTTCATTTTTTGAAAGGTACCTAGTATTAATTGTAGTCCAGCAATCTGCTTTACAGAAAAATCCTACAAATGAAAGAACCTAGTATTTCTTCCATAGTAAACAGTCAAATGATTCATAAGTCACATAGAATTGTCCTTGACTCTTGGATAGTATTTTCTGTGGGTTCCGTGTATTCATCTCTTTTTAAAACCTGCTTGGTAATCAACCAAGCCTTCATGTATGCTGTATGGCGATTTTAGTTCCTTTTTCTGATTCAGTATAGACCAGTCAAAGCAAACAAGAGAAAAGTAAGGTGTAGCTCATTGTCTCAGACACCAAACCAAATTCCCTGGGGAACTGAGTAGGATTATATTTTTAGAAAGCAGAATAGTAGCTGGGTGTAGCAGCTTACCCCTTTAATCCCAACACTTTGGGAGGCCAAGGTGGGAGGATCGCTTAAGCCTAGCAGTTCAAGACCAGCCTGGGCAACATAGTGAGACCTAGTCCCTATTTAAAAAAAAAAAAAGAAAAGAAAAATTAGCCAGTTGTGGTGGCACATGAATGTAGTCCCAGCTATTCTGGAAGCTGAGGTGGGAGGATCACTTAAGCCCAGGAGGTTGAGGCTGCAGTGAGCTGAGATTGCACTACTGCACTCCAACCTGCGCAACAGAGTGAGACCCTGTCTCAAAAAAAAAAGTAGTGCTTAAATTTGGGAAAAATATGCTAGCAACATTTCTGAAAACTGTTATCACAGTCCTAAATTAAAAATAACGGGAAAGTTCTACTTTTGTGAGATCAAATGTTTTTATAATTAATATTGCAAAATATTTCTGCGTGGATGTCTATAATTTCGAGTGATTCAGTATAATGGGATTTCAGAAAAATATGCTATTATGTAAATACGTGTATATTCTTACGCTGCTTTCCTAAGGTCCAGATCCACATAGTGACTTATTACCATATACAACAAACACTGCTAGCTCTCTCTCCCCAGTCTCTCCTGCCCCTTTCTGTTTCTGTACTTTTCTTGGTCTTGCCTCTCTCTGGTTCTGTTTTTATCTTTTGTCTCTATTTGTACATTGCCTTGTTCTACTTGCTTCTTAAAGAATTTAGAAGAGTTTAAAAGTATCCAAAATATGAAAAGAGAAAATAAGTATTTCAAGAAATCAGAAAGAGAAAATCAGAGCAGGAAACTAATAAAGGTAGAAATAAGATTAATACTCAGAAATACATACTGTATGATCAAAAAGGTGCTAGTCACCTAAAATAATAAGAAATCATTTTGTTTCCATTTTCAGAGTGTTCAAAATATTAAACCTTTTGTTGAGGAGATGCACACCCTTTACTGATGCTGAGTCAAAGATGAAATTTCGCTTATGAATATTCAAAAAGACAGTTCCTTTAATAATATCTCTATAGTTTATATAATTATAAAGATTATGCTTAAGTAATTATGAGAAACAAATTTCACAGAACTTTAGAAAATAATGATAAAACTCCATTTATTAAATATAATTCTCCCTGAGCCCAAATCAGTGTGGTCTAAGCTGCAGCCTGATCCAAGGATAAATTTTGAGTATCTAGTTTTGCAAGTTTTCAGTATCTAGTGTTTTCAATAAGGATTGAGCAACCAATTTCAGTAACTCAGAATTGAGATGTAGGATGAAGGAGGTGTGTATTTTGTTTTTAAATGAGCAATATTAGAACATGTTTGAACATTAATTTAAATGATTGAGTTCAGTGGGAGAGGTTGATGATCAGGAAAGAGAAGTGGATCATAAGTCCGTGAAGAAGAGAGAGGGGATGGGATGCAGAAGCTTGCGGGAGGGTTTGAGGAATAGGCCTTTGTAACTTCTCTGTAACAGGAGGGATCGTATGTACACCTAGGGAGACTTTGTAGATTTGTTAGTGGAGAGATAAAGGAGCTTTGATAATGTATAAATCTGAAAAAAAATAGTGAGAAAATAAGAAAGCAAACTCATGAGGGAAATAGGCATTGTGGAATTTCCATCTAGAGTTTGAGATCCTACATTTTGAATTGAAACCAGCCATCCTTTTTAGGTGATTTTCCCTGGAAGTGATTTGTTTATCAGCATCTAAGCAACTAAAAACAGGGCTCAGATTTTAAAACAGAATTACAGATAAAATGTTTTTAATGAGACTGATTATCATAATGGACTACCAAATCTGAGATGGTAAGGAAATCGGTGACGATTAGAGAAAACTGATACATGGTGAAAAATTAATGGGTTCACCTGATCAAAATTCTTGAAAGTTTGAGGAAGTAAAGTAGTAGGAGTTATAGAGCAAGTGAACTAGGTTAAAAAATAAAAGGGAAAAAAAAGGTAGTGGTCAGAGAATGGATCAGATATTGAGAACAAGAGTTCAGAGAGATTGCAGATTCTGATAATGGCAAGCTCATCACTGGGGGACTGGATTGCTAAAGTGGAGAGAAGACCAATGGGGACAAAGATTTCAAGAAAATGAGGTATCACAGTTGTGGATATTGAAAAGGCCTGTTTGTATTGAGGTACATTCCTTGTGTACCTAATTTATTGAGTTTTTTTAAAATCATGAAAGGATGTTGAATTTGTCAAATGCTTTTTCTGCATCTATTGAAATGATCATATGGTTTTTGCCCTTCATTCTGTTAATATGATGTATCATGCTTATTGATTTGCTTATGTTAAACCATCCTTGCATCCCTGGAATCAATCCCACTTGATCATGGTGAATGATCTTTTTAATGTGCTGTGTTGAATTTGGTTTGCTAGTATTTTGTTGAGGATTTTTGCATCTTTGTTCATCAGGGATACTGGCCTGTAGTTTTCTTCTTTTGTTATGTCCTTATCTGATTTTGTTATCAGGATAATGTTGGCCTCATAGATTGAAATTTGAAAGTATTCCATTCTCTTTGATATTTTGGAATAGTTTGAGTAGAATTGTTATTAGTTCTTCTTTAAATGTTTGATGGAATTCAGCAGTGAAGCCCTCAAGTCCTGGGCTTTTCTTTGGTAGGAGACTTTGTATAACTGATTCAATCTTCTTACTCGTTATTGCTCTGTTCAGATTTTCTATTTCTTCCTAGTTCAATCTTGGTAGGTTTATGTATCCAGGAATTTATCATTTCTTGTAAGTTATCCAGTTTGTTGGCATATAGTTGTTCATAACAGTTTAATGATTCCTTGTATTTCTGTAGTATCAGATGTAATTTCTACTTTTTCTTTTATTTGAGTCTTCCTTCTTTTTTTTTAGTCCAAAGGTTTGTTCAATTTTCTTTATCTTTTCAAAAAACCAGCTCTTTGTTTTGTTGATCTTTTGTATTGTTTTGATGCTTAGCACAATGAATGAGAAAGTACACGCACACTCTCTCTTTCTCTCTCCCTCTCAGACAAAGCATTGTGGAATTTTAGAGCACTGAGGAGCGTATTCTTAAAGATTAGAAAGAAAAAAAACAAGTTACTCAAGATATGAATCAAGATGGCATTTAGCTTTTCATCAAAATAATTCGATGATAGAAGACAACGCAGAAGTTTTCTCCAAGATTGGAGGGAGTTTTCAACTTAGAATGCTGTGTCTTGCTAAGTTGATAATCTGCAAAGAATGCTGAATAGACACATACTCTCAGTGTCACAAAGTGACACTGACAAATTGCAAATACAGGTCAAGCATCCCAAATCTGATAATTCAAAATCCAAAGTGCTCAAAAAGTTTGGAAGTTTGGAGCATTTTGGATTTTGGATTTTTGGATTTGGAATGCCAAACTGCTTAAGTATATAATACAAATATCCCCAAATCTGAAAAAATCTGAAATCCAGAACACTTCCGGTCCTGAGCATTTTGGATAAAGTATACCTAATGTGTAGCAAATTGGTATAGCCTTAGGTAGGTGTTTGAAAAATGGAAAAGGTAACTAATACATCGGATGTTTCAATATCCTGAAAGATTTTTAACATGCTAGGAAGAGTGATTGAATTGAATAAGGTCAAGTTTAAAAATCCTTTTTTTGGTCCATTTTGATTATTTTGCTTTCAGGTATAATAGAAGGATTGTAGTCACATATGTGAAAAATGGTTGGGCCTTGAAATAGGATTTCTTTTGCATCTTCCAAAAGAAATCATATGTCATCTTGAACTGTGTTATACAAAGTACCTGGAGAAAAAGGAAGTGGGAGTATTATTTTACTTCATCTTGGTAGACAATACATTTATTCCCTTTTCATTCAGCAGACATGTTAGGTATAAACACTGTTGTGGCTCTTGTGGAGCTCCTACACTAATGGGAGAGACAAACAGGTAAAGAGAACCAATAATAGAATGCTTGATGTGCTTATAGAAGCATGTTTTTTAGTGCTGTTATATCCCAAAGGATTGAAACTCGATAGAAATTTTGTTTGTAGAGGGTCTTGAGGAAGGAGTAGGAGACTATCAAGTGGAGGTCATTCTAGGAAGAGGGGAAAGTATATCCTGATGCTTGATAAAGCATGAGGTTTCAAAGGATTAGTGAATTTTCTTGTGTGCTGAAAGTTCATGTGGTAAGGGCTCTGTGACAGTCCTTTAATGAGGTCAGGAAACTTAGGGACAAGTATAATAACCAAATCTAAGGTCAACTGATGCCCACCTCATGCCCCGAGAATAGTTTAACTTATACAGTGATTCAGCAATATATTACTGTTAATATTTATTTTAAAATTTCTTAGCAATATTATCAAGTGACAATGAGAATATTATATAAATCTAGCTTGGAAAAAGCCTGTTGAAAAGTAAGCGTTGAGAAACAATCCTTAGTTGCTAATATTGAAGAGGTTGTATATTTAAAATGTTAAACCTACCAAAAGGCCGGGCGTGGTGGCTCACGCCTGTAATCCCAGGACTTTGGGAGGTCGAGGTGGGTGGATCACCTAAGGTCGGGAGTTAGAGACCAGCCTGACCAACATGGAGAAACCTCATCTCTACTAAAAATACAAAATTAGCTGGGCATGGTGATACCTGCCTATAATCCCACCTACTTGGGAGGTTGAAGCAGGAGAATCGCTTGAACCTGCCAGACGGAGGTTGCAGTGAGCCGAGGTCATGCCATTGCACTCCAGCCTGGGCGACAAGAGTGAAACTCCGTCTCAAAAAAAAAAAAAAAAAAAAAACCTATTGAAATAGTTTATGTTATTTCCTCAACATTTTGGTTTAAAAAGCATTCATCTGCTTTTCTGTCTCTCATTTCAAAATTTCCAAATAGCATGAATTGTATAGTTCACTGTTTATGATACGAATACAAGCATTATACTGATGAACTTGAGAAGATGTTCTGACACACATAAAGACTGATGTGATGCATTTTTTTACCTTCCTTAATTAAATATATTCTTTTCTCCATTTGTAATAGAGTGTTATGGAAATTGTCTAGGCTTTGATCATCTAAATTTATTTTATCTGGAAACTGAAGTGGTTATTTCCACTGAGCTACTATTGCAAGATACAAAAGAAAAGAGATAAACAAATTGAGTGTTCATTTTGACAGCTATTTTGATTACTAATATTTCAAGGGCACGTTTTAAAATACAGGTTCTTTTATGTTATATTATAAATAGAAAAATTCATTTCTCCCTCCATGAAATATAAACTCTGGAAAGTCTCCAGGGATAGTATTAACCATCTTGGAGTACTAACACTGAGAAAATGTTTAGTAATCAAAATAATACTTTATAAATCTTGGACTCATTGATTCTTTGGATTTTTGGTAATCTAAAAAAAGCAAAAAATGTTGTTGTGTTTATAAATTCCAAGACTAATTGCAAATTTCTTTCTTTCTTTCTTTCTTTTTTTTTTTTTTTTGAGACAGAGTCTTACTCTGTCACCCAGGCTGGAGTGCAGTCACAATCTTGGCTTAGTGCACCCTCTGCCTCCCAGTTCAACTGATTCTCTTGCCTCAGCCTCCTGAGTAGCTGGGACTTACAGGTGTGCACCACCACACCCAGCTAATTATTTTGTATATTAGTAAAGATGGGATTTCACGCCCAGGCTGGTCTTGAACTCCTGAGCTCAGGCAATCTGCCTTCCTTAGCTTCCCAAAGTGCTGGGATTACAGGTGTGAGCCACTGTGCCCATCCTAATGGTAAATTTTTTATTCCAGAAAAATTGTTTTTTATTTTTCTTCTGTATATGTTGATGAAAAATTAAGAAAGAAACAGAAACTAAAAATTTAAAGTTACTGAAAATATCACACCTTTTTAAATGTTTATTATGAGTTTTACATTAAAAAAACTTTTAGGTTCAGGGGTACATGTGCAGGTTTGTTATATAAGTAAACTTGTGTAATGAGGGTTTGCTGTACAGATTACTTTTCTCACCCAGGTACTAAGTGTAGTACCTGAAAATTATTTTTTCCTGATTTTCTCCTTCCTCCCACCCTCCACTCTGAGGTAGGCCCCAGTGTCTCTTGTTTCTCTGCTTGTATCCATGTGTTCTCATTATTTAGCTCCTACTTATAAGTGAGAATATGCAGTATTTTTTTTTGTTGTTGTTATTGTTCCTGCATTAGTTTGCTAGGAATATTGGCCACCAGCTTCATCCATGTTTCTGCAAAGGACATGATCGTGTTCTTTATTATTGCTGCACAGTATTCTATGATGTATCCCTACCACATTTCCATTATCTAGTCTATTGTCAATGGACATTTAGGTTGATTCTTTGTCTTTGCTATTGTGAATAGTGCTACAATGAGCATATGAGTGCATGTATCTTTATGGTAGAACGATTTATATTCCTTTTGGTATATACCCAGTAATGGGACTGCTGGCTTGAATGGCAGTTATGTTTTAGTTTTTTGAGGAATTGCCACACTGCTTTCCACAAGGGTTGAACTTAATTTACACCCCCACCAGCAGTGTATAAGCATTCTTTCTTCTCTGCAATCTTGCTAGCCTCTGTTATTTTTTGACTTATTTTTAATATTAACATTTCTGACTGGTGTGACATGGTATCTCATTTTGGCTTTGACTTGAATTTCTCTAATGATCAGTGATATTGAGTATTATTTCATGTGCTTGTTGGCCATATGTATGTCTTCTTTTGAAAAGTGTCTGTTCGTATCCTTTGCTCACTTTTTAATGGGGTTGCTTTTTTTTTCTGGTAAATTTGTGTAAGTTCCTTATAGATTCTGGATATTAGACCTTTTTCCAGTGCATAGTTTACAAATATTTTCTCTTATTTTGTAGGTCATCTGTATACTCTGTTGATAGTTTCTTTTGCTGTGCAGACGCTCTTTAGTTTAATTAGATCCCATTTGTCATACTTGCTTTTGTTGCAATTGCTTTTGGTGTCTTTGTCATGAAATCTTTACCAATTCCTATGCCCAGAATGATATTTTCTAGGTTGTCTTCCAGGGTTTTTATAGATCTGGGTTTTACATTTAAGTCTTTAACCCATCTTGAGTTGATTTTTGTATGTGGTGTAAGGAAGAGGTCCAGTTTCAATCTTTTGCATATTGCTAGCCAGTTATTCCAGCACCATTTGCGTGTTTTTGTCAGCTTTGTTGAAGATTAGATGGTTGAAGGTGTTCAGCATTATTTCTGGGCTCTCTCTTCTGTTCTGTTGGTCGATTTGTCTGGTTTTGTACCAGTATCATGCTGTTTTGTTTACTGTAGCCCTGTAGTATAGTCTGAAGTAGGGCAATGTGATGCTTCCAATTTTGTTCATTTTGCCTAGGCTTACCTTGGCTATTTGTTATATTTTTTTTGTTTCATGTGGATTTTAAAATAATTTTTTCTAGCTCTTGAAGACTGTCATTGGTAGTTTAATTGGAATAGTATAGAATCTGTAAACTGCTTTGGGTAGTATGGCCATTTCGATGATATTGATTCTTCCTGTTCATGAGCACAGAATGTTTTTTCCATTTGTTTGTGTCATCTCTGATTTATCTGAGTAGTGTTTTTGTAGATTCTTATTGTAGAGATCTTTCACCTCCCTTGTTAATTATATTTCTAGATATTTTATTCTTTTTGTGGTAATTATGAATGGGATTGTGTTCCTGATTCGGCTCTTGGCTTTATGTACAAAATCATTAGGAATGTGAGGTGTAGACTCAAATTGATAGTTTAGATCCCAGCTCTAGCTTAAAATTCTTCTGAATGACTTTGGAAAAATTAAATAACCATTAAAAAATTTATTAAATGGCCCTAAAATAGTACTGTAGTATTATATATGAATCAAATGAAATAACCCCTAAAAAGCACATAATAATTTCCTGATGCATTGTAAGTGCTAGGTAAATTTTGGCTGCTTGTATTATTTTCATCCTTATTACCATTAGTACTATCCACTGACGTCACCTTCTCAATGTGGCCTTTCCCGACCATAGCATCTCAAGAAAGGCCACCCATTTGTCTTTATCACAGCACCTTTGTTTCTGCATCACAGTATTTTCATAGGTCTGTTTCATATGTTATTCACTTGTTTATTTTCTGCCCTTCTCACTAGAATGAGGACTAGGATCATGTATGTGTTGTTCACTATTATCTCCCTAGCACTTATCACTCAGCAATATTTTTTGAATAAATGAATAGATGCAGTGTTACCTTGAGTCTTATTTAAACTATAAACAAGAATTATCTTCTATTACCTCTCTTTTATAAAGAGAATTTCGTCCCTTTGATTTGTCTCTTTCCTTTGAACCTACTGCATGTGATGTTTCTCTGTTACTTTATCTTTAGAGAGGGAAGTCTTTGCCCAATATGGGGGGATTGAGATGGGCCTTTCGGAGAGCTCATAGGCCCCTGTTGAGGTAATCCAAATTTTTATAAAAGGAGAAGAGAAAAGCTTAGACTTATTCACATTTCATTTTGTCAGAGATTTTTTTGTTTGTCAGGACAGTAAAAGGAAGGAGCTCCATAGGCAGCTGAGGCAGACACTTGACTTCGCTGGAGGAAGAGTTTGGGGCACTGCTGCCTTTCTTGGTTAGCCCACAGCATCCCCCATTTTCTTTCATACAACACACATGCCCAGTGTAAGCTATGAGTGAAGACTCAGCCTAGCAGTTTCACTGAGGTATTGGAGTAGGTCCTAATTGGGTTTGTCTTTCCTCATCAAGAACTCAGCTCTGGCCAGCTGAGCTTGGGCATGCTATTGGTGTTCTGCTGAGAATCATGTCCATGTTTTTTCCCCAGTGATAAATTCTGATCAATTTTCACAGTAACTTATGGCGGATAGGCTTGCCTGGACGTACCTGAACATGCTTTGTTTCCAGATGTTTTTGCAATACCTACATGGGTGATTTAACAGAAGCTGGTATAATGTCTTGTTATAGTGCAACATAAAAACTGCTTACTGCACTTCAGACGTACTACGTTCCTCGTCTGTGTTTTATAAACACATTTCTGCCTCAGTGCCTTTGTCCCTACAGTTCTTTTGGCTTGCAATGCTCTTTCCATAGATTTCCCCATGGCTTGCTCCTTTACTTCATTCAGGTACCTTGAATTATATATGTGTCTTTTTACTTCTGGGGCCAGATGATACAGTTCTTTAAACGTGTGATAATAATCCTAGTTGTTTATGTTTATCTTTTTTAAGATTGTAATACATTTTCACTGAAAATTTATAGTTGAATGGAATAAATTCCTCTCTACAGCTCTATTTTATTTCATATATAAAGAATTTTATTCTTTGTATATATTTAGGCTAACCCCAAGTTTTTTCTATCTGCATGTGGAAGCTTATTCAGAATCCTTCTAGAAACTGAATGAATTGAATTTTCTTTGAAAAATTAGCACTGTGAAATTTCTGTAAAAATTTACAGCTATATTTGAAATGACAGTAAATCGTATGCTAAAGAAAACATATTTTATTAAAGATAGTTGTTTTGTATCTGCTATGTGAAAGTTACTTGATTAGCTGGGTGCTGTGTAGGTCCAAAGAAATTTATGATATCTCTGCCCTTTATTTTATAATAAATTGGGGAAAGTAATGAAAACAATAATGACAATAAGTAACATTTATTGAGTGCTTAATATGTCAAGCATTGTTTTAAGTGTTTTATTTAAAGGTACATATACGTGAAAGGAAATGAGCATATTAAAGCAGAAATTTCAGAATCTGGGAGTTGTAAAGGATCGTGTTCAACCTTACGAACCTGGTGGAAGCTCTCTAATGCTTTTGGCAGGTATTCCTGCAGGATCTCCATAGGAATTCACAAGAAGGGCTCTGAGCTCCTGAAGGAGAAGCTGCACAAAGCTCACAAGGAGCTGCAGCTGAAGGGCGAAGACTGTGAGCAGCTGTTCCTAGTGCAGGAGCAGCTGCACGGGAGCTGGAGGAGCTGATGACTAGCCTGTTTGAGGAAGCCCACAAGATGGTGTGGGAAGCCAGCATACAGCAGGCAGTGTCAGAAAAGCAGCTGAATGCGGAGGCATGGGGAAAGATAGACATGCTGCAGGCAGAGGTGACAGCTTGAAGACACTGGTCATCATGTCCACACCAGCCTCTCCCAACTACAAGCTCCACCTGCACCTGCTGAGCCCCACTAAGGGTGGGCCCTGCAAGGCCCACTGCCAACCTAAGAGCACCAGCAGTGCCCTCTCCTTGGCCTTGTGCCCCACTGTGAGACATGCCCTCACCTTGGACAAGGAGGTGGATGTGACACTATTGGCAGAGTTCCAAGCCTGGAAGGAATTACCTACCTTGGACAAGACCTGTTCCTTGCTGCAAAGGGTGTAGTGGGAGGATATGGACCCCTGCCTGGACTTCACAGTGCAGAATCTCTTGCCACAGGTGTAGGCCTCTATGGGGGACACCACACTCACTATCAAGCCTGTGGCTCTGCAGAAGCTGCCTATAGTGAGGGTAACTGTGGTCAATTGTGGCAGTGCCAATATATGTGTCTTGAGCAATTTGGCCCATACCTGCCACCACCACCACATCTGGCTTTGTGACTTTGCGAGCCACTACCACATCTCACTGTCTTCTCAGGCCAGGATCACTGCAGTGTGCAACTTTTTCATCTATATCTGCTACATCCACAAGGCCTGGTGCGACAGGATTTGAAGCCAGTGTTCTGGGAGATCACAAAGCTGTGAAAAGAGATACAGCTGGCCAAACTCAGCTCCCCCTAGAAGCCTAGGGTGTTACCTGGGCCTAGATGTGGGCTGCCTAGGATGGACAGACACACATAAAAATAAGGATCCTGGTACAAGATCTGAGACAGGTCTGTACCTCATGAAATGATCTTTCTTTCACACCGAGTTCTGCAACTCACAGGTGGACTTTCAAGAAAATACCAAAGACCAGGGGGTTCAGAGCCTGAAAAACACTTTTAATGGCAGTTTTTCCTGAGGCAGCCATGAGCATCTATCATTGTTAATATAGTTCTTATCATGTATTGTGCCCTTTGCATCTCTCTAGCTGTTGTCTAATTCTTCTGTTATGTGATAGGCCTTCCTATACTTGAAAATGGTAGTGTATCTTCTTGCGGGGAGGTCCTGGCACCCCTGTGGCAAGGTCAGCCCTAATGATTGGTCCTGAATCAGTGATGGCAGAAGAGTGATGGCAGAAGCAGTATTCAGTCTTCTGCTATCAGGCTCTCTTTCCAAGTCTCCTGGGAGCTCCTTGAGGGCAGAAGCTCTTCTTCCCTTATTCCTGATTTTATCCCCAGTGTCTTGCACTGAGTTACGTAAATGAATGAAAGTAAATAAATACAATCTAGAGTTAATATGTTGGATCTCAAGCTTAGTGTGGATAAGACTAGATTTAAAAGGTTCTTATACGGTACTTTATCATCATTATTCTCCCATCTACCTCTCTACCCCTGCCCCGCCACAACTGTACTATCTCTAAAACATTAAAACTTCAGTGTCATTTATTTACAAAAGTAAATATTTGGTGGCATTTATTTTAAAAAGTATTATCTTTGATTAAGGAAAACACCTAATCAGCATTATGGGCAGAACTCAGCATCCAGAATAAGACTGGGGTGAAGGGAGGGGTGGTGAAGCTTCAAGGAGAATGGGGTATGACTTCAGCAGCAAAGACCAGTGTGTTTGCATGGATTGTGACAGGCATACCCAGTATATTTTATTCTTTATCATTGTGAAAGGGAATGACTAGGGATGAGAGGAGATATACTATTGAATTCTGGATGGAGATGACAAATTGAAGTCCTAATAACCAATCCGAAGAAGTAATTGCATTTATAAAATTTACCACAGTTACCATGGGGAACATAAAGAAATATTTTATATGTCCATGTATCATGCTACTCTAGCTAGATCTTAGATTCCCTAAGCAAGAAGACTGAGTTCATCTTTGTACTCCCAGTGTGTCTCTTTATGACATCTGCATAATAGATGGTCAATAAGTGTTGAATTAAATGGAATAGAGGACTTAGTCCTAGATCTCAAAAAAGTGTATAATTCCTGACCCAGTGTGGCAGCTCATGTCTGTAGTCCCAGCACTTTGGGAGGCCGAGGTGGGTGGATCACGAGGTCAGGAGTTTGAGACCAGCCTGACCAACATGGTGAAACCCCATCTCTACTAAAAATACAAAAATTGGCTGTGTGTCATTGCAGGTACCTATAATCCCAGTTGTTTGGGAGGCTGAGGCATGAGAATCACTTGGACCAGGGAGGCTGAGGTTACAGTGAACTGAGATCATGCCACTGCACTCCAGCCTGGGTGACAGAGTGAGACCCTGTCTCAAAAAAAAAAAAAAAAAAGTGTATAAATTCCTTTAAAGGGAGCAAATGTAATAATCTTGGAAGTTATATAAGAATGCATGGTTTTACGTAGTTAAGTGCCTAGTGAACTGTAGACATAGTAAGTCTCTATATAAATTCAGGAAGACACAATGTTATGAGGCAGTTAAGATTAATATCTAGTGTTCCAGTGCCTGCTCTCTTACTAACTGGCTAGTAACACTATTTCTCTCATAGGGCTGTTAGGGTTTAAATGAGAAAGTGAATGTAAAGTGCTTAAAATGTGGCTGGTGCAGATTGAGCTCCCATGGATATCAGAGAAATCAAGATTTGAGTAGATGAGATTAAAGCCAGGTCCTGATGAAGAAGTACGATTTAGGCAGAAGGATATGAACTATTAATTCTAGCACTGGCATTTAATTGCTTTTGATCTTTGGCAAGTCTGTGAAACTCTCTGTGCTTTATTTTCCTTTGTATAAAAAAGGGGCTATTGTAATCACAGTTCTTGGTACACAGTTTATGCCCAACAAATAATAGCTGTTCTTATCATAGGTGTTATTACCACCTCTCTTACCATCATTGTCACCATTGTTGTCATCATTTTCAGGGTAGAGAATAGCTAGAAATTGGTCATCTTGGAGTAGTGGAGCTGAGGTCTCAGGGAATAAAGGGAAACAAGATTTATATTTAGAAAAGGGTCTGACTGCAAAATCTCTCTTCAAATTAAATAACTATTAGAAAAATAGAAAGCTTTGATCATGATTACAGTGAATTATGCTGATTGCAGTATCCAGGGTATTGAATTTTATATAGAATCAATTTTACTTCAGTATTTTGAAATGATACTAATGATAACAAATTGTATTCTTGCAATGGCTCTTTTCTTTTTAAGTACAGGCCTTTTTAAAGGACCCAAATTTGGGTGTTTTTATTGTACTGAAGCCTATTATAAGATATATAACAAAAAGGACCATGCTTTACACTTTGCCACTGTGACCACCTACCTTTGGAATTAGATTTGAAAGTGTTAAGTGGTTGATGCAGGGAGCAATGAAACAGTGAAAGTATTTTTATAAAGCCAGTGTAATCATATCTTTGTTACAAAAATGAAATCTTTGAACTTTTAAAGTCAGGATTAGTGATAGTTCATGTAGCTTTATCTAGTAATTCTGTGTTACTAAGCATTTTTCCTTAATTTTTTTCTCTCAGAACGATATCGCATTCAGAGTGAACAATTTGAAGATCTTTGGCTCATAACCAATGAGCTTATTCTTCGCCTTCAAGAATATTTTGAAAAACAGGGAGTCAAAGATTTTGCATGTTCTTTTTCGGGATCTATACCCCTTCAAGAATATTTTGAGTTGATTGATCATCATTTTGAGGTATGTATGATCATAACCCACATCATCTATAATCCTTAAATATATGAAAGAGAAATAGATGCTATAGAAGGATTCTGTATGCATGCCATTAGGCTATGTGCTTCTAGTTGTTTTTCTTATGTGGATGGTGGATTTCGTGAATCCATTCCTGCCCACTTGCCCAGTTTGTGATCAATTACAGACATTTACAGAATGGCTGCCTGGAGCTAACCATGTCGTCTGGCCCTGGAACAGAGCTGATTTAATTCTCCCACATGGAGACTTAGCCCTTGACCCCAATAACCCAGTGTTAAAACTATTTGAGCTTATCGGAGGCCATTTGGCTAACTAATTCTAGCAGGCCATAAATGAGGTGTGATTATAAAGTAAAGTGATTTTTCTTTTTCTTTTTTAACAAGCATACCAGAACTTCTGCATCTGAATGAGGGTTAACACTTAAAATATTCCCCAGTATCTGGCACAGTGGGTGCTTACTAAATGCTGAATGATTACATATATGAATAAATGTGTTCTAACAGTAACTTTGTTGCTCTGAATATTTTGCATTTCTTCTTTGGAAGTGCCTTCAGAGCCTATGTTAGATTCTCTTGAGTATTTCAATGGTGACATGTCTTCATCTTTTGAAGATTGATTTGATGATTGGGACTAGCCAAATATTTGTTTTGTGAGTGGATTTGACAGTGACAGTCATAGTTTTTTTAAAAGTCCCATGTATTCCAGTCATCAGGCTCCACTTACATAGTCTATAAACACTCTACAGACAATACAAGAGGGGAATTTTGAGAGAATTTTGAACATTATCCAAGTAAGCATTGGTTCTTGGGACTACATTTCAGTTTAGGAGTGTGTGTGCATGTGTCTGTGTGTGTGTGTGTGTGAGAGAGAGAGAGAGAGAGAGAGAGAATTACCAGTCATATAATTTTTCAGCCAACCATTGAACATTCTAAGAGCATTGACTTTCAGCTATGAAGACTTCTTTAATGTAGTGTGAACATAAAAAGAAAATTTCAGGTGTATACAATCGAATTATGAATAATTATGTCATAATTCCTCATCTATGATGAGGATCTGTGATGACAATATTTTCTAGGAACGCATGCCTTTGGTCAAATTGTAGCACCAAAATTGACACAGTCTGTAAGAGTATGTTTAGGTATCGTATGGAATGAGAATCTTTGCAATTCCTTGGGATATATTTTAAGAAATTCTTGCTTCGCTGTTGGAAACTTAAGTGTAGTGATTTGTGAAAGGGTCCATGGAAAGACTATACCAATTATATATTTGTAATATTTGAAATAGAGAATACTAGATACTATTGACTAATAAGTTTGACATATAATTTTCCCTTTATACTTTCTGGCTAGTAAGTAACTCCTTGGAGCTTCTACATCAGGGGAGTGTCTTTTCTGAGGAGGGACTTAGAGAATATGGTGAATGACAGGCACTTTCATTTGTTACACACATAAATTAAGGGGGGCGTTGTTATGCTTCCTTTGTTCTCTATCTCCTTTCTCTGCTTTCAGCCATTAGTAAGATTTTAAACTTTGAATACAGTTGGGTTTTGGAATCCAAGTGTGCCTTGGAGTGTAAATTTCATGAAGGCAGAAATTTTTGTCTGTATTATTCATTGCTTTAATTTCTAGTGCCTGGACCAGGGTTTGGCTCTGAGATCAACAGATATTTGTTAAGCATTGAAATTCTGACATGTGAAAACATTTCAATCACTGCTGCTTTGTTACACATTCAAAGGAATGATAACCTGGTTGATAGTCTGAGTATTGAGAACATCTTTTTAATTTTTTAGTGTATCAAGAATTTAGGAAATAAATTATTACAGCAGTAAATTATACAATTAAAAGAATGAATTATTGATAATTAGGTTAATGTCCTTTTAAAAACTTTATTTTAAAATATTTTTATTACAGGAAATAAATTATAGCAGTAAATTATACAATTAGAAGAATGAATTATTGATAATTAGGTTAATGTTCTTTTAAAAACTTTATTTAAAAATATTTTTATTACTTAATTTTTGGTATTTTTTTGCTCAAGGGAATATTCTTTGATTTAATTAGCTACTGAGTGCTTCTAAAGAGAACACTTGGACACAGGAAGGGGAACATCACACACCGGGGCCTGTTGTGGGGTGGGGGGAGCGGAGAGGGATAGCATTAGGAGATATACCTAACGTAAATGACAAGTTAATGGGTGCAGCGCACCGACATGGCACATGTATACATATGTAACAAACCTGCACGTTGTGCACATGTACCCTAGAAATTAAAGTATAATAAAAAAATAAAAAAATAAAAAGAAGAAAATGTCTCTCAAAACTGAAGGGTAAATAAAGACAAAATACATGAATACACTTTAAAAAAGTTAAAATTTCAAGTTACTTTTATTTCATATGTAATTGTAGAATGCATGCACTGAAAGGGTAAGGAATTTGGTTTGTTACTAGAAATGTAGACTACGATATGTTTGACTTCTGAGCATTTTGAATATGATGTTTATTTCAGCTAGTTTATTACTGTTTTGTAAAGTTGAGTTAGTGATTCACATGACCTAATCTTATGAAGTGTCCCTTTTACCCTGTGACTTTGACTAGCTTGCTTTCATTTATTTATTTATTTATTTATTTATTTATTTATTTATTTATTTATTTATTTTGAGACGGGGTCTCGCTCTGTCGCCCAGGCTGGGGTGCAGTGGCACGATCTCGGCTCACTGCAAGCTTGGCCTCCTGGGTTCACGCCATTCTCCTGCCTCAGCCTCCTGAGTAGCTGGGACTACAGGTGCCCACCACCACGCCCAGCTAATTTTTTGTATTTTTTTTTAGTAGAGACGGGGTTTCACTGTGTTAGCCAGGATGGTCTCGATCTCCTGACCTCGTGATCCGCCCGCCTCGGCCTCCCAAAGTTCTGGGATTACAGGCGTGAGCCACCGTGCCCGGCCGCTTTCTTTTAACAATATTAATTTAAATGAGATGGGTTACAGTGAAGAGAGTCATTTAGGATTCTAATTCCCCAGCCACTCAATCTCTTCTTTGGAGGCAGTGTTTGGTGTCCAGTTTCTTGTATATCTTTCTAGAAATATCCTATGCAGTCACAACTATGTTAATATATAGGTTTCTTTTTTTTAAATAAAAAATAATGGTAGCACATTATACATACTATTTTGTATTGTTTTGCTTTGTTTCATTTATCATATTTGCACAGCATTGCATATCAGCACATAGTAGTCTTGCAGAATAGTCTTCCTTATTTAACCAGTTCCCCTATTGATGGGAATTTTGATTATTAATAATGTCTTACTATGATAACAATAGATCAAACAATTTTGTAATGGGTATCCTGATATATACATTACTTTTGGCAAGCATATCTCTAGGATACATTTCTAGAAGTGGGATTGTTAGGTCAAAGGCGTATGTTTAAGAGGTATTTGTATTAACTTTTATGTAAAACTTTGCCCATTTTTCTATTGGATTGTTGCTGATTTCCTACTGATTTCTGTTAGGTTGTGGTCTTTTTCTCATTGATTTGTAGATGCTTTCTAGATATGGGCATGACTTTGTCTCTGTAGTTATTGCTGTTATTTTTTGCAGTTTGCTATTTGTCCTATTTTCTTTATAATTTTTTAAAATCATGTGGAATTAAATGTTTTTGTTTTTTTTAGTTAGTAATTTATCAGGGGTGTGTTTGTGTGTTTGTTTGTGGGTGTGGCTTTTAGCTTTTGACTTACACTAATAAAGGCCTTTCCTATACCAAGATCATTTTAAAAATTCTGATTTTTCTGGTGCTTTTATTGTGTCTAAACTTTTAATCTCTGCATTGATTTTGCTGTAAAGAATGAGAAAAGATTTCTATTTTTTCCCATGTAACCAATTATTGAAAAACACTTATTAAATGATCTGTTTTTCCTCCAGTGATACTGGTTAACTTTTACAATTTTCCATTTGATCTGTTCCACTGTATTATCTGTGAATTAGTGATTCATGTACCAAATACCACATTGTTTTAATTCCCTTAACTCTATAATGCATTTAAATTTCTTCATTACTCTTTTACTTTTATTATCATTGTGTGTATTTTTTCTTTAAAGATGTTTTTTGTGTCCATTTAATCTCAATTTAAGAAATTATTCATTGCAGCTACGGATAAATGGTGAAAAATTAGAAGAACTCTTATCTGAGAGAGCTGTACAATTTCGGGCCATTCAACGCCGGCTACTAGCAAGATTCAAAGATAAAACTCCTGCCCCTCTTCAACACCTGGACACCTTGTTAGATGGAACCTACAAGCAGGTCAGTATAATATCAGTAACAGTTTTCTATTACTGGCTATACTTTTTTTTGTCACCCTAGAGTCATGTACCAGAATATCCAAGATAAGGTACTCATTTCCAGTGCTTTAAGGAACAGTGAACAGTGCACAAGCTTTAGAGTCAGAAAAACCTAGGTTCAAAGTCAAACTCTGCTGCTTTCTAATTGTGTGACCTTGGGTAAATTACATGAGCGCCCTCAGTTTCCACATATTACCTCCCGGAGTTGTTGTGAGGATTTTTAATCTTTTATGTAAAGCAACAAGAACAATGCCAGGCACGTAATATGTGCTTGATAAATAGTAGCTATTATGATTAGTATTATGAGACAATTCTTGGTGCATTCCATAATTATTACCATAATTCTCCAATTGTCTTACCAAGCAACTGGCTCATACTTCTAGTATTATGTCAGTTGATATTTTGAGATGGAATTCTTAAGCATCATAGTTCAAAAAGTTCTAGTTCAAAATATATTTTTTCTTCTTGATCACCTTCCATCCATAGTTTATCATTTGCATGGCTAGGTGATCTGGCTGTCACTCTTAAGGCACTGTCTCTCCAAAAACTATTCAAAACATCTCTCACTTAAAAATTATTTTTTAAATTTTAAAATAATTTTAAAAAATCATGAGAAGGCTTCTACCAGTTCTGTTATAATGTCTTTGAATGGTTATAATGAAGACTTTGAATGACTATATTGTGTATTCCTATATTTCTTCACAATGTTACTCTCCTGTTTCAAAGTCAGTGTTGCTGGTATGAATAGTCTGTTGATTTTTTGAATTGAGTTTTTTAATTGAGATAATTCTATATTTCTGTGCAGTTGTAACAAATAATGCAGAGAGATCTCATGTCTCCTTTAACTGCTTTCTTCCAATGGTAACATTTTGCAAAACTATGGTATAATATCATAAGCAGTATATTGATATTAATAAAATCCACAGGTCTTATTCTGACTTACTTGTACTCATTTATGTGGGTGCGTGTATTAAGTTGTATACAATTTTATCACCTGTGTAGATTCAGCATCCGCCACCACATTCTAGACGCTTCACCACAGGACTCCTTCATGTGGTCCTTTATCACAACATTTCTGCCCTTCTCCCCTGCCCCACTCCATTCTGTTGATTTTGAAAGGACAAATCAGATTTTTGTTTTCAGAATTAATTTTCCTAGGGGACAGAAAAATAGCTTACTATGTTTTTGCTCATAATACATTTGTTTCTTAAAATTTTCTTGGTTAGGCTGGGCATGGTGGCTCACGCCTGTAATCCCAGCACTTTGGGAGGCCTAGGCGGGCGGATCACGAGGTCAGGAGATCAAGACCATCCTGGTTAATACAGTGAAACCCTGTCTCTACTAAAAATTCAAACAATTAGCCGGGCATGGTGGCAGGCACCCATAATCCCAGCTACTCGGGAGGCTGAGGCAGGGGAATCGGTTGAACCCGGGAGGTGGAGGTTGCAGTGAGCCGAGATCGCGCCATTGCACTCCAGCCTGGGTGACAGAGCAAGACTCCATCTAAAAAAAAAAAAAAAAAAAAAAAAAAAATTCATGGTTATTTGAAAATTAGCAGCAATTTAAAGGACAGTCTATAGTAGCAGTGGAATATTGGAAAGAACACTGGGCTTGGAATTCAAACACCGCAGTGTTGTTGCTTATTAGATGTATGGTTTTTGGCAATTCCCTTACCCTCCCAGAACTTCTGTTTTGTTCCATAAAATGAGATGACTACTCTTTTGTTACAAAGATTATATTCCATAATGTATGGAATTTACAAAATTTGTTCCACAAATATAGACTGCCAATTTCGTGTGTGTGTGCTGGGGTAATTATATGATTCTTCAGTCAGTAGGCACCAATGCCCTGTCTGTTCCACACCTCTTTTCCTCTTTAGTACTCTTTTTGTTTTGTTTTGTTTTCTATTTCCTTCCTTCTTTTCCTTTTCCTTTTTCCCATTTCTTTGTTCACTTTTCTTTCTCATTCTGGGGTCTACCGTCATCCCTGCCTGCCATACTTGAGGCTGAAGGTATGGTCAACCTTGTATTTAATGATGCTGTATCTTTTTGTAGACACAATGGTGGAAGGGCATTTAAAGGAACTTGAAGAGGATGCTTGATTTAATGCTTTCCAGATTTTCTATATAGTAAGACTTCGTCTTTTATACATTTAAAGTGCAGAGGTTTTTATTTTTTTCTGCTTAGCCTCAAGGTTGAGGTTTTCCATGATTTGTAATATTACAGACAAGACGATCAAAACCATGGCTTTTCACTTGAATGTATATTGTTAAGTCCCATTCCTTTTAGATTAATGAAAAGAATGAATAAACATTTGAAGGAAAAATATGAGTACTATAAGGATTTTGACTTAATTTTTATGTACCTTGCCATTCAATTTTATTATATGTATATATTTGTAATAAATGAGGGTGAGGTGTTGATTGTTCAATAAGTTTCATGAGCATAATAAAGTCTATTTTAATTCCGTTTAGTCAGTTTTTTAATGACATACTTAACACATGAATATAATTTCCCAAAGAAAATTATAACATTATACGTAATGCTAAATTTCCCA
Organism: Homo sapiens; assembly: GCF_000001405.40. Taxonomy (NCBI): domain Eukaryota; kingdom Metazoa; phylum Chordata; class Mammalia; order Primates; family Hominidae; genus Homo; species Homo sapiens. Next base: position 33,390,739 of record NC_000007.14, read on the forward strand.
TCTTGGTTCCTTATCATCTGCTCAGAAATGTAATCATTCTTACTGTTTTTGTTTCTTTCCACACCTCTTTTTTTGGCACATAGAAATGAAATATTGTTTCACCAGGCTAAAGAAAAACTCCATAAAGAGTATCATATGATATGTATTAATCTAGCTCTCTTTTTTCTTTTTCTTCTAAAGTATGTACTGGAACTCTTTGCATATTAGTGCATAGATGTACTTCTCTATTTGTAATGGTTACATAATAGTTTATGATATGGACAGTCTGTAGTATGGACAATCACAGTTTATTAAAGGACAAATCTTAATAATAGTTTTAATGTTGAGTCTAACATTGAGAAATCCTTTTTCGACAACTCTCCTGGGATCGAACAAGCATACCACCTACCTTATTATCACATACCTTCTGTTCAGTGTTTTTCTTATCTTTATGCTTTGCCTAGGTAGGGAGCATGATTTACTTGATGGATTAGTCAAGCTCATGAAATAACAAGCCATGCTAGAGTCCATTCCTGTCCCTGTGGCATAACTCCACTGCATGACTTTACTAGATTTTTAAAGTCTTTTCCCAACGTACCGCTTTAAAATTAGATCTGCTACCTGTTTAGCGTTTTTTTTCCTCCTGTGATGGGATCTTTTAATTTTTCAGCAAAATGTTCTCTATGAGACACACATACACACATGCACACATACACCAGCATACCCATACATACACACTACCTTACAGGTATGTTGTACCAGATTGTAGCTCAACCAATAGTGTATGAAAATGCCTGCTTTCCTAGGTATTATTACTTATTTTCATCTTTACAATTTTTAACTGAAACAGTAATTTGATTGTTGTTTTACTTCTTACCTCTTTTGTTGCTTACCAGAGATGCTGCATATTTTTCACATGTTAATTGGCCATTTGTATTTCTTTTTTATGACTTGCGTATGTACACATTTTGTTTAATATTCTATCATGTTCATCTTTGTCTTACCATTTTGTGTATATTGAGGGATAATCTTTGGTCATACTTTCATCATGCATGAAAATACTTGGTACCTATTTATGTATGTAATCTCTCATACATAAAAAAGTTTTACCAATTTATCATTTGCCTGTTATTTTTTATTTGTAATGTATTTTTGACACATGAGGTTTAAAAAAACGTTTGTGTAGTAAAATCTGTCCATCTTTTTCGTTTAGGTTTCTCTGCCTAGGAAATCCTTCCTTATGTATGCCAAGAGTATATGAATATCAATTTATAAATTATTCTAACACTTCTATGCTATGATTCTTTAAATGTACTTTTTTCACTCCATCTGGAATTTATTGTGCAATTTAGTGAGAATCTAATCTCCCTGCTCCCTGGTGAGCTTAGTGTCTCAGCCCCTGCTTATCGCATATTCCATTCTTCTACTGAGCTAAAATATTACCTGAATCATTTAACAATTTTACTGTATAGTAAACCATCCCAAACCTTAGTGGCTTAAAACAACAATAATTCATTATTTATTGTTCATGAGTCTCTGGATTAGCTTGGTAGTTCTGTTGATCTGGGTCATGCTTGGCTGATCTTGATTGGGCTCACTCATGTGTCTCTGGTCAGCTGGTGGCTCAGCTCGGGACTGGATAGCTAGGATGTATTTACTCATGTATTTGGCAGATGGCTTGCAGTTAGCTGAAATAATTGGGCCACTTGTCTCTCATGGCCCAGCAGGCTAGGCTGGGCTTGTTCACATGGTGACTATATGTCCCAATGCACAAGCACTTTTCAAGCATCTGTTTGTGTCATGTTTCTAGTGTTCCATTGGCTTTGGTCAATTCAGATCAAAGAGGTGGGGATATAGACTTTGCCTCTTTGTTGAAGGAGTGGAGAATTGTGTACTTTTTTATAATCTATCCTCCTTCTTTCAACATATATTAAATTAGCAAACTATTTTAAACGAACAGTTCTTTTTGAAACTTTTCTAACCCTTCAATTTAGTTTTTCTATACTTAGAGATGTCTTTTCTTCTATACTTTTGACATTTAAACTTAAATTTTTGTTGTCATTAAAATCTTATTCACTCATAAGCAGTTGTAGTCTATGGACTCTGAAGATAATTTATCTGAAAATTAATTAGGTTTGTCAAGAGTTGTTTAAAGCAAACAGAGCAGGCTGGGTATGGTGACTCACGCCTGTAATCCTGGCACTTTGGGAGGCTAAGGCAGAAAGATCCCTTGAGCCCAGGAGTTTGAGATCCCTATGAGCAACATAAAGAGACCCTGTCTCTACATAAAATTTGAAAATTAGCTGATAGAGGTGGTGCTCACCTGTGGCCTCAGCTACTCAGGAGGCTGAGGTGGGAGGATTGCTTTAGCCCGGGAGGTTGAGGCTGCAATGAGCCATGATTGTGCCTTTGTATTCTAGCCTGGGCAACAGTGTGAGACCCTGTCTCAAAACAAACAAACAAACAAACAAACAAAAAATAAATAAATAAAAAATAATGCAAACAGAGCATCAGTGTTGTTTTTAGGCGAATAAAACTGTCTGAATATTTGCCCATGTTCTTAGTTATGGTCAGTTCTTTGAAGGATGGAATCTATTATCCAGTTTTTTAAATAGGTCTTCACCTTAGCTTTGTCCAGTACTGGCTTCATGGGCATGTCACCTGCACAGTCACACAGAGCCCTGTTTTTGGTTTAATGCTCTATAGTAGCCATACTGGATTTCTTAATACTTTTAGAACAAAGGGTCCTGTATTTTTATTTTGCTCTGGGCACCTCAAATAACGTAGCTGGTCCTGGCCCTGTTAGGATAATAACAACTTTCTGATGAGTAGAACAAGACACCTGGGAGTTCAGATGCAGAGCAAAGTTCAAATAGAGAACAGCCTTATTACCCCTACCCCCAAATCACATGTAGGCCTTTCCAAAGATGAAGAAAACAGGATGCAATGGACATCAGTGGTAGCTCTTCTGGATAGCTCAAGTGCATCTTTTTGGGACAAACATATTGGTTAATCGGCAATGAGGCAACCATCCACGAAGGGTTATCTCATTTAGGACCATCATCCTGCAGTTAGCCCTCTCTTGGCCTATTGTGGGTGGCAGCCTCTTATTATATTTCTAACAGGTGGGTCACTGGCTTCAAGGTGCATCATTAATAGTTTTGAGTTTTGGTGCAAAAGCCAACCACTTCCCTCCCTATTTTCAAATGCAGGTTATTTCCTGTATCCTGTATAGGAACCCTCAAAGCCACATCCCCATCTTATTTTTGCTAGCATGCCTTGCCTACATAGTGTCTACTACTGCATCATACTCCACTAGGAACATACAACAAGCACCCTTATGGAGGCCAACCTAAGGTTGAAGCAAGGAGAGGGGACCTGGGATTATCAATCTGGGAAAAGCAGAGCATGATTCTTACAGGGGAAGGATTTGGCCTCTAGTGAATAAATATTTTTCAGTTGTCCACCACAGTTTCAGTAATTATGTTGTATTTATGCAGCCATAAAAAAGAACAAGATTATGTCCTTTCCAGGGACATGGATGGAGCTGGAGGCCATTATCCCTAGCAAACTAACACAGGAACAGAAAACCAAATACTAGATATTCTCACTTAAAAGTGGGAGCTAACTGGTGGGAACACATGAAGACATAGAGGGGAACAACACACACTGGGGCCTACTGGAGGGTGGAGGGTAGGAGGAGGGGAGGATCAGGAAAAGTAACTACTGGGTACTAGGCCCAGTATGTGGGTGGTGAAATAATCTGTACAATAAACCCCCATGACACAAGTTTACCTATGTAACAAACCTGCACATGTACCCCTGAACTTAAAATACAAGTTAAAACTAATAAAATTTTGGGAAAAATATCATTCTTTTTGAAAGAATTTTCATCTTTACTTCTAGCTTTGGAGGTATAATGTTGAAAGAATGTAACCATGTTGAGAATGTCTTCTTTTCAGTAGTTAGAAACCTAAATTTCCTCATTTGTAAAATTGGAATACTGCCTTCTCAATCAACTGAATGTATTTTTGGAGGACCTAAGAAATAAAGTAGGAGAAAAGAAAGGAAATTCTTATTTGTTGGGTGTCTGCTGAGTTTGAAGTAAATTTTATTTATTACTTCATTTAATACTTAGAATCATCATGTGAGGGTGGCATTATTGTTTATAGAGGAAGAACCTGAGACTCTGAGTAGAGTTAAGAAACTTGCTCAGTGTTACACAGATATTAAGCATTGTATTCCAAAGTCCAGGCTTTAGAATATCAAGTGGCAATTTTACTTTAATCATTGTCAGGTGGGACATAGACAGCCTAGATTTTCTTTAGCAAAATTATGGTCAGGGTAAAGAAAAAGGAAATGTGTGCGAACTGTTTGTACATGTTCATGCTACGTATATGTATATTCATGATCATCTAATAGTCATTGTATACACACCTATTAGACAGGTAACAAAATCTTTTGGAGAGTTCCCTCAATTCTGAAATTATATCTGAAACAAGTATCAGAGGACTTTTTTTGGGTGTGTGACTTTGTTGATTTCACTTATACCTAAGTTTAGCTTCTTTGCCTTCAAATGCTAATGCTGATTGGCAGAAAAGCTTTGCCAAATAAATTCTCTATTTTATTATAACATTTTCACATAAATTTGTTAGTCAAAGCAAGACTGATTGGTTGAGTAAATTGAAATGGAAGAAATTAGACTTACCCTATGACTTGGCTTATGTTTTGATGCTATTACATGTGCTGAGGTTTTTCTCCTCACTTCAACACTAACCCTCTGTTGTAGCAGAGGGAAAATGTTTACTGATCTAAAAGTTGGTGTCAGATGACATATGTGTGATGTAATGACTAGTAGTCATTAATGTTCTAGAGAGGCAGATGGCTGACTTTTCTCTTCTACAAAAGAGGCTGTATTAGGCATAATTTTAAATAGAGATCCTGTGGTTTGGAGTTTGCTATTTGTTACTTTTTCTGTACTTTAAACTTCCTTCCACTCTGTTTATTTGTATGGTATTGATATATAAAAATCATTTTAAGTCACGCAGAAGCCTAAGAGCTTTTTGGTCCATGGGTTTTTAAATGAGCATGATTTTGGCTGATAACACAGAGGAATATATAATGAAACCATTCAGAGGCCCACTTTCCTCATTGTCATGGACAAGTAAAAATAACATGCTGAGAGACTAAGAAGGAGCTTTCATGGATGTGGTGATGTTGCTGGGCTTGTTTTTCATATAACCACTTAAGAGCTAAAAGGAAATTCTTTCTCAGAAGGTGATAGAGTAAATAGGTGAGAAAGGAGGAGGAAGCAGAAATTTGCAATCGTATGTTTGTGGATGAACAGGGGTGGTAAGTAAAAACAAAACAAAACAAAACAAAAAAACTGAGATGTCAGTAAAAAAAATGGAATTTGTACATTTTTACCCTATAATTTTACTCTTGAATATTTAGGCAAGGAAATAGTTCACAAAGAAAAAAATACATTCATCAAGGTATTCATTTATATTATTAATTATCTTTGCAGGAAATTGTAACCAGCTTTCTAGTTGGAAAGTGATTAGGTTTATCATAGTACTACTATTTGAAGTGATATTTCATATCATTATTGTGTTTCATTATTTTCAAAACCGGAATGATATAAAACATTTTATATAACTGAAAAAAGCAGATTATGAAATAGTATATAATAAGTTACAAATAATGAAATAGATGTGTCTATAATAGATACATTTGCAAAAAATTGAAAATGGTGTATGTTTATTTTAGATGACTTTACATTTTTATGCAATTTTTAAAAATATTATAATTTGTTGAATGCATGGATAGGAAGAATCAGTATTGTGCACATGGCCATATTGCCCAAGGTAATTTATAGATTAACGCTATTCCCATTAAACTACCATTGACATTCTTCACAGAATTAGAAAAACTATTTTAAAATTCGTATGGAACCAAAAAAGAGCCTGAATAGCCAAGACAATTGTAAGCAAAGAGAACAAAGCTGGAGGCATCACCCCACCTGACTTCAAACTATCCTGCAAGACTACAGTAACCAAAACAGCATGGTACTGGTACAAGAACACACACAAAGACCAATGTAACAGAATAGAGAACTCAGAAATAAGACCGCACACCTACAACCATCTGATCTTTGACAAACCTGACAAAAACAATCAGTGGGAAAGAATTCCCTATTTAATAAATGGTGCTGGGAGAGCTAGCTAGCCATATGCAAAAATTGAAACTGGACCTCTTCCTTACACCAAATACCAAAACTAACTCAAGATAGATCAAGACTATCATCAGAGTGAACAGACAACCTACAGAATGGGAGAAAATATTTGCAGTCTCTCCATCTGACAAAGGTCTAATATCTAGAGTCTACAAGGAACTTAAACAAATTTACAAGAAAAAAAATCCCATTAAAAAGTGGGCAAAGGACATGAACAGACACTTTTCAAAAGAAGACATACACGTGGCCAGAAAATATTTGAAAAAGCTCGGCATCACTGATCATTAGAGAAATGTAAATCAAAACTACAATGAGATACCATCTCACACACCAGTCAGAATGGGTATAATTAAAGCATCAAAAAACAACAGATACTGATGAGGTTGAAGAGAAAAAGGAACACTTTTATACGTTGGTGGGAGTGTAATTTAGTTCAGCCTTGTGGAAGACAGTGTGGTGATTTCTCAAAGACCTAGAGGCAGAAATACCATTTGACCGAGCAATCCCATTACTGAGTATATACCCAAAAGAATATAAATCTTCAATTATAAAAATACATGTATGCATATGTTCATTGCAGCACAGTTCACAATAGCAAAAACATGGAATCAACCCAAATGCCCATCAATGATAGAGTAGATAAAGAAAATGTGGTACATATGCACCATGGAATACTATGCAGCTGTAAAAAGGAACGAGATCATGCCCTTTGCAGGATCATGGGTGGAGCTGGAAGCCATTATTCTCAGCAAACTAATGCAGAAACAGAAAACCAAACACTGCATGTTCTCACTTATAAGTGGGAGCTGAATGATGAGAACACATGGACACATTGTGAGGGGAAACTACACACACTGGGGCCTGTGGGAGTGGGGTCAGGGGAGGGAGAGCATCAGGAGGAATAGCTAATGGGTGCTGGGATTAATATCTAGGTGATGGATTGATCTGTGCAACAAACCACTGTGGCACATGTTTACCTGTGTAACAAACCTGCACATCCTGCACATGTACCCTTGAACTTAAAATAATAGTTGAAGAAAAAAAAATAAAAATTAAAAAAATTGATGAGCACAAAAATAGCTTTTTCAAAGCAATGTGAATGCATTAATATACTGAATCGTACACTTGAAAATGAGGAGCTGACAATTCTCTATGCCTGGTACGGCACTATCTAATAGATAGCCACATATAGCTAATTCACACTTGAAATGTGAATTTTATGTTATGTGTGTTTTACCAGATATATTACCACAGATAACAACTTTTTGAAAACTGGGTTGTAGTCATGGAACTCCTGTTCTTCATTGGTATTTCTGAGGGAGCCGTTTTCTCTTTCCTGTCTATACCCTATGAACTTGTTTCTCTGGTCTCAGAATGTTTAGAGTTTTGAATTATTCCATATATGAGTTAGTTTATTCCTGTTCACTGAAAAGAGAGCAGTTAGATAACTGAATGGTATGCTTGAGTGAATGTAAAGGTGGATGTTCTCTTACTCTGTCTGACCCTTGCTAGTTTCTCAGCCAAACAAGAGCAATATACAAAGCTCTTTCAAAATTTTGTAAATTTTTCTTTATTCGGGTCAGAGTAATCTCCAAAGAGTGTTTGTTATAAGTATGTCCCTGATGTATTCACTATCTGTGTGTGGGTATAGAGTCTAGCCAAACTGTCTGACAGAAATTTGTTCAAGTCACAAATGTGAGCCACATGTATTATTTTTAATTTCCTAGAAGATTAAAAGAGTAAAGTGAAACAAGTTAAAGTAATTTTAACCATGTATTTTATTTAATTAATTAATTTATTTTTTGAGACAGAGTCTCGCCCCATCACCCAGGCTAGAGTACGGTGGCATTATCTTGGTTCACTGCTGGGACTACAGGCACGCGCCACCAAACCTGGCTAATCTTTGTATCTTTAGTAGAGACAGGCTTTCACCATGTTGGCCAGGCAGGTCACAAACTCATGTGACCCATCCGCCTTGGCCTCCCAAAATGCTGAGATTACAGGCGTGAGCCACTGTGCTCAGCCCAACAATGTGTTTTATTTAACTCTATATATTCAATATATCATTTCAACATGTAGTAAAATTAAAATTATTAATGAGGTATTTTATATTTCATAGTATGTCTTCAAAAATCTGGTTTATTTTATATGTGCAGCACATTTCAAGTGTGAATTAGCTATATGTGGCTATCTATTAGATAGTGCCGTACCAGGCATAGAGAATTGTCAGTTCCTCATTTTATATTGTTTCTTGTGATGTCTTTTTTCTTTATTTTTTTTTCTTTCCATTAGTCTTTTTAAATTCTTATTCATGAATAGACTATCACTGAGCCAATGATTTTCACTCACTGGATGTGAATAGCAGGCAGTTGTGAAGCACTCTTAGGTGGTTAGAGAATCACCAGAAACATTAGCTCGTAAAAACTATACATTCAAATATTGTTTAAAACAATGTCATCAAATTTTATGTCAACAGACTTGAGTCCTAGTCCCAGTTCTTTCTGGTGCTTTGACTTTGGGCATATCACGTCATCTCTCTGAGCTTCACCTTCTTCACTTTAATCTGTGGACCCTGTAGATAGAACTTGTCTGTGTAGCATCTTGCATGGTGCTTATTTTCCAGTAAAATTCTCAATAAATGTTTATTGTACCTGCATAATTGTTATGAAAAGGGACTTAGAATCTTAAATTTTCATCAATTCGGAATTTCAGAAATCAATGGGGACTTAGGGATCATCTAGTGCCAGCTCCTAAACTGGGGTGAGGTTGTTGCCCAGTCAGCATTTGTTAGGTATACTGTAATGACAATGATGTAAGTTATAGGGCTTTGTGCAACTGAATTAGTTTCAGAAAAGATATGTAAGTGCAAAGTATTATAACATTGGAGTTATGGTTCCCTGGATTTAGGTATGTAATGCTAATTGACATTAATGGGGGTTGTACATACTTCAAGGGGAGAACAGACCTATTATCGTATGAAAACATTCTCCTTTTAATAACCATCTGGTATGCTTTACTTCCCTGGGGCGTGTTCACTTTTTATAAATTGAATGCATGCTTCTTTATCTTCATGTTCTTCAATCAGCATTTGAGTTTTCTGCTTGCTAGTGTTAGCTTGAACAACTGGCTGTATTGTAAATTTAATATTAGGATTTTATCTTGGTAAGTTTATCAGATTCAGAAATTTGATCACTTTTCTGAAATAAACTATTCTGAGTCAGAAGTAATCAGTGTGTCCCCTCTTCTGCTAAAATTTTGTTCTGTTTGTTGTTTGATCTTTAAAAAAAAAATAGTCCTTTGAGATATACTCAGAAACAAGATGTTTCTAATATTACAATAAAACTATTAATGGGCTCATTATGTGGAAATGAAAATCTTATCTTTTTGTGTCAGTGATGACAGAAAAATACATAAGTGGCCTCCAATTATCTGTAATTGTATGAGGATTTCTTTCATTTCTGTTATCTATCTTCCTGTTTAATCCCATCTGGCACAATTATTCTTTTTGTATTAGTTTTTTGTAAAGGAGTTCTGAACAGTTTGAATTGTGAATTAGCGATTATTACAACCCTTATAACCCTCACAATCCTCCCGTCCACCTTCCTTCCCTTACCGTCATTTTCTCTCTCTCTTTAAGTAGAGGAAAACAAAGCCAGTTTCCTTGAGAGATTATTTTGTGATCTTTCTCAGCAAAAGAAAAAGATGTACTGTTTTTATAAGCATATCTATGAACAGCTGAGCAGTTATATCAACCCCGATATGTTTCTCTGTATATTAATACACAGAGAGCTAATAGTGCTCAGAGTGTTGCTTGAAAGTACCAAATATAACTAAGGATAAATTAAGGTGCTGTACTTCCTAAAAAGTTACTTTTATGAGGCCCAGCTGTATAGCCTGGAACAATCTAGCAGTAGGAAAAGTGATTTAATGTAATTAAAATAAATGTACTTTGAACATTTGACCTTAAGTGGATTTAAATATATTTGTCACACTACCTGAGAATCATTGATAGAATGTCATGCAGTAAGATCAATACCTATCCAACTTTACCATGCTCCCAGATGGGCCACCTGTATTTTTGTTTTTAACTTCCTTTTTATATGATTTCCATATCTCTTATAGCAGGATATTAAATTTCAGAGAATTAGGCCCTCAGCCAAATATTGATTTCCCCACTTTACTCCACCCCATCTCATCTAGGACTGGCTTCTAGCCCATCACTTAATATTCTTTTTCAGTTGATTCCCAGTTAGAATGATAAGCCAGAAGCCATATTCTTGGAGATGTTTTTCCTGTGGAAGTGATAGATTTTCATGGGACCATTTCCCTCCATCTTTTTTCCCACTTTTGTGATTCAAGGTAAAAGTATTTGAGAGGATCTGCCTGTTGACAAAAAGAATCAAACTGTAGAATATTTGAAGAGATTTATTCTGAGCCAAGTGTGAGCGACCAGTGGCCTGGGGCACAGTCTCAGGAGGTCCTAAGAACATGTGCCTAAGGTGGTTGGGCTACAGCTTGGAATTATACAATTTAAGGAGACATAGACATCAACCAATACATGTAAGATGTTGGTTTGGTCTGGAAAGGTGGGACAACTTGAAGGGGTGGGGGGCAGGGCTTCCAGGTCATAGGTGAATTCAAGGATTTTCTAATTGGCAATTGGTTGAAAGAGTTAAATTGCTGTCTAAAGACCTAGAATCAATAGAAGGAATATCTGGGTTAAGACAAGAGATCCTGGAGACCAAGGTTCCCTTGATGCAGATTAAACCTTCAGGCAGCAGGCTTCAGAGAACAGACTGCAAATGTTTATCAGATTCCCAGTTGATTCTGTCTAGAAAAAAGGCCTGGAAAGGGAAGGGGATTCTACAGAATGTAGATTTTTTTCCCCCACAAGAGACAGCTTTGCAGGGCTATTTCAAGATTTGACAAAGAAACATATTTGGGGTAAAATATTTTGATTTCCTTCCTTATATAATATCATGTGATGTTATGCCAGAGTCAGGTTGGAAAGTAAGTCATGTTATATAGAGTTAAATAAAACCTCTCTGATGATACTTTATGGTTTGTAGAGTGTGTCTCCTCACGCCCTTGCTAAATCCAGGCCATGGTCCCAAGGAAGCCCACAGGTCCTGGTCCTTATGGTCAAATGTGTCAACAAATTGCCTCATTAGATGAGGTTAATTTTATGAATGTAATTATCTGTGGTTTTTATTTGTTTGTATTTGTCTTATTCCAAGACCTTCAAGGGGATCCCTGTTGCCTATTAGATTACATTGAAATTTCTCACTCTGACATTCAAAAATTCTGAAGAGTTGCACCCAATTTCTTCTAATCTCATCTCCTATTTCTGCAGAAACTACATGCTGGTCAAGCTACCCTATCCTCTGAAAAAGAACGCAGCTTTATTGATATATAATTTGCATACCAAAATTCATGCGTTGTAGTGTACCATTTAAGGATTTTTAGTAAATTTGTAGAGTTGTGCACCACTACCACAATCCAATTTTAAACATCACCATTCCCCCAAAAGCCCCCTTGTGTCCAGTTACACCTAATCCTCACTCCCACTCCAACTACAAGAAACTACTAATCTACTTTCTGTCTTCATAGGTTGGTCTTTTCTGGATATTTCATATAAATGGAATCATACAATATGTAGTCTTTAGCATCTTTTACCTAATATCATGTTTTTGAGGTTCATCTATCAGTTTTCCTCAGTGGTTGCTCCTTTTTATTTTATTTCCTCAACTTTTATCTTAGAATCAGGCAGTACCTGTGCAGGCTTGTTACAAAGGTATATTGCATGATGCTGAGGTTTGGAGTATGAATGAACCTGTCACCCAGGTAGTGAGCATAGTACCCGAGAGGTAGTTTTTCAACTCTTACCTCTCTTCCTTCCTCCCCACTCTTATATCGCTCCAGTGTCTGTTGTTCCTAACTTTATGTCCATATGTACCCAATGTTTAGTTCCTACTTATAAGTGAGAACATGCAATATTTGGTTTTCTGTTTGTGTGAGTTAAGTATAATGGCTTCCAGCTACATCCATGTTGCTGCAAAGATATGATTTCATTCTTTGTTTATGACTGCATAGTATTCCATGGTGTTTATATACCATAATTCCTTTAAAATTTTTTAAAAAAATAATTTCAACTTTTATTTTAGATTCAGGGAGTAGATGTGCAGATTTGTTACATGGGTATATTGAGTGATGCTGAGGTTTGGGGTATGGATCCTGTCACCCAGGTAGTGAACATGGTACCCAGTAGGTAGTTTTTCAACTCACACCTCCCTCTCTCCCCACTCTAATACTCCCAGTACCACATTTTCTTTTTTTTTTTTTGAGTTTTACTTTATTTTTTTTTATTTTATTATTATTATACTTTAAGTTTTAGGGTACATGTGCACAATGTGCAGGTTAGTTACATATGTATACATGTGCCATGCTGGTGTGCTGCACCCATTAACTCGTCATTTAGCATTAGTTATGTCTCCTAATGCTATCCCTCCCCCCTCCCCCCACCCCACAACAGTCGCCAGAGTGTGATATTCCCCTTCCTGTGTCCATGTGTTCTCATTGTTCAATTCCCATCTATGAGTGAGAACATGTGGTGTTTGGTTTTTTGTCCTTGCGATAGTTTACTGAGAATGATGATTTCCAATTTCATCCATGTCCCTACAAAGGACATGAACTCATCATTTTTTATGGCTGCGTAGTATTCCATGGTGTATATGTGCCACATTTTCTTAATCCAGTCTATCATTGTTGGACATTTGGGTTAGTTCCAAGTCTTTGCTATTGTGACTAGTGCCGCAATAGACATACGTGTGCATGTGTCTTTATAGCAGCATGATTTATAGTCCTTTGGGTATATACCCAGTAATGGGATGGCTGGGTCAAATGGTATTTCTAGTTCTAGATCCCTGAGGAATCGCCACACCGACTTCCACAGTGGTTGAACTAGTTTACAGTCCCACCAACAGTGTAAAAGTGTTCCTATTTCTCCACATCCTCTCCAGCACCTGTTGTTTCCTGACTTTTTAATGATTGCCATTCTAACTGGTGTGAGATGGTATCTCATTGTGGTTTTGTTTGAGCTTTCTACATATGGCTAGCCAGTTTTCCCAGCACCATTTATTAAATAGGGAATCCTTTCCCCATTGCTTGTTTTTCTCAGGTTTGTCAAAGATCAGATGGTTGTAGATATGCGGCGTTATTTCTGAGGGCTCTGTTCTGTTCCATTGATCTATATCTCTGTTTTGGTACCAGTACCATGCTGTTTTGGTTACTGTAGCCTTGTAGTATAGTTTGAAGTCAGGTAGCATGATGCCTCCAGCTTTGTTCTTTTGGCTTAGGATTGACTTGGCGATGTGGGCTCCTTTTTGGTTCCATATGAACTTTGAAGTAGTTTTTTCCAATTCTGTGAAGAAAGTCATTGGTAGCTTGATGGGGATGGCATTGAATCTATAAATTACCTTGGGCAGTATGGCCATTTTCACGGTATTGATTCTTCCTACCCATGAGCATGGAATGTTCTTCCATTTGTTTGTATCCTCTTTTATTTCATTGAGCAGTGGTTTGTAGTCCTCCTTGAAGAGGTCCTTCACATCCCTTGTAAGTTGGATTCCTAAGTATTTTATTCTCTTTGAAGCAATTGTGAATGTGAGTTCACTCATGATTTGGCTCTCTGTTTGTCTGTTGTTGGTGTATAAGAATGCTTGTGATTTTTGTACATTGATTTTGTATCCTGAGACTTTGCTGAAGTTGCTTATCAGCTTAAGGAGATTTTGGGCTGAGACAATGGGGTTTTCTAGATATACAGTCATGTCGTCTGCAAACAGGGACAATTTGACTTCCTCTTTTCCTAATTGAATACCCTTTATTTCATTCTCCTGCCTAATTGCCCTGGCCAGAACTTCCAACACTATGTTGAATAGGAGTAGTGAGAGAGGGCATCCCTGTCTTGTGCCAGTTTTCAAAGGGAATGCTTCCAGTTTTTGCCCATTCAGTATGATATTGGCTGTGGGTTTGTCATAGATAGCTCTTATTATTTTGAGATATGTCCCATCAATACCGAACTTATTGAGAGTTTTTAGCATGAAGTGTTGTTGAATTTTGTCAAAGGCCTTTTCTGCATCTATTGAGATAATCATGTGTTTTTTGTCTTTGGTTCTGTTTGTATGCTGGACTACATTTATTGATTTGCGTATATTGAACCAGCCTTGCATCCCAGGGATGAAGCCCACTTGATCATGGTGGATAAGCTTTTTGATGTGCTGCTGTATTCGGTTTGCCAGTATTTTATTGAGGTTTTTGCATCAATGTTCATCAAGGATATTGGTCTAAAATTCTCTTTTTTGGTTGTGTCTCTGCCCGGCTTTGGTATCAGGATGATGCTGGCCTCATAAAATGAGTTAGGGAGGATTCCCTCTTTTTCTATTGATTGGAATAGTTTCAGAAGGAATGGTACCAGTTCCTCCTTGTACCTCTGGTAGAATTCGGCTGTGAATCCATCTGGTCGTGGACTCTTTTTGGTTGGTAAGCTATTGATTATTGCCACAATTTCAGAGCCTGTTATTGGTCTATTCAGAGATTCAACTTCTTCCTCGTTTAGTGTTGGGAGGATGTGTGTGTCAAGGAATTTATCCATTTCTTCTAGATTTTCTAGTTTATTTGCGTAGAGGTGTTTGTAGTATTCTCTGATGGTAGTTTGTATTTCTGTGGGATCGGTGGTGGTATCCCTTTTATCATTTTTTATTGCATCTATTTGATTCTTCTCTCTTTTCTTCTTTATTAGTCTTGCTAGCGGTCTATCAATTTTGTTGATCTTTTCAAAAAACCAGCTCCTGGATTCATTAATTTTTTGAAGGGTTTTTTGTGTCTCTATTTCCTTCAGTTCTGCTCTGATTTTAGTTATTTCTTGCCTTCTGCTAGCTTTTGAATGTGTTTGCTATTGCTTTTCTAGTTCTTTTAATTGTGATATTAGGGTGTCAATTTTGGATCTTTCCTGCTTTCTCTTGTGGGCATTTAGTGCTATAAATTTCCCTCTACACACTGCTTTGAATGCGTCCCAGAGATTCTGGTATGTTGTGTCTTTGTTCTCGTTGGTTTCAAAGAACTTTATTTCTGCCTTCATTTCGTTATGTACCCAGTAGTCATTCAGGAGCAGGTTGTTCAGTTTCCATGTAGTTGAGTGGTTTTGAGTGAGTTTCTTAATCCTGAGTTCTAGTTTGATTGCACTGTGGTCTGAGAGACAGTTTGTTATAATTTCTGTTCTTTTACATTTGCTGGGGAGAGCTTTACTTCCAAGTATGTGGTCAATTTTGGAACAGGTGTGGTGTGGTGCTGAAGAAAATATATATTCTGTTGATTTGGGGTGGAGAGTTCTGTAGATGTCTATTAGGTCTGCTTGGTGCAGAGCTGAGGTCTTTATCCAATTTGCTAGTCTGTGTCTTTTAATTGGAGCATTTAGTCCATTTACATTTAAAGTTAATAGTGTTATGTGTGAATTTGATCCTGTCATTATGATGTTAGCTGGTTATTTTGCTCGTTAGTTGATGCAGTTTCTTCCTAGTCTCGATGGTCTTTACATTTTGGCATGATTTTGCAGCGGCTAGTACCGGTTGTGCCTTTCCATGTTTAGTGCTTCCTTCAGGAGCTCTTTTAGGGCAGGCCTGGTGGTGACAAAATCTCTCAGCATTTGTTTGTCTGTAAAGTATTTTATTTCTCCTTCACTTATGAAGCTTAGTTTGGCTGGATATGAAATTCTGGGTTGACAGTTCTTTTCTTTAAGAATGTTGAATATTGGCCCCCACTCTCTTCTGGCTTGTAGAGTTTCCGCCAAGAGATCCGCTGTTAGTCTGATGGGCTTCCCTTTGTGGGTAACCCGACCTTTCTCTCTGACTGCCCTTAACATTTTTTCCTTCGTTTCAACTTTGGTGAATCTGACAATTATGTGTCTTGGAGTTGCTCTTCTCGAGGAGTGTCTTTGTGGAATTCTCTGTATTTCCTGAATCTGAATGTTGGCCTGCCTTGCTAGATTGGGGAAGTTCTCCTGGATAATATCCTGCAGATGTTTTCCAAGTTGGTTCCATTCTCCCCATCACTTTCAGATACACCAATCAGACGTAGATTTGGTCTTTTCACATAGTCCCATATTTCTTGGAGGCTTTGCTCATTTCTTTTTATTCTTTTTTCTCTAAACTTCCCTTCTCGCTTCATTTCGTTCATTTCATCTTCCATCACTGATACCCTTTCTTCCTGTTGATTGCATTGGCTCCTGAGGCTTCTGCATTCTTCACTTAGTTCTCAAGCCTTGGCTTTCAGCTCCATCAGCTCCTTTAAGCACTTCTCTGTATTGGTTATTCTAGTTATACATTCGTCTAAATTTTTTTCAAAGTTTTCAACTTCTTTGCCTTTGGTTTGAATTTCCTCCTGTAGCTCGGAGTAGTTTGATCGTCTGAAGCCTTCTTCTCTCAACTCGTCAAAGTCATTCTCCATCCAGCTTTGTTCCGTTGCTGGTGAGGAACTGCATTCCTTTGGAGGAGGAGAGGCGCTCTGCTTTTTAGAGTTTCCAGTTTTTCTGCTCTGTTTTTTCCCCATCTTTGTGGTTTTATCTACTTTTGGTCTTTGATGATGGTGATGTACAGATGGGTTTTTCGTGTGGATGTCCTTTCTGTTTGTTTGTTTTCCTTCTAACAGACAGGACCCTCAGCTGCAGGTCTGTTGGAGTTTGCTAGAGGTCCACTCCAGACCCTGTTTGCCTGGGTATCAGCAGCGGTGTCTGCAGAACCACGGATTTTTGTGATCCGCCAATGCTGCTGTCTGACTGTTCCTCTGGAAGTTTTGTCTCAGAGGAGTACCCGGCCATGTGAGGTGTCAGTCTGCCCCTACTGGGCTGTGCCTCCCAGTTAGGCTGCTCGTGGGTCAGGGGTCAGGGACCCACTAGAGGAGGCAGTCTGCCCTTTCTCAGATCTCCAGCTGCATGCTGGGAGAACCACTGCTCTCCTCAAAGCTGTCAGACAGGGACATTTAAGTCTGCAGAGGTTACTGCTGTCTTTTTGTTTGTCTGTGCCCTGCCCCCAGAGGTGGAGCCTACAGAGGCAGGCAGGCCTCCTGGAGCTGTGGTGGGCTCCACCCAGTTCGAGCTTCCTGGCTGCTTTGTTTACCTAAGGGAGCCTGGGCAATGGCGGGCGCCCCTCCCCCAGCCTCGCTGCCACCTTGCAGTTTGATCTCAGACTGCTGTGCTAGCAATCAGCGAGACTCCATGGGTGTAGGACCCTCTGAGCCAGGTGCGGGATATAATCTCCTGGTGCGCCGTTTCCTAAGCCCGTCGGAAAAGTGCAGTATTAGGGTGGGAGTGGCCTGATTTTCCAGGTGCCGTCTGTCACCCCTTTCCTTGACCAGGAAAGGGAACTCCCTGACCCCTTGCACTTCCCGAGTGAGGCAATGCCTCACCCTGCTTTCGCTGGTGCACGGTGTGCTGCACCCACTCTCCTGCGCCCACTATCTGGCACTCCCTAGTGAGATGAACCCAGTACCTCAGATGGAAATGCAGAAATCACCTGTCTTCTGCGTCGCTCACGCTGGGAGCTGTAGACTGGAGCTGTTCCTATTCGGCCATCTTGGCTCCTCCCACATTTTCTTTATGTAGTTCACTGTTGATGGGTACCTGAGTTGATTCCATGTCTTTCCTATTGTGAATAATGTGGTGATGAACATATGGGTGCATGTCTTTTTGGTAGAACAATTTATTTTCCTTTGGGTCTGTACTCTGTAATGGGATTGTTGGGTTGAATGATAGTTCAACTCTCAGTTCTCTGAGAAATCTCCATACTGCTCCCCACAGTGGATGAACTAATTTACATTTCCCCAGTAGTGGAAGTGTTCCCTTTTCTCTGCAGTCTCACAAGTATCTGTTATTTTTTGACTTTTTAACAAAAGCCATTCTGACCAGTGTGAGATGGTATCTCATTGTGGTTTTCATTTGCATTTATCTGATGATTAGTGATGATGAACATTTATTCATATGTTTGTTGGCTAATTATATGTCTTCTTTTGAGAACTGTCTGTTCATGTCCATTGCCCATTTTTTAATGAGGTTGTTTTTTGCTTGTTGATTCGTTTACATTCCTTTATCTCATTCTTTAGGTTGTATGTTTCTTCTGTTGATAATTTCTATTGCCGTGCAGATGGTCTTTAGTTTAATTGGGTCCCACTTGCCCATTTTTGTTTTTGTTGCAATTGTGTTTGAGGACTTAGGCATAAATTCGTTGCCACAGCTGATATTGAGAAGTGTATTTCCTATCTTTTCTTCTAGGATTTTTATAGTTTGAGATCTTACATTTTAAGTCTTTGATCCATCTTGAGTTAATTTTATTACATGATGATAGGTAGGGATCCAGTTTCATTCTTCTCCATATGGATAGCCAGCTATCCCAGCACCATTCATTGAATAGGGAGTCTCTTCCCCATGCTTATTTTTGTTAATGTGTTAAAGATTGATGGTTATAGGTGTGCAGCTCTATTTCTGGGTTCTGTATTATCTTCTATTGGTCTATGTGTCTGTTTTTGTACCAGTACCCTGCTGTTTTGGTTACTGTAGCCTTGTAGTATAGTTTGAACTTGGGTAATGTGTTGCCTCCAGGTTGCCCTATTTTATTTTTCCTACCAGCAGTGTATGAGGATTCTGTTTCTTTACATCCTTACATCACTTATTGTTGTCTGTTTATTTTTTAAAAATTATAGTCATTCTAGTAGGTGTGTAGTGGTAGCTCATTGTGGTTTTATTTTGCATTTTCCTAACGATGTTGAACTTTTAAAAATATGTTTATTAGACTATTATTTTTTGATCAAATTTACCATATACATTTCTGCCACCGTGCATTTGCTGATGTTATTTTTGCTACATGTATTTCCCTTTTTTTCCCTCATCTTCCTTTATGGAAGCTTCCTATAGATACCCTCTTGTCTTTCAAGCTTTTCCTATTTCACCATGCCTTTTCCAGTTATCTGTGATCTCTTCTGCCTTTAAACCTTAGGAGTGCTATGATTAAACCTCTGTTGTGAAATTTACTTATATTATTCTGTCTTATGTTATGGTTTCTTGGGTACTTCCATCTTTTCTCCTGGTGAGCCTGGACAACTGGGGCCATTTCTTTGCTTGCCCACCAGTGCACAGAACAGTAACATAATTGAAATAATTCATGACTGTTTGACAAAGACCTCAGAGAAAAATGTGTGTTAAAGAAGAGATGGCTTATTCTTCAATTTATTTTCATGTTCCCTGTTCTCTTTAGGGCGTGGAATCCAGTACTGATCATCTCAAATGTTTTCTTCTCTGCACCCATGAGTCCCTTGCTTTATATCTTACTTTTCTTTAGGAAGCTTAGCCTCATCAGAACACTGTCTCTTTTCCTGTTGTTGCTTGAAATTCATACCTCCCTACTCATTTGCCTAAAATCTTAGTTTCATCTTGGTCAGTCACCTCTCCCATTTCTCCCAGGTAGTCAGCAGGCTAAGTAGTGACTCAGCCCCCTCTCTGTCACTCTCCCAGGAGACAACCTTATATTCTGTCTTGTCAGAAAGATTGAGACTCTCAGCTATGTCTCCCTCATTGTCTCACCAACCCTTCTAGAAACTTGTCTACATCTATTCCCAACTTTCCTGCTGTCCTTCTTGTCTCAAAGGATCAGGTACGTTATTTCTCTTTAAGATCAACCCTTCCCTTGATCCCTTTGACCTTCTGCTAGCTTCTGGAATACTGATTTATATAAAAGCCAGTTTGTCTGGCTGTTATATTTTTGATCTGTCCCTTGCTCTTTTGCTTTCTTATAGCCTAAAAACATGTTGAGGTTTATCCCAACATAGACCTGCCTCCTACAACTTTTCTTTGTGTTTCTCTTCTAGATGCAACCTTTTTCTCCTTTTCACACACGTCTCGTAAGATCCATAGTACTTTTATTTTTTTGCTTTCTCACCTCTTATTTCATGTATCCGTCTAATATATATATATATATAATCTTGGCCACAGACCACAGAAGAACTTAAAATGTTGGTGTTTTTTTTTTTTTTTTTTTTGCTTTATATATCTCCAATATAGTGCAGACCCTGTATATGCATACGGGAATAATTATATGCAGAAATGCAGCCTTCTTTTAGCCGGAAAGGATGCCTGGAACATGTGGATAAGCTTGGATATTTGTCTAATGTTAATTGGAATGTTGGTTTTCAGTTGCAGATGCCAAATCTTCATAAAAGTAATTGGATTTAGCTTCCTATTTAGCAAACTACTTCAAATCCCTGAAGTATCCCACATCCGAAACTAATTTTTCTTGATTGTATCAAGTTCAGTCATGAGTAGAACAAGGGTTGACATAGTTTTTTAATATTAAAATATTTCTTGACAAGGTTTCAACACTCTTGCTTGTCCACAAACCTATTGTTAAACACACTCAATACAGATGCAATCTTTGTGTTTTGTGGAGCTATTTTAAAAACTTTGCAAGACTGTCTTCTTGAAGTAAACCACATTTATTCCTTTTTCCTATACATGTAAATTTAAACTTAGATTTTGATCAGATTTCAAGAAACAACGCAAAAATTGTGTATTTTTATTGCTTTTTATATAAACTTATATATGTACTTAATTAAACTTCTATTGATTCATCCTAGGAAATACATTTTATGGTAGTTTTGAGTCTTAAAAGTGTTATTCAGTCTACAAATGTTCAATGTAATATGTAAGAATATTTGGGGATACTAGGGAAAAAACCTCTTAGAATGAATATTATTTGATCATTAAAATTTAGGGATTAAGAGATTCAATTTAAAGGATTGTGCTATCAAATATTTATCAAGCAGCTACTCTGTGTAGGGGTCTTTATGATTAGAGGAGGTATATAAAGATGTTTATAATATGGTGTATAGCCTCAAGGAGCACGATGTTTTATACAGATAATAATTATAAGCATGGACAAATGTTACTCCTTATGGTAGTCATTTACCATTGAGGATGATTATTTAAATATCTGAAAAAATAAAATGGTGCTTAAGTGAAATATGAGCAGATGCATCATACTTTTTTTTTAAACTAAAATGTATTATGTGAAAATCATTTTGGTTGAAATCACTAGTGACTAATAGGAACTGTATAGCTCAACAATAGATTATTCTAATGTATTTTTGTAATAGAACCCATTTTGTTAGAAAAAAATTCATAGCCATGCTTCTATGTCATTTTTTCTTCCAAGACGTCAAACTATTTAGCAGGTAAATACTGCACAATTTAGTTGAATTGGATTTTCAGTCTGTTTTTAGTTCATCTCCAGAGTAGGACTAACTGCCAGACCTAACGTTCACTCCTGTGCCACAGTGCTTAACATAGAGCCTGGTGTGATGCATTCTAGGTGCTCAGTACACATTTGTTGAGCTCTCTGGTCCTGTCCCAAGGGCAACTGGCATTTCTTCAGTGAGTTTCTGAAGGTATGCCTTCTGTTTCTGCCAGTAATTTCCCTGGGACCAGGAAATTATTTTGCTAATGAGATATGCACTTTACAACTTGCATGCCTATGCTTATCATTCCTATTCCTGGAGTTCAGCAGTCATTGCAGCTGCTGTGGAAAGTACTCCTTTGCTTTGACTGTGTTTTAACTATCAAGTTGTTTTGGGACTCCCAGTTTTGTCACTATGGAATTTTTAAGATCCTTTTTTGCTTAAAAAGCAATTGTCATCTTGGAAGAAGAATAGGTCTCATCATCTTTCTGGTGTTAAGTTGCAAACCTTTGAAAGTTTACGCTTATATCATTTGAGGTAAATTACTTGCTATATCCCAATTAGGTATACAGTTCTTTTTAAAGCATGTTTTTCATGAGCCTGAATCATAGGACTAGAAGTGACATTATAAAGTACTTCATCTTTTCAAATTTTGCTTTCTAGCTTGATACCATTCTTCCTTGAGTTAGCCTTTTATTCTTAAAATAAAAAATGATTTTATGTAAAATTTTGAAAGCTGTTGACTACAATGTTTGATATAGTTTAGTAGGGAATGTTATGGAACAATTGGATACTCACGACCTAGAAAAAGAGTCATTTTTTACTATGAGTTAATTTTTCTGGACTCCTCTTAGTTAACACTGGGTAATGAGTTAGATGGTAGTTCTGATAGCCTTCAATCAAGAACTGACTCAGAGAAAATACAGTTTCAATAGTAAAGGTGGAGAAGCAGGCATTCCTACAACTCTCAGTATCTAAAAATCCTTGCAGTCTCACTCCTACTGTCAGCTGTTTTAACTATCAGTTTTATTTAGGTGGAGAAACCACTGGGACCATGAATGATAATTTAATTAACATTCCTTTATTAAGACAGGCTGAGTTTAATTTTTTCTTTTGACTATTCTTTTTAAATAAAGATTATTTTCTTAAGATAGGTTTCTACAATGGTAATTACAAAGTCAAAGAATAGGAGTATTTTAAGGCCTTAATATAAATTAGCTGATTATTACTAATTTTATGAGTTGATGCGGCATAGAAAATGTGCAGGCGATTCTTTAAGTATTCCCTCACACTGTCTTCATTAGTAAGTACATCAATATCACTGTTTTCAGAGCATCTTATGGGGTTTGCCAACAGAATGTGCCTTCCTTCATGGTCTTGTCTTACAAGACCACCTAGCACAGCTGGAGAGAGCCAACAGTTGCGTGTAAAAAAAAAACAGAATGTGGATATGAGGAGCTAAAGACAGGGACTGGCTATTGGCCCCTTGTTTATAGTGAATTAAAGCCAGACCAGGCCGGGCGCAGTGGCTCACGCCTGTAATCCCAGCATTTTGGGAGGCCGAGGCAGGCAGATCACCTGAGGTCAGGAGTTTGAGACCAGCCTGACCAACATGGAAAAACCCCATTTCTACTAAAAATACAAAAAAATTAGCCGGGCATGGTGGTGCATGCCTGTAATCCCAGCTACTCAGGAGGCTGAGGCAGGAGAATCTCTTGAACCTGGGAGTCAGAGGTTGCGGTGAGCTGATAATGCGCCATTGCACTCCAGCCTGGACAATAAAAGCAAAACTCCCTCTCAAAACAAAACAAAACAAAACAAAAAACGAAAACAAACAAAAAACCAAAAACCAAACTGAAGAAGAACCCAGCTTCCCAGAGGAGACTGAGAAGGAGGCAGCCAGCACATGAGTGCTCCTGTAGTGTTATCTTGTTTTGGGATTTAGATCAGTTAGTAGTAATTTCCCTTCAGGCCTACACATATCTTCATTTTTCTAAAAGAAAAAAGAGAGAAAAGGGGAAATGATCAAAAGGGGGCTAAACAATGATTGACTTTTGATTAGATTAAATGAGTTTAAATTCTACTTTACAAAGAAAATTTTTACAAAGGCCCCTTTCAGAATAATCAGAAATACTTTCACATTATGTACTTTTAAACAAAGCTTTTTAAAATAATTACATTAAATATTATCATTGTAGAAAATTTATAAAATTCAGATAAAAATAAACACAAAAATGAAAATGGAAAAGCACCCATAGTTCCCTGTGAACATTCTCCTGTCTCTTTGTGTGTATACATGCATGCATTATTTTAAAAATTGGGATCATCATATAAAAATCTGTTGGAATCCTATTTATTCCTCTTAATTTCATCTCAAGATGAGTTTTCATGTCATTATAAATATTATAATACCAATGCTATATAGTGTAGCCATGTAAAAATCAATTTAATCAGTTTCCTAGTATTGAATAATTTGATTGTTTTGACCACTTTATTACTATGAACAATGCTGCAGTGAACACTTCTGGAGGTAAAGCTTGAAACATTCATGACTATTTTCTTAGAATAAATTTTTAGATGTGGAGATGTTGGGCCAGGTTCTGTGTATATTTGTAAGTGTTCCTAATACAAATGTTCACTTCAGAGAGATGATATCAGTTTACCGTCGACTATTTGGAAAAATTATAATAACTAGGGTAGTGGTTTTCACATTTTTTTAAAAATTGAAATCACAACTTCAAATTGAAGCCTAATACCTAAAACAACAACAATAAAAACCTGAGTTATTTGGATCGAAATACCTTCCTACCCTTTATCTTGATGGTTGTAGAGGCTCTACTGAATTCCTGGGGTTCCTTAAGTCCCATTTTGGAAAAACCAATGACCTTCATGGTGGGCTTCTTGGGGTAGGAGGAAAGGATGCAAAGTCTATGGCAAATTAAAGAAGGGAGATGGACTTAGAGTCACAATCTGAAGTAAAAGTATGTCAGTGTGTCTTGTAAAATGTTCCAGTATAAAGTACTGTGGGTAAGACCCCAAGTTAGGGAGAAAGCTAATAGAAATACAAACTGAGAACTATAGTTTTCCCCATATTCCTTGAGTTTGGAAAGCATGTATAAGAGAAGATGCCTCTAAGAGACCTGGAGACAAACTAGATGAAAATACTTAAAAACTTGGTCTTGGATTGAGAGCTCTGCACTTCAGTCTCCATAACCAACATTAGGGCCTGAAAGAAGAAGTAGCTCATCCCAGATATCAACAAAGATAGGGACCAAAGCCTAACCACACTATAAATTCACAGTAAAACAGTAAGACACCATTTCATCTATAAAACTGGCAAATATGTTTTTTAATAATTCCCAGTGTTGACAGAGATATCAAGAAGTGGACTTTCCAGTTTAGAAGGGGCTTTGAGGCTGCTAAGTTCAACCTCCTGCTTGTTGTATCCTTGATCTGTAGTCTTCTTAGCTTTACTTAAACACTCCCAAGAAAGCGTAGTGCTCTCTCCCTCTTTTGCCTTTAGGAACAGCATAGGAATAAGCCAGCTTCATCTTCTTGATCAGACATTATAATTGGCTCACCTAGTGGTTTTTAAAACATTTTTTTAATTAAGAAAAAAAATTTTTTGAGATAGGGTCTCATTCTGCCACCCAGGCTGGAGTATAGTGATGCAATCTTGGCTCGCTGCAGCCTCGACCTCCCTGGGCTTAGGATCCTGCCACCTCAGCCTCCTGAGTTGCTGGAACAACAGGTGCATCCCACCACATCTGGTTAACTTTTGTAGTTTTTGTAGAGTTGGGGTTTTGCCGTGTTGCCCAGGCTGGTCTCAAATTCCTGGGCTCAAGCAATCTGCCTACCTCAGCCTATCAAAGTTCTGGGATTATAGGTGTGAGCCACCATGGCTGGCTTCACATAGTGTTTCTATCAAAACATTTATTATTTGCCAAAATTAAAATCTAGAAGACTTTTAAAAATTTCTCTTGAAAAATCAGTAGCCCTGGCCATACGGGACCTGCATTTCCTCATGGTGAGAACAGGCTGCCCCCTTCACATGGGTCCTGCCTTCTTCTGCTTGACAGCCTTCACCACTGGTATTGTCTCCTGACACAGCCTGAGGTTCTGCTATCTTGTATCATCAAGTTGGTGTTGCTTTTTGTAGTTTTTGTAAAACTATAAAAAGAAAGAGAAATTGTTCTTTTACCCACATTTGTAAAAATTAGAAAAATGAACGGCAGGCTGAGAGGTTTTGTATATTTTAGGGTTCAGGACACTATAATGACCAGTACAGATCCCAAGGGGGCTCTATTGCATGGAGACGATAGTTACTAATTTATTCATTCATTTATGCAACAAATGTTATGTGAGTGCCTGTTGTGTGCCAGACCACTAAGCTGTGATGCACAGTGATGGCCACCATGCCTGGCCATTGAAGCCTCAACAGTGCATGTGACAGCCGTGGTCCCCAATATTAAGGAGTCTATAATCTATGGGGTTTTCCACGTTATTCCAAATCCATAGCTTATGAGCATCTCACAGGTGTAAGTGGCCATTCGAAGTCACATGGAGGCAGTGGAGGAGGCAGCCAGTTGTCTCCTTTTAGTGAGCAAAAAATGACTCTGAAGCTCCATTGTTCCCTTTTCTTTTATGTGGATAGAAAAGCACAGGGACATTTGCTCCTTGATGCTCCTAGGTTTCTTTCTATGAAAATCTTTCATTTATCTACACTTGCTCAATAGATATTTATTAGGGACCATAGGTGAGACAGTCAGAAAAGTATACAAAATGTAATTGAAATGGTTTCTCTCCTCAAGTAGTTTCCAGTCTAGTTAGGAAGATGAGATATGCACCCCAATAGCTACAATAGACACTACGTTTTAACAATAGTTGTTAGATTTTGGGTCTGGTCTACAAAGTTGTTTTAAACTTTTATTGTGAATATTATCTTAGGCCCTTATCAATCTATTTTTCTAGTTTTTTATTTGAAATGTGTTCTGATTCAGTTCTATTTTAGTACATCATGGGCTAAGGGTCTTTGTGGATGGGTTTGTGAAATAAACACAGTTTATAGCATTGTCTCACTGGGGAAATTCCTTCTGTGGGCTTGAATACTCTACTAATAGACATACTTTTGGAATGTTATAATTCATTTAAGTTGGATACTTCCTCTTTTTAGAATTTCATATTCCTAGATTTGGGGCATTGCAACTGACCTTAGTCATATAGCCCAACCTTCTACTGGGTATAAAAACTCTGTCATTCAATGCAATCTAAGATTACATTGGCAAATAATTTTCATCTCCTATGATGATTTTGAACAATTTGTAGTGACTACCGAAAATGCTGAGTTAAGAAGGATTCTTAGGTTTATCCAGGCTCTAAGACAAAGGTTGCCATAACTGTTTAGTGGAGTCTGTTAAGATCATGGGAATTAAGAATGTTTTAGTATATGCCTAACTATAAGAAAGGAGATTTTCTAGCTAATCAGAGTGAGTTTTCATGTCAGCTTTTGGTTAACAGAAGTCTTAGTACCATTTTCTCTATCAAATGGCCAGTCTTCCATTCAGCCAAGTTCATTGGGAACCTCACCAAAAGATTAAAGAACAGAAAATAAATCAGGTAATGAGGAGAGATAGAAACAACAAAGGTTTCTACTGACTTGCTACGTTCACTTTTTGAGTTTGGGCACTCTTCTTTTTTACCAAGGGTTAAGCCTGGTGATTGAGACTATATTCTGGTGCAGTGTGCAGCCACTAGGTCCTAGGTTCTTTGAGGACAGGGACCATATCCATCTTGTTCACTCTACCAAGCACAGTGCCTTGCGTACAGCATGCCTAGTATAGGGTAGGTGTCTCTAAGTTTATAGAATGAATTACTACAGCCCTTGGCATCTTGGGAGGAAATTTAAAATGAGCTCTCAGTGCTCTCAAGCAGCATTGTATTGGTTTCTCTGGTTGTGTAATTAGGTTTTTGATTACAAATGTGTGTTAATGGACAGATCCATGTGTTCATTTGTTGCTGGTTGTGGTTGTGATACTTCCGTTGAGATTTGCAGTGTGTTCCGGACATACAGTGTGACATTTCTGTGGTAAGGCTTCTGGTCAGCGGAAGATTGATGATGTATTTTAACCCCTGATGACTAGGAAACCTCTCTCCCTTGGGAGACTGAGTGTGTGGCCAGTGTTTGGCAGGGTGACTTCTTGCAGTGGAATTCTGAAGCTCAGACTCGTGTTCTATTTCTTTTTTGCCAACCTTTGGGGCTAGGTCATGAAGGGTCTTTTCACAGTGGAAACCATTTTCGCTCAATTAGTTGGATGAAAACAAAGGCTGCCCCATGCCCTGTGGTTATTGCTTTACAAGCTAGAGGCTCAGATTGAATTGCAGGCTCCCTAGGTCGCTGGAGACAGGAATGCTGTGGTGGCTTCACCCCCATGGAGAGGGCTGGGTTTGAAAGCATCTTGTAGCCACCTTGCTGGTTGACTTAATAGGGAAGAAGGTAACCCTGCAGGAGAAGCCTTTCCCAGTCTAGCGTAGTGTTGAGAAGACATTCTGGGAATATGCTAACAAAACTCCTTAAAAGTTTTTTGATCCATTTCCTTTTTTAAAAAAGAAACAACACACAAAACATGCCAATCAGATGGCAGAACCCAGAGTCTTTCATGTCACAATGTGTCCATTTACTACAGCATTTAGTAGATCAATAATACCTTTAGCTTGAAGTAGTTAACAAGCATACCTTTCAGTGTTACTTTTATTTTCTGCTCCCTGTAGCACTTAGCAAAATCCCATTATGCAATTGGGTAGTATTAAATGTTAAAAAGTTAATTTGTTCTGCATTCCATTAAAATTGCTTTTTTTTTTCATGTGAATTGGTCCTTACATCTTGTTTAAAACCTATAATTTAAGCTCAAACTGTAGTAAGGTCTTGAGTAACCTTTTGCCCTTGCTACCTTAATTATTCTTCATCACACACATTATTTCAGGATTGTGACAATGGGTTAACTATTTGCTAGTTAATGAAAATATCTGTCACTTAAGAAATATATGGACTTGAAGTTTTAATTAAAATTGTATATCAATAATGAAATAAAATGTACCTTTTTTGATGAAAATATATTTTAAAATATTGCTTTCTTTCTTTTTGAAATAACCATTCCTTGGTTAAGGCCAAATGATTGATTAAGCTGTTGATGGAAATGGGGAGCTTGTTTCCATTTTAAAGTATTAAAACATTTGCTTTTTAAATGTAATGGTTTTCTAATTACATTCATTGTCACCTTATATAAATATGCTTAGAGATTGTCTTATAATAATAAAATGTCGTGGAACCAGATCCTAATGGTGGTGTGGCAAAAATGCCTCATATTTCTTGATTCCAAATATATTAGATAACTTTTTTTGTATTTTTCAAACTTATAGTGAATAAATAATAAGTAGGAAATGAAATTTCCTGAAACTAAGCTAAATATCTTAAGAGCATTTGGTGCTTTGTTTGGCCTGTTTTTATTTGATAATCTGTATACTTCATTAAAAATCATCAGGTTCAGAGAGATTACTGATAATTGCAAACTTAATTCTTAGCAGTAGAGACTGTCTGGCATACAAAGCCCTTAAAATTACCTTGAATTTTTTTTAGCCTAGAGAGTTTACATCTTTATGTCACATCAAAGAGAAAAAAGAAAACAAAAAATTGGTGGTGGTGGGGGCAGATGGTGGAAGAAAGATATGAACAGATCCTGAGAATAATGGAGTTTTTAATTTGAAGAAGTTTTGGAAATTAGGTTCAGTTACCTCATTTCACAGGAGAATAAAAAGAAGCCTCAAATATTCAATGACCTGCCCAAAGTTCTGCGTTATTAATAACTGAGATGGGACAAGAACCAGGGTTTCTGAGACAATTTGTTGGTTTTGAAAGAGATTTTGGGGTCAGACAAATCTGGTTTTCAACCCTGACTACCTTTGTAAGCTCTGGCAGATTATTGAAGTGCTCTGAACCTCATTTTTATCTTCTGTAAAATGGGGATGATATTCCATTGTGTGATTTCATGAGATAATGGATTTGAAGACTGAGCTTCGGTTCTGACCCTTCCAAATGGCTTATCAGTGCTGGCTCCCTTCCCTTTGCTAGGTCAGTGTCTTCTCTACAACACAGTGTTGTGTATTGTAGCAAGTCACTTATGCCAAACAAGACCCTGACTATTTTGGCAATGAGGTCTGGGTTTGCTGCCTGACCAGCACCAGACACGGGGACACTAGTATGCACCTGGCTTATGATGATACTGTTACGAGGTTTGGGCAGGAATCCATGCTGAAGCCATGCAGCAGGTGCTTTGGTTCTGTGGCCTCGGGACTCCTGCATTTCCCTACTCTTGTTTGATAGCATAGCCGAGAAATCCACAGAGACAGAGATGATGCTGAGGAGCCCACTGCTTTTTTTTCTTGGAAAAGAAATGTTCCATGGAAACTTTTCCTGTGAACCCTCTTTGAGAGATTTATGCAGATTATAAAGTCAAAAGAAGCGGTCATTCCAGACTTTTCTTTCCAGGCAGACAGGCCAAAACATAATTTTAGCAGGTATTAGTAAAAATTGAGAAGTATTTTGTGTATGCTGGGATTCTTGCCAGGCTCTGTGTTTGCAACTCCCAAGACATTGCTAAGGTGAAAGTTTTTCTTCACTACCCTTGGAAGATTGTTGAAACAAGCCGGCCACTATTCTTTTCCATTGCATCCGTATCATCGAGGCCTCTCTAGACACTGTTTTGTGGCATCTTGGGCCAACACAAATTGATTTGCTTTTCAGCGAAAGAACTTCATGCAGAATGTTGACTGCAGGTGTGTTTTGGAGGAGGCAGTAAAGGAGTAGAAATGGAAGGATTGATCATTAGATAAAGCAGGTTTAAGTCATTTGGCTATTTAAACTGTAGAACTGCCTGCTTTAATTTGGTGAGGATTTTTAATTTTTTTTTTTTTTACTGTAAACAAATGATTCTACAAACTGTGAGTCCAAGTAGGTACGTCCAAGGAATTTACAGCGACTTTTACATGATTGAAGATAGAACTTTGAATTTGTTTAGAAGAAAAAAGATCTAGTCGTGAGGGAGTGCAAAACATACACCATTTAAAAATACTCCCTGTCATACATCATAATCAACTATTGCATGTGTAGCCATTTATTAATATGTGAGCATGATGATACTTGGTGTGTATGTTTGTAAACTATATCCATTTTGTTAGTTGAAAATATTCTTAATTATTCATAGAAATGTATAAACCTCCATGAGAACGTTTTAACCAGATGTAGCAAAGACCTAGGCATACTTTATTGATCATTTTGTACAGAACATTAGGGAATGTTCCAGCAGAGTGCAGCAAAAGCTAGTTATTGCAAAACATACTCTTGTCTTTTCTTAGTCAGTCTGGAATGTTGAGATATAGAGGGATTTAAGATTTTAAAAATGATGGAAACAAACAGTAGAGATCTTGGAACAATGTTCTATGTGCACTCCTGCTCCCCATCCTCTGAGAAGGCCTCAAACAAGAAAAGCATTCTCTAATTTACTAAGTAACACTGATCTTTCTTAAAGAAAGGACATGGTTGGT
Source organism: Homo sapiens (assembly GCF_000001405.40). Classification (NCBI taxonomy): domain Eukaryota; kingdom Metazoa; phylum Chordata; class Mammalia; order Primates; family Hominidae; genus Homo; species Homo sapiens. The sequence continues at coordinate 33,421,823 of NC_000007.14, forward strand.
ACCTCCAGATAACACTTGAAAATTAGCATGGTGTATTTTACTTGCTTTTCTTTTCAATATAACTTTTTAAAAAAGTACACAAGTACTAAATATCAGAATTCTTTGTCAGAAAATACAGAAAAGGGAAGGGAATAAAAATAAACAATACCCTAATTGCACCACCCAGAAAATCATAGTTTAAATTTAGTATATAGCCTTCCAGATTTATGAATGTGTTGGATTATGTATAAATATAAATAAGAAATAGAAATATTTTTAAATTGGGTCATAAGGTACATACTGTTTGGAAAGTGCTTTTTCTTGTAAATATAAATTGTATGTACGGTTATAGCTGCTATAGCTTTTCGTAAATATAGTTAACTCTGGTTGCTAGTTTCAGTTATGTTTGTATGGTATGCTCCTGTCTTTTAAAAAATGTGTGACATATTACTTCACAGTAACATGTAAGTAATTCATTTTACTTTGTGAATAAATATTATTCTGATGCAGACCACTGTATATTTGATGTGTACCACAAAGAATAAATATTTACCATAGCAGAATTAGCTGATTTTTCTTACTGTTGGTGATTTACTTTAAGAAGCTTCTCTTTCTAACTTCTAGCCCATTTTTAGAGAGAAAGTGATATTTTTTAGTGGTTTGTGATTACATAGTGATGATACTTTAATTGTGTTGGTGTTTTTAAGAATATTGGCTAAGTAGTAAAATAGTTGCCCAACTTTTCCTGCTTTCTAGCTACCACAATTCAATTACTTTTGATTGTCCTGCTTTAAATTCCTACTTTATAATAATTATGTCTTCTGTTTATAATGTGATAATTTAAGAATAGAAGCACAAAAGATTATATTTGGCTCTCAACAATGAGAAGACAGCTAATTACCAGAGAAACAGAGCTATCAGATTTTTAAAGAAAAGTATAATTAATAAATGCGAATGTTCAGTTTATTTTTTATTTTTATTTTTTAAAAATAAAGACAGGGTCTTGCTGTGTTTCCCAGGCTGGTCTCAAACTCTTGGCCTCAAGCAATCCTCTCGCCTTTTCCTCCTAAAGTGCTGGGATTACAGGCATGAGCCATCCGTGCCTGGCCTTAGTTTATATATGAGCACATCTGTTTGAATTATGTCTGGCACATGAATGTCCCTGAAGGAATACTGGCTGGAAGAGAACTTGGGGTGACTAGGTCAATGACCCTTCTATCAGAACTGAATGCCGCTTTCCAAACAGGCCAGGACAGTGATCATGAGTGCCAGGGATCGGAACACTTTGCTGATTTAGGAGGTAGAAAGTCAGCCAAATTGGAAGCTGTAGCCATGTTAAAGATACTACAGAAGCTACCTGCTGAGGGGCTGAGACATTAACAGGCCTGGCTACGTGATAAGATTGACCACAAAAGCACAAGTGCGGACCCGATTCCATAGCAGAGAACATCTGCCTCTGCTGCTGGGGTCAGGAGCAGCCTGGAGCCTGTGGGAATACAGCAGGGGAGGCATGTATCACCTTGCTGTAACCACTGGTTCTTCAAGCACAAAATCAAAAAGATAGAATTTTAAAATGAAAATGTATACCTTGGGGGTGTGTGTGTGTGTGTGTGTTTCTAGCTATAAGGGGATGAGAAAAACAAAGGTTTTTGAGTCAGGGCCCACGGGTGTGCACACTGTGCTTCTGGTAGCAGGGTCTAGGATTAAGAGGGCCTTTCATATGATGTGTGAAGAATATATAAATGTAGAAAGCAAAAAAAAAAAAGTATTTAAAAATCTTGCATTGTTTCAGCAACACAATTCAGAGTCAGTAAACTTCAGAAATTATAGGTGCCCCAGGAAATAAATTAAAGGCCTGGGATCATTACTTTACAAGAATGAGCATACCAGGACATTTCGAGACCAAATTTAGTTTCTGTTCCTTCTTCAAAGACAAAACTTGAAGTCTTCTTTCAGTATGTTAATTTAAACCTCTCTAAAAACCTTGTAATTGGGGTAAGCAGCCACCAGGGGGTAGCCATGATTTGGTTAAAATTACAAGTCTGACTAGTAAAGCTTTTTCCCAGGTGGGAAAGTGAAAGGACCACTTTGATTCCTTTTTGAAGTGAAGCAAATAAAATGAAAAGAAAGTTCAGTAAATTTTACTAAACTTTCAATTAATTTCTTGATTGGTTTAAAGGACACTTTTTGAGTTTTCAGCTACTCAGTGGCATTTTTTTGCTCCGGCCACCAGCAATACAGTCTGTCTCAAACTTGACATTAACTAATGATGAACTTTGCTTTTCTCATCACCTTGTAGCTGGAAAAACACACACATACACTATGTGTATTGTATATTTAAAAAAATTCTATCTTTTTGATTTCATGCTTGAAGAACAAGTGGTTCCAGCAAGGTGATTATGGAAGAATATAGGAAAACTTGGCTTATCATTTCCAGAGAATAGAGAGAAGATTACTTTCTATTCTTATAAAAGGAGAGAACTCTTCCTTTTCCAAAGAACAGTTTTCTGCTGCCAGCTAGATGCTGCTTGAAATGTATACATTTGACACTTTAGTAGTTCTGAAATTTGCTTTGGGTTCAGTCTGGAGGGGAACATTAAAAAATACAGATTCCTGAGCTCCACCCTTAGACTCACCAAATTTCAAACGAGAAGAGATGTTTTTTTTAAAAGGTTCCCTGGTGATTCTGAGGCAGGGTCCAGGAAAATGCCTGGCAGCCTTCTCTCTTGTAATGTGTGAGAACTACACTAGTAAGAGAATATCTCAAAATGAACTTTTAAAAAAGTTCCTGTTACCAGAAACAGGTATTTAAAAATATCTAAAAAAAGCACATGTAATAAGACTTTAAGCAGAGGGTTTAACAGAATTTTGTAGGAAATTTTAATATGCAGACCATAGTGTAATGAAATTTCTTATTTGGGGGTTTCTTCTTTTATACTGATGGCCGTATAATTATAAGATTTTTTTTAATGGAAATGGAAATGTACTTCCTTGTTTAGCTGCTATTTAAGAAGGATCTAGAATATGGAGTAACTGAAGTTCCTGTTATAACTTAAGAGATTTGATCACTCAGAGTAACAGATGTGCAAGTAGATACTCACCATCATGTTATGGTAAAAAAATTTAAAAAGTTTATGATTTTTTGGATATAAATTAATATTTTAAAAATGTTTATTGACCTCTTCTTCCCCTAAAGTATGAAATAAAGGGGAAGTGATCACATTCTATTTTACAGACAAGAAACTGAGCAGTGAGGAGGAAAACCACTTATCTAAGGACATTCTAATCTACAGTAAACACATAGAAGAGTATTGGGTTATTTTGATTCCTGTGCCATTTTGTTATCTACCATTCTACATAAATGGAGAAGTTCTCCTCCCTTCCCAACCCTATGTCTAAACTTACAGTCTAGTTATAGATCCCATTGTTAGTCTTTCTACTTAGACCCCACTTTATCCAGTGGAGCTCAATTATTATTATTAATTTTTATCATTACTTATTTTAAAGTATGATGATAATACAAACAGGCACACTTTAAAAAAATTTTTTATTTTAATTTTAAGTTCCAGGGTACATATGCAGGATGTGCACGTTTGTTACATAGGTAAACGTGTGCCACGGTGGTTTGCTGCACTTATCAGCCCATCACCTAGGTATTAAGCCCAGCATGCATTAGCTGTATTTCCTAATGCTCTCCCTCCCCCACAGCCCCCTCCAGAGGCCCCAGTGTGTGTTGTTCCCCTCCCTGTGTCCATGTGTTCTCATAAACAGGCACATTTTTGAGAGACAGTCTAGTCAGGTGATGGATGCTGTGTCGAAATGGACAGCAGCTTGCGTGTCTGGTCTTTCCTCCTTAAAAGGCTCAGAAACTAAAGGCGCTGTTATGAGAGGAGTTGGAAGAAGTGGGGAATTAAGAGACTTCTTTTGGGACCTAGTTAAGCAGAGATGCTATTGTCTTACTTTTGAAATACCAAGTGGGCCTTGCTGTATTTTATTTTAGTGTTGAGCTTCAGATACCTAAGCCAGTGTCTTTTGCTGCTCACTTATGAGATCCAGCTTGACCTTACAGTGGCAATCATGTTAAAAGAGAACAAACTAAAGTAAGCACAAACAGAAACTTAGAATTAGTTCTAAACAAATGTGGATCTAATTTTTTACATTAAAATAAAACCAAAAGGAAGGCTGACTTTAGGTAACATTTATCAAATTTAGACTAAAATAAACCAAGAAGTTTATAAGGTCCAGTTTGTGGAGTAAAATATTGGCATGAAGAGAACGGAAACATTGCATGTAGGAAAATGTACGGGAGTAGAATTAGAGAAGGAAAAATCACTAGTCATGACCCGATGTTACTACAGCCACACCAGCTTACTTATAATAGGAATTCAGTGTGTTACAACAAAGAGGGTTCTGTAAATGCACCATGATAAAAATGGCAAATACTTATAATAGCTGCTATTTTTTGAGCACTTACTGAGTGCCAGCTATTGCTAAGCACTTTACCTACATTATCTCAATTATTTTAAAGGGTTCTGTTGTACAGAGGGACTCTGTAATGTTTTGCCTTCAATAACTTAATGCTTTTAAAGAGCATTTCTTTATGTAAACACTTCCCCGTGGATTTGGGATTCTAGGAAATAAATGGGAAAATATTAGCTAACCTTGTACAAGAGAGAATGATGGTGTTGGGCATATGCTATAAACTCTCCCCAGATTTCCCAAACTGTGATCCAAGGAATATTCTTCTGGGAGATATTAATAGATGTTCTGTAAAAAATGGGTTTTGAAGCACTGCATTCTGTGTCCTTCTGCTGGGGATTCACTAAGCCACATTCGGTTGTTAAAGGATCTGAGAAGTTCTGCTTTAAAAAAAAAAACGGAGTTTTTTAAAAAACTATGTTTACTATTTCCTTAATTTAACTACAGAACACCTTGAGAGGAGCGGTCAGGGAGAGAGGATTGGAGAACATTCCATGAGTGCCTAGTTGGTATTGGGAGACAATTCTGCTGGGTGTCTTTTGTTTCTGTGCATCTTGTGAGCGGAGGGACTAGTCAGTGCCTTTGTTCTGTACTATATTCTGTACTATATTTTCAAAAAGGATATTTTATAGAGAATACCCTTAGACAACAGAGGTAGTATCTCCCTGCAGAGCAGAGGGTAGGTTGTTTACTATCTAGTACAACAAACACAATTAATCCTTCCAGAACAAGGTTTAAGCATGATTACTGACCATTATAAAAGATTTGGGTTCCCTAAGCTCAGGGTTCTTCTCCTGTAACACAACCCCTCCGCATGTGCAGATGTCACCTTCTTGGCCCTTTTCACATTACCTGTGGGAATCTGGGCTCAGGGAACTGGCACAAATGCTGATGTTCTGGGTACTCTTGTTGCTTTAAGTAGTAAAATCTTTTGCTTCTGACCTAGCAGTCTTGAATCTTTTGCAAGCATCCGTGAAACCATGGCAGATAAACTTGTTAATTTGCAATTACAGTAAAATCTTAGACCTTTCACAATTCCTGAAGGGTTGGGTGGAGTAGGGTGAGAGATAAGAATAGAGTGGCTGGGGCAAAACTGTGAAGAATGGAGAAAACACAGGACTGCAAAGTTAAGCATCTTCCAAACAGTCTGGACTATTGACTTTCCTGGCAATGTTGCTCCTTTGAGCCAATTAATCTCAGTTCCTATAGATTTCCTTTTAGGTTTTATTGACTAGATATCAATTATGTTTTGCTACTGTTCTTTTCTGTGCTTGATTTTTCCAGGTGTAGAATTTGTTTATATAATGAAATACCAAATGGTGCTGGATTATTAGTTTTACAGTTCTTGTACATTTAGGGAAAGAAAGACTAGGCAATTTACTCTGCTTGGCAGTTTACACGGGTTTTCTGATGTAATCATTCATATTATTCAGGATTTTGGTATTTTATTCTGAAATTTACATGTGAAGAAATTTGATGCTCTTCGAGGTGGTTCTTATAATATTCATTGCTATCATTTATGGAGTGCTTACTAAACACCAGCTACTGTGTAGCTAAGCGTAGGATATTTTCTTATTTAATCCTCATAATGACCCTAACTAGTTACTATTATTATCCTTATTTTATGCATGAGGAAACTGATAACCAGAGAGGAAGTGATCACCCCCAGGCCAGGTAATTAGAGCTGTGATTTAAATACACGTATGTATGTATGACTTCAATATCCAGTTTTCTCTGTTCCCCTCCACCGTCTGCCAAATTAAAGTTTTATGGCATTATTTGGCTTGAGCTGAGGGTGACCATGTAGTTATAATCCAAACTAGACATTTTGGAGAGGAAAGGGGAACAATATTAATAATTGCACCAGAACAACAGGTATAGTCCAGACTGTCATAGAAAAACAGGGTGTGTGTTCATTCTACTGTGCAAATGAAATACCCAAGTAAATAGTAGGATAGATTTTAGTCACATTTGTGCAATTGATTTTTGACAGGTGTGGTTCTAGGATATTATCTCCCATTGAGTCAATATGCCGAATTCAAATAGTTTTAAATATTTTATTGTGCTTTTAAAAGTATTTTATTGCCAAGGTAGACCCACCCTTATTGACAGTTCCAATATAGATAAAATGGATTACTGCACATCCTTTTCTCACACCTCAGTGTTTTATGGGTTTCCAGAACTTAGTGCAGTCCAAAGTAAAGGGAGTATTTATGACATTTTAAAAAGCAAAACAGGAGATAATTATTCTTTTCTCTCTTCCTCCACCCCCTCAAACTGAAGAACATGATTGACTTGGCTTTATAGGGTACACATTCCTCATCTAAATGAAACCCAGCTGAGGATGGAAAATTGCAACACTATCTTGTCCTCCTGATGTCAACTGACAAAGGATAAGATACTTAAACTTTGCTTTCCTTGACATCCTTTTCAGTGAGAGTTCTAACAAAGAGAGAATAATAATTAATATACAGATCTATAATAACTATGATAGTTTTCTTGTGGTTTATACATAATTGTTTAATTAGCCTCTACAGGCTACTATGGTAGTTTTGCATTGATTTTTTGTTGTTGTGCTACTTGTTAGAAATTTTTTGACATTGGTGTTAGGCTAGCTTTGTAAATACATTTTGTGCATTTTTCCATATTGAAATATTTTTGAAGAGTATATTCTATGAAATGATTCTGTGGTCAAATGATATATCTTTTGGAGATTAACAATACACTTATAAGCATGTTAAAGACTAGGTAAAGTCCTAGAGTGCTAGAAATAGCTTGCTCACTTTGTTTAGTCCAGCATTTCCCAAACTTAGACACTGAGTGCTTTTTTTAGTGGAGCATGTATTAACTTTCTGTGGAAGCACACTTTGGAACACATTGGCATATGTGTAGCAGTTTTCTTTTTCAAAAAAGGCCACCTCTATTTGTTGCTATATCTCCTTTTATTTTATAATTTTGTGTTGCCACTCTCTCCCCTTTTTTGCGTAGCTTTTGCCTTGAAATAAAAAAAAAAAAAATTCAGCCAGAAGTGTTAGTTATCAGTTACTCTAATTCATTGTACTCTGAATCTCCTTTTGCCTGCCTACCATGATTTGCTTTGCTCCTTTTTCAAACTTTTTACTTTAATGTTTACATCATTTATTTTTATTCTTTAAGAACACTGAAAGCATTTAAGGCTATGAATTTGTGTTTGAGTATGGCTTTGCCAACATACCACATTTAAGTGTGGTGATGTTGCAGTATGGCTTGGTGAAAATAGCATTGGTTTAGGAAACAGCTAGATCTTTACTAGGATCCTGCCATGGATTCCATAATCTTGAGCCTCAGTTTCTGCATTATAAAATGGGGTTAATAATACTTACTTTTCAGAATTGAAAAAAATAAATTTATTTATTTATTTTTTTCTGTAGAGTTCATAGCACAGTACCTAAAAGGTAGATGGTTGACTAATGAATGCCTTTATTAATTTTATGTTTTTATAGATACTCTGTAATTTCAATATTGATTTAGTTTTGTCGCAGTGGTTTCATAGTAGCTGTTTAGGAGAATAACTTTACTTGCCAAATAGCAAAATTAAAAAACCTATAGTTTTGTTAACTGTTTGAATTTCATTTTTTTCTGAGACCAGCTTCTCTATGGGAAGGGAGAGTTGCCTTTAGGAAGTTCTAAGCCTGCATTAGCTTGTGGCCCATGAGGAAAGGGTCTTTTCCCCATGAAGTCAGGTCGATTTAAAAAAATTGGTCTATGGGTCTTACTGGTACCAGGGAGAGTGCTACTAGGATGGGTCCAACCTGGACTACATGCTCAGGCTGGTGGCCATATAAGGTTAGTTCTGTTACCAATAAGCAGACTAACACAGATGTGTAGCAATTAAAAAGCAGCAGTGAAAAAAGCTAGATATGGTCTCCCTACAACCAATTAACTGAAATTCGTGTATTCACTCACTTACTCAAAAGATGTTGAGAGTCTGCTCTGTCAAGTAGTATTTAGGCACTTTGGATTTTTCAGTCAACAAAAAGAAGATCCCAGACTTCATAGGACTTAGGTTCTACTAAACATTTTTCTTATTTATTTGTTAATAATTATGTTTGTTCTCACTAGATATAAATTCCATGGACTCAGCAGCTTTTTTCTTGTTCTCTACTGTATCCCTAGCATCTAGAAAATAGTTGGTATGTTATAGTATCTCAGTAAGTGTTTGTTGTATAGAGGAAACTTGGGTACTCTTCTGGGAGAATACAAAGTCTTGTTTTACTTTGTGGCCTAGTCACTTATGTGGAGGGAACTCTAGTTCCTTGTTTATCGAAAGCAGTGGATAAAAGTCCAAATTCTAGAATTTATCCTTCATGTTTTTCCTTATCTCTGCTTCTTTCCTCTATCAATCTCATGTGGATTTAAAATATGATAAAATCTGGGACAATGTTTTTCTTACCCACCAGTGGCCAATGGACAGTGGAAATTGAATAAACATTTAATAAATGAGTGTTTCGATCATAAGAAATAGGGCATGTCTGCCTCTCCCTTGTTGGCTGTTTGCACACTTGGGATTTGCAGTCTTCAATGAATATGAAAAGAGTTGGCCGTAGGTGTTTGTGAGGGAGAAGAGAAAGATTTGACAATGGTACTGGCCTGGCATGGTGGCTCACGCCTATAATCTCAGCATTTTGGGAGGCTGAGGCGGGTGGATCGCTTGAACTCAGGAGTTTCAGACTAACCTGGGCAGCATGGTGAAACCCTGTCTCTGTGAGAAAAAAAAAAAAAAAACTTAGACAGGCATGGTGCTGTGTGCCTGTAATACCAGCTACTTGGGAGGCTGAGGTGGTAGGATAACTTGAGCCTGGGAGGCAGAGGTTGCGTTGAGCCAAGATCATGCCACTGCACATTCCAACCAGCCTGGGAGTGTGGAATAAGAGTAAGACCCTGTCTCAAAAAAAAAAAAAAAATGGTACTGGTTACCTAAGAAAGCTGTTCTTGTCCAATAAAGAAGTGACTAATAGCATTCTGGGTTTGGGTTGATGTAGATTTTTGACTAGGGGAAGGCAGTGGATTTTGGTGGAACTCTTTTTTGAACTTCCAGCCTTCTCTGCTAAATGTGGCTATCCTAGTCAGAGTCCGCTGTGATCTGAATGTTTGTGCCCTTCCCACCAACCCCAAATTCATATATTGAAACTTAATGACCGATGTAATGGTATTAGAAGGTGGAGCCTTAGGGAGGTGATTAGATCATGAGGGTGGTGCTATCACAAATAGGATCAGTGCCTCCATAAGGAGGCCCCAGAGGTTGCCTTGCCCCTTTTACCATGTGGGAACACAGCTAGAAGGTGCCATCTATGGACTAGAAATAGGGCTGTCATCAGACATTGAATTGTTAGCACTTTGATCTTGGAATTTCCAGCCACCCGTACTGTGAGAAATAGATTTCTGTTGTTTATAAGTCACAGATTTATGTGATATTTTGTTTTTGATGTTTTGCTATAGCAGCCCAAATGGACTAAGACAGAAAGAGAGCCATATGTTTAATGGAAATTACTCCTGATGTGTGGTCGACATAATACACCATGAATGTTCATACTTTGCACTGCTTTGTAACTGGGCATCTTTTTATAATATATGCTTTTGAGGGAATGAACATTGAAATAGGAGAAAAGAGCAAATCAAGCACCACTTGATAGTTACCATGTCAATTGAAAAGTCCCTTATATTTGTCCTTTTAATGAGCAGCAATGAAAGAGTATTTTATAATATCCCTAAGAAACTCATTCTAGTTTGTTAAACATTTTTGCCAGGATTTTTTTTCTTTCTTTCTTTCTTTTTTTTTTTTTGAGACAGAGTCTCACTCTGTCGCACAGGCTGGAGTGCAGTGGTGCGATCTCGTCTCACTGCAATGGTGCGATCTCGTCTCACTGCAAGCTTCGCCTCCCAGGTTCACGCCGTTCTCTTGCCTCAGCCTCCCGAGTAGCTGGGACTACAGGTGCCCGCCACCATGCCCGGCTAATTTTTTTTTTTTTTTAGTAGAGACGGGGTTTCACCGTGTTAGCCAGGATAGTCTCGATCTCCTGACCTCGTGATCCGCCCACCTCGGCCTCCCAAAGTGCTGGGATTACAGGCATGAGCCACCGCGCCCAGCTGATTTTTTTTCTTAAATTACTCTCAAAACTCTTTATTTTGCAGTGTAATTACATTATAATGTGATTATATACATCTTCTGTTTCTTTTATGACAAACCTAAAGGGTTCCATAGAAAACTAGCTAATATCATCCAATTTAAGGTGTTCTTTTTGGCCATTAGGTTAAAGTATTAAATCATTAAGACAACTTTATCTCTTTGTTGTTTTAGAAGAAATAATTTAGCAGATAAAAAATGCACCTAGAAAAGAAAAGTTGTCTATGTTGTTATTCGAAATGGAAGATAATTTGAAATCCAAACTATATCGCTTTTATTAGGCCTATAGAAGAGTTATTTACAAATATTTCTAGGCAAGTTTTTATGATAAGCATGCTTTTCCTTTTTTTTTTCAAGGTATTTTCCCTCATTTGTATCATATTTGGAACGTTATGCCCTAAAAGGTTCCCCTACATGATTTTAGAGTTAAGAATCCTTTTACCTGCTAGTTTCTTCTCTCCCTCATTCTCTCCTGGGGCACTGATCTAGTCTATAATTCAGACCCTCAGTTGAAAAGGAACTGACATATATGTGACTAAGAGAGGGTTTATGTATTCCTTGAGGCATGGTCCATCAATCACCTAGCCACTTTACCTAAAGGCTGAAAACTGTGAATCATTTCCTCCAGTACCACATGCTAGGAGGCACTTGATTTAGGAATATGGGTAATGTGGGCTATAATTAACTCTTTTATATATTTTATTTCTGTTCTTTAACATATGGCATATAATTTTATACTAATTGCAGAGATAGGCAATTAAAATTTTGCATTTGCTGGTATCACAAGTCTTTCGTTAATGGGTATACATAGTTACATGAAAACACATGTATATTAATCAATAATTTACCTTCAATCACAGTCATCTGTATAATGCCTTTCCTCCAATACATCATTGGTAGAGGACAATTTGGCAATGAGAAAGCAACAATTGTTACTGATTTTGCATTGTTTTGGCAGAGTTGCAATAATTTTCCCATACCGTGATCCAGCAGAGATATCAGATAGATTTCTAGACTGTACTTGCATTTGAAAGTTCTTCCTCTGTTTTTATTCTGAGTATTTTTTTCCATCAGCTTATAACATCATAATATTGATTAGTGCAAGTAATGTATTATTCATGCCATTCTGGTTTCATTCCATTAGTGCCATCGGCATTAGTATTCAGTCTGAGAGACACAATTATGTCAAGAACCCTCTGGATCAGCTAGTCTTGTTTTGCATTTGTTTCACATTCATAGAAGAGACTTCTTTGTAGAGTAGATCTTTTTTATTTTGTTGGTGCCAACTGGAATGAAATAAGAGATTAATATGAGGCTGATGTAAATATAACCTTATATATTTTTATTTTACAGATAATCATTATGTAAAATTTGAAAAATTTGGAATGTGTAAAACTTAGAACTGTATAAGTAGGGAAATAAATTCATCTGTATTTTCATCATCCTATTGACAAGTTGATTTTACTTTCTAGTCTTATTTCTTAAATAATAAAGTTCATGTTGTATATGCAGTTTTGAATACTGATTTTTAGCATTATATGATGCATATTTTGCCGTATAACATTTTTAAAAGTTGATTTTTGGTGAACATATAATTGTTTATATTATTGTATCATTTTCAACCATTCTTAATTTTCAAATATTTTTTCATAGTTTTTTTATCAATAATGATGGATATCTTCATTTATAAATCTTTGACCATATCTCTGGTTATTTCCATAGGATAGATTTCTGGAAGTGAAATTATGGGCCAAGAATATTAGCCTTTAAAAAACTCTTGATACATATTGCCAAACAACTTTCTAAAAACACTGAATTCTAATTTCCTGTTTGCTAAAAAAAAAAAAAAACTCCGTTTTAGCTTATGTTGCTGTAAAGTCATTTTTTTTATTTAATGTGTATCTGTCTTTTTAGTAATATATTCATTAAAATAGACAAGTTAGGACATCATTAGATTGCTAAACAACCAAAGCAACTCAATAGATAGCCTTCTAGTGCTAAAAGCCACCTGACATTTTGGTGGGCTATCTTTTCTTAGTGTGTAATTTTTGATGATTTATATTGCTAGATCCTGTAGCTAAATATTTGAACGGAAATATGGTGTAGGGGTCTGAGCATTCAGACAGATAACAACAGTTCTGTAAGTCTGCTGTGGAAAAATGAGAGCTGCTATCTGCTACTTCATCAGTAATAACTGAGATCTCATTGTGTTTCACCTGTGTTTTTAGCCATTCATAGAACCATTTAGTGACTTAATTTTGTATTTACAATTATTTCAAAATTAGTACAAAGTCTAGGTAATCTAATCAAAACAAGTTATGTTTGAAATAACATACTGCTGCTCATATGCTTATTTGCATCTTGAAGAATGGAGTCTAAAATGTACAATGATGGTCATGACATGATATTATATGAATTTAATGTAATATTGCGGCTTTGACCTCATGAAATATGCAGAAAGTGCTAAGTTCAAAGAAAATGTTTAAATTAAAGTATTGTGACTCCATTACTTCATTTTAGCCTTCTATCATAAGGCATTTTATGCAATACTAGGAAATCTCATCTCCTTTATAAAGACTACATAAAATGAATAATGATTTCTGTTCCTCTGCCCAATTTGCCTGAAATACAATTGTATTGAATTATAAACTAACCCTAAAATTTAGGTATAATAAATACCGCATGTTGAGAAGGTCAGTTGATTGGTGGTCTTTTTAGTTGAACACTTCTCTGTAGGTTCTGCATTGGTCGATGTCTTACTGATGGTAAAAGGGAGGAAAAAGGAAGCATAGGGATTATCAGAATACTTGGAGTCATCAAAAATTCTATGTATAAAATTTACTGGCTATATGACCTTTTAAAATGTTTACTGGCTATATGAACTTTGTTAATATCAAGGATTTGTTAAATCTTTGATACTTTGTGAGTACAATTTCTTGTCTGTTAATGAGGAATGACATTACCTCAAAGATTGAATTGAATAATGAGTAAAATATCCCTTTTGTAGATGTTCCTTAATAAAAGTGTGTTAATTTCTTATCCTTGTATGTAAAATATGTGGAAGGTTAAGGCTAGACCAAGGACTCTATTAAGTATGCAGCACTCAGAAAAGTAATGCCTTCAAAAATGTTTTTGTCTTCTCCTTGCAATATAGATGCATCAATAGATACTGAATTAAATACCAAGCATAGTATGTGGGTTGGCAATATCCTGTGTTTGCAACTGTTGGAACCAGTTTGCCCCATTTGCAGGAATCACAATAATGAAGATAATATTCACAAAATAGCAGTGCATATTTTATGGAGATATATTTTCCGTAAAGGCCATTCAGTTGGTTCCAGGAGGGTTTGTTGTGTTCTCTTGTGACACTGAGTTTTTGGTCCCTTGTGCTTCAGATATGTGAAAACTTTTGTGTTCATTATTATCAGTGCTGAATATTAGCCACTCCTCACAGTGAAGCAAGAGTACTCTGAAGAATTACCAGTGGATTCCTTGGGCTAGAGGTATCACCAAGTGTTTACTTGGGGGAGGTGGCTTTGGTCTTCCCATGACCTTTAGCAGCCTTCCCCAATTCTTTGAGATAGAGAATTAACGTATTTGTAGTCTTTTTTGTAAAGTGCCGTGCAAGTGCAACTTTAAGACAGGTCAGCTCGCTAACTTCCAAGTAGGTTGCTGTACTAAAGCTGGAGCCAACACAGTTTGGGCTGCCCTACTTAAGCAGGAGTTGTTGGTTTGCCATTACCTACTGTGTTTCTGCTACTTAAGGACTCCCTGAATCCTAGAGATGTGGGAGCCCTGTAGCAAAACATACACCATTGCTATTGCTGGTGATGTGAACTTAGATCATGTTTTTGCATTGTGAAATAAGTGTGTTGTAGTGTACTTGATGAAAGATGCTCATCGGTTAAAATCTTTACTTTGTTATTATTAATGATTAATGTAATAGCCCCTTGATCACTGCCCCAACTTTGAATCATCTGTCTTCTAACTTCAGGTGATCATTCCTCAGAAAGTTAGTTTCCTAAGGATTATATAATTGATACTTGTAATTACATTATTTATAATCTCAAACTCATATTAGAAATAATGAATAAAAACATTTTGTTTTTCAAGTTCAAACCAAAGGTTCTGAATTTGTTGAAATTATTTAAAATGAATTTATTTGTTAAGACTCACCTCCATTGGTAACTCCCTTTGAAGTCAAGCTGTTCTCTCTGCCATCAACTTTTTAGATCCACCTTGACCATGGCATTGATAACGCTGTGTTGCAATTACTTGACTACACATCTGTTTTGTTAACAAAGCTGTGAGCTGATTAACGGAAGGGGACGTGTCTTCTTCACTGATATCCCTAAATGTTAGTAAGTGTTCTCATTGTTAATAGATGCCAGATAAATGTTTTCCAGATTATCTTGAATTTACTTAAGCATGGAATACTGTATAAAACACATAAGTTATAAAGCATTAGCCATCTGAGATAATTTCTGTGTAACTTGACTTGTAACTGTGACATAGTTTATTTAACATGAACTTTGGTGGTGAGATTTGTACATGAGTGAGGAAATTTAATATATGATTTAAAATATCAGGGATTGAATAAAGGAAAAAGAAACCATCTACAGCTTTTAAGTGTCAATTGGACCAGTCTTTTGGAATCTATCTGTCCATCACAAGCTTGTCTCTGCTTTAGCCCCATCTCAGACATTTAATCCTTGTCTAGAAGGGTAATTAGAAACCATCTAATTTAGGTTATTTCTATTGAGGTAAATTGAGTTAAGATAACTGAAACTTGCCTTGGCATTTAACCTCTTTGGAGTCAGAGCATGGCTCACCCTTTGTGAAAGGCCACGCAGCTGACCTCTCTGCTCCCACACCAGTCTTCTTTCCAAACAGCGACCTGAGAGTGATCATCAAATAGAGCCAAGTGCTATATCAGGTTAACTCCAGGGTATTTTTAATGGATATATAGAGAAGCATCAGAGTGTTATCTGTCAGACACATTTCCAATTCTGAGGGGAAAATTCTTTTGAATTTCACATAAATTCTTTACCTGGAAATACAGATTGATTTATATTGAAGATTACTACTACACAAGAAGTCATAGCTTCTTAGATAACTGTGTATATGTCCAGCATATCTTTAAGAACAGTTTTTGGGCAGTGCCTCATGCCTGTAATCCCAGCACTTTGGGATGCCGAGGTGGGCGGATCACCTGAGGTCAGGAGTTTGAGACCAGCCTGGCCAACATGGTGAAACTCCGTCTCTACTAAAAATAAAAAAAAATTAGCCGGACACTGTGTTGCATACCTGTAATCCCAGCTACTCAAGAGGCCGAGGCAGGAGAATTGCTTGAACCCGGGAGGCAGAGGTTGCACTGAGCCAAGATCCTGCCACTGCACTCCAGCCTGGGCAACAGAGTGAGACTCCGTTGCAAAAACAAAACAAATAAAAACCCCACAGCTTTTGTACAGCTGTTTTGAACAGCTTTTGCAACTTTTTCAACATTTTTGCTGGACATGGTGTTAAGTTTTGAAATATAGAAATGAAAAACACATAGGCTCTCTTTCGTAATTCTAACTCACTGTCAACAAAATGCAGAAAAGCATATTGTAACACCTGGTGATAAGGGCCATAATGAACATATTGTGGTGTTTTTATTTAAAATACCACAGAACTAAACCAATTGGCTATCTATATATAAAAAATGCAATTGGATCCTTACCTCATACCATAAACAAAAATAAATCTCAAGTAAATTAAATGCCTAAATGGGAAACATATACCTTTTAAAAGAAAAGGGAGAAGCTTATATTTTTAACCTCAGGGTAGGGAAGGACTTCCTAAGCAAGTTATAAAAAGCACAGCCAACCTTTAAAATCAAAGATTGATAAATTTGACTAAATTGAAATATAACTTTTGTATAACAAAGGAAACCAGGTACAAAATTAAGATAAGATATTTTTAATTCATTCTACCAGGAAAGGAGTATGTAAAGAATCCGACATAATTAAGAATAACGGGTCCAGTAGAAAAATTAGGCAATGGATATGTGTAGAAAATTCTGAAGGAGAAAATGTAAGCTGCCAAAAGACATTGAAAGATGCTTAACCTTGGTAGTAATCAGAGAAGTAGAAATTAAAACCCATAGGGAAAATCCATTTCATACATATCAAACTGAAGAAAAAGGGAAATTTCTGATAGGATGAAGTGTTGGCAAATACATGGAGCAATGACAAATTCCCATACACTACTTGTAGGAGCACAATTAGATACAGTATTTGGAGAGCAGTTAAATGAAAGAACTTGGGCTATATACATGCTAATATTTAACGCAGTCTCAAAAACACAATGCTGAGAAAGAAAGAACACAGGATATTCATTTCACAAAGCTGGCGAATGTTCTCATATGCTGCTATTCTCTTCTTCCATTGGAACAGTTAGTTCAGCAAGTTATCATGACTAAAGCTGATGAAGGAGTCTCTTACAACCTTAGTTTATCATAATTGGTAGGTACCCACAGGATTTTTATCACTTTACCAGTGCTTTGGTAGGTAAGTCACCAAGAGTGAACACAGAGTGTTCAAGCTTTGGGCTGATTTACAAACAGCCAAAAATGCCTGTATTCTTGGTCAAGCTTTATGGACCCTTCAGCCCTAAAGCCTGGGGCCAGCTCAGGTCTGAGTGACATGCTAGGCCGGGCCCTAGTTTTTTTCCCTGGGCCAGCTGGGAAGGACTATCTCACCTTTTCTTACTGCTGCTCACATGGCCCTGCTATTCCTATATTTGCTCTCTCCTTTTGGAATCAGTTTATTTCTTGCAAGAATTATCTCATGGGGTATTGTGATTTTTTAGTGATTATGTGAGCTCTTACTACTTTTTGCATGTATCAAATGGATTTCTCTGAGTTTTAAAGAATTCCATTTTACTATATTAATTTGGGAGAAATGCTATTGTCTTTCTGATGTGACCCATGATTTCATAGATTTCTACATTTCTCTTCTCAGCTTTCATTATTTCAGACTGAAGCATTCCTGTCTCCATAAGCCTGCGCCCACATCCACTTTTTCCACTTTTTCTCTTTTTTATCACCTTTTTTTTTTTTTTGGGATGGAGCCTTGCTTTGTTGCCAGGCTGGAGTGCAGTGGCGCAGTCTTGGCTAACTGCAACCTCCGTCTCCCAGGTTCAAGCGATTCTCCTGCCTCAGCTTCCCAAGTAGCTGGGATTACAGGTGTGTGCCACCACGCCCAGCTAATTTTTGTATTTTTAGTAGAGACAGGGTTTCACCATGTTGACCAGGATGGTCTCGATCTCCTGACCTCGTGGTCCACCTGCTTCGGCCTCCCAAAGTGTTGGGATTACAGGCGTGAGCCACTGCGCCCGGCCTTTTATCAATTGTTAAAGGAAAACCTTTCTCTCTAGAGGAAGAAAAGATAAATCTGTCTTTTCTGATACCTAGGGTAGGGCACAAGGACTTGACTGTGAGGTAGGCAAGGCAAGTGAGTCAACCTTAGTGTTTGGGTTTTGCGTGAGATGCTTGTCTAGAGCAGTACACTGTATACCAGGAGAAATTTGATATGAAATAAGGTAATGTTTCCTTGCAGTGTGATGCAAAAAGGCTTAGACGTTAGGGCTGGCGGTTTTCCAGCTTTGTGATCATGGAAAAGACACTTATGAAAACTCTTGATCTTGGAAAAGACTCATAAAAATTCTAAGCCATAGTTCCATCCATTGAAGGTTGGAAATAATAAAGCTTATCTCATAGAGTTGTGTAATTTAACTTATTTGAAGGTGCATTGTAAGTTATAACGTACCATACAAATTTGAGATATTAGTGTTATCAATATTTTTCTAAATGATGCCTAACATTCTTTTGGTCTCTTTTGCCCTCATCAGTACATGGTATATGTTCTTAGTTCAGCACAGAGTAACAGTCATCCCTATTTTCTTACTGGCTTTTGTTTTCTAAAGAAAGGGTAGTTTTAAATATTCATAAATGCATGACAGCTGGGGGCATTCCTTTTAACAGATAAAATTTATTAAATATGCAATGGTGCTTGGTGGGGATGCTACTGTGTAGCACATGGAAGGTCATGGGCCACAGCTTACAATTTTGAGGGGCTGCACTCAGGTTTATTGAGGCAGTGCTTAAAGGTTTGAGGTCAAGAAAGGGAAGCTGCCAGAATTTTGAATTTCATTCCTAAACAAGTCATTTATTAAGAACCTAAAAACGTACTGAATCACAGCACATTAAGTTAGTTGATGTTGGACATAGGGAATTTTTGAATATGGAAAAATTTCAGAGTCCATCAGTATACCATTGCACGAGGTAGCCCAAGCTCATATGAAGCATAAGATCTAGTGCATGGTGTATGCCATTTAGCAGTGATATAATTTATAATTTAATAAATGGGCATGATCAACAGCAATAGAAGTTAGAAGAATGGTTGCTTTTGGGGAGGGAGAGGCATTAACTAGAAAAAGAAATGTGAGAACTTTGAAGGGTGATAGAAATATTCCATATTTTTAGTGGGGTATTGGTTATACAGGTAGATATATTTGTCAGAATTCATTGAACTGAGAACTTAAAATCTGTGCATTTTCCGAACACTTCAACAGAAATAATAAAATAAGAAAAATGTTTAAATGGAAAAAATTACTAAGCATGAAAGCAATAATCGAGTGGATATAGATTGTTATATAACAAGTAGAATATCTAATTGTGAGAGAAAGCAGAGTAAAAGAATCATCAACATAGGCTGGAGTGGAGTCAATCCAGGAATGCTCCCTATTTGTGTGTATGAGCTGGGTTTTGGGGAAAGGATGAGCTGTAGATGGCCAAAAAAAAAAAATAAAATAAAAGGGTGGGGAGAAAGGTCTTTCAATCTTTCAAATCTTGGAAACCATATCCCCAAGGGCTCAGACAGAGCAGGATGCAAACTGAGGCGAGACGCTAGATTGATTTGCAAAAAATATTTAATATTCATTTTTTATGTTCATTGTTTTAATTCATCTATTCATAAAATGAAAATCACAATAATACCTTGTGGAAACTTAATTCATCATTTAATGATATTTTGGATTATTACTACATAAATTATGTCTATTTCTTTAGAATGTTCTTTCTGAGATCTTGAGCATTCTGGTTAATAACACATGAAGCTTGAAAACCCACATTTGCACTTATATTTATAATATCTCTATTAAATCAGGAAGTTAATGTTTGCATGGTTGTTAACCCATTTAATTGCAACTAATGTATGCTTTCATGACTTTTGTTTTATCTCATTACCTTTTTGATTTGATTTCTTTCCTAAGAATCCATTATGAGGACTTGGACTCTTGTGGAGCTCAGAAAGTTTAGGATGTGTTAAAGGAATTCCTTTTATAGGTTATCTCAAAGATTGCCCATCAATTACAGCAATGTTTTCAACCATCCCTGGCATATACTTTTTTTTTTTTTTTTCCCGAGACAGAGTCTTACTTTGTCACCCAGGCCAGAGTGCAATGGCATGATCCTGGCTCACTGCAGCCTCCACCTCCTGGGTTCAAGCCGTTCTTTTGCCTCAGCCTCCCCAGTAGCTGGGACTACAGGCACCCGCCACCATGCCTGGCTAATTTTTGTATTTTTAGTAGAGACAGGGTTTCACCATGTTGGGCAGGCTGGTCTCAAACTCCTGACCTTAGGTGATCCGCTCACGTTGGCCTCCCAAAGTGCTGGGATTATAGGTGTGAGCCACCGTGCCTGACTGCTGGCGTATGCTTCTAAGAAATTTCCACTTTCAGTCAGTTTGACAGTTGAATCCATGAACACTTGGTCTAAACGCCCTTGATACTAATTATCATATTATGTTTGCCAAAGACCAGGAAAGAGATTTAGATAACAATATTTTGCATAATTCAGGCTGTAAAATAAATCATAGAGAATGAGCAGTGTGGTTTGTGGTGTGTAAGTTGTTTGTAGAATACAGATATGAACTTTTAAAAATAAATGTTCTCAAGAAAGTATCAGTGGCATGTATTTGAAGTACTTTGGAAACATTTCATCAAATTATTACGTTTGTAGTGGAATTGAGGGGTGAACATTAATAATGTTAGAAAGTGTTTTTTAAAATAGTAAGCTAAAGTTTTACAATTGATTAAAATGGAAGCAAGTGCATTCTGATCTGACAAATTATTACTTTCTTCTGATTGAGAAAGAAAAGCTAATTAGCACCTCACAAATCAACAGTGATGATGGGAAGCTCCACTATAAATGTGCCAAGTATAAGGATTATTGTTCCTCAAAGAAGGTGTATGCATTAAGCATAATGTGATCACCTTTTTTTTGGTCTCATTAGCTTGGTGTTTATCAGATTTCTTTAGTTAACCCAGGTCTGCTTATAGTTATAAGCAGCCATTACCTGCATTGGTCCTTGTCCAATTTTCACACTGTGTAAATATAGACAGAAAGAAAAAAACACTCCTTAGAAATAGCTTTGAAAACTGAGGAAGTCTATTGGAAACATAAAGCATATTTGGCATCTTATATGTCATGTATGAAAAGTTAATGGACTTGGTTTTTATGACTGGCTTATGGAATCGGTCTCATTATTGTACTGTCACACCTTGTATATGGCTAAATGGGTAGATCATGTACTCATTTCTGTGAAAAATTATGACTACTTTGTAGTAGAACTGGCACCATTACCAAGAATTTATGAATTGGAGATTGATTTTGGTAAAAATGGAACTTGTTTTAAGCCAAATATCTTAAAACCCAAACCCTTCAATCCTAACTGTTCATGAGAATGACTTGATTTTTGTTTGATAGAAAGATGGAAATGGAAAAGGAGACTTGCTTGTCATTATGTCTGCTTGTTCATAAAGAGAAATCTGGAAAAGTTAATTCCTTCATATTCTGAGACGTAGCTAGTGGAGGACTAATTTTGTCACTGGGATTCTCTTAAATCCAGATATGCTGTCTTTCATGCCCTTCACTCCCACCGGGAAACCCCTATATTTTTCTTCCCTATGGACTCCATGCTTTAAAAATTGTCTCTCAAGGACAATATATCAATTGTACATGCTTTTATTAATACTGCATAGAACTGCATGTAAAATTGTTTGATCAGTGTGAAATAATTGCTACAAAGAGACTTGACATTTTGCTTTACTTTGGAATCCCTATTACACATAAGCGTGCAGTTTTTGTAATAAAAAAGATGAAAATAACTTGTTGATCTTCTATTGTACCTGTAAGAAGTTCATCTTGGCATTCTCTTGTAGTCTTAGCAAGCATGGATTTGTAATCACGCCAAAATGGGTTACATATGACACCAGACCCCTTCTGTGTGACCATGAATTATAACTTTTAAAAAATTACTTTACTTGAGACAAGTTTAAGGCAATAAAGTGAATGCCTGAGAAAAGAAGTCATCAGTGGGAGTTTATGAGTTACCGAAACAGGGAGCTCAAACTGTGCTCACCACAGTAGAATAGTTTTAAAAATCAGTGAAGGTGTTTGAATTGATGAGCTGTTTGAATTGGTCCTCTGACCTCTGAAATGACCTTTCCCATTACCTCCTCAGGTTTGAAGGATAATTGCTCTCCTCTTCTTTCCCCCTGAGGCAACCCTAGCCAGAATTTCAACTTTGCCTTTTGAAGGGTGATACCTGTGGTGCAGCATATTGGGTCAGGATATGACCTTGCACATCTGTATTTCACTAGACCCTCAGAATAGAGATGCCCACCACTGTTGCTGTCTTAGATGGGGGCTTAGAGAAGTGCTTCCCCAAATCCAAATCATTCTGCATCTTGATACCTCAAGGATCATTCTCTATTCTTAAACTGTTTCTTTATTGTCAGTTTTGAAGAACGGTAACTCTATTAGGGAGATAAAAATGAAAAAAGTTATTTGGAAGTAGTCACTAAATATGATTAGTTATTTTACATGATATAGATTATTTTAAATTTTTCTGTTTTCCAATGTGGTTAACTACTGTATTAAGCACTTCTGGAGCTGCCATAATGAACAGCTTAATCAGTTCATATAAATTTGTTGTGTACTGCTAAGGACTTTAATTGGAAATATAATAAATCTTTTAAGTAAGGACTAGTCATTATAGAAAGCTGATTTGCAATAGTTAAATGTTCACATTATACTAAAATGAGATATAAACACTCTTTTGTAGCATGTTATTACAACACACAGATGTCTTGGCTCCAAAGAACGTGTACTAAATGAGTGCTGCTTGGATTTATGCCAGGGTCAAGGCTTAGTGATCTTAAGTAAGAGCCCAGAACATCGCATGATGGGAGGTCAACTAACTGCTTTTTATTCTAGGAGCTCTAGCTCATGCTTTGGAGTCTGTCGCTGGTGGAGAGGACATGCCCAGTATAATCTATTCTCCCTGCTCACAACTGAAGACAAAGCCTTATCAATATATGCAGACCTTAAAATACAGTTGAAAATTTTGCGAAAGCTCTTATTTTAGGGCAAGTAGTGGCTGGTTTAGTTGCTTCCAAAATGGCTGGATTGTCCATAATTTTCAGCTGTCTAGGGAAGTTGGGAGGGCAGAGTGCATCTTTCCCCGCATTTAGAAAAATAGTACATGTATGTTGAGGGGAAGTGAGTGGAGAAAGGAGAGGAAGAAGAAGAGGAACAAGGCTGTACAATAAGTTACATCCCTAGGTCACATTTTAAATTTTGATGGAACCGGTCTCTCTTGGAGAATCTGTGTAAGGACCTACATCCTGTAGGAGGAAGCAGAGCCTGGGTTTTCAGGCCTTTAAGCATTGACTAACTGCTGAATGCAAATGCTAGCGGAGATTGAACTGTGCTAATATTCCTATTAGAACTGTTATTATTTTAGCTAATGCTCTGATTACAGAATTGCATAAGTTTTGAGTGCTCTGCTCATAATCCCTTTTCCCTCATAAGCCCTGTTATTTTCATAGCAATTTTGCAAAACATGAAGTTTTGCAGGAACACATGTATTGCATTTATGTCAGAAATGCCAGTACATCATGGTAAATATCTACTTAGTAAACTACTTGTATGTTGATGCATAAAGTTAAATTTTATAATAAGACCTCAGTGACCAGATTGAGAAATTGAGGTATAAAAAGTTTGTGTTGTCCTCCATTAGTTGGAATGTTCTCTGTTTATTAAACTGCTTATCACATTGTTGAAACTATTTTAATCCATCTAAATGATATTGATATGGTTTGGCTGTGTCTCCGCCCAAATCTCATCTTGAATTGTAATCCCCATAATCCCCATGTGTTGAGGGAGGGACCTGGTGGGAGGTGATTGGATCATGGGGGCAGTTCCCCCATGCTGTTCTCGTGATAGTAAGTTCTCATGAAATCTGGTGGTTTTATAAGCATCTGGCATTTCTCCTACTTGCACTTCTTTTTTTCCTGCCACCATGTGAAGAAGGTTTTGCTTCCCTTTCACCTTCCACCATGATTTTAAGTTTCCTAGGGCTTCCCCAGCCATGTGGAACTGTAAGTCAGTTATACCTTTCTTTATAAATTACCCTGTCTCAAGTAGTATCATTAGAGCAGTGTGAAAACGGACTAATACAGATATTAATAGATTTTTGAAGCAGAAAATGTATAATTGTATTATCATTCTTTCAAGTAATATATTAAGAACAAAAACTCCAAGCTTAAATTTATTTGATTTGAGAGTGAGAGATCTAAAATATGGTTCCTTAAGATTAAAATAGCAACAGCAACAACAAAACTCTTTCATCATGGAATCATAGTCACAACACTTTACAGGTGAGTAAAGGAGGCCTTAAAAATTCAGTCTTTGAGAGCAAAGAGAATAATTTACTAGAGCCAAAAGTTCCTGTGCTTCTATGTCTAATATTAAGGTACAATTCTTAGTCCATAGTATTGCCATTTGGTTAATATCTTGATAGTAAATATTAAGTTAACATTTAATTATTAAGCAATATTATTAATTAAACCAAATGTTAAATCTGTTTTTTTTGAAAAAGCTTGAAATTCCCTTACAATGTAAGATGTCATAACTTCATTATATCAAGTCTAAAAGCAGGCAAACATGAGGTATCAATTTCACACCTGCCTATTGCCATGATCAAACAACCTATCTAAAAGAGAATGAGGCCTTCATTTAAGGTTTATTTAAAGTTGGAAGCTTGGTATTTGCCCCAGAAAAGGTAGAAAGTGATTAAATGAGAAAGCAGCTTAATTCTTGCCATTTTCATTGTCTTATCTGCAGTTCTTTCATTCATCAAAGATGAGACAACATTTTTCATGGTCAGCCTATTCACTAACATGCTATGGAGTGAGTAGTGAGCAATATTAGCGAAAGAAATTGGGTTGTTTGCTTTTCCATTTCCTTTGTCTGAAGCACACCAATCCCCAATTCGATTCTGATGTTGAGCACTTCAGAGGGCTTCCGGCTGGCATCTGGACAAAGCCTGAATATGTGGAGAACAGATTCAGTCTGAGTTGACTGCTAGGCTCATTTCACCCTAGATTGGCTAAAGGTGGCAAGTTCTGCCACCAAGAGAAGGTTTAATAGTTTAGATAGGTGGGAAAGAAACTAATGAATTTATATGATAATCAAAGAAGTATGTTACATTATTGAAGGATCAGGCCTTAGAAGCATCCATCCAAAGGCCATGCAAGTATTTTTAGGATTGTGTTTCTTACACATTATCATGGAGGAAGAAATAGGAAAACAAAGTTTGTTAAAGATGTGCAAGAAGAAACAAACCAGAATATACCACTTTTTCCTGATTGGTAGTGTTCTCCCTTCACTTCTAGGCCAGATGGCCCCAGATTGATATCACAACAAGAGGCTTGAGATCCACAATTAATTACGGAAGCTGCGGGGAAGCAATCATAGTGGGCACCTCTCAAAGAAATAGATGTCAGAGGAAGACAGTTTGGTTAGACCTAGGATTTCAGAGGACAAACTCATTACACTGAGCATTTGCAGTACTTAATACATTAAGTAATAACAAATAATCAGCCTTTTTAGGAGTCATGGCTTCAGTGGACTTTGAATAGGCTTTGAATATTGTCCTGACATTAAAAAATTTGCATATAGAAGTTTTAGATCTGATTTAATGCTTGTTAGGTTAGTCATCCAACTGTTTCCAAAAAGACTTTTTAAAATACGTATCTGCTACTAGAAATATTTAGTGTTGATTTAGAGAAGTTTACTATCAGGGTGTTAAATATTTATTTGATGCCTGCGGAATGATTAGGTTAATGATCTGAGAAGGCTGCTATGGGTCGTGTATCTGTTACAGAATTCCTGTGATTTTAAAATCACACAAATGCTGACTTTTGATGGCTTTTGCCCTTGGTATATAGCAGGTTATTTTTGGAAAGTTCCAAACAATTAAAGAATTAGAGCTGATTTCAATGAATAAGGAAAGATGGATATATGTTGTTCAGGTTCTGTGGGTTGCCTACATGTTATCTAATTTCATTACTAGCAGGACTCCACTTTTGTTTGAGAAGTAGGGAGGCTAGTGGAGAGGGGATTGGGTGAGCAAAAGTTTTACTGATACCTAGTTTGTAAAAAAACAAAACAAAAACACCCAATCTATTTTCTAGGCTCTTTTTCAGCTTAGAGTGGATGTGTTCCGCAGTTCTGGCCAGTAAGTTGGAAGTTGAAGGCTTCCTGCCTTCTTTGATGTTCTGCCACTCTGATTCTTGGCCGCTAGTTTTCCGGACTCTGCTTGTCCTGATAGCTGCAGCGTTGCCTTGGTTTCCTGTGTGGGAAACCAAGGACTTTTTCTGATTTCAGCTCTGTTCAGACCTCTAGAAATTGCCCCAGTTCAGGCCTCTCTCCCTCCCTTGTTTCCTAGCCTTTCTGATGTATATTCTATTGGGCTTGGGTTGGTTTTCCAGATCGTGTCTTTTCCTGTCTGTGATGTAGTCTGAGTGCATTCCCTTTGCCTTGGCAGTTTTCCACTTCAAGGGCTCTCATTTACTATTCTGAAGGCGGCATGGGGTAGGACTCCAGAACAAAGTCAGACAGACCTGGATTTGAATCTTATTATACTTAATCTCCCTGTTCCTCAGTTTCTTGAACTGTAAAAGAGGATGATAGTATAGCTCAGGACTTTGATGTGAGAATTAAATGAGGTAAAGCTTGTGAAGCAATTGGCCCAATACCTGTAATGTAAGCATTCAGTACCATTGAAATGATATGTTAATGATGATTATGCTAAACCAACAACAAGCATTGAATAGGATTGTTTTTTCCTTTCTAAAGAATAGGAATCTGAGACAGTTTATTCATAAAGTATCAGAACTGGTGCCAAATCTGCAAATCTAAATGTTCCCTGAGCAGTAACCATGTTGGTCTCATTCACTGCTGTCTCCCTAGTATTTGACATAGGCCCTGGCATGAAGGCCCTGGCACATAATAAGAAAAATAGTTAACATTTAGTGAGCACTTAATTTGTATCAATTTTTTCTAAGTGCTTTACATATATTGACTCATTTCCTCCCAGAGGACAAGAGTAGGTATTATTACCTGCATTTTGCAGTTAAACTCAAACTCAGAGAATTTATGTAACTTGCACAAGGTCACACAGCTCTTAGCTGGCTGAGAAGAATGCCAGTAGTCTGGTTCCAGAGTTTCACTGCCTGTCAATAAATATTGAGATGAACAAGGGAAGAAAGGGAGAGAAAAGGAAGAAACCCAGGTCCTGAGTCCTTGTGCTGGGCATCAATCGTGGTAGTTGTGCTGTGGAATTCGTTTTTTTGCTGCTACTTTAGCTGGGGTGTCAGCCCTGAATGGATGACTTTGGGGAGAACTGCAATGCCCTGTTTATTCCCTGGGGCTTCTGTAAGGGCAGTAGTAAAGGAGGGGGTACGTGAATTACCAGCCATAGACAATACATCACTAACAGAATGGTACTGGCTACAGGCAATTCCCAATTTATGGACAGATTTGTTTCCCAAATTTGTAATTTCACTGTTTGGAACTCAGCATGCTTCACCAATAAATAGCTAAGTTAACCCCTAGAGTAACTGGAATAGTTCTTACGGCCCGGAGCCCTGGAGAGGCTTGGGGGCTGGGTGGACAGATGACTTCCTGTGTGGACAGGAAGCCAGCCGTGAGGGCTTGGGATGGCCTGAAGGTTTACTATTTTTGAGAGATTCATATAAGCCAAGTTTAATGAGTAAGTTTTCACATTATTGGAATGGTCAGCATGTATCTGTGTTAGAGTACAAAGACATTTTCAGGACATATCTTTCTGTATGTAACCTGGAAACAAAACATTTAAATGAAATAAACGAACTCAACCAACTGTATTTCTTATGCTTGTGATTTTACCATAGGAATTAAGGAAACAAATTGTATCATTCTTGGCCAATAACAGAGATACTCTTCCATCCCGCCCTCCCTTTTTATTGTGGCAAACAAACGCATAAAGATATTAAAAAAGACACACACGACATAAAATTCACCTTCCTGTTTCCAAGTGTATAGTACAATATTGTCCACCACATATACATTGTTGTGCAACAGATCTCAGACCCACCCATTCCCCACATGACTGAAACCCTACATACATTAAACAACAACTCTCTACCTCCCACTCCCTGTCAGGTCGGCCCCTGACAACCACCATTCTACTTTCTATTTCTTTCATTTTGACCACTTTAGATACCTCATAAGTAGAATCGTGCAGTGGAATCATGTCTTTTTGTGACTGGTTTATTTCTCTTAGCATAAGGTCCTCAGTATTCGTCTATGCTGTATAACACATGACAGGATTTCTTTCTTTTTAAAGGCTGAATGATATTCATATATATGCCATACCCTAGTTTCTTTATTCATCTTTGGATGGACATTTATGTTGCTTCTTCCCCTTGGCAATTGCGAATAATGCCGCAATGAACATGAATGTGCCAATATCTCTTTGAGATCTTGTTTTTGATTCTTTTGGATATATACCCAGAGGTGGGATTGCTAGATCATGTTGTAGTTCTATTGTTAGTTTTCTGAGGAAACTCCATACTGTTTTTCATAGCAGTTGCACTCTTTTACATTCTTACCAACAGTGCACAAGGATTCCAGTTTCTCCACATCTTCACTAACACTGATGTGTGTGTGTGTTTAATAGTGGCTGTCCTAATGGGGGTGAGGTGATAGCTCTTTGTGGTTTTGATTTGCATTTTCTGGATGATTACTGATGTTGAGCATCTTTTCCTATGCGTCTTGGCCATTTGCATGTTTTCTTTGGAGAAATCTCTATTCAAATTCTTTGCTCATTTTAAAATCAGATTAGTTTTTTTGTTGTTATTGGGTTGTAGGAATTCTTTATATATTCTGGATATTAATTCTTTGTCACATACATGGTTTGAAAATATTTTCTCCCATTTTATAGGTTGCCATTTCATTTTGTTAATTGTTTCCTTTGCTGTTCAGAAGTTTTTTTTTTTTGTTTTTTTGTTTTTTTGTTTTTTTGTTTGTGAGATGGAGTCTTGCTCTGTTGCCCAGGCTGGAGTGCAGTGGCGCGATCTCGGCTCACTGCAAGCTCCGCCTCCTGGGTTCATGCCATTCTCCTGCCTCAGCCTCCCGAGTAGCTGGGACTACAGGCGCCCGCCACCATGCCCGGCTAATTTTTTGTATTTTTAGTAGAGACGGGGTTTCATCATGTTAGCCAGGATGGTCTCGATCTCCTGACCTCGTGATCTGCCTGCCTCGGCCTCCCAAAGTGCTGGGATTACAGGTGTGAGCCACCGTGCCCAGCCCAGAAGTTTTAATAAAGTTTTATATAGTTCTACTTTTGCTTTTGTTGCCTGTGCTTTTGGTGTCATAGCCAATAAGTCCTTGCCAAATGCAGTGTTATAAAGCTTTTCCCCTATGTTTTCTTCTAAAAATTATAGTTTCAGGTCTTATGTTTCAGCCTTTAATCCATTTTAAGTAAATTTTTAATATAGTGTTAAATACAGGCCCTATTTCCCTCTTTTATGTGTGGTTATCTAGTTTTCTCAATATTATTTGTAGAAGAGACTATATTTTCACCCACTATGTAGTCTTGGCACCCTTGTTGAAGATAATTTGACCATATATTTGAGGTTTATTTCTGGGCTCTCTGTTCTGTCCCATTGGTCTACATATCTGTCTTTATGCCAGTACCATACTGTTTTAATTACTGCAGCTTTGTGATGGGTTTTGAAATCAGTAAGTGTGAAGTCTCCAGCTTTGTTCTGTCTCACTGTTTTTGTTCTTCTGGATTCTCTGAGGTTACATATGAAATTTAGAATTTTCTTCCTGTTTTTGCATAACATGCCATTGGGATTTTGATAGGGATTTTAGTAACTCTGAGATTGCTTTTGGTACTGTGGACATTTTAACAATTTTTGTTTTCTGTTTTTGCAGAATATGCCATTGGGAACATTTTTTTTTTCTTTTGAAACAGAGTCTTGCTCTGTCACCCAGGCTGGAGTGCAGTTGTGTGGTCTCAGCTCACTGCAATCTTTACCTCTTGGGTTCAAGCAATTCTTGTGCTTCAGGCTCCCAAGAAACTGGGATTACAGGTGTGCAGCACCATGCCCAGCTAATTTTTGTATTTTTAGTAGAGAGGGGGTTTTGCCATGCTGGCCAGGCTGGTCTTGAACTCCTAACCTCAAGCAATTCACCTGCCTCAGCCTCCCCAAGTGCTGGAATTACAGGCGTGAGCCACTGCACCTGGCCACCAGTGGAATTTTGATATAGGGATCTTACCAACACAGGATATCTTCTCATTTATTTTTATCTTTTTTTTTTTTAGCAATGTTTTATAGTTTTTAGTGTACAAGTCTTCTACTACCTTGGTTAAGTTTATTACTAAGTGTTTGATTCTGAGAACTACCTCTTTAACATTAGCTTATAGAATTGAGTTCATTTCCAAGTTTGTCCTTCCACAATGACACTCTCTTTTTCTGAAATTCAGCCCTTCTTTTCCCTCACCAAGAACTACAGCTTTTTGAATAGTCAAAACAATGTTCACAAAGCCTCTTGCACTTTACTTGTAGGAAAGTGCTGTATATCCTCACTTGGAACTTTGCCTTTAATGTCTTTCTAGCCTCAGCGTTCTTATTTTCTCTAGTGGAGAAGATCATATGTCCCTTATGGGGTTGTTTGAATATTAAATAAGGTAATGGACACAAAGCTCTGAGCATAATTCGGGAAACATACTAAGTGTTCACTAAATATCTATTATTAAATATTTGTTAAAATACCTACTTATATGTTTAGTGGATTTCCAAAATTACAGTAGAGTAGATGTCATAAATTTTGAGGGTAAAAAGGTTATTATGGGAACACACTGTAGCAACAGTGGGAAGTAACCACTGATAGTGTAATCAGAAGAAAGAGAACAAAAACTATAAATATAAAAGTGATAATAACGCAAAAGTTATAGCCATGTAGTATGGGATCAAAAGAGCTTTCTGCCTGTCTGTAATTTCTTCTGGCTGAATAAATTTATAATCAAATATAGCAATTGATGTTCATAATGGTGACTTCTGAGTCATCAAGAAAAGATTAAGTTACATGACTGTGCACTTTATTTAAGAAGGCAGTGGAGTTGGCAGTACAATTTAGAAAGGTTTTCCTTCAAAATAATATGTTTTACTGCTAGCTATACAAACATTCATCTCTTCCAAAATCTTCCATATGACTGAAATTTTGAAGTACTGGAAATCATGCTAGGTCTTAACTATGGTTATGGGTTAAGAGTGGTGATATCATTAAGACACATTCTTTTTGCTCTTTGCATGGTCTTATGTTGTGGAGGATTCAGATTTTTTTAACCCCACTCAGCAAAGCAGCTGAGTTAAAGGGAAGAAGGTACTAAATGGCCTTTGCTCTGCTGATAGTGTCAGGCTGGATGTAAATACAGTTGACCCTTGAACCACATGGGCTTGAACTACACAGATCCACTTATATGTTCATTTTCTTGTGCCTCTGCCACCTCAGAGACAGTAAAACCAGCTCCTCTTCCTCCTCCTCAGCCTGCTCAACATGAAGACCATGAGGATAAAGACCTTTATGATGATCTACTTCCACTAAATGAACAGTATTTTCTCTTCCTTGTGACTTTTTTTTTTTTTTTTCTGAGATGGAGTTTTGCTCTTGTTGCCCAGGCTGCAATTCAATGGCACGATCTTGGCTCATTGCAACCTCTGCCTCCCAGGTTCAAGCAATTCTGCTACCTCAGCCTCCCGAGTAGCTAGGATTACAGGCATGCACCACCATGCCCGGCTAATTTTGTATGTTAGTAGAGACAGGGTTTCACCATGTTGGCCAGGCTGATCTCCAACTCCCGACCTCAGGTGATCTGCCTGCCTCGGCCTCCCAAAGTGCTGGGATTACAGGCATGAGCCACCTTATGTCTTTCTTAACATTTTCTTTTCTTTAGCTTTATTGTAAGAATACAGTATATAATACATATATTAAATATGTGTTAATTGACTGTTTATGTTATTGGGAAGTCTTCAGGTCAAGAGTAAGCAATTAGTAGTTAAATTTGGGGGAGTCAAAAGTTGTATATGGATTTCTGACTGCATGGCGGGGTGTGGGGGTCACACCTTTAATCCCCTCATTGTTCAAGTGTCAACTATACATGTTACTCTGGATGGAACATGGCTTAGTAGCCTTTGGGGTCTCTTCCCTGGGGGTGAGTGCTGCCTCTGGTCCTCCCCCATCTCCTGCCCTGCATGGGAGGCAATATCATACATGGGCTTTGAGAATCTACTAATTTGGGATGCTTTGGGCTTTAAATAACTGAAACCCAACTTAGATTGGCTTAAACAATAAAGAAATGTATGAGTTCATATAACTGCAAGTCCAGAGGATTCAGAGTTGTTTTTAATCCAGTAGTTTCTATTCTGTTGCCCTATCACTCACTTGGCTTTGACTTCCTCTGTGTTTTGGTTTCTCCCTCAGGCTGGTAGTAGTGAGATGTCTATGGCAGTGCTGGACCTCACAGCTGCACACACTATCCAAAGGCTTACTCTTAGAGGAAATAAACTCCAAGAAGCTCCCAGCAGACATTTCCTTATTTCTCTCTGGCCTGTATTTTATCACTTGTCCATTTTGGAAATAATCTTTGATACTGGAGAAGGATTAAGTGGCTTAGGCCAAGTTCCTTAACAGGTCACTGCCAAGAGGATGGGATTATCATGATTGGCTCAGACAAATCATGATTCATTTCGAGACCTGGGGTCAAGACACCTCAATCATAATGGCTACTGCACTGTTAGGTAGATGGATGTAGGCTTGTGCACACCTGCTATATAGTGAGTCCTGGGGAAGGATTTCAGGAGTGGCCCTGGAAGGTAGACTTGGGGCAGTTTGGGCAGGGAATTCTGTGCTAAAAAGAACATATTTAGAAGGGAAGGTGCAGTCTCTTTGTACATCCCCTTGGTTTTATAGACAACTTTCCCTGTGGGGAGGAGTTTGGCCAGGAGTGGACCCCATTCTGGCCTCTCAAAAGTCAGAGCCCAAGGCAAACGTTTATCTTTCTGGTGTAAGAGCAGTTCCAATGAGCTGTAAGACCACTGGCAAGTGACAATTCCCCTACAATTCATTTTTCTTTTGTAAAGGAGGAGCAATCCCAGTTATATCCAGTTTATCATGTTGTGAGGTTGAGGTGATATATGCAGAGTATTCAATAAATGCTAGCTGCTTTTATTGTTCTTGAGTACTTGGTACACAGTTGTTCCCTGGCTCTGTCACTCCCTGATGAGAAAACCTTGGCAAATCACTTGACCTCCTCAGACTTCAGTTCCTCATCTGTAAAATATGGACGTGATGGTGGTACCTCAGAGCTGTTGGTACTGTAGTGGGAGGGAACACGTAAGACACAAAGTCCACCCTCTGTAGTTGTCTTTGCTGTCAGGAAACCTCAGTTTCTGAGATGAGATAGCGATTCTGGGCTACTGCTGTCCTTCATAATTTTTTAGGGAAAATTTTCCAGGTAAAATCTTCCTCTGACTAGAAAATTTGTTCATATTTTATAGAAAGTCAGCTTACTAACCCAGAAAGAAATTCTTGACAAGTTATCCCTTCTTCTTTTTTGTTTTTCGTTTTTCCTATTTCAAAATATTGCCTTCATGTCCCACTACTCAAGGCAATCTGACAAAGTTGGTCTGGCTTTTCCTAGGCTTTACTTCACCAAAACTATCCCCGCACCAATGATTAACAGGTGACTATGGCATTAGAGGCTGGAAAACCATCAATGGTGAAAACACCCCCATGTGGTGTGGTAATTAGGGTACTGATTTTCTTTAAAAAGGCCGTGTCTGAATTGGGTCCCCAGCTAACCAAAGATCAGAACTACAGAGGATTGTATTAATAAGAAAAATCTGGGTTGGCCTTTCTTGTGTTTCTTTTTAACAGAGCTGTTAATGATAAGTGGTTGCTTATTTGGCCCAACATATTGTTACGATATTAAAAAAGAAGAAATTGTTTATTAGTGCCATTGAGTAAGTCACTATGCCTGCCTTTTATATTTGATAACAAGCAATTTCAGAAATATCTGGAATATGTGGAGATAATGAAATTATTGTGCTGGGGAAAAATTAGCTCTCAAAGCAGAGGCATGGGGTCCTACACGCATGTGCACACACATAAAGCCCATCAGCCAAGATGTGAGTGTTATGTAATATTTGTGTCCTTTGGTGAACAATTTTTGTTTAATCATAGAAATAACAGATATTTTTATAGTACACAGAGGGATGGGGACTGAGTGTCTTGGAACTGATTTGGGAATAATGTACATTTAAACAAATTTGAGCTGTAATTTGAAATCCTTTAAACTGCTAGGTAATGTTGAATTTCCCATAGGCTTTGAATTTGAATGTAAATTCTAGAATTTGTTCCATAATGAAGGAAAAAATGTGCATTTAATTAAGAAAACATCATTTACAATGTGGCGGCTGTGTTGCTGTAATACTTGTAATGAATGCAAGGAAAGGTAGATAATAAAAGAAATAAGATGCTGTCTTCACTTCAGTCTTTCCTCTTAAACCTGTGCCTGTACTAATTTATATTAGTCTAATACAAAGTTATTTTTAAGTGGTAATTAGAAAACTCTCTTTTGCTTTGTTCTAGGTGGGTTTTATGGTTGTTTTTGAGTTAAAAAAACAAAACCTGAATTTAAACGAGGACTTTCTTCATTTTTTCCCCTCTCCCCTAAGTATTTTTTTTTCTATATCCTAGATATGGGTAAATAAGTGTCTCTTTCAGATAGAATGGAAAGTTCAGGCTTGCTGTCATGGATAACAAAGCCATGAATGTTGTAGGATGCTACTAAATAATATCCCTACATCTCTTACAGAGTGTCAGATGGAACTTTGATTAAAAAGTGACAAGATGTAACATCTCCAAACAGTTCAAGTTTTAAAATAGAACAAATCAGTCATAAATAGAAGGATTATTGATTAACTTCTTATAACTGATTCTGATCATTAGTTGGTTTTCCTAAATAGAAAACATCTGTAGAACAAATGAGTAGCACTGTTAATTAAGTGGGATGAGGATTAATTAAGTGGGACAAGGAGTAAGTGGGGGTGAGATTTGGTCACCATGGTGCAAGGTGGAAAATGTCTACTTGGCCCCTAAGAGGGGGCCATACGTGTACGTCAGACTATTTTAAAGCTAGTCCTTTGGGAGAGAGATTAGGGTTTACCCTTTTGCCCTCTTCTCTGGCTTCTGTGGGTCTCTTTAGACATTGTTTACACCGAGGGTCATCTTTCTGGAAGATGCATGGGACATGCTGATTAATGAGTCACGGAAGCAATCAGCCTTATAATACTGTGTGTTATTGGCAAGAGACCACATATTTTCCTGAGGTACAAGAACAACGTCAAGAATGAAATAAATTAGCTTATGCTTATGTAGAGGAGTTTCCGCTTCTACAAAACTAGTCTCTTAATATTGAGAAATAGGATAGGAAGATTTCAGGACCTTTATTCCACCTGTCCTGAGGGTAAGATTTTAAGACTTTCTCTGTACCAAAGAAAAAGGACTCTTGGGTCTTGGTCATGTTATTGTTTTAATAAGCACTGTCACTATAGTCACTCAATGAGAAATGTCACCGTATTCATTTCTGTATGTTGAGAGATCAGATACCTTCTGAAACTTACTTGTTGATGGAATAAGATATAATTTACACTAAAATACTTCACAGAATATATGGAAAACATGTATGGTATCTTAGGATGAAAAGTCTTTTGAATTTTCCTTAGCTAGCTGATGATTTTGAACTCAAGGTTAGTTTGTCTGGAAGCATGATATATTTATCTGTAAAAAAGAAACTTTCAGGAAATTGTGTCTGAAAAGAGTGTTAAAGACCTCAATATCTCTATTTAGAGTTTAAAAATACAACTTAACTTTTAATTTAACCACTTTTAGTCAATGCTCTTAAAGTGCCCATTCCATAAATCACCCTATCGTTTGCCAAATAGTTGCCATTTATAGATCAATAAAAGTCCGAAGAGGTTAAGTGACGTTCAAGTAACACAGCAAGTGGCAGGATCAGGAAAAGGTTTGAGGCTTTTAATTTCTAGTCTTTTAGCTCTGAGACAATTAGCTGGTTCTGCTCTGAGATCAGCACTATCCAATTTAAATGGAGTCCTCAGGTGTGCTTTTAAAAGAGACAAAAAGAGACAGTTGTCTGGCCTGGATGACTCTGTGCACTTTTTTGTTTTTTGAATAATGCTTATTATAGAAAATGTCTGATTTAGCAAAACTGTTTATATCACTCTTTAAGAAGAAATGTGAAAGTCATCCGAGGAAAGGCTGAATGGAACACATCTGAAAAATGTAAAAAGTTGATTTTTTGAATGAGAGAAAAAATGTAAAAGATAAAAACAGGCTTCTTTTAGTATTTTTGAGAATAAAGTTTTCAGAACAGCATCCCAATGTACCTGTTTGTTCATTTGTTCCATAGATTTCTTCTTTGAGAGTATATGGTATCAGTATATATAATTAGACTTTCATTTAAATTTCTAGTCCATTTGTGGATTACCTTACCACTTTGGGGAGTGTTTATATTAACTATTCTGTGCCAGTTTTTCTTTGCGGAAAATCTTTCTCTGCTTTTTGCTAAAATAAGTAACAAACAAGAAGCTAAAGATTATAGCTAATGGTCTAGAACAAAGGATTAGAATCCAATTCTGGCAGAAGCCAAATGAGTTACAGTGAATTTGGCACAGGGTGTAAAAGGAACTAGTCTCTGTTAATTGTATGTTCCTGTTTGTAAACAGGTGTTTGCCCAAGGGGAGTACACTGCACTTCTTTTCAAATGTTATGGAAGAGTGATTCACTGGAATAGGTGAACATTTCTCAGTTTCACACCCCGAATACATTATGACAATTCTTTTAGTACTCTGGGCTCAGTGAGTTTTATTAGTAGCAGAAAAGATGGGATTCCAGAAACTGTAGCACCCTCCTTATTTGGTGTTTCTGAGTTTAACTGGCAGGCTGTTGTCCTTGTCTTTAATTAAATTACTTCTCAACCAAGTGTCTTTGAAGGACAGCTTTTGTGAAATGTGTCAAACACTAGGGCTTTTTTCTTTTCTGCCATGAGGCTTGTTGGCAGCAGTGGGAATGAAGTTAGGGGATCAGGAGTACAGTGTTAAACCAGTTATTAAAAGGGCCTTATTGCCAATTACTGAAGAGGAAAGAAGAAAATAAACACTCAAGAAGACAAAACGAACTCCTTTCCATTGAGATCCCTCTTCCCTTTGCTTGTTCTTTAACGCCAGCCAGAATCTTGCGGTATTGTTCTGCTTGTTTTAACTATCATGTTTTATTTTGCTCAGCATTTTGGAAATTTCTCTAGAGCTGTGGTTCTCAATTGGGAGTGGGATGATCGAGACTCCGGGACATTTGGCAAAGTCTGGGGGCATTTTTGATTGTAACAGCTGGGGAGAAGGGAGAGGATACCATTGGCATCTAGTAAGTAGAGGCCAGTGATGTTGCTAAACTTCCTACAGAGGGCAGAGCAGCCCTCACAGCAAACAAGTATCCAGCCCAAAATGTCCACAGGGCTGAGGTTGAGAAGCTCTGCTCTATAGGAAGAAATTAAAAGGCATTTAAAAGAAGTGGCCCGTCTCTACAAATTCATAGCCAGTTTGTGCAAGCAGATATTCAAAATATCTCATTTCAGTGCCTTTGCACTGAAAATGAGTTTTTGTTTTGAGCACTTCCTTACTCTCTGGCACTACATGCTGCTCCAGGTTTGTCTTATATATCTCTTGCCCCCTGCTGGAATCAGCCATTTCTCCAAGGAGCCCTGGTCTTTTTATTGAAGAAACCAAGATCTGGGCATTAGGTGTGCTTATTGGCACTTAGTTTTTTAAACTCCAAAATCTAAGCTTAATTTGTTAATGAGACCAGTTTTTAAAACTTG
Organism: Homo sapiens; assembly: GCF_000001405.40. Taxonomy (NCBI): domain Eukaryota; kingdom Metazoa; phylum Chordata; class Mammalia; order Primates; family Hominidae; genus Homo; species Homo sapiens. The sequence goes on from NC_000007.14 coordinate 33,459,842, forward strand.
GTCTTTACCATATATTATATAAGTGTACTTTAAAAATTCTTTTCTTATGTTTGAGCTTACATGGAACATTCTAATTACCCAAGTAATATTGAAATTCAAAATGAATCTTTATAAGTTAAATGAAACCTGCAATAACATGGATTGTAAAATGTATTGCTTTTATAATATACTGATGGTGTTTGAGACTACTGTTACTTTAAAGCGACTTTGTTATTGTACACTTTTTACCATATGTAGTTTTATTTAGTTTTATTTCATAGCCTCCTACAGCTGAAAGGCACTTAATCCTGCCTTGTCTACAAATCGATAATTTGTTCTGAAGTGTGTGAAAATCTGCATAATGATGAACCTGGCTAAAAGAGTTCTATTGTGATTTACGTTAAACTGATAGTCCTTCATTTGGGTAATGTTCATATCTCTGTAGAAATTTAAGGTTTAAATTCTCCTAAGATAGTTTCTGGAATTTCTTGGCTTTATCTTTAACTGCTTTGTTTATTTCAAAAACTGTCTTCTATGCCCATAATTGATTGACGTAACCTGTCAGGGTTTTCTCTTTAAGTAGCATTGTTGATTTTTAAACCATTTTAGGTACAAGGGAAAATAATTTTGATTTTAAAATGAATATTTTCTCTTATTAAATATTTTTTATGTACTGAAAAACTCTTAAGATTTAGACAAAATTTTATGTTTTATCACACTTAAATAGACATATAAAGAAAAATACAAGCAAAATAATTTGTTCAAGGTATTCTTAATTTTTTTTTCACATTCAGAGTCTATTTGGGATCACTTTTAAACATAGAATTGTCAATGTCTGTATTTTTCCAAACATTACTGTCCTCTATATCATCAGAAGTTTTGGTGATGTAGCATTTAAAAAAATAATTTGAGATGAAATTCACATGACATAAAATTGATCATTTTAAAGCGAAGAATTCATTGACATTTAATGCATTCACAATGTTGTATGATCTCTACACCTATCTAGTTCTAAACCATTTCCATCACTCCAAAGTAAAACGCCTTACCCAATAAGCAGTTTCTTTCATTAACCCATTTCCCTAGACCCTGGCAACTACCAGTCTGAGTTCTCTCTCTATGGATTTATCTTTTCTGGATATTTCATATAATTGGAATTATACAATATGTGATCTTTGCATCTGACTTCTTTTACTTAGCATAATGTGCTGAAGGTTTATCCACTTTGTAGCATGTAGCAGTACTTTATTCCTTTTTATGGCTGTATAATAGTCCATTATGTGGCTGTACCATGCTTTGTTTTTCCACTCATTTATTGATGGATATTTGGGCTATTTCCACCTTTTGGTTATTGTGAATAGAGCTGCTATGAACATGTGTGTATGTGTTTGAGTACCTGTATTCAGTTCTTTTGGGTATATACCTAGAAGTAGGGTTGTGGGATCATATGGTAATTCTATGTTTAACTTTTTGAGGAACAGCCAAGTGGTCTTCCACAGCAGTGGAATGATTTTTAAAAGCTATTCCTAACTTTATGTTCATTATCAAAATCAAAATGCTCAATTTGGAAACATACTTTCCTCAATGCTTTGATTTTTGTTATTAAAAATAGATTATTCTTTAACATATCCACCACTTTTTCCAAAGTTACTTAAAAAAAAAAAACTTTGGATAATTTCCATATTCATCTCAGGAGAGTTTGTAAGACTCTCAGAAAAAGATTCCAGGCTTTTAATTTCTAGTCTTCCGCTCTAAGACAACTAGCTCTTCCCTAAGATAGCAGAAGTCAATTTAAATGTTCGGGCACAGTATCTATTTTCCATATGACTTCATGAAAATGAAACAAAAATTAAAAAATTAGGCTGAGTGTTCAATAACACTTTATTTATGGAGTTAATAAATATTTACTCTGAATGGGAAGAAAAGAGATCTGCATTTGACAGTTACCTATGAAATAGAATTAATTTTTTTCTTCTTTGTCATGTTGCTGGGGTTTTTGAAGATTTGCCTAAAAAGATAGTCTTTTAGTTTGGACCCTTTTAACTTCACATGACATATCTCATTACCAAGTACATTCAGAAATAGTGTTTGAATTCTGCAGTTTTTAATTTTAGCAACCAGCAGTCAGTTTGTATTGCTTTCTAAGTGCTGGTGAAGCTAATTCTTCCCATATCTAAGGTCGTTTTAATTTCATTTCTTTATTTGACATCTTTATGATATTCAAACATGAAGATGTATAGTTTTTTTGTAGGGTAGGAACACTAGGTTAATTATTAAATAATAAACTAAATCAAAATCTAAAACCTTGACTCTAGTTTGATTACACAAGAATGTTTTATTGGGATAATACTTGTTCCTTGTTAGCTTCTCCTATTATGAAATGTTCTCCTTGTGTTAAACATATAAAATATTCCAAATTTGGATCATTAGCCATGACTGTCTTTTGTATCCCAGATATATTTACATTTGAAGTTGGTCAGGCTTTCCTTGTAATCATTTCATTGATTGAGGAAATATGTAAAGTTTTTTTGACAAGAAATATAATGTCAGTTTGTAAATGCAGTAATATAGTTGAGACGTGGCATTGGAAGATGGCACAGAGTAAATTTAACTCTTAAGTTGCCACAATTATTAGATATCAGAAATGTTCCCCCATGAATGGCTGCATATTTCTGAAAACACTCTAGGGTGACTGTAAAAAATATTACAGTAGATTGACTTGGAAAATCACAGTAGCTGAATTTGAAACTGTAAACGTTCCTAATGTATGTAGTTCACATTATTTCTGGCAGTGACAGAAAAAGTGGTGGTAAGTTCTACTTGCGGTTAAATGAAGTTTAAAAAAATGAACTTAGGCACATGCTTATGGAAAATATTTAAATATTCTGAGTGGGTTCTTCCAAACCTACTCCATACAAATGAGGGATATTACTCAGAATAAGTCAAATTCAGGTTACCCAGGAAGGGCAAAAGGACACATGTTGGATGGGCAGCTCTTTTTGCAAAATGAGAGTGGTCTTCTCAAGAAGCAGTCATGAAGCCATACTCTGTCCACTTTTTAAAAAATGGATATTTAAAGTTAGGAAATATTTAAAGGAAACCTGAGTGAGTAGATTAACTACAATCACTTTGCACGTTAAACATTTTAGGACTTAGGACAGTAGGGACAAGCTAGGAGAAAATGGGTGAATGGGTGAAATAAGGGTGTGTGCTCAGCTAAATAGATCTGGGGAGGCCTGGAGGGTCTGCCTAAAAAGTAATAGACCTGTAGTTTGATGAGATTTGCCAAGACTTTTTAAAGGGAGTGGTATTCCCAGGCTCTCTTTGTATTTAGTTATCACTGCCAGAGGATTGAGGCTATTGTGCAGCTGAACAGACAGACAATTGACAAAACCAAACCAAAATCCTTGCTTAGCGTCACGTAGACCAAAACACAGACAGGCAACAGCTTAGATTTTCCTTTTGTAACCAATTGTGCTGGCATTGTGTATGCAGAAGTGAAATAGCAAAGGGAGTTTCTACATTAACTTTTTGATAGGGGGAATGCCTGCATCTTGCTCTGTAGATCCAGTTTCAGTTAGGAAACTTGTGAAAGAAAAAAAAAATAGTTGTCTTGTTTAGATTAGTGGGAGAAATGGGTCCCAAAATATTTCCTTGTTACAATGATCCCTTCCAGTCTTAAAAATTCTGTGATTCTGGACTGTGAGTTTATACAGTATCTCTGTGAGCCAGGATGTGCTTTTACACTTCTCTTAGTCTCTTATTTTTGTCTGAAATAAAGCTAATCAGATTCCTCTACACTGGAACAAGTTTCAGCTAGTACAATCGGGTTTATAGCAACCAGATTGTAAACAAAATTTTAAAATCATGTTTTTTAAGTATTTTAGACAGTTAAGCTATTCTGTTTTCCAAAGCAGAAGAGAATGAGACCCACCAAATATTAAACAAATGTAAAGTTCCTACATTCACTTATGGAAATATTAAACTTAAAATTTAAATTTGATCTCCTATCAACCCACCCCTTTCTGAAATTCTGAGTTGACATTTATGTTTTATGTGGGTATATGAAAACTTTAAAATAATGTAATATTTTTCTGGATGTATCCATTGCCTGTTGTTCAGTGAGGTAGACAAATCTTACAGTATAATGTCCTTAAGTATTTTTAGATGTGCTAATTTTAAAATACAGTGTATTTTGTGCTTTTAAATGGCAATTCTAAATTTTTTGTTAAGTTAAAATCATACATCATTTATAATATATCCAAATTTGTGTAATGCTTACTGAAATTCATTTTATAAATTTGACTGTCTGGTTTGGTTAATAGGATTGCTTAAAATGCTAATATACTTGAAAAACATTAGCTTTATTTAACTAAAGACAGACATTATCAGAAAAGCTAGGTCAAGATAAAACAAACATGAGCCTTACGAAAATGAGGGAACTATTTTTTGGTAACCTGGGGTAATTTTAAAAACTAAGGGTTGTAGATCAGAAGATTTGGGATTTCCTGGTTTTCTACTTACTCCCTGGCTTTATTTTCTCTTCTGTAAAATAGGAGTAATATCTCTTTTCTTCACAGTAGACAGAATGAGAATAATAAATATGTAATGGATATGAAACTGGAAAACTTCTTTACAATTATGTAAAGACTTTTGGGGAGGGAGTGAGGACTAGTTTGCTTTAAACTTCAGTTTTTCACCAGAATTTTTAAAGGTCTCCATTTAGATGATCCAAATGAAAATGTAATAACATCTGTTCAATAATTTTTTTCCTACTGGAGTATAGGAAGATACACTGATTTTTTCAGATTGTTCTGTTAGGTTGTAAATAAAAAGTGCTAGTGATTTCATTCTCAGTTTTTATATTATATATTTAATTAATATTTGATATTATAAAGCACATTTATCAGTTAATTTTATTATATTCTCATGAGTCTATTACATAACTATTATTATAATGAACATTTTACAGATGAGGAAATCGAGACTTAGAAACACTTCCTTTTAAATTTAATTTAATTTTGAGATAAGGTCTTCCACTGTCACCCAGGCTGGAGTACAGTGGTGTCATCATGGCTCACTGCAGCCTTGATATCCTGGGCTCAATCGATTCTCTCATCTCAGCTTCCCGAGTAGCTGGGACTACAGACGCGTGCCACCATCATTCTTTTTAACTATTTACTGTTTTTTCTGCCAACCCCAGGTGCTACTGATGGTACGTCAGTTAATCAGATATTATAATTTAATTGCTGATTATGTTGTTCTTTAATAATTTTGTTGGTTCTTCCATAAAAGCCAGAGTTCCTGTACGTGTCTCAGTTGTTTTGCAGCATGTAGAGATGGGATCTGTGGTAATTCCTGTTAATTTTGCTTTGGAGGTAATACTTTTTTGGTGCTAGAAAGCTAGTGTCTGTAAGGAAAAAAAAAAACATGATTTATTCTTTTTTTTTTTCAGCTTCCTCTCATTAATGCTTTCATGAGGCATATTTATTTTATGATCGTGTAAAATTTCCCAATGCAGATCTCTTCTTGGGGTGGAGTTGTGGTGGGTGGGGCACTGTGAACTGCACACCTGCAGAGGAATGCCAGCAGGGGAAACATGAATGTTATTTTGCCCAAAGTACTTTAGTTAATACAGTGAAGGATTGTTCCTTCTTTGGCAGTTTCTTATATTAAAAAGATAAAATGAACACTCTATAAATATTAACGGATTTCAGTGCACTCTTATTCTCTCAAAAGTGTCTGGTTTTGAATTATAAATCCCTTTCTGTGACCTATCTGGGTTTGAATCCTGTCTCTCACCTATTAGTTGTATGTCCTTGGACATGTTACTGCCTATATCTCAGTTTTCTCATCTGTAAAGTGTGGTGACAATAGCCTCATTTTGTAAGGTTATTGTATGGATTGAGTTAATACATATGGATACATGTTTACTTAGAACAGTGCATGGCACATACTAAATGCTCAATAAATGTCAGCTGCTATCACTATATATTATTATTTTCTTGCTTTGTTGCTGACAGTTAACTGGACTATTAACTTGAAAAAATACCCTTTCTAGCAATAAAAAGGATTTCATTTCTTACTATATTTGATGAACTATAAAAATGAATCAAGTTGATATAAATCAAGGAAGATCATTTAACTAGCAGTAGTGGTAGTCTTTGTCCCCCAGCTTTATTGAAGTGTACCTGACAAATAAAAGTTGTATATATTTAAAGTATATAACATTTTTTGAGAGAGAGATATATATATATATACACACATTGTGAAATGGTTACCACCATCAAACTAGTTAACATATGCATCAACTCACAGTTAGATTTTTTTGTGTGTAGTGGAAAACTTAAGATCAACTCTCTTAGCAAATTTCAAGCGTACAATACAGTATTATTAACTATAGTCACCATGCTGTACATTAGATGTTCAGAACTTATTCATCCTCCATGAATAAGTGCTAAACTTTTGTACTCTTTGACCAACATTCTCTCACTTCCCCCACCTTCCAGCCCTTGACAACCACCATTCTACTTTGGCTTCTTTAGATTCTGCATATATGTGAGGTCATGCAGTATTTGTCTTTCTGGGCCCGCCCGGTTTATTTCACTTAACATAAGATCCTCTGAGTTTATCCACGTTCTTGCAAATGGCAGGGCTAACTTCTTTAAAGCTGAATAATAATCTTTTGTGTATGTGTGTGTATATATATGTGTGTGTGTTTACATACCATTTATTCTTTATTCATTCATCTGTCTGCAGACACTTCGGTTGTTTCCATATCTTGGCTGGAGTAATGATAGTCTTGAAAAACACCAATTAATTACTGAGTGGAAGAGTAAGAATCATGACATCACATTTCAGATCCTTAAAAGTCAGAAAAACACTGGAAAAAAAGAAGGATAAATGGCAGTTGAAGAGTCATTTTGTAACCAGTAAAGAATAGGACAATGCCAAGTGTTGATAAGTCAGAGGCGGATACAGAGGGAAGTCCAGTGGCATGTATTTGACCAAGGGACTTTGTCACAAGCATGGGTTTATTAGAGGCTCTGCCTCAGTGTGGAAATCTTGGAGGGAGAGAGTGGTATACACAGAGGTCAAGGGTGAGCCGGTTTCTGATGTAGCTTCCCAAGTATCAGGACCCCTTCCTCCCACAATACACATTCATTCATATTCATTCATTCATTCATTCATTCTCTCTCTCTCTCTCTCTCTTATGACAACCAAACTCCTTACTATGACAACTGAATAACAAACATTCAAGGACTGTTGATCTTTAAAGAGAATATGGGTTACCTTTTCAGTGGGGGCGGAGGCTGTGATTAAAGATGGTCTGAAGACATTTATTGCACCCATCCTTAGAGATGGGGACTTGATTCTGGGGGGAAACATTGCATGTAGTATCTCTAGGTTGTCTGCTTGCTCAGTTACTGATATTACCAAAACATCTCTTTTAGTTCTAGTTTGTTTACTAGACCCAGAATGACATGCTATATCCTTGTTTGTTTATATCACCTTCCAGCTCTATTTAAAACCATTAGAGATCCCAGACCCTGTGTTATCTCCATCGATTTTCTATGAGGCTAGACAAGATTTAACTTTAATTCATTTGTGATTTCCTATTCCTAGTTTACACAAATAAGTCTGTTAGTTCATTTGTATATTTTTTGCACTTTGACCTAATTGGCCTGTTTTTCGCTAATGCCCTCTCCTTTTTCACTAATTCACCAGTGCTGTGGGAACCCCCCAACTCCGCCACCTCCACTATTGTAGTTGTTTTATAACTACTCTTTATATAATGTGTTAATCTTCTGTCCTTACCTAAGGACACAAATTGCACATAACATTAGATCATCCTTAGGTGGTAGAAATTAAATTGAGAATCAGAATTAGCAGTGAAAAAAATAGATATTTCTTGTACTGAAAGATAATAAATGATATGGATCTTTTAGTGTGTAGAAATTCTAACAGATTCTGAGTAGTTGGGGTGCCTAGGTGAAACACTGGTGAGGAGAAAATGTGACACTTTTTGTTCATGTGGGGGAGGAAGCAAGTGATAAGAGAAATCAACACAGTGCTGAAGCTGAAATCTAAATATGGAGTTAATTCACTGAGTTGGCCTGGACCCTGGCAGAAGATCACATGGTCACCTTTAAGATAATTTTGTTCATCACTTTGCTGATAATTGATCCAGCCTGCCATGTGCTCTGTGATCTAAAAGTTGAAGTGATTATTTATTTTTTAGGGAAAAATTTAGCTACTGGAAGATATATATGTTCTTTTACTCTAGTGTTCTAGAAAATAGTAGGAGGAAGAAGATGAAAAGAGAGAGATCGGGGGTAGATAAAATAGCTAGGTAAAGTAGTGAGGAAGAAGACTCTCCTAGAATTAATGAAGGCCGTGTGGACACAGTGAGTCAAATCAAGTTGTCTCAAGCCCAAATATTTTTCAATACTTATTAGAAAACTGTTCTAATGGCTTCATTTTATATTCTGCAATGAAGGCTGACCCTATTACACAGTGATAAGTGCTTGAGTCCTTCATTTCTGATCTGCATTCAGAGACCACTCTGTTTTTATTAATATAGAATAATTGTACATATTTATGGGATACATGTGATATTTTGATACATGTATACAATGTATTAATGATCAAACCAGGGTAATTGGGGTATCCATCATCTCAAATATTTATCATTTCTTTGTGTTGAAAACATTTGAAATCTTCTAGCTATCTTGAAATATATAACAAACTATAATCATCCTACTGTGCTATCAAGCACTAGAATGTATTCCTTCTAACTTATTTTTGTTCCCGTTAACCAACCTCTCTGCCTGCCCTGCTCCCCACTATGCTTTCCAGCCTCTGATAACCATCATTCTACTCTCTACCTCCATCAGATCAACTTTTTTAGTTCCCACATATGAATGAGAACATGCAATGTTTGTCTTTCTGTGCCTGGCTTATTTCAATTTAATGTCCCCCCAGCCTCAGCTATGCTGCTGCAAATGACAGAATTTCATTCTTTTTTGTGACTGAATAGTATTTCATTGTGTATATATATCATATTTTCTTTATCCATTCATCCATTGGTGGACACTTAGGTTGGTTCCATATTTTGGCTCTTGTGAATAGTGCTGCTTTAAACAGGCATACAGATTTCTCTTCAATCTACTGATTCCTTTTTTTTTTTTTTGTGAGAGACTACTTTTTTGAGAAGTCATCTGCTCTTTTGGAGGTTTTATTAATAACCACTTTTACAGTAGAGTAGATTGACTGTGCATTGGTAAGTAGTGTCAGACTGGTCATCACCCCATTCAGTATATTGGTCGAATCTGAGGGAGAATAAAGAGACTGAGGAATGCATTGTTTGCCAAACCACTTTAGCCCAGAATGGATGAGTAGTATATCTGTACCAAGTGCAATGAGATAAAAGATTGTCCATGTCTGGGATGCCATAAATTGTAGCCCATGATGTCTTTTCCCCCTATCTAGGAAGAAAAGACCCATGAAGTAGTCAGTAAAATCAGTGTGCACAGATATCTCTATATTTGGACAATGAGTTCATGGACTTTATAGCCATTTTCTTCATCCACATCAATTTTATTTGGCTAAATATCTGTGGAATATACTGTAATATTACAAAGTCCTATCTTTCTGTAGACAGGAGGGATATCATTACTAAATAAGATGGAAAATGGTATAGAAATTGATAAGGAGTAGGGGAAGATATTTTTTAACTAAGATGCAGAATGAAATGGTTGACGAAGTGGGAAAATATCTGGAGGGTTAAATGAACTGCAACAATGCAATATCTATTTGAAATGCTTTTTAGTTTTGCAAAACTAAGCAAAGCCAAAAAAGTAACTTTTTTGCATCAAGCACCTCACCCCACAACTTTCCCAGCTGTTAAAAAAAGAGGAGAACAAAGAAAAGAAAGAAAAAGAAAGCTGCCTGGCCCTTTTTGGTTCCAGAAAGCATGTAAACCTGGTTTGTAACTCAAAGCGCCCTAGGGTGTTTTCTTTGCTTCCACTTTACCTCATGATATGACCTTGAACAAACCAGCTGGCTCTGTTGTCTTGATTTTCTTAAAATAATATCTTCTTTTTCTCTAGAGTATATACTTATGAGCACATTTAAGTTTTCTTTATTTTAATTACTATAACTATTAATAGCAGATGTTGCTGTGTTAAATTGAATTTGTTCTGAGAAAGCCTTTGTTGGGCTTGGAACTAGAATGTAAGCTCTTCGAGGGTAGAGGCCATGTCTTGCTCATCTTTGGAATTGAGGACTTACTACAATGCCTGGGGTCATGGCAGGTCCTCAAGAAGTGCTTATTGTACTAAATCCAACTGTGGTACTACTTTGCCTTTTCATAACAATATAGAATTACAAGAATATTTTTTCCAGATTTTTACATTTATTTTCATATTAGTTTCCTAGATTTTTGTAAACATTGAACACCAGCATTCTTTTTTTTTCTCAGATAAAATGATTTGATACAGGTCACTCAATTATAGGGGAAGCTAGAATCTAGGTTTTTTATTTTTTAAAAAAATCACTTCTGGACCTTCTAAAATATATATTTTTTTCTATTGCTATTCAGCTTCTCTCCCTAATCTTCTAACGTAGATTCCATTTCTACCCCTTCACTTTTTTACCACCCCTATTTATTGTTCTCTTGTAGATTATCCTCCAATTTTCCGTGAAAATAGCAAGCTTTGTTCCTCTATTGATATGTACGATGCCAACGATCAGTGATGAATTCTCTATTTTCAAAGCTGTACTGGATTTATATCTTAGCATAATAGACTTTAGAAGATGCAAAGCCAGGGAGGCAGAAAATACTTAGTGCCTGCTCACCGTGGGTTATAATATACTACCTCTGGAGGATTTAAAGTCCACTGTAGAAGAACAATCACACACAAGTTCACAAAGCAACACATGAATAATGTAAGAGAATCCTTGGGCCAGCTGTGTTCTGTGGAGACCTGGGCAGCTAAATGGACATCCTGAAGGACACTCATTCAGGGGGGTGTCCTGGGGTTAGAGGATAGATGATGAGTTTTGAGTAGGCTTTTCAAAAGATGGGAGGGATAGAAAACGGCTGAGAAATAGATACTGCTGATACATAGTAGATTCTATAATGCCATCGTGCCACATACTGATACAGGTTCATTTTCCTGCGGATTATTCATTAACCAGTCTTCAATGTGACATCTTCACATGTGGAATAATCTGACACTTTTAGCTGGTATCACTAAAAAGTATGTTTTCCTTCAGCATCAACTTGGGTAACTCTTGGTTGTTCCAGTGGCTAGTTATCTAATTGCTGACTTATCCAAGCTGTTTCTCCTGTTTCATCCTCCTTTTACTTGATTTTTAAATGTACAGTCATAGTGGGATGGGGGAAGAAATGCTGCAAGTGATGGTCTTTCATTTATTCTAAAATTGTTACCTATTTGTTTGTAAAGAAGTTGGTGAAGTTTAAAAAGAGTTGGCCAAAATGAGATGTTGGAATTGATTTTGGCTTTATCATTCATTAGTATTTCTTGTCTTAGCATAAAAAATGGCAAGTTGGCTGTTCATAGAGTCAGAGTATCATTAGAACTCCCTGAGGCTGGGGTTTGTGACTTGTATCCCTTGCTACACGTATAGTCCATAGTAGGTGCTCATAACTGCAGGTGGAACAACAGTATGACTAGACCTAGAAGGGAGCTTAGAAATGCAGAAACTAAGATCTAGAAGGGCATTCTCATTAGTGACAGAAGCAGGACTGATCCCAGGTCTCCTTAGCTGTCCACTGTGCTTTCCACCACACCACATTGCCAGAGGCAATGGCAGTGTTAGCTGTATAGAGCCCAACAGCCACGCTGGAGACTGTGCCCAGGGACAGTAAATCAGAGGCAGCTGGGCAACAGAGGGTTCTTGCCAAATTTGTAAAGGTTGGTTGTCAGCAAACCAGAGCAACAGAACCATTTTTGAAAATTTCCATTTAAAGTGGAATTTTCAAAACCATGAACTGCCACCAGGTCACTGAAGTTGATTTTATGGGAAGCCAGGGTTCCGCACAGCTGGTAGAGCAGACTGGTAATGGTGGCTCAGGCTGAGGATTTCTTCAGGCCAGATTGCCTCTGACCACAAGTGCCTAAAATTACTCACTAGGGATTGTTCTCCTAGTCATTTCTTAGGGCAAAAAAAACCCCACTTTCCTCTTAGGACCTTTTGACTGACAGAGAAACTTCTAGAGGAACATTTATTCATCTAATCTTTCTGTAGGCTCTGACTGAGAACTAGCGAAGTAAGCCAGAGGGTGTAGGAGTGATTGCTCAAGGATAAATAGTGACTCTTGCAGAGAAATGATATTTTTATTTCTTCAGAGGCAATAGGCATATCTAAAGCACTGTGAAGATGTCCAGGTAAGTTTATTAAGTTCTGAGGGAAAAGAAGTAGATGAGGAGCAAATGAGAATCTTGGATAAAGGCCTAGACCTTGATCATGGAGGATTTTATTTGTTTTTTGATATTATAGTGGATAATAGCAAAGCAAAATTCATAAGGAGGATCATTTTCCAGAAAAATATGTAGCACTGATTTCTTATGCAATACTTGAGAAAATATCTCTCAGAGAAGATTCTGTATCTAATTCTAGTAAATGGGCCAAATGTAATAAGTAAGCTTGAAGCCGGGTGACTGCTCAGATCTAATTAGATGAGGGCATGATGGTAGATAACATGGAGGTTAGGTAGTGTTTATAGACAGGCTGTCCCTAGCAGGCCTGGCATTAGTTAACTGCTTGAGAGATTCTTTAGCAAAGAGGTAATTGTAGAATACATCGACAAGCAGAGTTTATAGTTGAAATTAATGGCATATTTAATTGTGTAAGCTATTTGGGCCAAATGGCTTCTTTTTATCTTGTAGTTCTTGGATCCTAACATACGGTAGCATTACCCCCACTCTCTCAACCACCCTTACTTTTTTCCTGTAGTGAACACGTATACTTTATTGTTTGTGGAACTTGCCACATGATAAACATTGTCAACAGTGTCAGTGACCATAATCACAGAACAAATTGCTTTTCCACTTGGTCAAATATGTAATAAAATGATTCATCCCAAGAACTCTTCTTCATGGTGACTTGGCTGGGTATTGATCTAGTTCCTGGATCCAACCTCTACCTTACCTCAGGCCCTAAGTTGACCAGGTGGGCCCTGGATGGCCCTGCCGAGCTCCAGCTCTGGGATGGATTCTTCTTTGAACTTGGGAAGATTTTGTCATTCATGAAATTGGAACCATCCTTGGAATGTTAGTTTTGAAAGATTATGTCTTCCCCTACCAGTTAGAAATTAATGAAGATAAATCTCCAAGTGCGATGAACTTTTAGGAAGAATAGTATTTTGAAAAACAAAAATGTTGCCTACAGACTAAAGTATTTTAAATAATATCATTCAAATTAATTGGCTGTACAAGTATCTGCATGCAACAATTCCCCCTCCCTCACCCCACCCCCTCACCCCCCCGCCCCGAGGCAGAGTCTTGCTCTGTCACCCGGGCTGGAGTGTAGTGGCACAATCTTGGCTCACTGCAACTTCCGCCTCCTGGGTTCAAGCAGTTCTCCTGCCTCAGCCTCCCAACTAGCTGGGATTACAGGGACCCGACACCACACCCAGCTAATTTTTGTATTTTTAGTAGAGACGGAGTTTCACCATGTTGGCCAGGCTGGTCTCGAATTCCTGACCTCATGGTCCGCCTTCCTTGGCCTCCCAAAGTGCTGCTGGGATTACAGGCTTGAGCTACCACGCTCAGCCAACATTTTAATAAATACTAGTTTTTCACACAGCAGCTTATAAAATCATTGTATTTGCATGGTAAATTACAGTTTCCATAATATTTTCATACTCTTGACTTTGATTCTAACTAGATTATCTGTCTCTCCTCTGCATTTCCATAAAACTCTACAAACTTCTATGCTATGTTTCCTTGTCTTACAATTCTCTGTGTATATTTATCACTTTCCCCACCAGACATAAGCTGCTCAAAGGCAGGGAATCATATCTTATTTATTTTTTTGTCTCTAGAACCTAGTCCAATGCCAGGTTCATTTTATATTATGATGTTGCATTGTATACTACGTAAATATATGCTGGGCTGTATTCTGTGGAAAATGAGGTTGTTTACACTTTGAAGATTTTAAATATCTATTTGGATTTGTTATATCACAAATTCAAATGATTAAAATCCAAATTGTGGTCTCTTTAGTTGCTGTTGATTTCTTGGAGAAAATGATTTCAAGTATACTGAGCTTGTGCTGTGTGTTCCCTGTGGTGAACCTTTGATTATATTTCTGCCATGTGGCCTGTTAGTTTAAATTGCTCTGGTTACAATGCAAGAAGAAGTAGTTACTCTTCACTGTTGTTGGGGGGAAATTTAATTTGCTTCAAACCAGAATTGTTTTACTTTAACATTTGTATGGATTATGGATCCAAACATACATACACTAAAACAGACTTAAGGCAATTAAAAACTTCTGTGGTTATTTGGATTCAGCTTCCCCGACTTGTCTTCTTATCCAGTCTTTTTGCCCCTTAACTTTAATTTTTTTCTTATTACTCAAGTAATACAGCTTCACTATGGGAAAAATTTTTAACATATAAATATCAGGTTCTTTCCATGTCTCACTTTTCTTATCTTTGGAATATTGTTTTTGCTTTAACCTGGCTTTCCTTGTAATTGCGAGATGGCTGCTGCAGTTCTAGTATCACATCCAGATGATGTAATATCCAGAGGAAAAAGGAGTACATCTCTTTCTGTCTATGCTCCTTAGAAATACCTTAGAAATAAGGAATGCTGGCTGGGCGTGATGGCTCACTCCTGTAATCGCAGCACTTTGGGAGGCTGAGGCAGGTGGTTCACGAGGTCAGAAGTTGAAGACCAGCCTGGTCAAGATGGTGAAATCCCATTTCTACTAAAAATACAAAAATTAGCTGGGTGTGGTGGCAGGCATCTATAATCCCAGTTACTTGGGAGGCTGAGGCAGAGAATTGCTTGAACCTGGGAGGTGGAGGTTGCAGTGAGCTGAGATTGCGCCATTGCACTCCAGCCTGGTGACAGTGAGACTCCGTCTCAAACAAACAAACAAAAAGGAATGCTTTCCCTAATGTCCCATCTTCATGTCCAGCAACATTTGTCTTCCATCCTATTGATCCTAATAGTCTTTGCCTTCCTAAGCAATCCATTCCTAAACCAATAACTGGCAAGAAAAATAAGATTACCATGATTGGCTCTAGGGGTTGGCAAACTTTTTCTTAAAGGGCAAGACAGTAAATATTTTATGCTTTGCAGTCTATCTGGTCTCTGTTGCAACTATTCAACTCTGCTGTAATAGCAACAATAGACAATAAATAAATAAATAAATAAATGGATGTGGCTGTATTTTTGTAAAACTTAATTTACAGAAGCAGGTGGTAAGCCCATGGGCCATAGTTTGCTAACCCCTGGAACCTTAGACCAGTAACTCTGAAACATTAGCATTTGTTAGAATCAACTGGGGACTTGTTAAAATACAAGATCCCATCCTGGTTGCTGGTTCAGCATATTTGGGATAGAGCCAGTGAATTTGCATTTCTAATAATTTCCCAGGTAATGCTGAGGCTGTGAATTCAAGAACCTCACTTAAATATATTTCTCTATTGTGGGGCTATCCTGTGCATTGT
The DNA here is from genome assembly GCF_000001405.40 of Homo sapiens. Lineage (NCBI taxonomy): Eukaryota > Metazoa > Chordata > Mammalia > Primates > Hominidae > Homo > Homo sapiens. The sequence goes on from NC_000007.14 coordinate 33,475,530, forward strand.
AGGATGTTTCACAGCATCCCTGGCCTCTACCCACTAGATGCCAGTAGCCACCCTGCCTCTCCTCTAGTATGACGAGAAAAAAAAAAAAGTTTGAAATATTGCCAGATGTTCCCAAATGTTCCCTAGGGGACAAACTCTCTGATTTCTCCCTCTCCCTTAGACATAGACTTTTCAGATATATTCCCTGGGTCTGGGAAGAGGTTCACTTTTCCTTGTAGCATTTGGGGAAGGAGTGTATACAAAATCACTATGATGTAAAGAAAGAGCGAGAGGAATGATTGTTGGACAGGCAACCAGCAGTGTCTACTGACAATCACATCATAATTCCTGAGAACAAAAGACTTCACTGCCAAAATGTTCCAGAAAATGGAACAAGAATACCCACCTGCTAACATTTTCTGAGACTAGAATCTAATCGCAAAATTGAAGAAAGTTTAGAGTCTGGTGCAATAAATACAGAGAGGCGGTCAATTGATAAGTAAAATATCCTATCAGGTAAAGCTTCAGTTAAAGGTGACATCTGTATTTGGGTCTTTTAGAATGTTTTTCATGCAAAGGTAGTAAAATAATTTTTTTACAAAATTTATAACATTTTGTAAAATTCTGTTAGTCTTTCAAAAAGAACATTAATAGAATACAATTGGTTTTCTATTTTACATAAGTGAAATATGACAAATCTGGTGAATTTATGGACTTTTTTTTTGGCTTAGGGAGGTTTTAAATCTTGGATAGTGTTGGATTCCACTTGGACTATTTATATGGGTAATAAAGCCATGGTGGAAACCTGTGCAGTTACTCTGAGCCATTCCTCACCCTTCTTTGGCTCTGCTCTATATCTTAGAGGGATGCAGGCATTTCTCAGGATCCACGTCAGCTGGGAGGCACTGGGAGGAGACTCCAGGGCAGTAGGAATTTTGAAGTCGGTGTTGCTCCATTGCCCTGTCTGCCTTGGGCAGCATCTTGGCCATGGCTGCATTTCCTCCTTGGCTCCAACCACCTTTAAACAAACCTGGACCCCTGGGCTGTGATAGCTTTGTCTCCTCCCAGTATCCCTCCAGCCTGAGGGGGTGGTATTGGCTTCCTGCTGTTGCTAATCTCTAAATTAGCCCATCATCCATCCCGTCTTACTTCTCAGCTCCCTCATTACCTACTAAACTCCACATCAAAGTCCCTCAATTGTACATACTCAAAATGGTTTGTTTTCTTGATTAAACTCATGCTGATGTGAAACTGTCAACCCCAACTGTCTTGTCATATAAACCTAAAAGATTTCTATCTTGTTAAGAGATGTTGTTTTTAAAATAAAGTGTAAATTAAGTATGTATATAGATTGTCAGTAGTAATTTATATTGTAATATATATCTTGATGGCTTGATATCAGATATCTTGTTAGTGTCTGATTCCTATAAACATAAAAAGAAGTTTAAAAGTTGGTAAATTATTTCACCTGGGGACCTATTATAGCCTAGTGACAAAGAACACTAGTTCTGAAGCTGAACTGCCCAGGTTCAAGTGGGCCCTTCCACTTACTAGCCTTGTGGCCTTGAGCAAAAGATCTAACTTCTTTGTACCTCAGATTTCTCATCCATAAGATGGTGATAATAAAGGTAACTATTAGGTCTCAAAGTGATTGTTGGGAAGATTAAGGGAATAATACACTAAATGCACTTTGAGAAGTAATTGGCATATCATAAGTACCCAATAAATATTAGCCATCATCGTCATCATTGTTGTTACCCTTATATTCTAGCCATAACTGATTGAGCCAGGCAGTCACTTTGAAGAACTATAGCCCCTAAAAATGAGTTTTCTATAGGAAATAAGGGTGAAAATGTACGTCAAAGAGAAAAGTCCATTTGAATGTATCCTCCCCCAAACACTTCTTTTTTCCTTCTAGTTTGTTTACTGTGCATCTGGCTACTTCAAAGCATACATAAATTAACACAGAGATGCATACCTTAATATCTCATAATAGAGGTTATTATTTTTTTTAAAGCTTGTGTGAATGTAAGGACTTCAATTTTAAGAGAATAAGGAAGGCTCTCCCAATCACATGGATTTGATTAGCCAGTGGCAAGTACTGGCTCAGCTAGAACTTTTAGAAGTTCAGAATTAGAAGTTCAGTTCTGACTTAACTTTCCTACTAGTTGTTCTTCAGTGTCCTGAAGCACCACGATTAAGTAAGTATAGCATTAGGTTGTTCACCATAGATATATTATTGACCATAGGCATTTAATCATGGAATAGACGCAGTGAGCTTCTAGAAGGGGTTAACTAATTCATTAAAATATGTGTGCTGACCACTAGTTGTGTGGTGCCATTAGGTGGAATAGCCATCAGAAATGGGGAAGAAGTATCATTTGAAACTTTTGGGTTGTGTCATCTTTTGTTTGGTATTGTTTGTTGGGTTTTTTGGAAGAAGTGAAAGGTTTTCAGAGAGAAATGAAAAGCCAGAAAGTGTTAAATATGACTTACTGAGAGGGTTAGGACATATAAAGGGAAGGAAATTGTATGTCTCTTGCTACAAGGAAGTAGGTAGTTTTTCTTGACTCTGCTAGAAATTCCAGATCTGTGAAATAATAATGGTTGTGGGCCATTAAATATGAAAGAGGTGATGAAAGGGGAATATTAAAATTATAGTTGTGAACCTTTTTTTGAGGTCAAAGACTCCAGTGGGATTCTGAAAATGTTGGGCTCTTTCCTCTAGAAAAATGCATAAAAACATGCAAAATGTTAGTTTCAGTTTCAAGGGGTTTACCAACACCTGGGGCCCATTCTTGGGCCCAGGTTATAAACCTCTAAGCTAAAGGAAAAGCTAGGGGTTTTAGGAACATGCCAATATATGTAATTTTATTATTCATTTGGGAAGCAATTGGGAGCCACTCTAGTTTTCTGATTGTGGAATTGGCATGGCCATGGTAATTCTTACATTTCTTATAGAATACTTCTGTTAGTGGCTGATGTAAGGTGCAGTAGAGTTAAAACTAACTGAAAAAAGTAGGCATTTCAAATATTCATCTAGATAAATACAAAAAAGCACATTAAGTGTAATTTTATTTCAGAATGAAAGGTGTTCTTATCAAGAGCTTTGCTCTAGTCAAAACAATCAGGAATATTTGTTAGCAATTTGTTTGTAATTTTTTTTTTTACTTGAGAGGTGGTGCCAGGTTTTTTGTTTGTTTTTCTTTTTATTTCACATAAATCAGAACATAACTCATTAGAGCCAGATATTTTATTTTCTAACTGTTTGTGAACCTTCATTTAGATACTCTTGACATGTCTGCAAAACAGTCAATATAGTTTGTTCTCCCAAATAGGCAGGAGAAGTAAATATGATGTTAGTGGGTTTTTTTTTTTTTTTTTTTAGCAATTTAAATATGGTGCTTTTGTTTTCCTTGAACACAATTTATATTTGATTGATAATGTTACTTTACTGTTCATTTACTGATAGCTGTCATTCCTGAAATAAAAATTAGCAAGCAAGCTAGGCTTAATTCAAGGTATGGCTATAGAAAGTAGCAAGCAGTTCTGTCTTTTCAAGGCTGAATATTTCTTTTTTTCTTTTTCTTCCAACTTTAATTTTAGGTTCAGGGTGTACATGTGCAGATTTTCTACGTGGGTAAATTGTGTGTCCCTGAGGTTTGGGGTATGAATGATCCCATCACCCAGGTAGTGAGCATAGTACCCGCTAGGTAGTTTTTCAACCCATGCCTCCTTCCCTCCCACCTTTAGTAGTCCACAGTATCTATTTTTCCCATCTTTGTGTCCATGTGTCAGTGTTTAGCTCCTGTTGATAAATAAGAACATATGGTATTTAGTTTTCTGTTCTAATTTCTAATTTCTGTTCTGTTTCTAATTCACTTAGGATAATGGTCTCTAGCTACATCCATGTTGCTGCCAAGGACATTATTTTATTGTTTTTTTATGGCTGCATAGTATTCCATGGTGTATATGTGCAACATTTTCTTTGTACAATCCATTGTTCAGGGGCACCTGCATTGATTCCATGTCTTTGCTATTGTGAATAGCATTGCAGTGAATATATGGGTAAATGTGTTGTAGAATGATATATTTTCCTTTGGGTATATACCCAGTAATGGAATAGCTGGGTTGAATGGTAGTTCAACTCTCAGTTCTTTGAGAAATCTCCAAACTGCTCTCCACAGTGGCTGAACTAATTTACATTTTCACCACCAGTATATAAGCGTTCCTTTTCTCCACACTTTTAAATACTAGCCATTCTGACTGGTGTGACATGGTATCTTCATTTTGGTTTTGATTTGTGTATCAGTGATGTTGAGTGTTTTTTTATATATTTGTTGGCTGCAGGTATTTCTGCTTCTGAGAAGTGTCTGTTCATGTTCTTTGCCCATTTTTTAATGAGGTTGTTTGTTTTTTGCTTGTTGATTAAGTTCCTTATAGATTCTGGATATTAGACCTTTGTTGGATGCATAGTTTGCAAATATTTTCTGTCTTTTTCAAAGGATTTCAGAACATTGGGTATCAAGCTTGTTGACTTTTTGCCTAATACTGCTAAACTGATCAGGAGGAATCACAGCATTGTTTTCATATAGCAATGCTCAGTAAGGAGGAAAGTCTCAATAAAGGTTTTAGGTAAGTGGAAACAACTTAGAGATATGAGGAACAGTTGTAATGATTAAAACATTCTTCTACATTCTTATCAGAAGCTTGAAATTACTAGTGATAGTCAAATTCTTATTTCCCAGTGTTAACAACAGCAGCAGCAGTAACAATAAATTATTTATTTTGTGCAAGGCTCTATACTAGTTTCTAGCAATACAGAAGAAGGATAAAGAGGGTTTTTATTTGTAAGGAACATAACCATTAAATGGGGGAGAAAGACGTGTCCCCTAGAGTTAATTACAGTGCAAGAAAGCATAGAGTAAGTTTTGAAATGAATAGCGTAGGTAATAAATAAATGGCAGAGGAATTCTGATCTGGGAGTAGACATTATGGGCAAGAATGTCTTGTCAAAGCTTCACAAAGGAAGTTCTCATGATGGGTGCCCCATAGGTTTCTGTCATGTATCTTGACCTAATGTTAATCTTATTTTTGTGTTATCACTTGCTTAGGTGTCATTCTTGGCAATTAGTTGGTAAGTTGCTTAGGGGCAGGGCTGGTGTGTATATTGTTCAACTCTAAATCTTTAGCATTGATTCATAGATGTATAGCAATATATGTTGAATGAATGTCATATGGTTAGGCTTTGTGTCCCCACCCAAATCTCATCTTGAATTGTATTTACCCACATGTTGAGGGAGGGACCTGGTGGGAAGTGATTGGATCATGGAGGCAGTTTCTCATGATGTTCTCATGATAGTGAGTTCTCAGGAGAGCTGATGGTTTAAAAGTGTTTGGCAGTTCCCCACCCCCAGCCCCCCACAGCCATGTAAGAAATGCCTTGCTTCCCCTTCACCTTCTGCCGTGATTGTAAGTTTCCTGAGGCCTCCCCAGCCATGTGGAACTGTGAGTCAATTAAGCCTCTTTTGTTTATAAATTATCCAGTCTCAGGGAGTTTTCTATAGTAGTGTGAAAATGGACTAAGACAGAATGAATAAGGGATACATGAATGAAGAGGTGGAACTTGTATTTAACCTTGAAGGAAGGGCACACAAGGAGATAGGAAGGACTTATTGGCAGAAGGAAAAATACAAGTTAATGTATGGTAGTGGGAATACTCAGAGTATGGATAGGTGATGAGTGATCCAAGTTTGTTTTGATGAAGAGGCTAATATAGGAGAGTAGTATAGGTTGACATTGGACAAGATAAACACTTGCAAGATTGGGAAGACATTGAATATTGTTATTAAATTACTCCATAGCATAGGTAAGACCTATAACTTTGACATGTATTTCTCTATAAAATAAGGGTAGGAAAAGGTCAGTGAAGAAATACAACTAAAGAAAATGATATTTCAGAATTAAATTATGTAATATGATATTATATAATGTTGCATGAACAAAGCAGTGTACAAATTTACATAAATATGCTTATGTGATACAATGTGATGAATATGAAATACAATGTAAATTTGTATACATGTCCATATATGTGTAGGTAGTTTTAGAGAGAATTGTCTGAAAAGGTGTTTCCCAAAATATTAATACTGTAAAGGCTCTCTCTAAGTAGTAAATAATTTTAAGTAATCTTTTATGCCCTTTTTAAATTTAGCTGAAGTCTGTTTCTGTAACCTAGGGGTGATTTGTAGAGGATGCTCTTGTTTGGAGTGGAGAGGAAGAAATAAATATAGGGAGATATTTTAAGGGCAGAATTGAAAGGACATGGGGTCTTAATAAAGGGGATAAAAGTAGAATTTTTAGGTCTGATTTTAAGGTTTCAAGCCAATTGGCATAATTAATAGCAAATTGGGAGGGATGTCGTCCTGTAGTTTGGGACGTTTTTCATGGGAAAATTGGCTTATTAATGTCCACATCTTGAACTATTATGTAAACACATATAGCAGCAACTGGACTAGTAGTTAACGGTGTCTCTGATCGGGTAAAGATTGGAGTAATCAGAGGGTGGTACTAAAGTGTGATTTTTTTTTTCTACCACAGAACTCAACATTCATGAAAAGTCAGACAGTTACTCAACTCTCACATATTCTTTAGGAGAATGGGAACATACTGTTTGTTCTCATTTTAGAGACTGATAAAGCAAGAATTAGGAAAATGGAGAAAAGGACAGTTATGTTCAGGTGCTCACTGAGTGGCAGAGGGAGGGCCTTCCTGCTGGTTGACTACCATGTTGCCTTGGATGGGGGAACACATCCATCACTGCTGCTCCTGTATCCCACTGTGATTGGTTCTCTGGTTGCAACTCTTCTCTTATTTTTTAATCTGAATTTAAAAAAGGCTTTGTTTCCAAAGTCTGTCATGGCCTGTTTTTTAGGTTTAACTGGTAACATAGGGGAGATGCCATGAAGGATGGCTCAAAATAGGAAATACAGTTGTATAATTGAGACAAAAAAGGATATCCTGGAAATAATATTATGTTAGGTTAGTAAGTTGTAGAGCTTCTAATTATGCGGGTATTTTCTCTCCCCTAATTACTAATTTTAGAAAGCATTTCTTTCAATTTAAGAGTTAGCCTTAAATTTGTCTCCTGAAACTATGTTAGAAACCACATATTTCCAGTTCAGTTGAAATTATATGGTATTAAATCTGTAACTTTCCAGGTTCTATAGACTGGCAGAAATGGGTTTAAAGGATTGGTGCTTCAGTGATTTTCAGAGGAAAGGTCCTCCTGTTGTTCTGGCCATTCATACCTTACTATTTCTGTTTCTGGGCTATTCTGGGATAGAAATGGGATTGAGTCCTGTGAATGGGAATCATTTTCCATTTACTATGAATGGGAATCATTTTCCATTTACTATGAATGGGAAATGGGAACTGTCCTATGAATATAAGTATGTTAGTTATGTCTATTTTAAGAGTGGATTAGTAAACTAGATTCTGGATAGAAATTTTTAAAAGGGGCAATTTTACATTTTAATCTCATAGCTTGAATAACTCATGAATTCTAAATGAAGAATAAACACCTTTTCTTTGGGGGGCGGGGGGAATAGCTTTAAAACAGACTGAAATGTTTCATAAGTGTATCCTGTCTTGCTATAATTTGGTCCTAGACCTTGAGCAGAAAATCCTTGTACTCTGTAAAGAAAATAGTGACCCTGTATATTGACCTGGCCCAAGATGGAAAAACAAGGAACCCTTCTTGGACTTTGTACTCATTACACTCAAATCTTTGTTCTAGTCACTAAGTCCTTTCATAAGTAAATTTTCCGGAACTTTCTATGCTGTAACTTTTGCTTTTTTCACGTGGCTCTGTTCAATGATAATGGTGTCTATTTTACCTTAGTGCCTTCACTGGCATATATACCTTGCCTAGAATCACCTTTTTCCTTCAACAGATCTAATTTAGGTTCTTCAACCTCCAATTAGTCTTTTCTAACAACTTCAGCCTTCATTTTTTAATCCCATCAAGGTCATATCTAGGAAACATTTTGATGTTTACCACTGAATTCAGTATCACGTGATATTTTATATTTGCTTTGGTTTAATAGATTCGAGTTTGATCTCAACAGATTTTTTTTTTTTGAGCCAGAATCTCACTCTATTGCCTGCTTCAGTGCAGTGGCGTGATCATGCCTCACTGCAGCTTTGAATTCCTGGACTCAAGCAATCCTCCCACCTCAGCCTCCTGAGTAGTTGAGACTACATCTACACGCCATGCCCAGCTAATTTTTATTTATTTATTTATTTTCTGTAGAGATAGGGTCTTGCTTTGTTACCCAGGCTGGTCTCAAACTCCTTGCCTCAAGTGATTCTCCTACCTTTGACTCCCAAAATGTTGGGATTTACAGATGTGAGCCACTGCGCTGACCTCAACAGACCTTTACTGAGTTTTATCTTCAAGCTTTCAAAGAATTTTCTTTTTGAGACACAGTATTGGGAATATAGTAAATGCTAAATAATTCTTTGGTATTAGTATTAAGGCAATGTGGAGAAAAAGTTCTGAAATGTGACTTATTGAGCTGAGACCTAAATACTTGTTAATATTGATTGATCTGAATTGAGATCATTTTTATTCTTCTCTTCCTGGCATAAGCCACTTAAATCAAATTCAGCAGAAGTTATACATGTTAATCAATAGAGTCAGCTCATGAGTAATCAGGAAAATCTACAAAAAAGGTTACATCAAAGTAGATTTCTCAAAAGCCTCAAGCAGTCTGGATGAAAAAATATATATTTTATATTATGTATACAGCATATGTATATATTTCTGTGTTGCCAGATGTAGAATATGACCTCTCTAATCAATACAAAGTTGGAATCATAGCCATTTAAAATATTCTTAATGTTTTAAAGAAACAGAACACATACTTATTTTTCTTGTTGTTGTGGTTTGTTTTTGTGTTTGCTTTTTTGTTTTTTGTTGGTTGGTTTTTCAACAGCATTTTGACTGCAGCCAACAAACAGGAAAAAAGCTCAACATCACTGGTCATTAGAGAAATGCAAGTCAAAACCACAATGAGATACCATCTCATGCCAGTCAGAGTGGTGATTATTAAAAAGTCAATAAACAACAGATGCTGGCGAGGTTGTGGAGAAGGAAAAAGGAATGCTTTTACACTGATGGTAGGAGTGTAAATTAGTTCAACCATTGTGGAAGACAGTGTGGCAATTCCTCAAAGATCTAGAGGCAGAAATACCATTTGACTGAGCAATCCCATTACTGGGTATATACCCAAAGGAATATAACTCCTTCTGTTATAAAGATACAAGCATACATATATTCATTGCAGCACTATTCACAACAGCAAAGACATGGAATCAGCGCAAATGCCTGTCAATGATAGCATGGATAAATAAAATGTTGTATATATACACCATAGAATACTATGCAGCCATAAAAAGGAATGAGATCATTTCCTTTGCAGGGACATGGATGGGGCTAGAAGCCGTTATCCTCAGCAAACTAATGCAAGAACAGAAAACCAAACACCTCATGTTCTCACTTATAAGTGGGAGCTGAACGATGAGAACACATGGACACATTGTTGGGGGGCAACACACACTGGGACCTGTCGTGGGGATAGCGGAGGGAGAGAATCAGGAAGAACAGCTAATGGGTGCTGGGCTTAATACCTTGGTGATGGGTTTATCTGTGCAACAAACCACCATGGCACACATTTATTTACCTATGTAACAAATCTGCACATCCCATGCATGTACCCTGGAACTTAACATAAAAGTTTTTTTTTTTTTTTTTTTGAGATGGAGTCTCGCTCTGTTGCCCAGGCTGGAGTGCAGTGGCGCGATCTCGGCTCATTGCAAGCTCCGCCTCCCGGGTTCATGCCATTCTCCTGCCTCAGCCTCCCGAGTAGCTGGGACTACAGGCGCCCGCCACCACGCCTGGCTAATTTTTTGTATTTTTAGTAGAGATGGGGTTTCACCGTGTTAGCCAGGATGGTCTCGATCTCCTGACCTCGTGATCCACCTGCCTCGGCTTCCCAAAGTGCTGGGATTACAGGCCTGAGCCACTGCGCTTGGCCAAAAGTTGTTTTAAAAAAAGGCATTTTCCTAATAATGAGGTTTGAGAGAAATTTTTCTTCTGAGTCTTTATAAGGTAGACATTGGGTGATATAATGAATAACAGCCTTGACAATAGTAGGCCAAATTATGACAAGATATGGTCAAATTAGTTGACACTCAAATCCAAAATTAAATAATTGATTAGGTGTGAACCTTAAGAAGGCTATTGGATCACTTTAACCAAATTGTTCATTTTTGCCAGTTCTTTGCTGGAATGGAGATAGCTGGTCACCTCAATTAAAGAGGAAAAAAGATGAATTCATTCACTGATTGAATCCAGTGCCTGATGACTCATGAGTAGTTAGGTGTAATTCTTATGACTACACAATGGTGGGTTGAAGCCTGATTTCCTAACTTTGGAAATTAATCTTTCGTGTGTTCTTGTTGGCGGTGTGGGAGTAGGGGGAAAGTAGAAAAACCGAAGCAGCCTCCATCTTCCCCAAAATTCAGGGGCACAATTTAGCCTTATTGTTCAAGACCCTCTGCCAGAGTTGAGTCTAAGGCACAGTTTTTTTTTCCCTCAGTCTAAACAATCCAGGCTAAATTCATTTTTCAGCTTACAATACTGAACCCTCTTGGAATAAATAGGTGCTGTGACAGCTTCTCAAATTCATAACATTCAAGTGGGCTGTCAATGGCCTCCTGATGGATGTGTGGGTCAGGAACAGCCCCAGGGAAATCTCCTCGGAGAGGAAGTACTGGAAGTGAGAAGCCAGCAGTCAGACAATCTCCTGTTCAGTTGTATCACAGTTGTGCTTCTGAGAAAAAGCTGTAAAGAAATTAAATTTGTTTAAATCAAATTGTATTTTCAGTGCACTTAAGTAGTTGCTAAACCTAAATGGATCCTGTTAAGAATTACTCTTTAAAGTGAATAAATCCCTTCAAAATTGTATCATTTCATATTTTTACATATTCAGAGATCCTTGCTAACTTTTGGGTATGTAGATTTTAAGGTATAGGTTTATTTCAGCAATGAGAGATTTGGGGGACAAAGTCAAACTCCTATTCTTTCCTGACCCAAACTGGAAGTCAGCTTCTTCTTCTTGTTAGTGTTGTTGTTTGGATAGATGCTAAAAAATCCCAGGATTCTTTCCAGTAACTTCTCTCTGTAGGCAGCAAGCCAGTTGCTGTTTAGAGGTGACCCTGGTAGCCATTCAGGTGAAAAGGGGAATTCTCAGGGGAAGTCTTTTTTTCTAATTCTCTACAGCTGCTTCAGACCAGTGCTGATACACAGCAAATGAAACATAATTCATTGTCCTAGCCAATAATGTCTTTCATAAGCACAAGTTGAATTTGTGATTTGTTGGGTAGTGTCTTACCCCACTGGGGTATCTTCGTAATTTGTATGTGCTGAACTAATGATGTTTTATTTTATAAATTGGAATTCAATGCCAGTATGAAGGAAAGCAAAAATTCTTTCTATAAAGTTTTGTGATATTGGAAGTCCTTTGATCCTCACCTTGTGACTACTAAATGTCCCCTCTACCCTGTATAATCTGGCCAATCTTTACTCTTAAATAGCATTCTTTGTTTAAAGACGTAAGCTTAGGATTCATTGTAATTCGTTGGTTTCTCCATTTTTTAAACTGTAATTTGTTCCAAATGCTATGGGGTTTTTCCAGATAAGCTACTGGTTTTTATACTCTTTCCATGTAAATTAGCTGAACAGTAGGCCTCAGTTTGGAGAATATTAATTAAGATTATTTAGAGATGTTAAATTCCTTATGCTTCTAGTGTAATGATAGCTAACTTTATATAGTATCTAACAGTTTACTAAAATTCATCACATAGATCACTTAAATTGGCCCCTAAAAAACTAAATCTGTGAGGCAAGTTAATATTACTTTGCTACTTTTTACATTAGAGAAACAGGAGGATTGTCTAGAAAAGTAAAATGATTTGCCTGAGGTAAACAGCACAATTCAAACTATTGAGTCAAAGGCCTGTGTTCTTTGCATGATATCAAGCAAGCTTTAGGCAGGCTTTGCTGCTGGAGGAAGAGATCTGGGCCATTTCTTTCTCCCTTGTACCCTATGCTCACATTTTGGGGCCTCTCATCCCAGTAATTCTGATGAGAATGGTCAGGGGATGTGTCTGGGTGACTGCCCTTTCTGAACTGTGTTGTTCTCAGCCATCAGGGAACACCTTATGCCCAAACTGAGAAATGTAAGGTTGAGGCTCATAGCTCTCTTTCCACATGCCCTTCTTGTCTCTTTTAACATAAAAAGACTGTCTCAACTTGATAGCCCACTATCATAGCCTCTTAATCACAGGGAAAATAATTATCAATATCCGAGGTGTGATAGGCTATAAATTGTACATGAAATCAGCTTTGTAAATTATAAAACTGTGACAGTGAAGGAAATTACTAAGTTTCTGAAAAAATAGAAAATCAAGACAAAGCCAAACTCTGATCCCATTTTATGGAGAGGGCTGTCACTCCAGCTTCAAGCTCTCCTCTTCTCTCCAGCCAACTGTATTCATGCTTCCTCATATTAATTTTTTTATGCTACATCTGTGTTTCCATTTTCTTCTGTGCTGTCCATCTACTTGCACACTTGGACTAGATTCACTTCCCCTTTGCAAGCTCATGCCTTGTAGGTAATAAGTGGCATGTTTCAAATCCTCTGTGCTATAGGAACAAAATCTCAGACCAGAAGTTCTGAGTTTGATACCCTTATTAGCCTTCCCTGTAACTTGACATTTTGCATTTTTTCCTCATAAAAGGGGGACTTAGGTGCTCTGCCTGTTTAATTTGTAAAGTTGTTGTGAATACTTAATGAGATAGTGTAGGTAATATCCTTAAAGGAGGATGTTGATGTGAGGGGTTAGCCCTGGTTCCAGTACTAACCTCCTGTGTGATTTAAGGCAAGTCACCACATCTCTCTGGGCCTTAGAACTTTTCTGTTTCCTTAACATTAAAATATGGGGTTAGGATTAGATGATTTTGAAGGTCTTTTCAGATTCAATCAGTTGAATTCAGATGAGTATATTGAATATTTACAGTGTCATGAACTATAAATAAGAACATTGTCCTTGTTCTCAAAAAACATGTAATCTAAGGAAAAGAGATGTAAATAAATGACCATAGTGTGATATAGTAAATTTCTTCTGTTCTAGCCCTGAAATTCTGATTCTGTGATTGCAAAACTTATCTCCTCTCAGTCTCTTCCATTTTAGAGCTTATTTCTGTCCAGAGGAAAGAAATTCACCAAGAAAAGTAGTTTTCATATGAGGGAATAGAGTTTACTTGGTTTTTAGCAGAGCATTACTGGTGATTGATAATAGCTGTAAGTGGCGTGTTTGTCTGAGACACCAGATAACATTCAGGACAGACTTCTTTTTTTTTTTTTTTTTTTTTTGAGATGAAGTCTCACTCTGTCACCCAGGCTGGAGTGCAATGGCATGATCTTGGCTCACTGCAACCTCCGCCTCCTGGATTCAAGCAATTCTCCTGCCTCAGCCTCCCGAGTAGCTGGGATTATAGGCGTGCACCACCACGCCTGGCTAACTTTTTGTATTTTTAGTAGAGATGGGGTTTCGCCATGTTGGCCAGGCTGGTCTGGAACTCCTGACTTCAAGTGATCCACTCTCCTTGGCCTCCTAAAGTGCTGGAATTACAGGTGTGAGCCACTGCACCCGGCCAGGACAGACTTCTTTAAACAAAAATAACCACTTATGGCTTTTTTTTTTTTTTTTTTTTTTGCTGAAATTGAGTTTTCTCCAGTAGGTAGAAGGAAAACTTGGATATTTAATAACTTATCAAAGTAGTGTTGATGACCAAGACCTTCCTTGTGTACTCATCTCTGTTCAGGCAATAGCTGGTATAAAACTAGAGATATAATCTAAATATTCTGCATATCGGTAAACTAAGAGGAGACTGCTCAACTTACCATTCTCAGATTCTGCCAGAATCAACTTCTGATATACCAGAAGTTTTATGGTGGCCAGTTCCCCAATAATCTGTGTAATCTTTCTTAATATTATTTTTGATCATCAAATCATAACTTTTCTGAAGATTGCTAAACACTATTTTCTAAGGTGTTTTTAGGGGAATTAAAATGATGGCCACAGGATAAAACCCTAGAGAACTGAAACAAAGAACTCTTTCCTGAAGCTTCACGTGCTATTGTGTGATATTTCCTATCACTCATGAACGCTTCCACTATGAAGATGGTATTCTATCCCCAGAATTAAAATTTCTTCTCCGGATGGTTTGTGTGATACTTGTTATTTTATCCAAATTCAGCTCTTTATCACAGTGTTGGATATTGATACCAAGAATTTAAACAAAAAGTGGCTGTGTGAATCAGTTATTTGTAAGATAATAATCTTGTTCTTATTCTCTGAAAATGGATTCAGATTTCTAGTAAATGGATTCTATTAGAGGATTCCAATTTGAACTGTGACACCTGTTTAATTTGTTAAGTGAACTAGAAAGTGAGTTATTTTTAAAACTAGTTGTAATCCATACCTCTCTTAACAGATGCTCTCATCCTCATATAGTCTATTTTAGCTACTTCGAAGGAAGAAATACATGGGTTTAGAGGGGCCCCTTATCCATTCAAATCCAAATTTGGACATTTCAAGAAAAGATCTGTTTTATACATAACACATTTACTTAGGTTTGTAGATTTTTCTTTATTTGCTGAGTTTTAAAAAGATCAATCTTTTTTCTTTTTCTTTTTTGTTTTTTTCTGCCTGGTTTGATTTTCTTTTTATTTGTGTGTTTTAACAGAGAAGCTTTACATGAGAATATCAATGCCAGGACCAAAGCTGTCATGTCCCTTTTTGTTTAATTCTCATCTGTATTAGAATTATACATGGATATCAACTATCTTTTGGCTAGTTTTATAGTTGAAAATCACTTCAAAGATAGTCATTAAGAATTATCTCATAACTGTGAAAAATGTCACTATCTCACAAATGTTTATTAACCCCAGTTTCAGTTGCTCATTGAGCCAAATTTCTTCCTCCATTAAGGTTCATGCAGCACCTAACACTCCAGTGGGTGCTCAATTTGTACTCTTTGAAGAGATTGAATAAACATATATTTTATTTTTTCTCAGGGTAAATTGATCTTAGCTTCTATTCTATTAATAAGAAATAAACTTTATTACTTTCCCAGAATGCATAGTTTCTTTCATTGAAGTCATAAGCATAATTAATCTGAAAATAAGTAACAACTTTGTGGAAGTTAATTTTCTAGCTCCGTGGAGTTCTTTCAAAGCGGTGTGGACAGTGACAGAACATGGGCTTTGTTGGGTAGCCAGTCCTGGGTTTGAATCTTGCTGCATGACTGTGGACAGTCAGCATCTTAAACCACCAGTTTCGTCACAGCCAAAGTAGATCTAATAGCCCCACTGCACAGTTTCATTATAGAGACCATATGAAGGAACTCATGCTTGGCCTATAGTAGGTCCTACCTAGGAAGTATGGGGAGAGGGATCATTGTGTATATTGGAGAGAATGCCCCACAAGGGGTAGCCAGGGAGTATTCTTAGAATAGTTATTTCCTGGAAACTGGATGAAGACACTGGGAGGTATAACTCCAAACAAAATACCACACAAAAATACATTTAATGAATTCTAAGACATTAATTTTAGAGCACACTATTGATTAGATAACTTTTGAGGATAAAAAGCAAAGCTACCACATTAAATGTGGCGTATCCTGATTTGAAAACCATTAAAGTGTTTATCAAAAATGGGTGTATGGGTGGGAGAGGTGCCTAACAAGCAAAGGGCATTATGGAATTAAGGAAATCTATTATTGGCTCTGCCTCACAACTGGTATTCTAGGTACTAGCTCTACTTCTAAGAGAATGTTCTGCTAGTAATATTAAGCTAATATGCTACCCTTCTAGGATGTACCAAATGGGATTTAATTCAGTTCAATTGAACAAATATTTGTTGAGCCCTACTGTGTGTTAGGCCCTATGCTCTATGCTGGGGACACAGTAGTAAATAAGACAAGACACAGTCCCTGTCTTCACAGAGCTTACATGTATTAAGCAAGTCATTCCAAATGTGATGGATATAATAGAAGGGGACACACAGGGTGCTTTGAGAGAGAAGATGTGGAGATTATGACACATACTTTGGTAAATAATGTAAGTATTTTATATACAAAATCAATCCCATGAAGAGGTACTGAAATTATTGGGATTGTATAAACTAGAGATGAAGAGGCCAAAGGGAGTGTTATTATTGTCTTCAGGTATATGACATTTTTTGAATTTTATTTTGCTTTATTAAAGGATATGTTGGGCTGGGTGTGGTGGCTCATGCCTGTTATCTCAGCACTTTGGGAGGCTAAGGTGGGTGGATCACTTGAAGCCAGGGGTTTGAGACCAGCCTGGCCAACATGTTGAAACTCTGTCTCTACTAAAAATACAAAAAAAATTAGCTGGGCGTGGTGGCGAATGCCTATAATCCCAGCTACTCAGGAGACTGAGGCATGAGAATTGCTTGAACCTGGGAGGTGGAGGCTACAGTGAGCCAAGATCGCACCACTGCACTCCAGCCTGGGTGACAAAGCAAGATTCCACCTCGAAAAAAAAAACAAAAAAAAAACAAAAAAAAAACTTGGTTGAGTGTTTAGCCAGGGAATAATAAATAATAATAATAATGTTAACCTTTATTGCATGCTTCCTATGTGCTAGCCACCGTGACAAATACATTTTAAGTTGTATCTCATTTAATCTTCAAGCCACGTAATTACTTGTCTCTTACAAAGGAGAAAACTGAAGCTTAAAGACGTCGAGGACCTCCTGGGATTAAATTACCAGAGCCCAGATTCAGTTTAATCACTTATGATGAGGACGATCTCTGTTTTTCCATACCTGTCACAGATTTTTTAATGTTTAGAGTTCATGATTACTGAAGTGGTTACAAACTCAAATGACTAGAGGGCCAGGCAGGTAACACAGATGTAGATGGGAAACAATAAGGAGTAATGTGCAGGACTTGAATGTTGTTCTGAACCAAAGGCATTCAAACATTCAAATGCAGGTTTACTTAAAAGAGGGACAAACAAAGGAATCTGTGGGCCCTTCACCCCAGGAGATCAGTTGTTGGGGAGGAGTCATTTATAGGTATTTCTCATACTCACTTAACCTGATAGCCGTTTGTATAGCACTTATCATCTAGTATAGGAGTGAGTGTGTGTGTGTGTGTGTGTGTGTGTGTGTGTGTGTGTGTGTGTATGTGTTGAAGGGTACAGTATGGCACAGTGGAAAATGCTTGGGCTTTGTAGGTTTTAAAGATACCTGGTTTGAATCTTGGCATTGCTGTGTGATTTTCACCAAGTTGCTTAACCCCTCTGCTCTTAGTCTTCTTCTTCTTTCTTCTTTCTTCTTTTTCAGATGAAGTCTCACTCTGTTGCCTAGGCTGGAGTGCAGTGGTGCATTCTTGGCTCACTGCAGCCTCCACCTCCCAGGTTCAAGTGATTCTTGTCCCTTAGCCTCCTGAGTAGCTGAGATTACAGGCATGAGCCACTATGCCCGGCTAATTTTTGTATTTTTAGTAGAGACAGGGTTTTGCCATGTTGGCCAGGCTGGTCTCAAACTCCTGACCTCAAGTGATCGCCTGCCTTGGCCTCCCAAAGTGCTGGGATTCCAGCTGTGAACCACCGCGCCTGGCCTATTTTTGTTGTGAGACTGTTGGTTCCTTGCAGGTAGCTCTTAAACACATGTATCCCCGTCACTCAGCACACACTTGATGTGGCACACTACTTTTGCCAATTTAGTCACACACAAATCTGAAATTCTTTTCAGTAAGTAATGATAGCCATCAAAAAGCTTGAGGTAAATGAGAATGAGTGACTTGCCCCAAACCTCTCTCCCTGATTCTAATGAAAGTACGTCTCATACCTAATTTTGTCACATATGAAGACATTTATTAAATAAACATTTATAAGCATGGGACAATTCATATGGCTTATTCTGCAGGCTGGGTGAAGGCCCAGCTGTCCTTTAGGTAGTAGACTACCACCTTTCTGGAAAGGTTCCACTGGGGCGGATTGGACAATAATCCAAGGCAGTGTCTTTTTCCCCTCGTAATGGACGTCAAGTAGCTAGAAATCTGCTTCCCAAAGTCAAGACACAGGAACATTTAGGTTTACACCTTGGACCCCATCCCATGAGTGTCTTGCTGGAATTCGTGTACCCTGTTCATGCAGAGGAGGGTCTGAGTATAAAAATATTCAGTCAATCCACATGTCTTTAATACCATTAATTTTTGCCAGTGAACCAATTCTAATATCTATAATGCTGACTATCAAACTTCTGATCATCAAACTTCATTAATCAAAATCCATTTCTGACATTTATTATGGAATGAAAAAGTCTCCAGTGTTGCTGGAGATACTAGTAGCCTAAGTCCTTGTGGTAGCCCCTCTGGCTTGTGGGTTTTGCTGCTGATGAGAAGGATAACTGTTTTGAGCACAATCTCACTGACTCTAGACCGATGGATCTCAACCCAGGGTGATTTTGCCCCCAGGGAGACATTTGACAATGTCCGGAGACATTTTTTGGTTGTCACAACTGGTAATGAGAGATGCTATTGGCATCTAGTGTGTAGAGTACAGGGGTGCAGATAAACTTCATATAGTACCTGGGGCAGCCCCAACAACAACAAATTATCTGGCCCCAAATGTCATTAACGAGGAGGATGAGAAACCCTGCTCTAGAGTGCACTTAAAACTGACGCACATGCTTGCATGATATGACTCTGTGATGATGTATTTTAAAGTTAAATTACAGACTTCATAACACTTGCAGTAAACTCAGCAGTAAAGACTTGAATGAATTTAGGAATTCATTGTAATATAATACATGTGGAAGGTATGGATTTAGAGCCCAGTTATTTACAACCTGTGGTAAACCCAATGAATAACATAGCCTGCAAAAACTTTTCAAAAATGGGAGGCTTTGGTCTTGTTTACCTGGAGTATAGGGAGGGACTTCCCTTACCCAAGTAGTGGTCCTATAAATTACCATCTTAATGGATACTCTTGGCTACTGAGTCATCAGAATTTTAAATTTACTTTAGTATTACAAACATTCATTGAATGCCTGCTGTGAGCCAGAGGCTGTAGGAGGGTACAACAAACAATAAAATAGTCTCTGACCTGGGGGAGTTTATAGCACAGTAGAAATCATGCATAACATATCTTCACCAAGGCAACTTCCAATTACAATGTTCCAATAGCCTGTGATTGTAAAAATAACCTACAGTTTACCCTAGTTTCACTCCATGTGAAACCAGGCAGCTCTCCTCATTGCCTTTTGTATTATTTCCATGTGGTCTGAGCCATATAGACATTTACATATTTTGCCAAAGAACTACCAGATAGTAGTGGTGTAACTATTTTATCTAAAAAAGCAAAAATACATAAAAACTACAAATACTGAAGAGAAGTAGGCCCTCTGAAAAAACTAGATGTTTTAAAAGAGGATTCATAGAAAAGCCTCAACAATTTCACTCTATTGTGAAAATGTCACTTTCACCTCTTAAACTCTGGAACCAAGGAAATGATTGGCAGTGTCACCAGCATTGTTGGGGTCTCCAGCCTCCCTTTTTGCCTTTTTGGGAGCATGCCCTACCTGATCACGTGTAATAATGTGTCTTAGCACTTGCTACCTTAGCTAAAGGAATGCTCTTAGGACACCGCCAACTGCCCATCTATCCATCATTTCCCTTCACTGGAGATGGCACTCGAGGCAGTGTGGGTGGTTGCATAATTACTGACATGTCTGCATGTAGGAATGTGGCCTGAAACATTCTAAACTTAGAAACTATTCAGATCAGACCTTGTAGATGTTGTTTTTGGAGAGTGATAACTGTGGCATTCTCCAGGGCTTGTAAAATGAGCTCTGACATTGCCAACCATAGATTCCAGCTTTAATAGCGATCTGTTCAATGAGTAACCATAGTCCGGAGAACATTCATTCTTCTTTTTACAACCTGATTCCATCAATTATTATTTTTTAAATTGGGGTTTCACTTGGCTATAGGAAGATAATTTTATGGAAAGGGGTAAAAATTTGGTCAGCCAGGGGGAAAAAAAGGTAAAAATAGTAAGCAGGCTTGAGATCAGTTGTATTTTTAACTTTATATTAGCCAAGCATTGGAGTTCGTTTCCTTTCAACTGATTAAGTTACATGTCTATATGGTGAATAAACTTTGCAGAAATAGCAAAATTTGTCTCTATGTCACTAATAAATGATTTATTGTCTCTCTCAGAGTCATACTTATATATATTATAAAGAAATGTCTCAGAAATAATTTGTTTTTCTAAAACCGGTTTTATGTGAATTCTCAAGGCATTTTGCAAGTGTGGATTGGTGTCCGGGATAATTGTAATCATAGACCAGAAAAACCATTGTGACTTCCAAGAGTCACATGATCATACCTTAGTGTTTCGAAGGATCAGGTGGTTTAGCTCATTAGGAGGTCTCTTTTTATGAAGACAAATCATTTTTACAACTGAAGTTTTTTACTGACTGGGTACACTTTTGCAGTTGCCTTAATGGCTACCCAAAATGATACTATGATTAAAAATGTATTCTGGGCCAGGCGTGGTGGCTCTCGCCTGTAATCCCAGCACTTTGAGAGGCCGAGGTGGGCAGATCATGAGGTCAGGAGTTCGAAACCAGCCTGATCAACATGGTGAAACTCTGTCTCTATTAAAACTACAAAAAATTAGCTAGGCGTGGTGGTGGGCACCTGTAATCCCAGCTCCTCAGGAGGCTGAGGCAGGAGAATCACTTGAACCTGGAAGGCGGGGGTTGCAGTGAGCTGAAATTGTGACATTGCATTCCAGCCTGGGTGACAGAGCAAGACTCCATCTCAAAAAAAAAAAAAAGTATTCTGATCCTGGTTTTGGTTTACAAATTTAAGCTAAATGCATGTTAAAGGGGAGTCTCAGGTTTTCTTTACAATATGAAGTGCAATAGAATGAAATCCAGTTCACTGTCCTATTAATACAAAATAATATAATAGCAAAAACAGCTAAGAATTAGATTCTTGCTATGCCTTCAAAGTAAAAGCCTCAGATTTCTCTTTTATCTAGTCATAAGTTCAGCACAGAGGTAATGAATGCATGTAGGTAATGAATGAATTAGTTATAAGCTTGCTACCCAAATGCTTCTTACATGCCTGTCTGGCATTTAAACCATCTCCATGCCGTTTCTTTTTCATTTGAGCCCTATTTCATTGTTTTTGGTAAAAGAACAATTCTTTTGGATACAAATTGGATCATTTCATCCAAAGTAAAAGCTTAGCCCTGGTAAAATCTTTTCTTTTTTCCTTATTGCAAAGCCTTTGCCATGTTGGAATTGCAGCAAATGCCATCACAAACAACATTGTTGGGAGGGAAGTATGCCCTATTTCTTGTCTGCTTCCAGTTCTCTCCTAGACTGAGAGTGCGCCTTTCCAACCAAAGGGCTGCCATCTGAAGAATAAATTCATTTCAACAGTCATTAGAGCTGTCTGTTTGGTGTTTAGGAAGCTCTGGCTAAAGGTGAACTGGAGCAATTTTTTAAAAAGTAGATGACAGATATATTGAAGTAGGTCTGTTGTTTCCATGTGACATCACTTGGGTTCCATTCAAATTGGGAGCCTGACAGTGCCTGATTCAGTGTGTCCAGGATTTAAGAAGCAGAAAAAATATAGTTGCACTATATCTTTAGGTGGACTGACTTTGAAGCTCATCAATTCACCCAGCATTTATGGGACACCCAATGTGTACCTCGTACTGGAAAATTGTGGGCATGTTGGGGTCTTATCAGCTGATATTTTTACACTGGAATTTTCTGGGCTTTTTGAGCTTGAGTTTTGATTTTCTATGGCTTTTTGTGGTGAACTTCAGAAACATTTTATTCAAATCACCAAATTTTCTAACATTTTCAGTAAGGTATAAAAGAAGAACAAGCAATGTCTGGCTCCCCAAGTAACAAGCCTCAGAGGATTTCTAGAGAACAAGTCATACCAGGCAAAGTTGTATGTCTGTGTGCTTGTTTTAATAGTATTGCTAAAGGAGTGGATAAAGGGAAATCCAACGTTGAGTAACTTACAAGCTTTTCATCAAGCTTTGAAACTTGATTAAACTTAGCTGCAAAATGAACACTGTTTTCACTGAGTGACCACAGAGTGAGGGTCAGGGTACGGTGCAGGGTGATCAGCTATCCTGCCTAACTTTGGGAGGTAGTAGTTGGTAGACTGCCTCAAACAGAAGAGTCTTCCTTTTTCAATGTCATTATTAATCTAATAGAAAAAGCAGAATTTTCCTGGTGTTACTAAATTGAAATGAGCCCTAAACTATAGAAAATTTTAAGAAATAGTAACCAGGAGCCCAACCAATTAGAAATGAACAGCAGGGATGTTCACTAGCTTTTACCGAGTATTGTTTTATAGGTGAGAAAACTAAGTTTGAGGGAGGTAAGGTAACTAGCCAAAAGTTCTACAACTAATAAGTAGCATCACCAGTAGTCATAGTTAGATGTGGTTGACTCCAGTCACATGGTTATTCCATCATCCTTAAGGTAATTAAGCCCTAGTTTCAATATGATATGGCCATTAATATATCAAAATTGTTGCCTAAGTAAAGATGCCTTTGTGTTTATGTATTTACCTTACAGGAATTATACTTGCAAAGTATCTTTTATTCGCTTACTATTTTCACAGCTTTATTGAGATATCATTTACATATATTACAATTCAGTCATTTAAAGAGTATAATTCAATGATTTTTAGTTATTCACAGGATTGTGCCACAATTACCATAGTCTAATTTTAGAACATTTTAACCCCTCCTAAAAGAAACCAAACCCCCATTAGCTGTCACTTCCCATTCCTCCTATTTACCACCCACCCCCAGCCCTAAGCAACTATTAATCTACTTTCTGTGTTTATAGATTTACCTATTCTGGGTATTTTATATAAATGGAATCATACAATATGTTTTCCTTTGTCATAGGCTTCTTTTGTTTAGCATAACATCTTCAAGATTCACCCATTTTGTAGCGTGTATAAGTACTTGGTTTCTTTTTATGGCTGAATAATATTCCATTATATGAATATGCCACAATTTGTTTATCCATGTGTCTGTTGATGGACATTTGAGTTGTTTCTACTTTTTGGCTATTATAAGTAATGCTGCTATAACTATTCGTGAGCAGGTTTTTAAATGGACATATATTTTCATTTCTCTTGGGTGTATACCTAGAAGTGGAATTTCTAGGTCATATGGTAACTCTATGTTTAACTTTTTGAGGAGCTGCCAGCCTATTTAACACAGCAGCTGTACTGTATTACATTTCCATCAGCAATGTACGTGGGTTCCAATTTCTCCACATCCTTGCCAGCACTTGTTATTGTCCATCTTTTTACTCCTCTCATTTAATTTTCATAATCCTATGAATTAGCCAAAGAAAAATATTCATAATGCTATTTTATAGATAAAACCCCCATGTCAACAAGAATCCTATTATGTGTGCAAATAGAGGGGAAGAAGTGGCATGGATAATTCAAAACAACACATCATCCAAAAGTAGTTTAAAACTTTTTGAATCAGACACTTACAGCTATGTTGGATGTTAGAGATCATGTTTCCTACATTTTAAAGGTGATGAAACTAGAGCCCAGAAAAGGGAAGTAAATTGATGAACACTGACATAAAGCTGCTTGGTAGCAAAGTCAGGACTAGAAGCTCTGTCTCCTTGGTTCCCAGGACATTGCCTGTTCCAGCACAGCCTATTGCATTCTTCCCTAGGGGATGTATAAATTCATCCATATCATAGGAATGTCGTTTTCTTAACTCATTCATCTATGCTGACCTTTTATTACAACAAATCTATCTGGTTTATTGTAATAAATTTCAGGTATTGGGAGATTAGCGAAGCTGAAACCTGCAATTGGGGAGCTCCTGATAGAATTAGTTTCACATATTGCACATGATGAGACTGATATGCAGGCAGAAGGTTAATGCAGGCAGTGCTTCATAGTGACGTTTCTTGGGTCAGATTGCTTGTATATGAATTCTGGCTCTACTGCTTACTGTTTGACACTTTCTGTACTCTGGTCTTATTTTTAAAATGGGAGCAATAATAGTATATACCTCACAGTATTGTTTTTATAATTAAGTGAGATTATTTCTGTAAAGAGGTTAGCACAGCCCCTGGCTCCTAGATACCCTTCAATAAATGTTGACAATTATTATCACAAAACATTAACCTGCTCAGACCACTGAAAATGTTGTAATGTGAGATTTTATAGAAAATAAATGAATCATCCCCTTGAAAAAAGTAGCTTCACTAAAGGAGCAGGCCTAGAAAATGTCTGTTTTCTAAAATCTTCATATTTTTGAGCTATATGGAAAATAATAAAATTCTCTTTGTTAAGAAAAAAACCTTAGTATGTTAACTTCCCATTCTTACAAGTTATGAACTAATTTCCTTTATAATGTAACTTTGGGCAGTACCACACAACTTTGTGCAGAAACCAGCCAATTTGAATTGACCTCATGTTTAAAGCTGCGACAGTAGGAAAGCATAACTAAAGCACATATGCCTATCGTGGATGTAATGTATTAGTAGTGTTCTTCCTTAGTGTCTTTGCTTAAATATCAAGATGAAAATTCACTGGATTATTTTATGGGGCTGAATGTATAATTTGTATATTGGTTTATATTATGGGGCTGAATATATAATTTGTATATTGGTGTAGAAGAAAGGGCACCCAGTAGGAAATCAGAAGACAGGATTAGAATCCTAGCCCTTATCTTCCCTTATTCATGACCACAGGCAGTGTGTTCAGATGCCTGTAAGCTTCTGTTTCCTCATCGGGAAGTGGGGGGACAGGGGGTCAGCAGTTCCTATCTCAGAGGGTTGTCATGAGGACCACATGATAATCTGGGTATGACAGCCTTGCACACAGTGCCTGGCCCACAGTCAGTCCTCAGGAAATGACAGCTAAACAGCAATGTAGTGTTTAGGCAGTGGTAGTGCCACACATGAAATATGGAGGCAGATTCAATGGTAAGTTTAGGTGAAGAAATTGGACATGTCCGTGTTCACATAGTATGATGATTCATGTCTACTCTGCTGTTGCTGCTGCTGCTTTCCTGTAACCAATTTTAGAGCCTATCTTGGCAGCTGGAAGTATTTGGGATTAATTTCACACTCACTTTATGAGTTGAGCGTTTTCCTGCAAGCAGCTCCCTGGGCCTCTGCCTCATTACTTTGGCATCAACTGATATGTCAGTTGGACAGAGATGTCCTTTGGGGTCTCCATTTTATTTGGAAACCTTCAATTTGAAAAAACAAAACAAAGGCCATCAACACATTGTGCTTGAAATCGTTAGCATTTATTGTTTCCTAAACCCCTCCCTTTCTGTAGTTCTGTTGAACACTAGGGAACACACATCTTGCTCAGCCAGTGATGCACCCTTAAAAATCGCTCTCCCTCAAATTTAAGTCCTAGCAGCTGGTTGGCCTCATTTCTCAGTTCCAGGTGAGCAGCGAGATCTTCTAGGCCTTGGTCTCAGAGATCTGAATCTTGATGGGTGTAGTTTTTCCAGTCTTTTTACTATGTTAATTCTGTTAAATTCATTTGGCTCTTGTGGGGAACACAGTAAACTTGGCTGTTACGTGTAAAACTAAATTGAGAACATGGAGAGCTGTTTAGTATTTCATGCTGGCCAGTAGGTCAGGAAGATTTTCCTTGGGGGTAATTTACATAAGGAATTGTTTATCCCATTTCTTTCCAGTTTCTGTGACCATTTGGGGATAGCAGACTCCTTCCACAATGGCACAGGAATATATCCAATGAGACTGAGACTTAGACGATGCTTCTGTCCGATTGATATATTTTGGGCCTTGCTCAGGAAAGATCCTGTGGCTTGGACTGCTGTCTCACTGAGAAGTCATTCTTCCATAACAGCTGTGTTTAGCAAGTTGGGTGGGTCCATGAACTGACATGTTGTTGCACTTAGTGAGGATTTTTCCCTTGATAGTGAGGAACGTGTGTAAAAGCATCCTTTAAGTCCAGAAAATGCCCCAAATATTTGTTATGATCTGATAGCTGCTTAGAGTGCAGCCTCCATTAAGTAACACCCACACTCAGAATACTCTGTGGCTCCCCAGTGCCTACAGAGTTAAGTGAATGCTTTCACTGTGACATTTTGGTTCCTCTACAACAGTGCCCAGCCTACCTTTTTAATGTCATCAAACACTGTCCCTAAACTGGACTTATTCAATATCTATTCTTTTTTTTTTTGAGATGGAGTCTCACTCTGTCACCAGGCTGGAGTGCAGTGGCACAATCTCGGCTCACTGCAACCTCCGACTCCCTGGTTCAAGTGATTCTCCTGCCTCAGCCTCCCGAGTACTGGGATTACAGGCACGTGCCACCATGCCCAGCTACTTTTTGTATTTTTAGTAAAGATGGGTTTTCAACATGTTGGCCAGGCTGCTCTCGAATGCCTGACCTTGTGATCTGCCCGCCTCGGCCTCCCAAAGTGCTGGGATTACAGGTGTGAGTCACACGCCCAGCCTTCAATATCTATTCTTTAGGACACATTTCAGATACCTCTTCTCATTGGTGTGCTAGTAAATAGCTCTCTGGGGAAGAAGGGGAAGGGTAGGAAGCCTGATTTTGTAACATTTGTGGATTTTCATGTAGTAAATACTTCCACCATGGCTGATTTCAGGCTACCAATGTGAGGTCCCTGAATGCAAAGTTGGGAAGAAATGTAAACCGTAGCCCATTGCAAAGTGTTTCCAACATATGGATACAATAGGCATAAATAACCTCAAGAAACTAGATAATAGTAGGAAGTAATGAATGTTGAGTATTTATTACCTTTGTTTTAAATGTAATTTATTTAGTTTTAAGTTTATGTGATTTAATTGTTAGTAATGGCCATGTGTGACAGCTGGCTTGCAAAATTTCTGAAAACTGAACAATAGGTTCTTTCTCCTGATGTGGGAGGAGCTGACTGAGCTAGTTCTGGCATACCACTGCTTCTTTCTCTACCTCTTCCTTCCTAAGGCCCCCTACACTCAGCTAGTAGTAGTATGCCCATCTCTGAACCTACAACATGCTTAAGGTCTCAAACAAAATTTAGAGTGAGACACACTCCAGAGTTTGAATCCTGTTCTTTCATCTACTAGGTGATGGTCAGGCTGACTACTTATTTTGTGGATCCCAGTGCAAAATGAAAATGAGGGGCCCTTGTTCAAAATGCAGGAAGAAAGCGCTGTTAAAACCACTAAAATAAAAAGCTTTTTCTTTTCTTCAGTACTCTCTCTTTCACAGCTTCTGATGGTATTTTCTTATTTTCTTTTTAGTAGCTTTCTAAGTAAGAAAAAAACTAAAATTTCAAATAAGTAGCATGAATTTTACCATTAATCGTTACATTAATTCAGTTTTAAATGCAAGTATGAGCATTTAACTCATGAGTGCACATGACTCCTCTGCGCATGTGCATGCTCCATTGCCCTATCAATTTTACTTACAAAACGCAAGCTCAAAAATAAAATTACTAAGAATTTCAAGGCAGAGACAGCAGAGCGTTAAACAAGTTCAGGCCCGTCAAAGCTCGAGCACAGTTTGCACACCCTGCGTACAGTCCTGGGCAAATACCTTATATTTGCTGAGCCGCAGAGTTCTCATCTGTGAAAGAAAATATCAACTAAGTCGCAGGGGAGATGTGAGGATTGAAGGCACTGATACCTGTATGGCACAGGGCAGAATGCTTGGCATGCGGCCTATGTTCAATTAATTGGAGGGATAGTTATTCACATAATAATCGCAATGTTAGTGGAATTCTCCTTTATAGCCTATAGAGTCTTCCTTATGTGGTCAATATTTGCCTCCTTGACTGATTTTCCTATTACAAACTCTTTGAAGGTGGAGATTAGATCTGTCACCATTGAATTCCCTACAATACTTCCCGCAAATTCTTGCACATATCTGGCATTCAGTGGGTGTTTATGACCTTGATCCTTGTATGATTTGGACTTTTTGACAATAAGCATCTGTGTCATAATGTGATGGCCCCACAATGAGGCTTAATTGGTAACATTCACAGGAAGAAAAAGAGTATAAACTCAGACTTTAACAGGAGTCCGTTGTAATCATGGTGGGGGTGGGGGAGGAACACGATTCCAGGTGTTTTGGTTTAAGGAAAGTGGGCTCTTTCCATCTTTTCGAGGGGACTTCTTGAAGTAATGGGGAAGGGATGAGTTCCAAGCTCCGTTTGAGTAAAAGAGGCCCCAGGGATGTTAACTCTGGCCCACAGTAATCCGTCCCTTTGCTAACTTCTTTCACACTTACTTTCTGTTCTGCACAATTAGGACATTATTATAGTAATGTTTCTTCCCACTAATTGGCTGTGTATGTATGTTTTCTTTCCAACAAATTATAAGATCCTGTGGACTGTAAGATATTGTGTAGTTCTTTTGAATGTAATTGGGGAGTAGCACAGTACTAGGCACATAGCAAGCAATGCACTTTACATTATGCTACTCTTCGTTTAAACTTCCATGCCTCCCTGTAGAGCTAAATGTGAATTGTCATTGCCTTTTATAACTCCTGCAAGCCCTCAGCGAAGTGGCAAAGAATCTTGGTCGCCCCAGCAATTTCAGGCAAGGACCTTCAGTTGCTCTGCCTACATCTCTTTTCCAGTATCTCCGAGACACTCTGAGGGCTGTTTCTGTACAGCCCCTCTCCCAACATGGAATTTGGGAGACCACACAGCTGTACATTGTACTTGTTTGAATGATGATTTTTTAAAAAGCCCTTTGGGCCCGTGTCAATAAACCGTGAAATATCACCAAATGGATCATCTGCACCAGACTTCTGAAACTCATCTGAACTCCAGTCCCCCAGCTGGTGGGGGCTTGTAGAAAGGAGCTCATATGGCCCTGGCTTTTGCTAATGCTGTTCTGGGGACTGTCAGACGCCTTGAGCCTCTGCGGCAGTCAGTTCATTACTTTTAATGAGCACAAAATTCACCAAGACATTAAACTAAAATAAAACACCAATGGGAAGTTTTGGATGTTTCATCCAATTGTTGCTTTAGTTCTTTTTTCCACAGAATTATTCAAAAAGATGAAAAAAAGTCAATTCTACTCACTCCTGCCAATTTTATCCTAAGTAGATTTGGCATTGTAAAGTTAACACACCCTGAACTTTTTTTTTTTTTTTCTTTCAGGTCCCTGTGGGCTGGTGCCTGATATTTGTGTTAAAAATGACATTACTCAACTGGTCAAATGTTTGAACATTATCTACCTTTTAGATATAATAAAGAAATATTAGATATCTCAATACCATGTAGCATCTAAAGACTAATATTAGAGGAAAGCGATGTTCTGAAAAAAGTGTAATGAAGTTATTTTGAACTACAAGGCAAATGCAATTATTCTTCTGAGAATGTTTTAATTGATTAATTTATGTGGCTGGTAATAAAGACTGTGATAACTTTATTAGAGGTTACTTATATTACCATATATTGAAGAAAGTCAATAGATGGCAAAGCAGACACTGAACACTGTCCCTGCTAAGCTTATTTTGTGGATATTTTCCACTTCTGGCCATATGGATTTGGAATTACTGTGGGCATTTTTTTTTAAAGAAGGAAGTGAGCAGATGAATGATAACTCTTTTATTACTTAACATAGCTTGTGTTTGTGGAAGACAAAGTTCATCAAGTTGTCTTGAAGAAAAACAAAAGTGTGCCAGACATAATTTGTTGAGGGCTCAATAATTGTGAAATTATCCCTAACCGAAGTTTGTAATATCTGCAGGTAATTGCTCTAGCAGATGCAGTGGAGGAAAACCAAGGCAATCTGTTCCAGTCATTCACCAGGCTGAAGAGTGCCACCCATTTGGTGATTCTGCTGATCGCGCTGTGGCAGAAGCTTAGTGCTGACCAGGTTGCTATTCTGGAAGCGGCATTTCTGCCGCTACAAGAAGACACTCAAGAATTGGTAAGGACCTGAAAGCCTGTGGTGGGAACAGCCAGCATTATTGAAGTTTCGGCTTTAGGAAGATATCACATGGCTATCAGGTTTTCTAAGGTATCAAATAAGGGTTTGATTTTTTACAAAAATGCTGCTTTCCTTGTCTTTAAACCATAATAAAAATGTCAAACAAAGGCCTTTTTCTGTAGAGCTATTTTAAGAATAGGTATATAGTCAATTTTTATGTGGTCCAGTCTACTTTTTATGTGTTCTTCAATCACTTAGAAGCCAGGGAAACAGTCATTTGACAGTCTAGATGACAGCAGTAACCTTCAGATTAGCTAATCCTTTCCTTTTCCGCCAGAGAAAACACTTCGGCCATTTTAATTTGCTCAACCTTCTTAAATTTAAGTGTCACTTCAAAGGTTAGAGAGAATGGAGATAGCCTTGCTATAACTGATGTGAATAGTTCCTTACATTTATAGAGTTCTTTATGTGTAGTTTATAAACTCTTTTACCCTCAGTCCTAGCATAGGCAGTTTAGAATGAAAAGAGAAAAAATGAGGGTAGTATTTGGCATTTTCAGGAAAGGATTATTTAACTTAAAACCTCTGAGATCCTTTGAATTGTAGAGATATATATGACCACCACGGGCCGTTCTGGGGGACTTTTTGTGTGCTTTTATTTACAAAAGAAAATACAAATCTCGGAAATTAGAGACCGTTGAACTTAGTTCTTCGTATTGGATGAAAACATTTCAAGGGGAAATCATTTCAAATCCATTTTAAAACCTAGATTTGAGAACTAAAAATAGTAATATTAAAATGAACAATTTTTTTGAGTGGTTATTAGGTACCAGGTGTTAAGTGTTTTGTAAGAATTATTTACTCTTAAACATGGGCCAGTGAGGTAGTTAAAGTACTGTTTCCATCCCTGTTTTACCTATGGGAAAATTTAGGCTTTAAGAGTTAAGTACTTTTCTTAACTCTTTCTGTCTGCCTATATTTTAGTGAACAGGATCATGAATGTAATTTTGAAAACCACAGTTTTATCAGCTGAATTGAATATTCTACAGTTAGGTCAGAGGATTGCCAGATTTTTTTTTAAAAAAGAAGCTATATTTTATGTGCTAACCAAACTATTAATAAGTAAATTGGAAAAAGTTAGAATACACATTTTTGTTTAGTGGTGAATGATATATTATAAGGTGATTGACAAAATTGCGACTAAAATTGACCTTTGAGAAACTAGAAATGGAGACACAACTGTAATACTAGAAAATAAATAATGGTTAGGATTATATTAATAAGAATGATAGCTGTCACTTATGAACTCAGATTTAGTAGTCAAACAGGTTTGGGTGACTTCAGTTATTGGTTCCACCACTTGGTGACAAAATCACTGTGGTTCAGTTTCTTAACTGTTCTAAATCTCTCTTCTGTAGCTGTAAGATGGAAACAATAGTAGGACCTACCCAGTAAGTTGTAATAGGGATTAAATGAGATAATTACATAGAGTGCTAAAGATTAGCAATCATTACTGGAAGTGATTTGTACATTTTATGTATATTATTTATTGTCCTCACTAAAGTTATGCAAGATCAGTTTTTTTGTTTGTTTGTTTGTTTGTTTTTTCGTTTTGAGATGGAGTCTTGCTCTGTTGCCCAGACTGGAGTGCAATGGTGTGATCTCAGCTCACTGCAACCTCTGCCTCCTGGGTTCAAGCGAATCTCCTGCCTCAGCCTCCAGAGTAGCTGGGATTACAGGTGCGTGCCACCATGCCTAACTAATTTTTTTTGTATTTTTCATAGAGACAGAGTTTCACTGTGTTGGCCAGGCTGGTCTTGAACTCTTGACCTCAAGTGATCCTTCTGCCTCGGCCTCCCAAAGTGCTGGGATTACAAGGCGTGAACTATCACATCTGGCCCAGTCTTAGTAACTTTCATGGTTATTTGTCCATCTTCACAACTACACTTAAGAATGATAATATCTTATTCCTTTTTATATCCTCAGTACCTGGCACAGTGCCTGAGCACAGAGCAGTCAGTATTTGTCGGGTAGATGAATGAAGGAAAGGGTGAAAACTAACAAATGGTGACCTCAAAGAATAGATGCAGTGGATGTAATCTGGAGCATGAGGAAGCGGGTCAGGGCCAGCTACATAATTTGCAAGGCCTAGTGCATAATGAATACTTGAACTTCCTTGTTCAAAAAGTAGGGGAAGAGGTGATAAAGTGCTGTTAAAACACGTACTAAAAGCAAAGCTTTTTTCCTTCTGCAGCATCTCTCCTGACTTGTCATGGCGTTTTTTATTTGCTATTTTATGTTCTAAGTAAGAAAAATAAAAAATTTAAATTGTTAGTGTGAATTTTACCATTGGTCTTTGTAATGTGCAGTGCCTCTTTGAAATACAAATATGACTGCATTAGACTCATATGCAGAATCAACAAAATTACACAATTTATATTTTGTAGCTTGTACTTACACATATATTTTGTTCTTATAGAACTGTGGAATCACCAGACTTAACTTTTTATTTCATTTCTTGATATGTGCCTATCTTCCAGTGCTCTCTACCTTCAGCTTACTGATGAGAAAGGAAGGACTGAAAGGAAAAGGAACTATGTATCACTCTTTTTCTTTCCTTCTATGTTATCATTTTCACTGTAAGTGATTAGGTAATACAGGGGAAGTAACAGGAGTAAGAAAAGATACAATGGGCTTCTTCGGTCATTCCTGTTGCTTTGAACTCTGTTGCCTTCCTTCTTTATTCAAAATATGTCTGGTTCTCATGGAAAGCCTCTCAGGGCTACCAGTGTCCCCACTTAATCAGTCTAGACATAACATGCCTTCCTTGTAGTTGCTTTGAGTCTCCCTGAACCCCTACTCATCATGGGGCCACAGGAATTCAGAGCTCATGGGGCTACATGTGAATGAGACAGAAAGGAGAAAGGGGGCATGCATACTGCATATATCTTCCCTTTTTATACACGTGCTTCATTGCTCCATCAGAGTTCACTTAGGAAACACAAATTCAGAGGTAAAATTATTAAAAATTTCAAGATGGTGACAACAAAACATTAAGCCAGGCAGGGCTGGCAGGTTGTCCTTCTGAGCATGAGCCCCTTTGTGACTGCAGAGCTTGAATGCTCATGAAGCTGGCCCTGAAGCATGGTTAGACTCAAAGGAAGACTTTCCTAGAAATAAATGTTCTAAATGTAGGAATTGGTACCCAGAAGAGATTGTGGTATTTCTTACTTGAGAGATCTTTAAAAAGTCTTATTTATCTGGGAATATGTAAGCATGCTTATCCCTGTAGGCAGGTGAATGGACTTAGTCTCTCCTGAAAGCCCCTTTCTACCCTGCCTGTACATTCTCTGCTGTCATAGCCCCCAAAACATGTAGAAGAAAATTCTTTCAACTCTCTTCTGAATTCGGTGAGATTAGAAGGTATGTATACTCATTATGTCTTTGGAGTCATTAATGAGACAAAACATTTGATAAAAACATAACTTGGAGAAGAATGAATCAAAAAAGACATTTTAATACTGCTTGTTATGCTCTTCATCTTTAATTAGGTTGTGGTATTCACTTCGGACTTATACTGTTGAGACAGCTTATACATCTTGAGAAAAAAGGAAACCTTTTTCATTCTTTAAGACATACGCATGCAGTATGTGGTTTTGACATGCTAGTTCACAATCCCCCACATTATGCCTTTAGACCTCACAAATAAATGTTATGTGATGGGTATCCCACTGAGTTGTGAAAATGAAATATGCAAACCTGAAATAACTTGGAAGAAGGGTGAGGCAGGGAAGAAAGGACTCTCTTACCAGAATGTTGAAAATATATCCCATATTGAAGTTATTATGATACCACAAAAATCTGAATGTAATTTAGATGGTTTGGTTGAGGGTGGATGGCAGAGTACATGTGTGAGAGGGAAAACTTTAGACATGTGGACGACATTTTCAGAAGAGCCTCTCAGCTCAAGGTCACATGTCCCCACAAGTATTGAGAGGTAAAAGAAAGTGCTCAGAAGATGTTTTGTTTATGTTTCAGACAGCACTGTGTAATGATTTGTTGTTATTTTGATGGTATGTGTTAAAAGGCAGCCTAAATGCAATAGCCAACCGTGGAGTGTTTTCTCCCTAATGACATCAGGTTCACAATGCAAAAATATTTAGAATGTGCTATTGCTGATGAAAAGTAATGTTCTCCACACTATATTGTCAGTATTTTGTTTAAAATGCCATTTCATTTGGAGCAGAATTAATCGTTGTCTGTGATCTGTCTCTTTAATGATGCCTTTCCATTTTTGTCACTCCTCAATACTATTTTGGGGCAAATAAATGCTGGTATATGTAAATTTTTAAAAGTGCTCAAAGTTATATGGGCCAGATGTGTTTTTGTGGGGATACCCCTTTTCATGACAGAAGAACATTAAGTATTCTATTTGGTGTCTCCTAAAAAAGCTCTTACACTTGGTTCCGTTTGATAACCTAGTATTGTCTCTACCATCTTCCTGTGATGATAAAGAAGTGTCACCCAAAATAATGTTCTAGCAGAGTATCAGATTGGGCAATTTTAAAATAAATTGTTTTCATATCTTTCAGGTTAGGGGCTGGAGATATTTCAGGGTATTTGAATTCTCAATGCAGAATTTAAACATGTCTCGATTGACCCTCTGTCTGCTTGAAGTTCTATGGAAAATACTTTATCTGCTAAGCTCAGTGAGGGCTGTGTTACTGGTTTGAGTCTGAGAGAGTGTTGAATTGTGGTATTATACACATCTCCCTCTAATCATGCTGCACAGAAGCCAAAAGATGCAAAACCATCCATACTTCAGGATGGCCTGATAGGACAAATCTCTTTACTCATTTATTCATTCAATGAAGATCTTAGCACATACTATGTCTTAGGCAGTGTTCTAGGCACATAGCATACCTCACTAAGCAAAACAGACTTAGAGCCAATCCTTTGTGGATTTACTTTAACATTGCAAGCAAACATTCTAGTCCTGTGCTGCCTAATATGGTAGCCCCTTGTCATGTGAATTTAAATAAAAAGAAATAAGAACACACTGGCTGTATTTCAGCTACCCAATAGCCACATGTGAATGAGTGGCTACCACATTGGATAGCCCAGATATAGGACATTTCCGTTATTGCAGAAAGTTCTGTTGCATAGCACTATCAGTCGTCAAGAGAAAAAACATCTTATCAGTTGAGTTGACCACCTCAGCACATTTTAACACACTAATGAAATTAGGGTAGGATACTGACATTAAGTTATACCATGGTGTTTGCATTTGCAGTACCTATTTGTGATATCCTAGGTTCAGCCTGTTCAGATGTGCAATAACCAGACACTTTTAGGAACAAGAAACTTCTCTGGGGAGATGTATGCATATAAGAGAGGCAAGAAGCTGGCACAAGTGATGCTGTTCCTATTCCCCCATGTGGCCTTGGTAAACATTGTAACCATGATTAATTTTTTTCTGTTGAGCCTGCACGTGGTCTCAGAATCCTTTTGAATACAGCATTCTAGGTGGTCACTGTCACTTAGAGTTGGTATGTAGATGAATCCTCTTTGCCCTTCCTGATCTCTGTACAAATCTCCTTCTCATTATCTTAGTAAACAGCTTAAATGACTAAGATTCTTCATCCAGCTTATGGCAAGAGAACAAGAAGGAGCAGTTTTGATATTTCCAAAACTGCCTGTATCAGATGTCTGTTCTAATATTCATTTATGCTCACCTGACTCCAGAGGAATCTCTAATGAAAAGAGCAATAGTGCACTGGTTTGGGGACCTGATTGCATAGAATCCCAGAGTTGGAAGGAATATTAGCACATTGTATAGCATTATGCCTGTTTCTTTTCTTTTAAAGTACGTTCAATGTCTTTACTAGATATTATCTATAATTTGAAGAAGGAAAGCTTTACTGTGTTCTTAAGGGTTTAATAGTTACCTTCCCTAGTACTGAACTTAAAAATCCCCTGGGAAAGTTAGGATGGAAATTTACATCAGTGGGGGAAGGAGACTTGGGCCTTCAGCCTTATTTTTTGATTGATTATCCCTTTTACAAACTGATATGGAAAGAGAAACTTATTTATAACATGTTCAGCATGGTTCATGTGAGAAAACAGATGTTTATAATAGGAAATGCTATTGTGTGGAGGGAATTATCAAAGCTCACTTACAAGGTTTAAAGACTTCTACGTCATAGGTCAGGTTTAATGTAAGGGCCATTGTGCTTGCTGTCTGGGTTGAGTGATGACTGCGATGGCTAATCATTGCCGTTATTAATGACCTCTTCTTAAAAGGCAAACAAAAAGAGGAAGTCTGGTGTCAGTATTAAGTCTGCCTTTGTGACTGTTAAAGTATCATCCCAATTATAACTGTCTATGGGAACACAGTGCAGAAAGTAAATATTTTGGTAATTCCCATGATCTTAGCCAGCAAGATAAACATGAAAGAACTAGTTTCATGTTATAATGACCACATACCCTGTGTTGCTGCTAGTGAGATGCAACTGATATTACTTAATTGTATAATATTCTGCCTCACTACAGTTGAATATGGTATATCTTAGAGGCTTTCTGATGGTTTTCTTGCTGTTTTGAAAAATTGAAATAGTTGAAATACTGTAGAATATAGTATAGGATAGAAGTCAAGTAGAATACAATGCACAAGTTGTGATGTGTACTTTAAAAAACTTTCTTTACATCAAATATTGAATGGTGCTTTAATGGACACATTTGGTATTTATGCATTTTAAAATAAGGAGACTAAAAAAACAAATAAAGAATTAATTGAAGCATCACTTTCTCTGTATGCCTTTTCAAATCCTCTGTGAAATAAAGTAGGATTTAAATGTGAATAAGGTAATAATTAAATTCAAACAATCACAGTGAGGAAAATAGTGATCATCATCAACTTCATAATGCTTACCAATTTTATTCCTGGCTAGAGGTGTGTTTATATTAGTTTAGTTTTCTTAAAATACTTTTCCCTGACCTAGTTTGAGTCTGCTAATTACAAAGAGATGATTTTGACCTTTCTGTGACAGTACATTGTTTTAGAAACATATACATGGAAATTGCTGGCCTTCGTTCCTTTAAAAGCAGCACGCCCGCTGTGCTGTGGACCACAACATGTGGCTCTGTGTCTCCCTGAATCTCCGTGTTCAGTTCATCTCCCTGGCCCGCTGTTGTTCATTTGGAAATCTTTCTGGAAACGCCCCTTGGCTCAGGCCCTGTTTTTCCACCTGACTTTCTGTGTTGGCATCCGAAGTAGCCTTTTTGCCCATGTCTCTGCATTGGTGTGCCCCTCACACCTTTGCTGGACTCACAGCCCAGTGCTCTCCCATCACACACCTGTGTACATACTTTACATGGCTCTTTTGGCCCCTGTTCAGATTGAACTCCAGTGCCAGGCATTGAGTACCTTCAGTCACTTGGCTCTACCATATCTCATTTCTAAAGCTCATTTTATGTGACTCCCCGGCTACCCCCTTCATTCTGGGAAATGTGAACCATGGGTACACAGCTTCTTCCATCAAGCCAGAGCGAAGAAGGATTTTTTCTTCACTTAAAATTGTGTCTCCTGTCTACCCTTCCATCTATTCTCTATTCTCTTTAAGAAGTAAATCAATGTTCATTTCCTCCCTCTTTATTCTGGCTTCCCATTCTCTTGTGAATTTCACTTGGATGGTGTGATGCAATTTATTTCTCATTAAGTACTCTAAAATTATTATATGTACTTGTCCTATATTCTAATAAATATAAGGAAATATTCTACATTCCCACAGAATTAAAGCAATTAAACATATAGTTGTATACAAGTATTGCTTGATACTCCATGTATTTTCATAATGTCTCACATAATTACAGATGCTTGTCCAATAACTGTGTAGTTTTTAATCATTTTTTGAAAAGGAAGTATACTACCTCTGTTTCCACACCCCTCCCCTTTTTCTAAGATACCTCAAATATTTTTGGGTTTTATAAGAACAAAACCTGGTCTCTCCTGTACAGATGCTAAAAGATATAGATAGATTATAGTCAAACCACCATAAATAAATATTCACATACATGTTCATTCACATATCCTCATAATTCAAGTCAATATACACAAAAATTTCCAATCTTACCAGTGATGAATATATACAAGTGAAAGCAACTGTTAGGTACACTTCACCTATATTGATTTAGCCAAATTTGTTAATATATAGTGCTGACAGACATATGGTGAAATCGACATACCCACTTATTTGTGATATGGTCTTTCCTGAGAGTCCTCTAGGAAAATGTCAATCATAAAACTAATCTTGTACTTGGCATCAGTCATCTAACTTAATGCACTAAAAGCAGTAACCTAAAATCCATTTGGTACCATAATGTTTACATTTAGAATTTGAATTATGAAGCACTGAAAGCAACCTAAAAGCTAATAGTTGCAAAATATAAACTGTGGCATATCAGTTGAACAGAATTAGGTCAGACTGGGGTTCAAATCCCTTTTGGAACAAATACTTAACTAGCTCTGTGTCCTTAGCAAGTGGTGGAACTCACGGAGTATTGGTTTCCTTATCTGTACGGTGGTGAACTAGACTATTCCCCAAGGACTGGTTCTGCTTTGGAGAGGTGAGAGTGGCCATTCGGATTTGATTTCAGGTTGCTTTCTTTTTATATTCTTACTGAACCAGCAAACAAACAGTACAGAAGGGGAACATGATATTAAGAAAGTTAATGAATATGGTTCTTTAGTGCCTTTCTCATCAAGGGGTGACTGGAGTTTGATGGAAAACATAGTCTGTACAGAGTGAGGAAATGGCCATTTCTGAGGTGCTCAGAACCACAGGCTCACCCCTTTCACAGGGTTAGGATGGGAGCTGTTACAGGGAGTTTCCTGTACTTTAAAAAAGTTAAACAACAGAATCCAGCCTTTGCTAGCTTTGGGTACTGTAAATGATTTACTGTAACATAAAACACATCGAGTGAGAAAAATATAGAATAAGTTTTTTCTTCTTCAATAAGATATGCAAATATATATCCAAATTATGTTGCTTACACAAAGTAACTAAAAATGGCGTTGCTTGTTTGGTCTCAATGAATTAAACCACACATTGAGTTTCCCTGGGTTATCTTCACTATCATTTCAGATTCAGGGTTTTGGTTCTTAATTACTGATATCCTTTGGAAGACAATAATAATAACAACAATAATAATACAGTGGTGCTAAATGCTGTAAAAACTGCATTAGATGCATGACCCCATTTGGCATCTACTTTTCAAAGGTGTGCATGTTTCACGAGGACACTCTATATATACATCTTAAGGCTTTGTAAGGACTAATTGAGATAAAGTACATGAAGTTCCAAGTAATGGTGCCTGGCATGTGACAGGCATCCAAGAATTGGTAGTTACTATTGCCACTGTATGACAACAATGCCATCTACTCTAAGTTATGGCATTGCTTTGTGGACGAATCAGGAAAAAAAAACCAGACACTGCCAATTAAACTATGATGTAATAGTTTTATCCCTTACTTTTATTTTTGTTTTTGAAAGAGCTCTCTTAGACTTATTTAGACATACATTTTATCATACATTACTCTTGTGCCTGAATAAGAAGAAAGATACAAGCAACATAAACTGAGTAAGGTATCCCTGAAACTTCTTCACATTCAAAGTTTGATTCCCCTAAATCATGGCAAGTCATTAAACTACAGCTCATCGCTGTGTTTTTCCATGTAGCATTGTCCCTCCCGTGTACTATAACGAGCATTGTTGATGCGGCATTTCTTGGGTGTGCCACTGTTGCCTTCATGATTTCTTTTTTCTGAGCCTCTTATATCCTTTCAAAAACTTTCCTTTTCGACTAAACTCAAAACTTCATTTTTCCTCCTCAGTTGAACTGTACGTTGCCTGAAGTTAAGAAGCCTCTGTTCAAAGTCAGCAAGAAATTTTAGGCAAATTGATGTTTAATGCTCTCACAATAGTCCTACATGATACATTAATTAATTAAACCACATCTATTTCAGGGATTTGCCAGTTTTTCCTGAGCTTAGTTGTATTGCTTGACCTTGACATAGGTTAGTGATCTCTGTGCGTGTCTTTCAGTAACAAAGCATAACACAGTTTATTCTATCTGGATGTATTTTCTTGTCTCACATCCTGGAAAGCTTTCAGCTTAGCTTTTGCTTTGTGAGAAAATATGAAATTGCTGTCATTCTTCAGTCATGAATGTTTGCCTCACTCAGTTCAACTTTATACTTCTAACTACACTATTTCCATACCTTTCTGTGCACACAGTAACTTTTTTGCTCAATGATAAGTCATGGTGTGGTTTTAAAAGATAATTTAAATGGTAATTAATTCATTGAGGAGTATTAACATTGCACACAAGTCAGTGGACGTGACATAATATGAACTGCTAAGATAAAGGCTGTACATGCTCAGGCAATGAAAACTATAGCATGACCGGAACCTGAAAGCCAGAAGTTATTATATGCCACTGAGTATAAGACACAACCCTACTTCTGAGATGTGGGGGAGAAATGTCCTATAATTGATGGAACATAGGCCGGGCGCGGTGGCTCACACCTGTAATCCCAGCACTTTGGGAGGCTGTGGCGGGTAGATCATGAGGTCAGGAGTTCAAGACCAGCCTGGCCAAGATGGTGAAACCCCATCTTTACTAAAAATACAAAAATTGGCCTGGTGCGGTGGCAGGCACCTGTAATCCCAGCTACTTGGGAGGCTGAGGCAGGAGAATCACTGGAACCCGGGAGGCAGAGGTTGCAGTGAGCTAAAATTGCACCACTGCACTCCAGCCTGGGCAGCAGAGCAATTTCATCTCCAAAAAAAAAAAAAAAAAAAAAAAAGAGTTGATGGAACACATTTGTAAGCACAGAGTAAAGAAATTATCACTGTAGTCTTGTTTTAATCAAGAGGGAATTTATGAGTGGTTTGAATTGGGGACAGGAAGTTATAGAAAAAGGCAAGTCCATGACTTCCTATCTTGGAGTAGGTGTTTTTGACTAGAAGCACATTTCATATACAATAAATAGGAAAAATCTTACCAGTTGTTGCTTTTTGAAGAGAAAGCCATGTATAAACAGTGAGAAGTAGTCAAGACTGAGTCTCTATTGGTATCATTTTAAATTTGGTCTATTGCCTAACATAGGAAATTTAGGTTTAGATCTCACTGATAAGTAGTTTGTGAGAACCGAATGAACACAGATCTTCTCACCCACAACAATGAATAAGAATTTGTGGATGAAATCACTAACAGTGTTAACAGGAATATGTTTCATTTTTTGCATTTGGAGTGGTGAAACTCCCCAGCTGCCTGAGAAATAAAAATCTAGCTTGTATTGTTTAACGGCAGTTGTTAGTTCCTTTCTAACCTATTGGGTCTGAAGTCAAGGTCATAAACATTGGTTAGCAGTCTTAGAACTAAGTCCAGTGAACTTCACTAACTAGATTTCTCTATTTTGTAAAGAAAATGGGAGAAGAGTTAAACACACACCCAAATAAGATATGCCAAAGGAATATAAGAAAATTAACTTTTATTGAGCATTATTATGTGCTAGGCATTGATCAAGGACTTTTCATATGTTATTTCATTTAATCCTCACCATGTCCCTTTGAAGTAGGCAGTGGTAGCACATGCTGTGCATGTCCCATTCCTATCTCTTAACCTCTCACCATTCCTGAATGCTTCCACCTGCTCAACACCTGCAGTTTTTTGCCTGAGGGCTATCCCTGTTTGGCAGAGGCTACATAGCCACCATGCTCAGCCAATGACTGATAGACTTAGTAGATTAATGCCCAGGTTCCCTCATCCTTTATGCAGGGTAAGTGTGAGAGTTATGTTATACACCATCCTCCAGAGTTCTCTGGCAGGAGTGAGCACCCGTTGCCGCTCAACAGCATACACCCTTTATTGCTTTTTCTCCACTTTTCATCACGTTTTGCCACTCCCCATTGGCACTTCTTGGCTCTGCTCTCAAGTCAACTACTCGGGCTTTTATCTTTGTCTCAGGACTATTAGTTCCAATTTATAGATGAGGAAATGAGTCCAAGGCCACATATCTAGAAAATAACAGAGGCAAGATTTGAACCCACACTAAGGGGCCTAACAAAAATGAACAGTCTGACTCAATGGAGTAACTTTGGATAATAGGAGTGACTGCTCCAAGTATTCTCAATGATGAGTGCCTGATCATACTGAATTTTTACTCTTCTCCAATCTATTTAACAAGGATAAATGTAGATTTATATTTTGTAGTTATATGTGCATGTGCTTAAGCGTATACCAGAAAAATGCTGGCACATTTAATCAACTCATGGCTTGCTTCATATAACACTAAAACAAACTCAAGCTATATAATTAATTTTTGTACAAAACTGTTGGGGAAGTTTTATATTATTTGTATTTACAGTATTGTATAGATCTTTCTGTCATGAATAACTTTTATTTGACAAATAATTCTTCATATTATTCTAGGATGAGGCTAGGGCATGAGAGCTAAAACAAATAATTACTAAAGCACTTTACTGTACTTCTCTAAGTACATTCCATTTTCTACATCATTATATTTTTGTATATATTCTTTTTTTTTTTTTTTTTTTTTTTTGAGATGGAGTCCCACCCTGTCGCCAGGCTGGAGTGCACTGGCACAATCCCGGCTCACTGCAACCTCTGCCTCCCGGGTTCAAACGATTCTCCTGCCTCAGCCTCCCGAGTAGCTGGGATTACAGGCGTGCGCCACTACGCCCAGCTAATTTTTGTACTTTTAATAGAGACGGGGTTTCATCATGTTGGCCAGAATGGTCTTGATCTCTTGACCTTGTGATCCGCCCGCCTCGGCCTCCCAAAGTGCTGGGATTACAGGCGTGAGCCACCGCGCCCGGCCTATATTCTTATATTATCACTTGAGTGTCAGCTACTTCAAGGTAGGATCCATATCTGATTCACCTTTTTGGAAGAAAAAAACCCCCCATAGTATTTAGTGTGTCTTGTGCTAGTTGGCTCTAAATAAATATTTTTAAAATAAATGACTGTATAGACTCAAATTTAAACTTTATTTGATAGACAATGATATTTAAAATTAGGATGAATGTGTGGGTAAACATACTACTTCATCACTATTACTCTACAGTTTTGAGATTTGTGCTGCTCCCCTACTGTTATCTTAGCTTGATAGCTGTGAAAATTGACACTAACATTGAATGATGTGCAGCTCTGTCATTCCAGATGCAATTCTAAATATTTTTTTTCTCCAGACTTGATTTCTATTTGAAGAAAATAGAAATAGAAATCTAGCATATGGACCTTCTGGAACTGTTTCATATCCATTGGCGGTCTTGATCAAGAGAGAAATAAATAGCCATGTCTTAAAATAGTGAAGTTTCTGGGTGGTCCTGAAAAATCCAAAGTAATTAAAGAGAGGAGAGAAAAAAAGAAAGAAAAGAAACCTGTACTGCTTTTCACTTAAATCAGTGGTTTCATGTATTTTTAGACACGTTTTTCCCTGAGTTCAGTCATTCCTTGTTCTTTGAGATTATTAAGGACAC
The DNA here is from genome assembly GCF_000001405.40 of Homo sapiens. Lineage (NCBI taxonomy): Eukaryota > Metazoa > Chordata > Mammalia > Primates > Hominidae > Homo > Homo sapiens. Next base: position 33,519,210 of record NC_000007.14, read on the forward strand.
ATCATTGTCAGGAGAGGAGTTGGTACCTTTAGCTTACTCACATGGTTCTTCTCTTGTCCTAGGTGGCAATAAAGTTTTCCCCAGACTCTGTCAAATATATGGGCACCTGAGGAGTCTTATGTGACCCCTTGTGTTGTATGTCTTGATAATAGGAGTAGCTGCTCCAAGTATTCTCAATGATGAGTGCCTGCAATGAGTGTTTGTACTTCAGATTCATTAGAATCATGTCTGACCATTGTTATGTTTTCGAGAGCCATGGTGTCCAAAGGCTATAACCATAATGTCAGTTACAGTAGTCTATGAAGGTGCTAAAAGCTTTGGTGGACTCTTGTAAAAGTTTCGCCCAACCAAACTGGCACAGAGCATTGTGCTTTTTTTTTATTATGCAGTAAAATCTCATTTAATTATATGCAAGTTATTCATTTGGATAAAGAAGCTGATTTAAATTTTGGTTCTGCGAATATGTTAATTATGACCATGAATCTTCTAGGGGAAGAAGTCATTTCTGAAGCCCAGTAAAGTAAAAGGAGCCTAAGCAGATCTAATGATAACAGATTGAAAGACAAACATAACGAAATGGGAAAGACGGGCTCTGGGCCACAGTGGTCAAGTGTGGTATTTACAGCTATATAGTCCTGGATTATATTACAGCTCCCACTTTTAATAATTATGACATTTTCAGTGAAGTACCTTACATCTAAATCCTCAGTTGGAAGTTATAATACCCACTCATAGGGTAGTCGAGAGAATTAATTGAAATAATATTTGTAAGATTCTCAGCACATAAGAGGTCTGAAATAGGTTTTTTTTTTTTTTTTGGATGGAGTCTTGCTCTGTTGCCCAGGCTAGAGTGCAGTGATGCGATCTCAGCTCACCGCAACCTCCGCTTCTGGGGTTTAAGCGATTCTCCTGCCTCAGCCTCTTGAGTAGCTGGGATTACAGGCACCTGACACTGCACCCAACTAATTTTTGTAGTTTTACAAAATACAAAACGAGGGTTCACCGTCTTGGCCAGGCTGGTCTCGAACTCCTGACCTTGTGATCTACCTGCCTCGGCCTCCCAAAGTGCTGGGATTACATGCGTGAGCCACTGTGCCCGGCCCCAAAATAGTTTTTACTTCTGTTGCTGTTGCTGCTATTTCTGCTGCTGTTATTCAAGTGAACCCGCACAGAAAAGATAAACTTTAGAGAGAACTCTCACAAGTAAGAATAATGGTATGGGAATAACTACCTACATTTGCTAAATATGTCTCATTAAATCTTAGTAAGCATCTGGCAAGGAAAATATTGTCCTGGTTTTTTACTGATGAGGGAACTGAGATACAGAGAACTAAAATAATTTTCCCAGAGACATTAAGCTTATGTTTAAAGCTTAAATTTTCTCAGAGACATAAAGCCACAGTCTAGGTCTTCTGACTTGTAATCCAATGTACTTTCATGGCCCATACTTCCCCTTATGTGGAAATATATAAATAAGTGCAAGTCATAGTGTGAGATGGTGAATAAGTGAAGGCTCAGTGTTGCAGGCCACATAGCTAATGACCACAGAGGAAAAGGCAGCCTTAAACTCAGGGTTCGTCTTTCTTGGGCCTCCATTGTCCCCTGGCTCTTGACCTGGTAATTTATCACTATCTTGTTAGCTTTCCTGTGCCTTCAAAGGAATGATTTTTATATGTTCTTTTCCAGTTGTTCTCACTGGGAAATCTGGTCCAAGTGATGTAATTTACCACCACCAGAAACAGCTTTCCCCTGGATTTGCATTATCAATTTGATTTACCAGTCTTTATTTTTTTTTGTAAGTTGCTTCTGAGTAGTGCAGGTAACTGGAAGCTTTTGCCTGAACTAAACTTTAATGCTTAGTCAAGGTGACTGGCTCCATCAGACATCATTAGTATTTTGCTTTGTTTTAAAACTCATTATCTCCATCCAGGATCACGTTTTATAATAATTCAGGTAATCTACTTTGTGTTCCTCCATCTAAAGAATTTGGGGTTGGAATGGGAGTACAGGTCAAATAGAAATGTTCCTGGCAAAATATAAACTTACAAAAGGGATCAGAGTGGGTTGGTTTGCAGCAGCTTTCTGCTTGCACTGCAGCCGAACCTTCTGAAGGTCTCTTAGCTTGTATTTGTTAAGGAGGTTTTAGATTTTCATCCAATAGGAGGCAGTGTGCTTGATTTTCCACAAAATGGTGTGGATAAACTTGCACACTGCTCTACCGTTGGTTGAAACCTCAATTAAGTTTTTTCAGCTTGTGAGTTGTGACAAAGATACGGAGAACTCCAAAAGTCCAATAGATTGTTTCCATTTAAAATAAAAAGGAATGGTACTGGGGAATGAGAGTTAGTAGATTACATGTGGAATTTTCTTCATTTTATGATGAGTTGAAAAAATTAAAGCTGATTTTTTTCAGTGCTTTATTTTATAAAAACATGAATATGATTTTAAACTTAAGATGGCATATAGACCATATAACTTGCTTTCATTTTTATGTTATTTTATTTTCTATTTTACATTCAAAGGGCTGTTTTCTTTTTCTTTTTTTTTTTATTATACTTTAAGTTTTAGGGTACATGTGCACCTTGTGCAGGTTAGTTACATATGTATACATGTGCCATGCTGGTGCGCTGCACACACTAACTCATCATCTAGCATTAGGTATATCTCCCAATGCTATCCCTCCCCCCTCCCCCCACCCCACCACAGTCCCCAGAGTGTGATATTCCCCTTCCTGTGTCCATGTGATCTCATTGTTCAGTTCCCACCTATGAGTGAGAATATGCGGTGTTTGGTTTTTTGTTCTCGCGATAGTTTACTGAGAATGATGATTTCCAATTTCATCCATGTCCCTACAAAGGACATGAATTCATCATTTTTTATGGCTGCATAGTATTCCATGGTGTATATGTGCCACATTTTCTTAATCCAGTCTATCATTGTTGGACATTTGGGTTGGTTCCAATTCTTTGCTATTGTGAATAATGCTGCAGTAAACATACCTGTGCATGTGTCTTTATAGCAGCAAGATTTATAGTCCTTTGGGTATATACCCAGTAATCGGATTGTTGGGTCAAATGGTATTTCTAGTTCTAGATCCCTGAGGAATCGCCACACTGACTTCCACAATGGTTGAACTAGTTTACAGTCCCACCAACAGTGTAAAAGTGTTCCTATTTCTCCACATCCTCTCCAGCACCTGTTGTTTCCTGACTTTTTAATGATTGCCATTCTAACTGGTGTGAGATGGTATCTCATTGTGGTTTTGATTTGCATTTCTCTGATGGCCAGTGATGATGAGCATTTTTTCATGTGTTTTTTGGCTGCATAAACGTCTTCTTTTGAGAAGTGTCTGTTCATGTCCTTTGCCCACTTTTTGATGGGGTTGTTTGTTTTTTTCTTGTAAACTTGTTTGAGTTCATTGTAGATTCTGGATATTAGCCCTTTGTCAGATGAGTAGCTTGCGAAAATTTTCTCCCATTTTGTAGGTTGCCTGTTCACTCTGATGGTAGTTTCTTTTGCTGTGCAGAAGCTCTTTAGTTTAATTAGATCCCATTTGTCAATTGTGTCTTTTGTTGCCATTGCTTTTGGTGTTTTGGACATGAAGTCCTTGCCCATGCCTATGTCCTGAATGGTGATGCCTAGGTTTTCTTCTAGGGTTTTTATGGTTTTAGGTCTAACGTTTAAGTCTTTAATCCATCTTGAATTGATTTTTGTATAAGGTGTAAGGAAGGGATCCAGTTTCAGCTTTCTACATATGGCTAGCCAGTTTTCCCAGCACCATTTATTAAATAGGGAATCCTTTCCCCATTGCTTGTTTTTCTCAGGTTTGTCAAAGATCAGATAGCTGTAGATATGCGGCATTATTTCTGAGGGCTCTGTTCTGTTCCATTGATCTATATCTCTGTTTTGGTACCAGTACCATGCTGTTTTGGTTACTGTAGCCTTGTAGTATAGTTTGAAGTCAGGTAGTGTGATGCCTCCAGCTTTGTTCTTTTGGCTTAGGATTGCCTTGGTGATGCGGGCTCTTTTTTGGTTGCATATGAACTTTAAAGTAGTTTTTTCCAATTCTGTGAAGAAAGTCATTGGTAGCTTGATGGGGATGGCATTGAATCTGTAAATTACCTTGGGCAGTATGGCCATTTTCACGATATTGATTCTTCCTACCCATGAGCATGGAATGTTCTTCCATTTGTTTGTATCCTCTTTTATTTCCTTGAGCAGTGGTTTGTAGTTCTCCTTGAAGAGGTCCTTCACATCCCTTGTAAGTTGGATTCCTAGGTATTTTATTCTCTTTGAAGCAATTGTGAATGGGAGTTCACTCATGATTTGGCTCTCTGTTTGTCTGTTATTGGTGTATAAGAATGCTTGTGATTTTTGTACATTGATTTTGTATCCTGAGACTTTGCTGAAGTTGCTTATCAGCTTAAGGAGATTTTGGGCTGAGACAGTGGGGTTTTCTAGATATACAATCATGTCATCTGCAAACAGGGACAATTTGACTTCCTCTTTTCCTAATTGAATACCCTTTATTTCCTTCTCCTGCCTAATTGCCCTGGCCAGAACTTCCAACACTATGTTGAATAGGAGTGGTGAGAGAGGGCATCCCTGTCTTGTGCCAGTTTTCAAAGGGAATGCTTCCAGTTTTTGCCCATTCAGTATGATATTGGCTGTGGGTTTGTCATAGATAGCTCTTATTATTTTGAAATACGTCCCATCAATACCTAATTTATTGAGAGTTTTTAGCATGAAGGGTTGTTGAATTTTGTCAAAGGCTTTTTCTGCATCTGTTGAGATAATCATGTGGTTTTTGTCTTTGGCTCTGTTTATATGCTGGATTACATTTATTGATTTGCGTATATTGAACCAGCCTTGCATCCCAGGGATGAAGCCCACTTGATCATGGTGGATAAGCTTTTTGATGTGCTGCTGGATTCGTTTTGCCAGTATTTTATTGAGGATTTTTGCATCAATGTTCATCAAGGATATTGGTCTAAAATTCTCTTTTTTGGTTGTGTCTCTGCCCAGCTTTGGTATCAGAATGATGCTGGCCTCATAAAATGAGTTAGGGAGGATTCCCTCTTTTTCTGTTGATTGGAATAGTTTCAGAAGGAATGGTACCAGTTCCTCCTTGTACCTCTGATAGTATTCGGCTGTGAATCCATCTGGTCCTGGACTCTTTTTGGTTGGTAAACTATTGATTATTGCCACAATTTCAGCTCCTGTTATTGGTTTATTCAGAGATTCAACTTCTTCCTGGTTTAGTCTTGGGAGGGTGTATGTGTCGAGGAATTTATCCATTTCTTCTAGATTTTCTAGTTTATTTGCGTAGAGGTGTTTGCAGTATTCTCTGATGGTAGTTTGCATTTCTGTGGGATCGGTGGTGATATCCCCTTTATCATTTTTTATTGCGTCTATTTGATTCTTCTCTCTTTTTTTCTTTATTAGTCTTGCTAGCGGTCTATCAATTTTGTTGATCCTTTCAAAAAACCAGCTCCTGGATTCATTGATTTTTTGAAGGGTTTTTGTGTCTCTATTTCCTTCAGTTCTGCTCTGATTTTAGTTATTTCTTGCCTTCTTCTAGCTTTTGAATGTGTTTGCTCTTGCTTTTCTAGTTCTTTTAATTGTGATGTTAGGGTGTCAATTTTGGATCTTTCCTGCTTTCTCTTGTGGGCATTTAGTGCTATAAATTTCCCTGTACGCACTGCTTTGAATGCATCCCAGAGATTCTGGTATGTTGTGTCTTTGTTCTCATTGGTTTCAAAGAACATCTTTATTTCTGCCTTCATTTTGTTATGTATCCAGTAGTCATTCAGGAGCAGGTTGTTCAGTTTCCATGTAGTTGAGCGGTTTTGAGTGAGATTCTTAATCCTGAGTTCTAGTTTGATTGCACTGTGGTCTGAGAGATAGTTTGTTATAAATTCTGTTCTTTTACATTTGCTGAGGAGAGCTTAGTTCCAAGTATGTGGTCAATTTTGGAATAGGTGTGGTGTGGTGCTGAAAAAAATGTATATTCTGTTGATTTGGGGTGGAGAGTTCTGTAGATGTCTATTAGGTCCGCTTGGTGCAGAGCTGAGTTCAATTCCTGGGTATCCTTGTTGACTTTCTGTCTCGTTGATCTGTCTAATGTTGACAGTGGGGTGTTAAAGTCTCCCATTATTAATGTGTGGGAGTCTAAGTCTCTTTGTAGGTCACTCAGGACTTGCTTTATGAATCTTGGTGCTCCTGTATTGGGTGCATATATATTTAGGATAGTTAGCTCTTCTTGTTGAATTGATCCCTTTACCATTATGTAATGGCCTTCTTTGTCTCTTTTGATCTTTGTTGGTTTAAAGTCTGTTTTATCAGAGACTAGGATTGCAACCCCTGCCTTTTTTTGTTTTCCATTTGCTTAGTAGATCTTCCTCCATCCTTTTATTTTGAGCCTATGTGTGTCTCTGCACGTGAGATGGGTTTCCTGAATACAGCACACTGATGGGTCTTGACTCTTTATCCAATTTGCCAGTCTGTGTCTTTTAATTGGAGCATTTAGTCCATTTACATTTAAAGTTAATATTGTTATGTGTGAATTTGATCCTGTCATTATGATGTTAGCTGGTGATTTTGCTCGTTAGTTGATGCAGTTTCTTCCTAGTCTCGATGGTCTTTACATTTTGGCATGATTTTGCAGCGGCTGGTACAGGTTGTTCCTTTCCATGTTTAGCGCTTCCTTCCGGAGCTCTTTTAGGGCAGGCCTGGTGGTGACAAAATCTCTCAGCATTTGCTTGTCTGTAAAGTATTTTATTTCTCCTTCACTTATGAAGCTTAGTGTGGCTGGATATGAAATTCTGGGTTGAAAATTCTTTTCTTTAAGAATGTTGAATATTGGCCTCCACTCTCTTCTGGCTTGTAGGGTTTCTGCTGAGAGATCCGCTGTTAGTCTGATGGGCTTCCCTTTGAGGGTAACCCGACCTTTCTCTCTGGCTGCCCTTAACATTTTTTCCTACATTTCAACTTTGGTGAATCTGACAATTATGTGTCTTGGAGTTGCTCTTCTGGAGGAGTATCTTTGTGGCGTTCTCTGTATTTCCTGAATCTGAACATTGGCCTGCCTTGCTAGATTGGGGAAATTCTCCTGGATAATATCCTGTAGAGTGTTTTCCAACTCGGTTCCATTCTCCCCATCACTTTCAGATACACCAATCAGACGTAGATTTGGTCTTTTCACATAGTCCCATATTTCTTGGAGGCTTTGCTCATTTCTTTTTATTCTTTTTTCTCTAAACTTCCTTCTCGCTTCATTTCATTCATTTCATCTTCCATTGCTGATACCCTTTCTTCCAGTTGATCACATCAGCTCCTGAGGCTTCTGCATTCTTCACGTAGTTCTCGAGCCTTGGTTTTCAGCTCCATCAGCTCCTTTAAGCACTTCTCTGTATTGGTTATTCTAGTTATACATTCTTCTTAATTTTTTTCAAAGTTTTCAACCTCTTTGCCTTTGGTTTGAATGTCCTCCCGTAGCTCAGAGTAATTTGATCGTCTGAAGCCTTCTTCTCTCAGCTCGTCAAAGTCATTCTCCATCCAGCTTTGTTCCGTTGCTGGTGAGGAGCTGCGTTCCTTTGGAGGAGGAGAGGCCCTCTGCTTTTTAGAGTTTCCAGTTTTTCTGTTCTGTTTTTTCCCCATCTTTGTGGTTTTATCTACTTTTGGTCTTTGATGATGGTGATGTACAGATGGGTTTTTGGTGTGGATGTCCTTTCTGTTTGTTAGTTTTCCTTCTAACAGACAGGACCCTCAGCTGCAGGTCTGTTGCAATACCCTGCCGTGTGAGGTGTCAGTGTGCCCCTGTTGGGGGGTGCCTCCCAGTTAGGCTGCTCGGGGGTCAGGGGTCAGGCACCCACTTGAGGAGGCAGTCTGCCTCTTCTCAGATCTCCAGCTGCGTACTGGGAGAACCGCTGCTCTCTTCAAAGCTGTCAGACAGGGACATTTAAGTCTGCAGAGGTTACTGCTGTCTTTTTGTTTGTCTGTGCCCTGCCCCCAGAGGTGGAGCCTACAGAAGCAGGCAGGCCTCCTTGAGTTGTGTTGGGCTCCCCCCAGTTCGAGCTTCCTGGCTGCTTTGTTTACCTAAGCAAGCCTGGGCAATGGTGGGCGCCCCTCCCCCAGCCTCGCTGCCGCCTTGCAGTGTGATCTCAGACTGCTGTGCTAGCAATCAGCGAGACTCCGTGGGCGTAGGACCCTCCGAGCCAGGTGTGGGATATAGTCTCGTGGTGCGCCGTTTTTTAAGCGGGTCTGAAAAGCGCAATATTCGGGTGGGAGTGACCCGATTTTCCAGGTGCGTCCGTCACCCCTTTCTTTGACTCGGAAAGGGAACTCCCTGACCCCTTGCGCTTCCCAAGTGAGGCAATGCCTCGCCCTGCTTCGGCTCGCGCACGGTGCGCACACCCACTGACCTGCGCCCACTGTCTGGCACTCCCTAGTGAGATGAACCAGGTACCTCAGATGGAAATGCAGAAATCACCCGTCTTCTGCGTCGCTCACGCTGGGAGCTGTAGACCGGAGCTGTTTCTATTTGGCCATCTTGGCTCCTCCTCTCGGGCTGTTTTATTTTTCAAAGGTGAATTGCTCAACATTTTGAGCCCTCTTTGCATGACAAGGGGATTTCACTGATTACAGTCAAGCAAATAATATTTGGAAATAATCTGAACCTAGATGTTTCCTGAAAAGGCCCTGTACTTTCCAAGATATTTAATTTAGAACTAAAGTACCAAGTTTTATTTGTTCTGGGGTTTACAATAACCCATTATACGATTAGCTTTAGATATAATATTTAGATATAATCTAATAAGTATTTAGATATAATGTAATACAATTCCATACAATATGATACAAAGTAATAACCATAATCTTCTGTGGATCAATTATAAATACCAAACACTTTTCATTTTGCATCCTTTACATCTATTGAAGAGGAAATTTTTTTCCCTTTAATACAGTTTGTTATTAAGATAAATGAATATGATATGAAGGTTGTTTCGCCTTCATATATGCAATGCAACATGGGCCATTTCTGAGAGTCTTCTCTTTTCACTTGAAATCTGGACTCCTGCCACAAAATCTCCATTTGTTCTTTTAACAGGTCTCGTGGTTTTTTGTTTGTTTGTTTTTGTTTTTTAACCTTTTCTCTCTCTCTTAGGTTTAACTGTGTACACATTTGGTAATAAATGTTACTGTGGCATTTTGTGGTTTTTCCCTATACCACTGTAGTTAAGGATGTGGTAGTGTTTCTATTATAAACATAGGTTTGTAGGAGTTTATAATTTGTTTGAAAAAAAGTTTAAGGATATTACTTGGAAATTTAGATTTCAATTACATACTTCTATTTTCTGATTTTAAAAAAAAGTAGGATTGAATATATTTTCTCATTTCATAGTCTCTTCCACTTAAGATTTCAGAGTGCCGTACCACTTATATAAGTTTGGCATAATGAATAGTGTTATTGCTGTTTTGTGGAGACCTCACGTGTACCCTAGAGAGATTAAATGAGTTATCTAAGCTCACACAGTGAAGGGGCAGATGAGGTGAGTGAGGTTAAGTCAGAACTCAGGAGCCTCGGGACAGCTATCATCAACTCAACTGTTTTGATTCACAGGTGGCATGGGAATACTTTCTTAGTTTATTTTGTGCTTTGGTTACTTTGGTCGATACCCTAGGAAATTAACTTTACAAGTGTGGTCAAACTTTCTGCTTCTTACTGTTTCTAATAAGCCACTTGCTTGATCTGGTATTTAGGCCTATTGACCAGTGGAGACTAGCAGGGTAGTAAAGCAAAGCAGTCAGAAATTCAGCTGTGGCTCTCTGGTCTCTGGATAGCAAGAAGCATAGCTCAGCTGAATTCAGTCAGGAGGAGCAGACTAGGCAAGGCCAGGTCCTTGAATTTAAAGAGCTGGCTCACAGAAAAAGGGCACACCAGCAATCACACTGGTACACAAAGGCATCTGGGACCAGCATGGACTGTAGGAGCCTCTGCACAGGCTGGTAAGATGTGGAAACAGGGGACTGGGCAGCCATGTTGGGGGATGCATACAGCAGGCAACTTGGCATTGGAGAAGTCAGGTAGCAGGCAGGGCCTCGGCCCCTGAGTCCGGTTCCTTGGAGGGATCTTGCAGAAGCTAGGCAGCTATCTATCAAGGAGTGACACTTTCAGCAGGCTCCTAAGGCAGGGGCTCTGGTAGAGGACTTGGGTAAAGCCAAGGTCTGGAAACAAAGGAAAACCCAGTTATCAATGCTAGACTAGACAAAGTAAACCAAAAAATCCCCACAAAACCCAATGGATAAGTTAATTTCCAATAACGACAAGGGCTGTGGAAAAGATAAAGTAGTGTAACATGCACATTTAACTAACACCTTCTCCCTTCCCTTCCCTCCCCTCCTCTCCCATCCCCTTCCCTTCCCCAGTTGCCTCCCACTCCCCCACCGCTGTTGTTTTCTAAAAGCCATACACAGGTCAACCTGGAATTTACAGCAAATTGTGGATTTGAGGACTATAACAAAAATCATTTCTCACTGAAGAGCACATGCCCAATTCCCTTCCAGAAATTTTTAGTGCTATATTTCCCAAATTAAGATTTTCTTTTACTCTCACAATATAAGACAAAAATACTAGTATGATTGATATTTATCTTTAAAAGATAAAGGTTAGGTATGTGCATGTAGTATGTGTATGTATTTAGACATTAAAACTGAACATTAGCCTTACCAATTTAAGGGCTATGAATAAAGGTAATGAGCTCAAATACCAAAAAGGTGTTTAAAATAGCTTACCTTTAAGGTACTTCTCACACCTGAGATTCTAGATTCCACAGTTTTATTTCATATTTCCATAGGTAAGTATGCTACATGTTTGATCAGTGAATTATCACATTGTATTTTTATTTAACAAAACTCTCAAAGGCTCTTTTTTTGTCTCAGAGATATTCCTTTTAGTTTTATATTTGAATTTATGTAGCAATTCAGTCCCTCCAAGTAATAACTCTGTATTTTAGTGGCAATCTTTCTAAAGTACTGGCATCATGCCTCATCTATATTAAAGAAATATACCATGCCAAATACCTAAACATGACATGGTTTTTGACTTGATCTGCAAGTTGGCATCAGGAAAATAAATTCTGTAGTACTCTGTATTAACTAAATGTCATATCTACTTAAATTATCTAATATGTTACTGTAATCTATTTATGATACAGTAGTTTGCTTAAATGAATGACAGTATGAACTATTTTAATGCTGAAATGACTGCAGAGCATACAAATGCCAAATTATATTCAAAGGATTTTTTTCTTCTTTACTCCAGAGGTCTTTGTCAATGGCTCCAATTGAAAACATGCCCTCTCCAGTGATGTCTGGGTTACTATTTTGTCTTCATTTATCTCTTCCCATTATTACTGAAATTCAAACTCAATTCTAGATATTAGTCTAGTTTAGATTTTGGTAGTAGTAAAGAGATGTCTTTGTAACAACCAGTGTTTATTATTCTTTAGTGATTTGGGGTAGGAAGCTGTTTTTATGGTCTTTTAGGTCTCTTGAATCTGTTGAAAGGATTTTCAAGATGACTTTAAAATCATTTACTTGTTTCCTAACTTGCCTAGTGACACCTACAGGTGGGTCAATAGAAATGGGCCAATAGAGTGAAAAGTCCCGATTAACCCATTATGGCAATCAGTGGGAAGTTCTCTAGTGGAAATATGTAGAGTCTGCACTTTGATCTGAAGAACCAACTGCAGGGCCAGACATGGTGGCTCATGCCTGCAATCCTAGCACTTTTGGAGGCCAAAGCAAGCAGATCATCTGAGGTCAGGAGTTCAAGACCAGCCTGGCCAACACAGTGAAACCCCATCTCTACTAAAAATACAAAAATTAGCCAGATGTGGTGACACCCGCCTGTAATCCCAGCTACTCAGGAGGCTGAGACAGGAGAATCACTTGAACCTGGGAGGAGGAAGTTGCAGTGAGCTGAGATCACGCCATTGCACTCTAGCCTGGGCAACAAGAGCTAAACTCTGTCTCAATAGAGAGAGGGAGACAGAGAGAGCGAGCCTCATAAACCTAGAAGAAGAGATGTGGCAAGTGTGGCAAAGACCTGGGGCTTAGGTGTCAGTGCACTCAATGTGAATCAAGAATGTAATCCAACTGCCAAGAGAGCAGAGGCAACTGGAGGCCAGGCTGGCAGGAGAATTCCTAGAAAAAAGGAGGGAGGGCTGTGGGATACCTACACTCCAAGCCGCAGCCCAGTGTTTTGGGGTCAGTCTGGGGTTCTCTATTTAGCTGTATAAATTTTTAAGTGTTTCAAATTGGAGCTCATTCAAAGAAGAGTGGTCAGGATGGAGAAAAAACTTGAAACTCAGTTTATATAAGGAAGAACTAGAGGAACTAGGATGTTTATTCTGGAGGAGAGGGTACAGAATTGCTGTCTCCACAGATAAAATGGGCTGTCATGTAGAAGAGAGGTTAGATTTATTCTGCATGCCTCTGGAGGGTAGAAGAAGGGCCAATGGGGTAGACTTTGGCTCAGTGCGGGAATAGTTTTCTGTTGGTTACACATGTCCCTGAAAGGAGTGAACTGCCTCAAAAAGTAGTGATTTTGGATCTTGAAGACAGCTATGCCTAGGCAGATGGTTGCCGTTGTATAAATGATCCTGGGAAAACCCCCACGAGACTAGACATAAAGATCTCCAAAGCTCTCCCAACTTTAAGGCCCTGGTTTTATATCTCACCATCTCTGTGCAGCAAACATATTTCTTGACCATCCTCTGTATACCAAGAACAGTGTGGGGATGTGGAGAACTCCAGTCACTCTCAGGGAATACCAGACATGCAAACAGCACCCACGTCACAGGGTGACAAGAGCTATGATGCATCTGGGTGTGTGAAGTCTCAGAGCCCCAAAGAGGGCCCACCCATCAACCCTTGGATGGCAATGCCTGAGCAAGTCATTAAATGGGAGTTGGCCAGCTAAAGAATAGAGGTTAGGGCATTGTAGCATGAGCGACGGCCATGTGCAGAGGCCTAAGGGAGAGACAGTGTGGGTGCAGGTGGATGGGAACAGAATACAGTGGAGCAAGAGCTGGAGCAGAAAGTTCCTTAAATGCCAGTCTGACCATTTGAATTTAGGAGTTTGTATTAGTCTGTTCTCATGCAGCTATAAGGAAATACCTGAAACTGGGTAATTTATAAAGAAAAGAGGTTTAATTGACTCACAGTTCTGCATGGCTGGGGAGATGTCGGGAAACTTACAGTCATTGCAGAAGGAACCTCTTCACAGGGCAGCAGGAGAGAGAATGAGTGCCAGCAGGGGAGATGCCAGATGCTTATTAAACCATCAGATCTCATGAAAACTCACTATCACGAGAACAGCATGAGGGTAGCCACCTCCATGATTCAGTTACCTCCCACTGGGTCCCTCCCATGACACGTGGGGTTATGGGAACTACAAAATGAGATGTCGGTGGGGACACAGCCAAACCATATCATAGTTGAAGCTTGGGAGTAACCTTATCTGATTTGCATATTTGAATGGTGGCTCAAATGATAAGTTTGAGGATGGAATGATGGGTTCCAGATGAACCTTCTCTCTGAGTCTCAGGGCTCTTACTTCTAATATAAGGGACTTGCACTGTTCCGCAGTATTCTATGATCATAAATTCATTTCTTGTCGTTCTTTATAATTGTATTGGATGGTCAGGCCCATGGTGCTCTAGGCCTTACCAGCCTTTGTGTACAGATGGAGTCACATTCACAGCAACACCCAGATTTCACTCATGCTTTGCTTCCTTGTTCTGCTTCTTAGGACCTCCAGATCCCCACAAAGATCTTACCCAGTTATTCCTGGGAGCCTCTGGGGATGCCTAAAGGGAGCTCCTAAACTGACCCCTCCTGCTCTTTACCTCATACTCCTTGTTGCCAGTGTTAGCTGAACCCACCTGAGGGTGGTGCCTCCCCATGCCAGTCCTGCTGGTGCCAGTGCTCTCCATGACAATGCTGAGGTCCCTGCCTTGTGCTGACGTTCCTGAATTGCAGCTGTCACTGCACTTTTCTAGGTTTTTCACTGCAGCGCAGCCACACTGTTCCCAACAAAAGTGGGGGCAATGGCCTACTTCCTGTGGGTCATTTACCGTCACCTGGACAGTGAGCAGTACTAGGCAGGCCCTGTGTCTCACACGATCCTTCTTGCAATAGCTCCTTTGTTTCTGCCTATAACCCCAAGGCTGTGGAACCAGTACCTGAGGGAGACACCAGGGTTTTCCCTCCATTCCAGTTTCCCCCAGGGTATCCAAAGGTCCTCCTTCTCCTGGCCCGCTTTCCTTTAGCCGAAGATAAGAAAGATAAGGCAAAACAAACTATAATCCTAGCAGCTTTACCCACCAGATCATTAAACAGACGTGTGCCTGATACTCTTTTTGTTGTTACTCATTACTCTATGCCTGGCTCAGAGCTAAACCCTTCTCATAGATCTCCAACCCTTGGAGGGACAGACTGTTAACATCCTCATTTGTAGATGAGGATGAGGCTAAGAGGAATTAAGTAACTTGCTCAAGGTCAAACAGGTGACAGAGCCAGAATTCCAAACCAGCCTAGTCTGGAATATTCCAGATACCACACTCTTCACAGGTTCCCAACACTTGAACATAAACACTCAATAATCTGTATAATACATCAAGTGCCCACTTTTCTTATTGTCATCTTTGTATTAATTCAAAATTGGCTTTTGTATCCAGGGCTGGGAAGAAACGGTGGATGCCGCCATTTCCCACCTGTTGAAGACTTGCCTGTCGAAGAGTTCTAAGGAGCAGGCTTTGAACCTCAACAGCCAGCTGAACATACCCAAAGACACAAGCCAACTGAAGAAACATATCACCTTGCTCTGCGATAGATTATCCAAAGGTGGCCGTCTCTGCCTAAGTACCGATGCAGCAGCCCCACAGACCATGGTCATGCCAGGTAAGAGCTCTGTCCATGCTCCCTAATCACAATTGTACTTCTCCTAAATTAGAGGAATGTGCCTGTGGTTGTATTTGGGGTTTAAATTTCATATTAAAGTGATGATAGCCAAGAAAATTGATTTCACGTTTCCCCTCTGACATCCCAGGGTAACCCCTTGAATAAATATCCCTGAGATATTTGCTTGCTAGACATTTCCAGAATGGTATGTCTTTTTTCTTCTCTCTGCTTTTAAATATATGATCCATTTTGTTTTGCTTCTAACTAATAAAAAGTGGATTAGAAGATAAACTATTTTTAAGAAAAAGTTTTACTAAATGTGATCTCGCGATACAATATTTCGTAAATGTAAATAGCATGATACAAGCAACTAATGTAATCCAGATGAGTCCAGTCTCTTCTGCTGTTTGCTTGGATTGTGGTCATCAGAATAAGGGGGAAGAGACAAAGTGAAAGATGAGGATCAAGAGATGTGAGCAGGCTTCAGAGCCCAGGCACCCATGGGCCAGCAAGGAGAGAGATTCCACTTGCCCCTCCATGGGCAGTCAGTGATGGTCGTGGGCACCCAGGGCTGTCCTTCCCATGGTCATAGGGGCTGAGCAGTCAGTCGTGCAGCCCTCAGGTCTCTTAGGCGCAGCAGTTCCCAACTCCTGTTTCCCTCTTCCTAGCCTCTCTGTGGCAGCAGCAAGGAGCATTACATCAATGAATTAATTGATGCAGCAGCTATAGCATCTCTTTCCTCCTACAGCAAGAACCACAGTGTGGGAAGTGGTGTGGTTTTCTCTTCTTCCTTCTTACATGCCTTTTCTTTACTTCCCCGCCCCCATTCCCTCTCTGGTAGTCTTGCTGTTGCTTCCTTTTCCCCCTCACTCAGCATTCCTAGAAGTGAAAAGGAATGCAAGTGAAATTGTAAAAGATAAACATGGAGACAGCATAGCATGATCTAATAGGCACAGACTGTGGAGACAGACAGAACAATGCTTGGATCCTGCCTCTTTTTATCCATTACTACTTATATGACCCTGAGTATGTTACTTTCTTTTCTAGAGTCTTCATGTCTTCCTAAAAAAATGAATGTAATAACGCTTGCCCTGCCGCTGGGGCCCTATGAGTTTATCAAGCACCTAGCACAATGCTTGGAACAGAGACACTCAAAAAATTTAAGCTGTAATTATTATCGTTGTTATGGATATATGCATGATTCAGCCTTTAAATTTAGAGGTGGAAAAATAGCTGGTTTGGGGTTATGGATTCTATATTCTATGATTTGAATATCTTTACCTCAACTATACATAGGTAGAAGCCAACTTTATTCCAAATAATATTTTTTATTTGGCCTTTTATAATAGAAATGCTTTTCTATAGAGAAATAGTTCTGACATTGTTTGCCTTCATTTAGAACCTCTTTATCTTGCCCTGTAACACCCTCTTAACTGTTCCACTTGTTCATCTTCTGTCCACTGTTACAGGATTGTTTTCCTAAGAGATATTTAGGCTTAATGAGATAGTAAATGAAAACTATTCATTATAATCAGTATCAGTTTATGACTCTCCCTCCCTGCTTGCCCACAGGAAAAACAAAGGAGACTTGAGGGAAAAGGGCAGATACATTAATTTTACAAAAAAGAGAGAGAGAGAAAAAAAATTTGAAGAGGGATGGGATGGCCCATCTGATTGGCTGATTACCTGTGAGTTCAGGCTGCAGCAGCCCCAAATTCTCTTCTCAGGTCCCTGTCTGAGCTTTCCTGTTCAGGGATCCTCAAATCCCTGTCTTAGTCGTTTTTGTTTAAATAACTAGATTTGTAAGTAACCTAAGGGCTGTGTCCGTATCTAGGATGTGGAACATTTTAAAACCTCTGTGCAAAGTTTTTAAATGTATGGAAGTAAAGGACAGAGAAAGAAGGAAAAGAAGGAAGGGAGAAAGAAATGAAAAGAAGAAAGATGGACAGTGTGTTTGTTCACAGTCCAGGGCGGGCCATCAGTCAGATTTATGCCTGGCCTGGCTGAGTTCGTTCTGTTGGAGAGATTCAGGCTGTGTGCATGGGCAATCAGGGTCACAGTCGCAATGCCTTGCCTTTACTTGCCGACGACCCGCTTGCCACTCTGTGGTTGAGTGGCTCTCCCTCCCACTTGTCTTGATCTAATCAGAATAGTGAGGTTTTAAAAAATTGTTAAATCAGCACTTGTTGTCATTAACATGCTTAATTATTGCCTATACTACTTTTCTTCCCTATAACTCAGATTTTTCCCATGCTTTATCTCTGTATTGGCATACTTTTGAGGTAGAAGAGACATGTAGAATTATTGCTGTCTTACAAATAGAAAATGGAGGCAGGAAAATTGAAATCTCTTGCCTTGGGGTTTCATGGTTACTGGAAGGGTTAGATCTAGAATCCAAATCTCCCAGCCCACTGTGCTTCCCTCTAGACCACACAGACCACAGTGGTACAGATTTGTTTTTAACCAGAGCCTCCTCCTGTGTAAGCTGTTCTGTGATTCGGCCTTCCCCCCGCCCCCCGCCTCCCCCCACCCCACTTAAATTGGTCTAGCAGTGTGAAAGGAAAAGGGCAGAAATAGTTTCACACAGTCTCTTTTCTTTTCTTTGCTATGAGAAATATATTAAAGATTTATCTTATATTTGTTTTGTGCTTAATTTTTATTATGTCCAAAGGTGACATGATAACATTATCATGAGTATTTCTTATTAAGAAATACTGTGAGGAGTTATTTCTGCTTCAAGCCTGTAATTGTGCAGTTTACAATGTTGGTTTAGCTCCAGTAGTTGTATCAGAATATACAAAGTGGCATATTAGAAAGGACTGGATTACTGAATAAGCATAAAAGTTTTTTTTGCAGAGATGATCTTTTTTTAAGATTTAGTTGGGACCTTCAAAATCGTCTGGTTCACCTCCCTCACTTAACAGCTGAGGTAACGAAGGTCTAAGAAGGTGAAGTGAATAAGTGTTCAGTATTAAAAGGCAGGAGTGTGTGTAATTTTGCCATGTTCCCTATTAAATTGCAGATGGATAAACATCTCAGAATAAAAAACCTTTGGTCTTTTCTAGCCTCATGACTTTATGAGCCCAGCACCTTGGCTGTGCCCTTTTTTTGCTCTAGCGAAGGCCATGGTGACAACATCCTCCCTGGCGTCCAGAGTTTGAAAATCTTTCCCAGTGGGAATTACCTTATGAACTTCTTTGCCTTACATTTCTCTTGCTTGACTTTTACCAATTCTCTATCAGTTTTTCCCTTAACCTTTTCTGGTGAACTTTTTGTTGTTGTTGCAGAGCTATCAAATTTATTTCTCTCATCTGTAGCTCTGGTGTTCACATCTTTCTGCTGGTGAATATAGCTTGTAAGGAATCTACTTTCGTTAAATATCTATTTTCCAGTCTCAGCTGTATGCATTCTACTCTTAGAGCAGAAGTCACAAAGGGCCACCTGATTAGTGTTTTTTAAAAATCTGAGTGTAAGTGATTTAGTGGTCTATCTGGCCTTTTCATGCATATATGTTCCCAACCTTCTCCCTGCAGCTGCCTAGGACTAAAAGACTTGCTGTATTTTGCAGGAGGCTTCCTTTTATAACCTCAGTATCTAGGGCAATATTTCAATAGCCCTAATTATAGCAAAGATTTGAACCTCTCAAGCATATATGCAAAACTTAATGTATACATGAGTGGGCCTAACTCATGATATTTGAAGACTTATCATTTTAACCTCATGAACACTGGAGCTTTTGTCACCTCTATGCTTTTCTTAAACTTAATTTCAACTAGGTGATGCTTTGCCTAAGAAATAATATAGATAAGTGACGGCCCATCAGATAGAAGCTTGGAGAGCAAATGCTGTAGGCACCACAGCAGGGCAGGCATAGAAAGCTGGGCAAGGAAAAGGGGTGTAAAGACAATCCAGGCTGATCAGGTGCCTCAAGTGAACATTCTCTTAATGTGATCAAATGACTTCACATGTCATAATGGGCCGTAGCTTCAGCTGTATTTTCTTTCACACTGCCAGATTCCTGGGCTAAAAGGAAGCCAAGAGGAGGGAGTAAAAGGAAGCAAAGAAGATTTGATAAATAAGATTAGGTATCTTATATAATCCATATATTTTCATAGATATGGATTGAAAAAGTTATCATTTTGAGATGTGGTAGGGACCACCCAGGAATTAGCATTTTGTGCATCTTTATTGTATTAAGTGGATGGGAGAAAAGACAGTATGAATCTGAATACAGAGTATAAATGTGAATAAGATGTCTATTCTAGCCTTTTGAGAGAGGGATTTTAAATTCTTTTTAGTATTTAAAACTTGAGTCAATGACCTTTTGCCTTAAGGATTTGATATTATTTTGAAGCTACTTCCAATTGGCCCATTTCAACTGAATTTAAATTTAATTCTTCCAGGTCTCACTTAGATGCTCAATAAGACATTTGGTGTTTACTTTCATATTGTCAGTATGATTTAACTGTTGGTTTTACATTTTGAATTTTTATAAGTTTGAAGTCATTCTTTAAGGAGATTTAGATGACTTAAATATACAAAAATGGCTTCTGAGCCTGTTTTTCCTACAGAGAATACAATACTTTATCTTGACATTAAAAAAAAAAAAGGGAGTGAGTTCCAAAATGGGAAAATGCTATTGTGAAGTGGACTTCTCATCAGAAGTATATGGGTTCCATAGCTAGGTTGGCCAGTTATATGATATGGAACAAGTTACTTAGTCTGTCTACTTCTTTGTTTTCTCAACTATAAGTAGGAAAAATAATGATACTTCACTATAGATTTGTTGGCCAAATTAAATATAGTAGTACATGGAAAATGCTTAGCAAGTACCTGACATATAGCAAATTCTCACTAAGTGTGAGCTTCTGTTACTAATAATAATGAATACTATTGTAAAATCCCAAAGGAACTTGGGAGAACTTGACAAAAGGATTCTAGAGTTCAATTAGAAGAATAAAATTATAAGATTATACAGGTGTGAGTTTCCAGCCCAAGCTGAGGTCTGAGGGGAATTGATGGGGTAGTGGGTAGCTGAAAGAACACTTGAGAGACCACAGGTAGGTGGGACATGGCTTTATTCAGCAACTCACTCACACTGTTGGTGCTGCATTTATGCACCTCCCAGACAATAGTGGCTCAGAGCCAGGTGATGAGCCCTCCCATGTTATGGCTACGTAGATATGATTATATAATGCACAGGATTGTGCACCTGCACTCCAATCCTGCTGTGTCATGCTGTGCCGGGTGTGTACCTTGGGCTGTACTTGACTGCAGTGCAGCCATTGTCCTTATAACAGGAAATTTTTAAAAAGAAAGAGTGTGTAACATTTGCCTTTTCAGATTATTCATTATTAAGCAAAAGTGAATGACAATAGTGCATACTCAACTTTGGCCTTACAGGCACCTTTACAGAAAGGGTCCTTTTAAGAAAAAATATTCCGAGGCATGATCTGTTTTCCTAGCAGTCTCTCTTAGTCCTTTGATATGCAAGTTATTTTCATCAGAAACATCTATCATGTCATCATTGTTGTCAGTTTTCTTTTCTTTATTGTCAACTGAACTGACTGCCAGATTTTCACTGCTCACTGGCCTTGCGTGTGACAGGCACAGTTCTCCAGTAACACTTTAACTGCATTAAACTTGGCATAATTTGCAGGATTTATAGTTTTCCTCTGCAGCCAATTCGTGTTGTATTTGCAGTAATTTCCTACAGTCAGTGAGGGATTAACCAATAAAATGTTGGTAGCAGGCAGAGATTCTTCTAGTGTTAAATGCAGGAGGATATTTGAGTACAGACTAATTTTAGAAGTGGTCAGTTTTTGAGTGTGTATCTTTGTGTTATGCTTCTGCTTTTCTATGATTATAGCAACTGGGATAATTAAAACTTCCTTAAGCAGGAGGATCCACCCTCTTCCCCTCAATTATATATGTAAAAACTTAGAATGTGTTAACCTTAACTCTAACCACATGTGCTAATGTGACGTTTCAAAGCAATGAGGAGAGGACAAGAATTAGTTTAAAAATAGTGTTGGAAACTGGCCAACCATTTGGAGAGAAGAAATAGATTCCCTACCTCATCCCATATCACACAATACATTTCAGACAAATAAGGTATTTAAATTCAAAAAAAGAAATTTCATAAATCACAGAAGGACATAAAGGTGGATACATTGATATGGAAGCAGGATAGGCCTTTCTATGTAAGTTAGCAGAGGCAATAAACAGAAGACTGAGCTTTTGTTATAGACTTCTCAAAATTGGGTCCAGAAGAATATAAACCAAGGTGTGTATTAATGATAACTATCCCTGCGTGTTAGAATTACAGGTGGTGTCTGAGTCTCCTCTTGCTCTTTCTCTTCCATATATTTTGTACATTTTCTGAAAATGACATATATAACTTTTGTAAAAAGGCCCCGTGATAGAAAGAACCAACAGGAAAACAACTATATAATTGTATCAGAAATGGTGGTAAGGAAACAACAAGGGCTAATTCATAAGTCAGGAAAATTAATTTTTTTCAAAAGGAAGTTATTAAAAGGGCAATGACCATGTGTTTATGGAGCGTGTTTGTATTTCAGTTCTCATGAACTAACCCAAGTCCTTTGCAGGACTGCAGAAATGTGCGCAGCTGTTTTTTGGATTCTCTCCCCTCCCATCTCTGTATCTCCTCTTGAGCATAGGCCAAGTCATTCAAGTTATTGATCTCTGACTAATGTTTCACCTTGTCAAAGTGACTCCATAATTTCGCACTTTGCTTATAATCCATTTTACTACTTTGCAGCATTTTACAATGAGACAGGTTTCCTCATAGAACATTCTCATTCTTTGGCTTCTCATTCTCTCATTCTCTGTGGCTTCTTTTTCCCTTTTCTGTCTCCTGACTATTGGTTTTCCATCTTCGTGCTCCCCTGGACAGTCTCATCAAGCTACCACTGTAATTCGTATGCCTTCTGGTTGGCCTCTCTTCCAAGCTCCACATGTCTCCACCAATACTCCTTCAGGCAATTCCACATGCCTGAAGGAAACTCACCTCCTTCTGTATGTCTGATCTCAGTGTATGATGTTACTCAATGCCCAGGCCAGAGGCCTCAAGAAACAACCTTGACTCTCTGTTTCTCTTACTCTCCATATTCAGCCAGTCACCAAGACCTGATGATGCTACCTCCCAAATATATCTCTTTTCATGGCCCACACTGCTATTTCCAACCCAAATGCCCATCAATCAATGATAACACTCTTATCGCTTATTTAGACAGTTAAAATGACCTATCATTCATCTCTGTGTTAATATTCTGTCTTCATTTTCAGTGCTACCATAAAAAATATGACTATTTGTAGCAGTATTATAGCCAAAAAGTGGAAATAATCCAAATATCCATCAACTGATAAATGGATAACAAATGTGGTATATCCATACAATGGAATATTCTTTAATAATAAAAATAACTGAAGTTCTAGTACATACTACAACATGGGTAAACATTAAAAACATTACGGTAAGCGAAAGAAGCCAGTCAGAAAGACCTCATATTATTATAAAGCCATTCGTATAAAATGTCCAGAATAGGCAAATTCAAGGCGACAGAAAGTATGTTAGTGGTTGCCTAGGACTAGGAGTAGGGGAATGAGAAGTGATAGCTAATGAGTACAGAGTTTCCTTTTGGGTAAGAAAAATGTTCTGAAATTAGATTGTGGTGATATGACTATACTAAAAACCATTGTGTATTTTAAAAGGGTAAGTTATATATGAATTATATCTCAATAAACTTGTTTAAAAACATTTTTTAGTGTAAAGATAAAACATGTTCTTTGTATATATTTAGAAAATTCAGGTGAACTAAAAGAAGAAAATTTATTTATATTTCTGTAAGTTATTGGGGTACAGGTGGTATTTGGTAACATGAGTAAGTTCTTTTTTTTTTTAAGACAGAGTCTCACTCTGTCACCCAGGCTGGAGTGCCGTGGTGCAGTCTCAGCTCACTGCAACCTCTGCCTCCTGGATTCAAGCAGTTCTCCTGCCTCAGCCTCCTGAGTAGCTGGGATTACAGGCGTGTGCCACCATGCCCGGCTAATTTTTGTATTTTTAGTAGAGACGGGGTTTCACCATATTGGTCAGGCTGGTCTCGAACTCCTGACCTCGTGATCCACCCACCTCGGCCTCCCAAAGTGCTGGGATTACAGGCGTGAGCCACCGCACCCAGCCCATGAGTAAGTTATTTAGTGGTGATTTGTGAGATTTTGGTGCACCCATCACCCATGTATACACTGCACCATATTCGTAGTCTTTTATCCCTTGCCCTCCTCCCACTCTTTCCCTCAAGTCCCCAGAGTCCATTGTATCATTCTTATGCATTTGTGTCCTCATAGCTTAGCTCCCACATATCAGTGAAAACATATGATGTTTGGTTTTCCATTCCTGAGTTACATCACTTAGAATAATAGTCTCTAATCTCATCCAGGTCACTGCAAATGCTGTTAATTCACTCCTTTTTATGCCTGCGTAGTATTCCATTATATATATGTGTGTGTGTGTGTGTGTGTGTGTGTGTGTGTATATGTGTGTGTATATATATATACACGTATGTATATGTGAGTATATATATATATATGTACACACACACACACACACACACACACACACACACACACACACACACACAGTTTCTTTATCCAGTTGTTGATTCATGGGCATTTGGGTTGGTTCCATGGTTTTGCAATTGTAAATTGTGCTGCTATAAACATGCATGTGCAAGTATCTTTTTCAAATAATGACTTCTTTTCCTCTGGGTAGATCCCCAGTAGTGGGATTGCTGGATCAAATGGTAGTTCTACTTTTAGTTTTTTAAGGAATCTCCACACTGTTTCCATAGTGGTTGTACTAGTTTACATTCCCACCAGCAGTGTAGAAGTGTTCCCTGTTTACTGCATCCACGCCAACATCTACTGTTTTTTGATTTTTTGATTATGGCCATTCTTGCAGGAGTAAGGTGGTATCCCATTGTGGTTTTGATTTGCATTTCCCTGATCATTAGTGATGTTGACCATTTTTTCATAGGTTTGTTGGCCATTTGTATATCTTTTTTTTGAGAATTGTCTATTCATGTCCTTAGCCCACTTTTTGATGGGATTGTTTTTTTTTTCTTAATGATTTGAGTTTGTCGTAGATTCTGGATATTACTCCCTTGTCAGATGTATAGATTGTGAAGATTTTCTCCCACTCTGTGGGTTGTCTGTTTACTCTACTGACTGTTCCTTTTGCCATGCAAAAGCTCTTCAGTTTAATTAGATCCCAGCTAATTTATATTTGTTTTTATTGCATTTGCTTTTGGGTTTTTCGTCATGAAATCCTTGCCTAAGCCAATGTCTAGATGTTTCTGCTGAGAAATCTGCTATTAATTTGATAGGTTTTCCTTTATAGGTTACCTGGTGTTTCTGTCTCATGGCTCTTAAGATTCTTTCCTTTGTCTTAACTTTGTATAACCTGATGACAATGTGCCTAGGTGAAGATCTTTTTGCGATGAATTTCCCAGGTGTTCTTTGAACTTCTTGTATTTGGTCTAGGTCTCTTGCAAGGACAGGGAAGTTTTCCTTGATTATTCCCCCAAATATGTTTTCCAGGCTTTTAGAATTCTCTTCTTCCTCGGGTATACCGATTATTCTTAGGTTTGTTCATTTTACATAATCCCAGACTTCTTGGAGGCTTTGTTCATATTTTCTTATTCTTTTTGCTTTGTCTTTGTTGGATTGGGTTAATTCAAAGACCTTGTCTTCGAGCTCTGATTTTTTTTCTTCTATTTATTCAGTTCTGTTTCTGAGACTTTCCAGAGCATTTTGCATTTCTGAAAGTGTGTCCAAAGATTCTTGAATTTTTGATTGTTTTTTCTTTAAGCTATCTATTTCCATGAATATTTCTCCTTTCACTTCTGGTATCATTTTTTGGATTTCCTTGCCTTGGGCTTTGTCTTTCTCTGGTCCCTCCCTGATTAGCTTAATAACTAACCTCCTGAATTCTTTTTCAGGTAAATCAGGGATTTCTTCTTGGTTTGCTGGTGAGCTAGCGTGATTTTTTTGGTGGTGTTGAAGAGCCTTGTTTCATCATATTACCAGTGTTGGTTTTCTGGTTCCTTCTCATTTGGGTAGTCTCTGTCAGAGGGAAGGTCTATGGCTGAAAGCTGTTGTTCAGATTCTTTTGTCCCATGGGGTGTTCCCTTGATGTAGTACTCTCTCCCTTTTCCTATGGATGTGGCTTTCTGTGTGCCGAACTATAGTGATTGTTGTTTCTCTTCTGGGTCTTAGCCACCCAGCTAGTCTACCTGGCTCCGGGCTGGTACTGCGGGTTGTCTGCACAAAGTCCTGTAATGTGAACCGTCTGTGGGTCTCTCAGCAGTGGATACCAGTGCATGTTCTGGTGGAGGTGGTGGAGAGTTCAATGGACTCCATAAAGGTCCTTAGCTTTGGTGGTTTAATGCTCTATTTTTGTGCTGGTTGGCCTCCTGCCAGGAGGTGGTACTTTCCAGAAAGCATCAGCTGTAGTAGTGTGGAGAGGGACCGGCAGTGGGTGGGGCCCTAGAACTCCCAAGATTATATGCCCTTTGTTTTCCACTACCAGGGTGGATAGGGAGAGACCACACAGGTCGGGGTGGGACTAGGTGTGTATGAGTTCAGGCTGTCCTTGAGGGGGTCTTGTTGCAGCTGCTGTCTGGGATGGGGGCAAGATTCCCAGGTCACTAGAGTTGTGTACCTAGGAGGTTTATGGCTGCCCCTGCTGAGTCATGCAGGTTGTCAGGGAAGTGGGGGAAAGCCAGGAGTCACAGGCCTTACCCAGCTCCCATGCAAACTGAAGGGCTGGTCTCACACCCACCATGCCCCTGCCAACAGCCCCGACTCTGTTTCTAGGCAGAGGGCGAGATGAGCTTGAAAATTTGCCTGAGACTATCCACTTCCCAGCTGTGAGAGAAAAGGGCTTTAGTTCTTCCTCTGCCTGTAGAGTCTGCATGCCCGATTTGTGCCCTCGCCCAAGTTCTGACCAGGAGGCTTCTTGTCCCTAGCCTTTCTTGTTCAAATTGTTACAAAGTTCAGCTAGAGAATTCCTTCTCCCTGTGGAGTTTTACCCCCTGTTCCTCTGGCCACCCTCGCAATGGATCCCTGTGGTGCCAGGCAGAAATGGGCTACTTGGGGACCCAGTGAGCTCCTAGGGCCTTTCTGCTGCTTCCTCTATCCCTGTATTTTGCTTGGCTCTCTAACTTGACTCAGCTTTAAGTAAAGTCGGAAACTTCTCCCACAAACCTTCAGTTTCTGCAGTGGGGGTGTGTGTTCGGGACAGGAGGGTCTCCCTTTCCCACTTCTGCAGTTGGGGCACTCACAGTATTTGAGGGGGTCTCCCAAGTCTTGCTTCCTTGAGGGAGTCTGTGGGTCCTCGGGATTGCTGGTTTGTTCTTGCAGGCGATCTGCAGCTAAAATTCACAATGCAAGCCTCCCCGTACTGCTCTGTCCGGAGCTGCAATCTAGTCCTGCCTCCCGTCTGTCATGATCCCCTGAATCGAAAATTTAAAATCATTAATAATCTAACCATTCTGAAATAGATATAAATCCAACTATTATTCAATATATGTAAATGTTTGTATATGTGTATACACTCACTACGTATGTGTTTGTATGCATATCCTTCTAGACTTTTTTCTTTGCATATGTGTACATTCTGTTTTATAAAAATTGGATCATACTATACCTACTGCTTTATAATCCTTTTTTTTTTTTTTTTTTTTTTTTTTTGAGATGGAGTCTTGCTCTGTCGCCCAGGCTGGAGTGCAGTAGCGTGATTTTGGCTCACTGCAAGCTCCGCCTCCCAGGTTCATGCCATTCTCCTGCCTCAGCCTCCCGAGGAGCTGGGACTACAGGCGCCTGCCACCGCGCCTGGCTAATTTTTTGTATTTTTAGTAGAGACAGGGTTTCACTATGTTAGCCAGGATGGTCTTGATCTTCTGACCTCGTGATCCGCCCACCTCGGCCTCCCAAAGTGCTGGGATTACAGGGGTGAGCCACTGCGCCCGGCCTATAATCCATTTTTTAAACTTTCATTAGGTTATTTCATTATTAAATAGCATACATTTTTTAAAAAGCTACATACTTAACCAGTTCCCTTTTGTCAAACATATAAACTGCTTCTGATATTGGTATGTACACAATTACTTAATGAATATTCTTGTAGCTAAATCTGTGTACATCCTGATGAATTTATACTTTTCCATGAATATGAATTGGAGCTGGTTATATTACTTCTCTGCTTTAGAAGATTTTATAGTTGCCTCCTATCTACCATATTAAATTGAAATTTCTAAGCCTGAAATACTATGTTCTTTACATAGAAATACTATGTTATTTTACTAGAACATTATTTTTCTAGCCATATCTTCTACATTTTCTTCCTTAGGACCTTTTACTGATACTGAAATACTCATTATTCTCCACACACAACATGCATTTCAAGTTTCTATGCTTTTAAAGAGTTCCCTTGGCCTGGAGAGGCAGTCTTGACCTGATGGTAAAATTACCACTAATTTCTGAAGACCCAGCTGAAATGATGTTCCACAACGCATTCCCTGGTCCTCCTCCTGGAACTGCTAGTAAATTTTCCATCTGTGCTCCCTGGTCCCCTGAGCATATGGCTGTTATAGTACTTGTGTTATAGAGTACAATCATTTAATACATTGATTCCATGCCTCACCCTCAGGTAGAAGATGTTGGATTGTATTCTATTCTTCTTTATGACCTCAATACCCAATTTGTGCCGCACATGCAGACACACACACACACATATAGTTCATGCCCACCATGTATTTTTTTAAAGTTTTTTATTTTGAAATAATTATAGACTCGTGGGAAGATGCAAAAATAATACATACAATCTCATATACTCTTCACTCAGCTTCCCCTGATGGTGACAGCTACAGAGCTATAGTTGGGGGCAAGAAGAGGACTCTGTAGGGAGCAGTGAATTTTAAGAAATTCACATAAGAGATGGTATCACTACTATCAAAGATAGCAGAAGGTCAGGAAGGATCTGTCTATAACTAGAAGAAAAAATATAGGAAAGCAAATAAATGGAAGAAAAAGTAGGCTATTGTCAGGGTTTTAATTTCTTCTCCTTTTGTTTTTCCCTTAAAAGACATTTAAAGACGTTTGAAGTTCAGGTGGTATAGCAAGATGAGAGTGCCAAAATCCAATGTTTGTATTAAATGGAAAACTTTTGGGAGGCAGAAAGAATAATCTAGAATATACATAGACTGAATAAAGTTAGCATTTGAGAAGAGAAAAAGTGAGCACCCAGATATATGCTGGGTATACATGAAAAATTTTTTTTAAAAAGGAAAGCTTAGTGAAGTCTAGCCACATAGGCTTTAGAGAGAAGTAAAGTCTTATAATGGTTTTTGACAGAGCGAGAGGGGTAAATGGTCAGGTTATAATTAAATCACATTAAAGTTGATTTGCAATAGCCATTGTGGAAAGGACAAGGCCAGCCATTTAGCAATCGTGCAGCTGTTTATTTTTCTGGAGCCATAGCTTTTCACTTTCATAGTTCTTTTACCTCCTTGTTTTGAAACATTATTGTTTCAAAATCGTTTTGAAAGTCAAGCTATAGTTTATAAATAAAGAGGTGTTCAGTTATTGATAGTATGCTCATTCTTATCCAGTGTAACAGGGAGTCCATAATGAGATGAATGGAAGATTAGTGGAAAAATATTTGAATCTAGGATTAGAGTTGGATTTGACAGAAGAAGCAATTAGGAGCAACTGTAGGGAAAGGTCTACCATCAAAGACCTCATAGAATAACATTCTCCCTGTGTGTACTTAGCAAATACTTGTTGATAGACATGCTGGCTGGTAACTAATTACAATGTGATGACCAAAGACCAGCTTCTTGGAAGTAGGGTTGTTAATACAGGAATAGAATACCAGGGGAGTTTGAGTAATTTCCTTCTTAGCAGATGTTTATACTAATGTGGATACTCAACAGTCTAAAGATAATTTGGGGAAAAAATCTGTCTAAAAGTAGGGGGATAAATTAAATAGCTTTTGAAAGACATCACTATTCTTATTTCTTTAATTGTCATGTAGATAACTCTGTAAAATGCCCATTTTTATCTTCACCCATCTATAAATGTGAACTGCCTTTTTTTTTATTATACTTTAAGTTTTAGGGTACATGTGCACATTGTGCAGGTTAGTTACATATGTATACATGTGCCATGCTGGTGCGCTGCACCCACTAACTCGTCATCTAGCATTATGTATATCTCCCAATGCTATCCCTCCCCCCTCCCCCCACCCCACCACAGTCCCCAGAGTGTGATATTCCCCTTCCTGTGTCCATGTGATCTCATTGTTCAATTCCCACCTATGAGTGAGAATATGCGGTGTTTGGTTTTTTGTTCTTGCGATAGTTTACCAACAACAGACAAACAGAGAGCCAAATCATGAGTGAACTCCCATTCACAATTGCTTCAAAGAGAATAAAATACCTAGGAATCCAACTTACAAGGGATGTGAAGGACCTCTTCAAGGAGAACTACAAACCACTGCTCAAGGGAATAAAAGAGGATACAAACAAATGGAAGAACATTCCATGCTCATGGGTAGGAAGAATCAATATCGTGAAAATGGCCATACTGCCCAAGGTAATTTACAGATTCAATGCCATCCCCATCAAGCTACCAATGACTTTCTTCACAGAATTGGAAAAAACTACTTTAAAGTTCATATGCAACCAAAAAAGAGCCTGCATCACCAAGGCAATCCTAAGCCAAAAGAACAAAGCTGGAGGCATCACACTACCTGACTTCAAACTATACTACAAGGCTACAGTAACCAAAACAGCATGGTACTGGTACCAAAACAGAGTTATAGATCAATGGAACAGAACAGAGCCCTCAGAAATAACGCCGCATATCTACAGCTATCTGATCTTTGACAAACCTGAGAAAAACAAGCAATGGGGAAAGGATTCCCTATTTAATAAATGGTGCTGGGAAAACTGGCTAGCCGTATGTAGAAAGCTGAAACTGGATCCCTTCCTTACACCTTATACAAAAATCAATTCAAGATGGATTAAAGACTTAAACGTTAGACCTAAAACCATAAAAACCCTAGAAGAAAACCTAGGCATCACCATTCAGGACATAGGCATGGGCAAGGACTTCATGTCCAAAACACCAAAAGCAATGGCAACAAAAGACACAATTGACAAATGGGATCTAATTAAACTAAAGAGCTTCTGCACAGCAAAAGAAACTACCATCAGAGTGAACAGGCAACCTACAAAATGGGAGAAAATTTTCGCAAGCTACTCATCTGACAAAGGGCTAATATCCAGAATCTATAATGAACTCAAACAAATTTACAAGAAAAAAACAAACAACCACATCAAAAAGTGGGCAAAGGACATGAACAGACACTTCTCAAAAGAAGACGTTTATGCAGCCAAAAAACACATGAAAAAATGCTCATCATCACTGGCCATCAGAGAAATGCAAATCAAAACCACAATGAGATACCATCTCACACCAGTGAACTGCCTTTTCTACTGTCCTATGAAATAGCACAATGGAAATCTGAACTCTGTATAATTTTCAGTATTCTTAAAAATTGCATCGATTTGCCAAAAGATAGAGTATCTCAAGAACACTGGAGTATCCCTCAGGAAGATATTTAGCTCTGAGGTTTTGTATCACATCAAAAATAACTTTTCTCACATATTCTACTGGCATTTGGTACTGTTTTGTCTTCAAATATGAGGATGAAAAAGTTGATATTTATTCCAGCAGATTCTGGCTCTAAAAATAAAATCATGAAGGGATTTCTACTGATTCATATAACAATTTTTTTTTCAACTGTTACTCCCAACTTCTGCTACCTCAGTGTATCTATCTTTTATAGTACGGTTTTCTGAGTCACCTAAAACTTACAATAAACATACTTCCTGTTTCTTTTCCTTCAAGTTCTACTCCCAGTATCTGCTCGCTCTCTGAGAAATTCAGTTTCCAACAATAAGATGAATGTTTCTGTTTTCAGTGTAAATTTGTGAATATTATTAAAGTTTTATTTTTTTTGTATTTTCCTTTAGATTTTAGGGTGCCTAGATAAAGTATTTTAATTACTTACAAGCAACTCATCCAATCAATTACTCATGTGAGACAGTCATTAAGACTTATTTTATATTGCATTATTTTTATTTAAATTTTTCAAATATATGCATAATGTGAGTATCCACAAGTAAATGGGGCAGACACAACAATTTGGCCTATTCCTCTGGCTTAGGCCTTTTAATTCTGGCCAATATAACTGGCCTAAAATAGGAGCAACACTCTGCTTCTGACACTACTCAGCCACAACACGCAAAGATGACGTTCTTTAGAACTGTCATGCTGAATGAAGCCAGATCTATGCTGCCAACCTTTAAAAAAAAAAATCTTTTCATACTGAACTTTTTCTAAAAACAATTTTAGTGTGTTTATTCCAATAAATTGTTGGAATAGTCAAGTCCTGATTTATGTGTCATGTGGATATTTTTAAACA
The DNA here is from genome assembly GCF_000001405.40 of Homo sapiens. Taxonomy (NCBI): domain Eukaryota; kingdom Metazoa; phylum Chordata; class Mammalia; order Primates; family Hominidae; genus Homo; species Homo sapiens. The sequence continues at coordinate 33,550,753 of NC_000007.14, forward strand.
ATTAAAAATTAAAATGAAAAACAATTATCTTGTTCCTGGTGGTTCTCAGAACATATGAATATCCAATTCTAAAAAGTAAACACCTTTAGTTGTATTTCTGTGTACAGGATGTCTCAACTCTGTATATTATTTAAAATTTAGCCTTTTCTTTTAGAAATGCTTAATTTTTTATTTAAAAATAATTATTTTAGTTAGCTAGGGTTTTTGTATTCCTTTCAAGTCTGCTTTCTGAGCCATACTCCAGTGTCATGTGGAAAATGTTACCAAAAAAATAAAATGATGTCACTTTAACTTTCAGAAGTTATGATTTATGCTAATACCAATAGGATGGTTTTTATTTAGTACAGGTGTTTGCTTGTTGGTTGCTCTAAGATATTTTTAGCATTTGTTAAAAATAGGCTTGGGAGTGACTGCAGTTGTAAAATAAGAAGCAAATACATTGTCCTCGTAAGGATCATAGCAAGGGGGTGCCAGGCCCCAGTTGACTGCCGCTATAGTTATGAGCAAATGTGGTGATAGATATTAAGGGCTGAGGTGTAGGAGTCTGGCTGGGTTTCAAAGAAAAATAAAATTAGTTGCAGCAGTAAACGGAGCACCTAATCAGTATATGTGACTATGTACTGTGTAAATAAATTACCTGATATTTTTACCTGCTTTTGAAAGAGATGAATCTTCCCTTTCAAAATAAGATAAGACACCAGATTGTGATCTTTTTTAAAACTTAACCTATTAACTCATGGAAAATCACTTAGCTGTGGAAATTGTACACTTTGTACATTATTTCCATTGAAAAACACAACATATACCAGCCAAGACTGAGACCCCAAGGTGAAATTTTTTGAGTGCTTACTATGTTTCAGGCATGGTTCCAGGTACTGGGGGCACAGTGGTAAATCAGACTAATCCAAGCCCTGCCCTCAGGGAATTTATTATGTTCTGGCAGGGGACAGTCAATATACAGGGAAACAAATTTCAGACAGCGAAAAGTGCAGTGCAGAAAAGTACATCAAGACAAGGAGAAAGAATGCCAGCTGTTGACCATTTGTGCCACATCTTTCTTATGACTTTTTTTCAGTCATTTGGTGAAATGAGAGGATGGCATATTGTATTATTTGAGACAGATTCCTTTTGTGATGGTTAAAATAATTATGTTTGGCTATATAATATAATATTATAGTTTAGTTTATTACTGTTAATAGTAATATTATTGGAGTACCACAGTTTTTGAAGTTTTCTGATCAAAGAATATGTTTCAATTTTAGAAAAGAAGCCAAAGCAATTCTTGAGAAGTGTTCCTAAAAAATAAATTAGATAACATATCTGTAGTGATCATTGAAATGTTTTGTGACATAAAAGAATTTTCATATTATTGTTTTATCTTTATTTTGAGTTTTTTATTTTTATATTATATCATGAGCCACTGTTAGATGTCCACTGTCTGTTGACATCAGCTTACTACACTATAATATCTGATAGCAGAGACTTTATCATTCATTTCCACATCTCTAGAATCTAATACAATTGGAACACAGAAGATGCTCAACAGATCTTCGAGTAGATTTGAATTGAATCACTTACGTGAACATTATTCCTTCCCTTTCTCAGTTTCTTATCAGTCAGCTCTCTACTCCTCCCCACCTCACCTTCCAACACATCCACTCCACTTCCATTGGCCCCTCCACCAGCCCTTGGTGCTCTTCCCTTGAAACCCCATGGGTTTCTCTCTTGGATTCCTTGTCAGTTTTCAGCCCTGAGTCAATCTTTGGCTTTTCTTAGATCAACTCTGCAACTGGAAATTGTTACTAAAATTAATTATAAAACTACCTCCTTTCTGGCTGTGTAACTTCACCTGGGCCCTTCTGTGCTAATCTGTTTCATTTACTTGTTTCTAATTGATTTCGTATCTCATTCCCAACAGAAGTTAATGCCTGTCATTTTGCTTAAGCTCCAATCTCATCTCAAACTGTGCAGAAGACCTTACTTCTACTGCACTATGAAAATCAAAGCAAACTGCCCTTCCCATCCATTTATTTCAAAATTTATGTGTAATTTTATTAATCTTTTGTCTTTCTGTTCTTTCTCAGAAGATGACTTGGTTTTAGGATTAAACTTAGACTTGTTACCGTGGCCTGCAGAACTCTGCTTCTGTCTCTCCATCCACTTCTCCACCAGCAATTTCTTCACAATTCTCCTTGCCCATTCTGCTTTACCCACACAAATCTTCCTTCACTTCTACTCACCAAGCGTTTTCCTGCCTCTGGTTTTGCATATGCTGTTCACTTTGCCTTGAATACTGTCCTCTATCCATTCCCAAACATTCCCTCTCCTGTACCCGCCCCACACTGTCTCACTGGCTGACTTATAGCCATTCTCAGATCTCAACTTAAAGATGGCTTTTCTGTAAGATGTCTTCTGTGACCCCTATTATTCTCACTCATGGTCTCTTGGACTTTTTCTTTATAGCTGAAGCATAGTTCATAATTGCATCTTCATTGTGGGCTATTTAATATTTCCCCACTGTATTCTAAGTTTCATGAAGAGCTGGACAATGTCTGCGTTAGCTACTATGGTATAGCTTAGTGTCTGCCATGTAATGGGTGTCCCAAGGAAAGCTGATGAATGAACTGCATCCTCTTCTATTTCCTGTTTTCCTCAGGGACCTTGTGGCCTCATATTTGTCTCACTTGACCTGTCTACTATATATTTTCTGCTGTCTCCCTCCCATTTCTAATCTTTGTTCACTTTTCCTCTGTTCCAGTAATGCCCTCTGACTCTTCATGTTATTATATTAACTATTTTATTTTCATTCCCTTCCAGACCTACAAATTGTACCAATTGTACTGTGGCCTCTTAAAGATAAATTTGGAATTAAGCTAAATAGCAGCATCTGTAAATAATTCCTCTTTTGGTCAAGAGAACAGTATTAGGAGCATCAATATTAACAAATGTAGAGTTCTTAAAATGGGGAAAGAATATTTACTCATGAATAGGACAATTTTTAAAAGTTTAACAGATTTTTTTAAATGCTACTGTGTGCTGGGCTCTATGCTAGGCATTGGGGTATGATGACTAACAAGAGAGACAGGATTCGTACCCACAGGAGCTTACATTCTGGGGGATGAGCCGGATAATAAACAGCTATACAACTAAACATGAGAATTGCAGGTTATATTAAGTACAGTGAAACAATGAGTTGAGAGAGTTTGTGGTGGAGGCTACTTTCGATAGGGTGATTGGGGAAGGCTTCTGTGAGGAGAAGGATGAAGAAATGAGGAAGCAGGGGAATAGCATTCCAAGCTGAAGGAATAGAAGTTAAAGGCCGGGAGGGGAGAAAGGGCTTGGCACATTCAAAAGACACATGGTCTATCTGGCTTGATCTTGATGAGGACAAATGGCAGGGAGAGTTAGATTGTGTAATGTTCCTTACCTCTCATGGTAAGGAATTTAGATGATAGTGATCCTATGAGTAGTAGGAAGCCATCAAATAGTCTTAAGTATTACAGACATTACATAATTTGATTTATGCCTTTAAAAATTACTGTGGCTGCTATGTGGGGAATGTTTTGGAAAACAGCTGGAATGGAAACCAGGAGCAGCTGAAGAGACTATTGTAGAAATGTAGGCAAGAGATGAGGTTGACTGGGGTTATGGCAATGGAGATAGAAGTACAAATATCTACAGTGTGTTTTAAAGGCTAGAATACACAGAGCTTGGTGCTGGATTGTGTGTAAGGGGTGAGATAAAGGGAGGAAGCAAAGATGACTCCTGGAATGTTGCCTTTAGTACCAAGGTGGACAGTAGTGCTATTGGTAAAATGGGGAAGTCTGAGGGAAGAACAGTGTGTGTGTATGTGAGTTGGGGAGGGCAGAATCGAAGACTCAGTTTTGGCTATATTCCATTTGAGAGGCCTAGTTGGCACCCAGTTGTAGATGCCAAGTGCTCCGGAGCTCAGGGGAAAAGCCTGGGCTGCAGATGGACTGTCAGGAGACAGCAGTCTATATATGGTATTTGAAACTGAATGGGCTTTCACTTATATGGAGAGAGAAAAGAGAGGAGGAGCTTGATCTAAATCTGGAGGCCTTCCAACATCTAGAGGTCAGGTGGAAGGGCAAGAGCCAACATCGGAAATTGAAGAGAAGCAGCCAAGGAATGAGAAAGAGGAAAACTCTGAGAAAGCAGCCACACAGAAGCCAAGCGAAGGGAGGATTTCCAAGGTCAGCAGATGGAGCAAGGTGAGGGCAGGGGTGGGAGCTTACATACTTCTACCTGAGATTCGTATAAATTTGTAACATTTCTCCTTTTATATATTCACTCCTTCTCTTTCCTATAAAGTTTTAAACCTGTGTTGCTAACTTTTTTAAGTATACAGAATATAGCCAATATAAACACTGTCTCAAATGAAAGAGCACTGCCCCATCTTGTTATTTCATCAGAGGGACACATATCCAGACCCATTCCTAATTAGAATGAATAAACAAGCTTCTTGTTTTAGGTCCAGGCTTTTCAGAATCTGGCTTAATTGTGTTGTCTTCTCCCACTCTTCTTTATCTTGAACACTTAACTACATTTAGGTCAATTTCTTTACTTATTCCTTCCTTACATTCAGGTGCTGTCACAGGCAATGGAAAAATAATGGTGAGCAAAGCAGGCTTGGTCTCTGCCATCATGGAGCCTGTTTTTTCAGATAATGAAGTAATTAAGCAGATACTCAATTACAAAATGAGAGAAATAGTATGAAGGCAAGAGATGATGGAGGCTCAGACTTTGGAAGCAGCAAGCGTGATGAAGAGGAGCAAATGGGTATGAGAACTTTTTCAGGAGATAAAATTGAGAGGATTTGGTAGTTAAAATTGAGAGGATTTGGTAGTTGATTGGAGATAAGGATTGAGGGGAAAGGAGAGGTATCAGAAGGAACCCCCAGATTGCTGGTTCTAGTTGGCCAATGTGTCATTCATCAAGAAGACATCTTTGGAAAAGCATACAGTTTGAGGGAGACAGATCATCAGTTTAGTTTTGTACATGTTGAATTTGAGAGCTTTCTCATGTTTGCTTTTCTTACAGGAAGCCTTCCCTGAATATTCTACCCTTTGATAATTATTCTAATGCTTATCGATTAATTATTAGCTGTTTCATATGCTTCAACTTAATAATTACTGCCAGTATATCTCATTGTCATTTCATGTCACACTGTGTTTCTCTAATTGCTATGTACGTGTGTTTTAAGTGAGAGTAGAAAATCCATGTGGGTACAAAATACATGATTACTATTTTTGTTTATCTAACTGATCACACTTGGTAGTGCACAATGTTATGAAGTAGTACGTATTTGGATTACCAGTGTCACTAAGTGATTTCCTTGAGACACAGCCTCATTTCTTATGGTTAATTCATCATCTACAAAAATTTATTAGACAGCAAGTCTCTCTCACGGCAATAGGAGTGAGTTTATTAACAGGAAGTGAATTATATCCTCCGATGTACTAGAGGAATTTGTTCTCTATCTGGAACTACTTTCTAATTAAAGTCATGACATCCCTACCCCGACTTACTGTGTTGAATATTATTTAACCACGCCTCAAGTCAAACACAAGGGTGATGAGCCCTTGAGAGTTTTCCCAGTCTTATGTTTTCCTTTCTGTGAGTTTTCCTTTAGTACATTACAAAACATCATCTAAATTTGTGTCTTTAATAGAATTTGATAGCCTTCTTTATACTGTTTCTCAAATTAGCCTCAGAAATTTCAGCATTGGAAAATTAGTATTTTATTTTCCCAGCTGTTTAAATGTAATATATTTGAAGACAGAGGCACTGTCCTGTAAGTTTATAGCCTAAATAAATCTATTTTAAAGGTGTACTGGTCAGAGGCCAGGTGGCATAATGGGATGACATATGAGCTATTCACATTTGAAGACCTGGCACTAAATTCAACTCAAGATGCCAGGAAAATGACTTTAGAGGTGTCAATTTGCTGGAGTCCTTGGTGGGCATCTGAGAACATCACAGAACTGCTCTAAGGTCTAACATAATGTATCCTCTGTAAATTATATTGCCACATTAGCCACCTAAGGTACAAAAGGGCAGTTTGAATGACTTCAGTAGACATTCCAAAATCTAGTTTTAATGAGTAATAAGAAGTACAAGCCTGTCTACAAGAAGACTAACCTAATCTAAAGGGTTCTACGTGGGACTGGGAGTTGAAATGTAAGCTTTTCTATGTCTCTGATCTTTATCTGGCTCATCAGTTATTCAGCAAGTATTTACTTAAGCCCCCTTTTCTGAGCCTTTGTCATTTTAGGCATGAATTTTATAACAAGACCAGTTGCCTTTCCTCTCCCTGGCTTCAGGTCTCCTACAAATGCCAATAATAATATTTCAAAGAAATGCTTTGAAGAATTTATTAGTTCTCCAAAAAAATACCATGATAACCCTGTCTAGAATACTTGTAAAATCATCTCTTCAATTATCCCAAGGTGCTTAATTGGACCGCTTATCTGAAGATCTTTTACTTTTTTTCATTTGCCAAGAATGTCTAGTAATTATGCACTCAGTTTCCATTTGAGTAGCTTTTCGAATTAGCTAGAAGGTCATCATCATTACTTTATATTTAATATCTGAATCTAAGGTTTCTGGTTTCTTTATTGTAGTAATACATTGTGTGCTATCCAGAAACATCACTTAATTTGAGAAAGCATAAAATGCTCAAAGGTACCATACTTTGATTTTTATTGTGAAAATATATTTCAATAACTGACAGACTTATTCTCTACAAACTTGACCCATTTAGTTTCATTCCTTTGCAATTAATGTCAGTCCTTTGGATACAATGGACTGGTGGACCATGCCAGCTGATGAGGGGTAATCCTGGGCATAGTGGGTTCTCTTTCTCTACTCAACAGGCAGGTTTAGCATGAAACTAATCTGCACATGAATTTGTGGCATTTCTAAGGAGCGCATCTAAGTTGATAATGCTGCAGTCTGCTTCCAGACTCTTTTCCAACGATCCTGCAGTTGGCTTGGGACATCCTCCGTGGATTGCAAGATGCTGGAAGATAAGCAGATGGTTTTTCACTTGACCTCTCTGAACCACAGTTTCTTTTTCTTTACCTCCAACTATTAGGATCCCAGGATCCTTATCTTAGTGAGAGTCTATGTTGTAATCCTTACCACCACCATCCCAAGTTCAAGGTTATGGCCTGTGGCCTTGCTAGTAGCTTACGTAGAGCCCTTTGATGGCTCATGAAGTCAGTTCATAGAAAGAAGTGAGGTAAACTGGGAACAAATTGAACATATTTAACTGAAGAGGTGATTTTGCATTAAAATATACCTTTATTATCTCTTGGAATCAAAAATTATTTTATAAATCCTTATTGAATACGTACTCTGTGCCCATTCTGATACTATATAGCCTGCATATATTATGGGGAACAAAATAGACAAAGTCTCGTAAAGTATCCATCCTAGTGGGAAGGGAAAACAGTACACAAACAACAAAAAAGATCATTACTAACTGTTGTAATTAGATGAAGGCAGTAAGCAGGGTAGTGTGATAAGAGTAAATGGCAGGGGAGAAGATACTTGAGGAAGCCTTACTGAGGTGGGGGCACGTGAGGTGAGGATGGATGGGAAGGAGCCAGCAGTGTGAAGATGCACTTGATGGGCTTGGGCATGGCAGGGAAGGCTAGACATTCCAGAGAGAGGGAACAGGGCAGGCAAAGGATTCAAAGGAGGTACGAAAGGAGGCCAGGGTGACTGGGGAGAATGATGTGAGATGGCGTTTGTAAGGTGGACTGGGGCCAGATTATAGAGGAGGCCTTGTTTCAAAATTTAGGTTTTATTAGAAATGAAAATTCTTGAAACAGGCCTTTTTTTTTATGAACCTATTATCTCTTAGACCAAATGAAAGGTGACAGTTTTAACCTTGAATGGCCAACCTGCATTCATAATCTGGAATAATTGTGAGCAGAAGCCCGCAGCATGTTGAAATAGCATTATATTATATTCAAAGGCTAAAGACTGCTCAGTTCTCAGGCATTTATCACTTGAAAGTGGAGAGAGTAGAAAAGTTTAAAAGGCTACAGCAATAACATTTGAGAAAATGAATAATTTAGAGAATGAAATCATGACTAATGAATTTTTTAAAAAGACTCCTCACTTGTGATTAGAGATTCATAATTTTCATTTTATAGCAAAATATAGTTGGCTGTCATGCATTCCTGACCTTCTTCCCCTAAGTACAATTGGGCCCAACACATTAATGCCTTGATGTGCAGACTTACGACTAGCTTCTTGTGTTGAAACCATTAAATTTTAATGTATTCAGCTTAAGCGTAAGTGGTCATAGATGATTCATAATGGTGCTCCCTGCTTTTGGTGAAAATGATCATCAGCAAGAGAATTGTCCCCAGTGGCCACACTTATCTTCGTAGATGATTTCCTAAACATTTTTTGTGCCCGTAGAAGACTAGGAATAAACACTGCACAGCTGTTGGGTAAAGCACTATGATAATTGCTCAGAAACCGCAGGGTATTTGATGAAGATAAAGTGGAACTCTGTAACTCTTGACATTTTATTTTTTAATTCCTGGTGTCTTGGGGGTACAAGTGATACAAGCTGCTCTTTAAGAATGGAGTTAGCCAACGATGATTTTTTTTCTTTAAGAAATATAACCCAAGAGTAGCCCCCAGGATTATGACTTCATCATTTAGCTGTTGGGCATAGAAGCAGGATGAGCCAGGAGGCTTGACTGGCCGAAGCTTCAGATAGCAGCCTTACCCGATAAAAACAGGATTGTGTCTTGGGAATATGAGACTTAACAGCCTGGTAATTACTCGCATGTTCACCTGACCTAACCACTATCCGTGTACTGAAAAATCGCAGCCAAATATGCTGCCAGCTGAGTTTACTTATATTATGCAACCCCTATAGACACATGTGATCTGATCATATCCCTCTAGAGCTTGAAGTCCTTCATTGCCTTCACAATAAACTCCTAATTATCTGCCACGACTCGTGAGTCCCTTCATAATCTAGTTCCTGTGTCTCCAGCCCCTTCATTCTTACTTGCCACCAGCAATTATGCTGCCATCATTCTCACCTATCTGCAGCTTCCAGAAGGATGCATATTCTCCTTTGTTCCCAGATCTCCCTGATCCTGGGCATATTATTCCTCTGCCCAGGATTCCCATCTTTCCTACTGCAGCTGGCTGACTCCTGTAGTCCTTCATAATTCCAATATTGCCTAACGCCATTCATGACTCTTCCCCTGACCCACAACACCCCTCTCTATCAGTTTACCCAGATACCGTATCTGGGATTGCATTGTATTATAGAGCTCTGTTTCCCTTAACCCAACCCTGCAGTGGGATCCTTGAGGATAGTGCATGTGTTTTGTGGCTTTGGTACCCCTAGCGCTTAACATAGAGCCAGCACATGGTAGATGCTTGCTGCAGGACGGATGGGTATATGTAGTATATCTCTTTCCTGGCCCTGAAATTGTGTAGAACAACTGGATTTTCTCCAAACCAGCCTAGGGATCATAGTGGATTATTCTGGGTAGGAACAAGATAACCAAACTTACTTTAGTCTTCCCATCACATTACAAACAATTCAACTGCTTCCCTTTCTAAATGAAGACATTTTTTCCAATCCCTTTGTTTAATGAAGGAACACAGTCCAAACTTGCCGTTAACTTTGTGAAATCACCACGAGATGCATTCATTAACTATTATAAGATTAGCCACACCTGGGTATAAGCTTTGGTTCAGGTGCTTTGAGAATTGCTTTTATCCAAGCAAGGTCAAAATAAAACAGTGCTGCTGCTTACTTCCCCCTCCCCCGTTCACTGTTGCTTCAGTGGATGTACCAAGGAGATGGTCTGTCTCATTAAATAAAGCAATAGTATTTTAGGACTGGAAGATAAATCTAAAAGTCTCCATTCAAATACTCCAGGCCCTTCTGCATGTAAAACCACCCCAGAAAGATAGATGTTTATTCTTAAGCATCTCTAGGGATAGGCTTCCACAGCCCTCTCAATTATGTGTTCCATTATCTCACCAGCCTTCTCATCAGGAAGGTTTTTTCCCTTAATGTTTAACTTTAATCCCTCCTGTTGCAATTTAAGCTCATTTCCTTTTGTCTTGGCTTCAGTGGAAATAAACAATACTCACTAGCACCTACCCATCCCTATTTTTAATTGAACATGTCTGACTTCCCCAGGCAGCTTTTTCTTTCTAGTGCTAAATGGACCCCATTTTGCCTTTTTCTCCTTATGCTACTTCTTGGAGACCCTTCCTTTTAAAACTTGCTTTGCTCTTACTGCAACAACTATTAGGGACTATACATTTCAAGTCTGTCGTTTAATCCTGCAGTTCATTTTTCTAATCTACCAATCTGTGTGATCTTAGTAAGCCACCTAATACACTGAAGAAGAATTGATGGACACCATTTTAAAGTGCTTTAGAGTTGTGGAGTTCTTTTCTAAGTGAACTGCTACCATTGTCCAATATTCTTCTCTCTCCGCCCAACTCCACCCTGGTTTTCCTACTTAAGGGTAAATGTTTGTCCTGTCTTATTTCCTACTTCTTCATGCATAAGTTTAATGCAGGCCATGATGACAGTATTTCTGAGTCCTGCTCTGCCAAGATAGCTCAAAGGATGGAGGAAGAAGAAAAGGGAACAGTTTTCTCTTTTCCTCTAGCCTTTCCCAAATCGTAGAGGTAGTAGCCACCTGAGTTGACAGAAACGATAAATTCCCAGCTCTTGGAACACTGATCTTTTTGGGACTCTGAGATGAGAATTTGGGAATGATATGAGGAGGAAGATGAGTCAGAAAATAAAAATATGCCGTGCATCCACCACCTAAAAATAGAGACTTCTCTCTAAAAACTAGAGAGGAGATCATTAAAAGTGTGAATGAGAATTAAACGGAGTCAAAAACTAGAACAAGAGAAAAGAAGAACAGGAAGAAACAGATCTGATCAAGTATGAAGAAGGAAAAATGCTTTAATTTGTGATCTTCCAACAGGACAATGTCATGGTAAGATTTCTTATTAAAATTAAACCAGCTGAAAATTCCAGAATAAGAACAGTGATTTGAATTTGTAATACAAGTACAGCAGTATTTTCCACTGATGGCTATGTACTTTATGTTATTGATTCAAAGATATTACATAGACATGTTACCAACAATAGTCTTTTCTTTCTTGAAAAATAGTCGTTATTAATTTTACCCCTTAACAATTCTATGTAGTCTGACCTTTTAGGAATAATCCTGGGCTGAAAATAGAGTTGCCATTGAAATTTCAAAGTAACTTCAATTTCAAAGTAGGAATATAAGTAGTAGTATGTTTTATTCTATTAATTGAAGATTGTATTAATGATACTCTGCCTTTCCTATAACTGTGCCATATAGGGCATTTCAAAGAAAGACTAGTTGACCCTTAGATTTACCATTGAAAATCAAAGGATGAAATTGAAATGTATGGCTGGTGGACTGTGAAGTCTCTGTGGTATATACAACAAAGTGATAAAAAACATATATGGTAATAATCACTTTTGGGGGATTCCTTAAGGAGATATTTCTTTTTAAATGTGCATGTCTGTAACCTAGGACTATTCAAAATTAACAACAGCTACTCAAAAGGAAATGAAATATTCTTTTCTCCTGCTTCTCTGAAAAGGCACCATTTGACTAAAGTTTCAATCTGCAGACAAAATAGAATTCCTTCTTCCCCCAAATTTAATTAATTGGCTTCCGCTAGGTCAAGGAGGTGCCTTATTATATGGTACAGCCCCAAATCCTAAACTGAACTTGAAACAGCTAACCTGTGAAAGCTGAAAAAGCCAAATCGCTTGGAAATGTAGTGACAGAAGCCATAGAAAAGGGAAAGGAGGCTGGGCGCGGTGGCTCATGCCTATAATCCCAGCACTTTGAGAGGCCGAGGTGGGTGGACCACGAGGTCAGGAGATCGAGACCATCCTGGCCAACATGGTGAAACCCCGTCTCTACTAAAAATACAAAAATTAGCCGGGCATGGTGGCACGCGCCTGTAGTCCCAGCTACTCGGGAAGCTGAGGCAGAAGAATCACTTGAACCCAGGAGGTGGAAGTCGTAGTGAGCCGGGATTGTGCCACTGCACTCCAGGCTGGTGACAAAGCAAGACTCCATCTCAAAAGAAAAAAAAAGAAAAAGAGAAAGGAGACCATTCTTAACATATTTTTACAAAACCAAGAAATGCTCATTTTGATGACATATTGATGTCATGTTGATGCAATGGAGAGTATAGGTATAATTATTATTATAGAGTGTATTTTTAAAATTTATATTGCTAAAGCCTACAGATTGCAATGGGTCTAGGAGTGTAAATCAGAAGTACTGTCAAAACAGTACTCCAGATGTGTTGAGTCATCTCTGGTGTCAAAAGGATAAGTTCAGATAATAATCAAATAAAGGATTTGCTAGAATATGTGTAGGCACTCAGTCTGATTTATGTTCCCAGTTTTAAGACATCTATGCATTTCACTTCAACTTTAAACCAAGGTCAAGACCACTGGAACCTGGGATCTGGAAATGGGTTTATTGTTAGGATTAGTAACAGTTGTTTTGTTTCACAAACAACTATGGCCATCATTCTAAGAGATTGCTTTTAAAAGAATTTACGATCTCCACTGACACAGGAGGTAAAGTCTATACTGAAAAAGCAGTTCTATTTGAGCTATTTCTGATGTCATTCTGATCCGAAATAAGGACATTTGATTAGAAAATTGAATTTTGATAACTTTGTTATGGCCTATTGTACAACTACTCTCTATCTTAGCATGAAGATAGTGTGGTGCTTTTGCTGCCAAAGAAATAGTGTGTATTTTTGGCCTCTTTTACGCATTTCAAAAGCAACTTTTTATTCTAGTCTGGTGTAAAATTGATTCTCAGGTGAATAACTCAATCCTCTATTCCTGTTGAGTTGCACGTATGGGGTCACTGTAGCTGCAATGTGTATTGTAAGTGATGGTCGAGGGAAGGAATGTCTGAGTATGACTGCAATATAGTATCTGTGCCAATCTGCATTCGGCGCTAAAACAAAGTCATGAGATGCGAAGTGCGAGCTTCTTTGAACAGTGTTTACAGCAGGCCTTATTGCATGATCAGAGTTTCTGAGAAAGCAGCTAACTTAAGACTGCAGATCTCTGTATATTGCTGCCGATAAGACCACATACTTACTGGAACTTATGCTTTATTCATTTTAGCTTTGAAAGATTTTCTAAAAATCTTGCCTGGAATTCATCAATTCTTTAAAAAAAATTTCATTATGTTACTGAATCTTGCTTTAAAGATGAAGATTGTCTTCTTTTGAGCTATCACCTCCCCTTCTTTGTTTTATTGGCAAATTGGAGAGAGAGGAGAGATATCTTATTTATTTTATCTTAGTTACATTATAGTGTAATTTATCTGCTATAGACCTATTCTTACACTATCCACCCATGGCACCCTCATCACCATAGTTGTAACTCACCTGTAATTCGTCTTGCATGTTTGACATTGGAAGGGATTTTAATACAACACAAACAACAAATAATTAGTTGGAAATGATGTGTTATATTTCAGGGGCATTATATATGGAGACAGGCTGACCTGGATTTGTATTCTAGCCTATCACTTACGTTGCCATGTGATTTTGAGTAAGTAACTTAACCTTTCTGGGCCTTAGTCTCCTTATCTGAGACCATAGTAGTGTTGTAAGGACTGATCAAGATAATGCATGGAAGACACTTAGCATAGGACCTAGCCCATGGGAAATGTTCAATTCACGATGACTTTTCGTTTTATTCTGATTATTATAATGGAAAGGTGATTTATTCTTTTTTTTGCGTCAGATGTTCTGAAACTGCGATAGAAGATTACATAAATTCTTGGCTGTCACTTTAAAGCCCTGATCCATTTCTTCTGGAAAAGAGGTGAAAATGTAATGTGTGCTCATTCTGTGATGAGAATAACAACAATCTCACAAATATTTCTATGTTGCCTTACCAGGCATTTGAGATTGAAAGCAGATCCAGCCTGTTTCTCCAAAAACTGAATTCATTGCTGGGAGATAATCTCTCTTTTTGAGGTAAAGAATGATTTGTACTAATTTTTTGGAACTAACACTTAAGAATCCCTGGCTGTAGAACTGCAGTGTAGATATAACATCAAAAGGAAATATTTATATAATGTAGTGCATGAGGCTACACAGGGAAGTGAAAATAGCTTGATGGTTGGTATTAGGTGAACCTATTTAAAATCTAGATTCTACTTACTAATCATTTGCTTTGGTGTCATTTCTAAAATGGTGGTTATAATGCCTACTTCATAAGGATATTGAAATATCAAAAAAGATAACATATATGAAGTGCCTTGAGCTAGTCTTTGGTACATAGTCGATGCTCAGTAAATCTTCATTGTCTTCTGTCCTTCCTACAGTGTTTCACATATTTCCATGTACTACTATCTCTTTTTTACTGACTTGTCTTACTTTTAGACTTTCTGACCTTGAGCCTTCACTTCTGAGCCATTCCTATGTTTGCTTACTTGGTATGAGGAAGCCTGATTCTGTCACATAAGTTGCCTATTAGAGTTTCAGGAAAATGCAACTTAAAGGGAAATTAGGTGGTAACTGTGTACTGGCTGAAACATTTGTGAGCTCCCAAAAAATGCATCACTGCCAGGTAATGACTTCTGTTCAATAAGTCTATGTAGTCAACAGAATGATGTTATTCAGTAGTTTATTTTCTTTTGTTGTTTATCTTGGTTCCCTGTCTTTTTGTTTTCCAGGGTGCATGATGATAGCAGAGATTGTTTTAAATTCTATATTCAGTTCAGAGCTTCTGGGTTGTGGGTATTGTCTTGCCAGTGAATGTGAAAGACAGGCATGTCATCACTTAAGTTTTAACAGTCTATCTTCAGGTCTGACTTGGAAACTTGCATAATAGCCAGCATCCAAATAGGGTTGAAGGCAGAGCCCAGATCAATACAAAACATTAAGGCTATCAGTAGTATATATATATATATATATATATATATATATATATATATATATATACCGCTATATATACTGCTTATATATATATATATATATATATATAGCTATAAATAAATTAGGATACCTCTTAGACTGCAGTTGTAGAGTATTTATACAGGTACAAGGTGAGAAGTGGAAGAGATGGTGTCCCAGTATCTTATTTGAATCACTTATTTACTATTGGGGAAAAAAAATGTAAGGAGTGTGGTCTGCGGATAACATCTGGACCAGTTTTATCTACAAATGTCTATTTAAGTTTCCTTCCATTAGACAGATTCTGTTGACTTCTGCCTTATGGGTAACAGACTCCATTCTATACTCACACCTTCACATATTTATAGACACAATATTGATATACTGATGGAAAAGATTGGTTCTCATTATTGTTAAGATATTGGCATAATGTTAGGTCAGTGATCAAGAAATGCTGCAGACAAGAATTAATGCTTTTTTAAAAAAAGATGTCTGTACTTTTGCCAAGTTTGAAAGATATGCATGTAATATATATATATATATTCACAATACATAATACATGATGCATAACATAATTACTAATATTATACATCTATGATGTATATGTATACATTATGTATATATATTTTGAAATTCTGATGGTAGGTTATTTCCTGAAAGACAGAGAATTTTGGGAGTAACATCACCCTTAAAGTTCCCACTTAATGAAGAAAATCAAACACTTATAAGGACCTTATAACTTAAAATTTAAAGAGGAGTTGCTCTGTTGTTTGTTTTGAAGAAGTATCTATGATTTGAAAGGTAGAGATAAAAGATTTAGTGCTTTTCAAATTTAAATGCCTGTTTTCTATTTTTATAGCTCTGGTTATTATCAGAATGCTACCTTTTTATTTTTTTAACAAGGTGAATTAGTTAGTCATTACTGTATGTATACAGTGCATTTTTGCCAAAAGTTATAAAACACATATGTTATTAATATAAAGACAAAACTTTCAAATCACAGATGCTAAATTGGCTTAAATTTCATTGAAGAAGAATGTACATTTGACAAATTAGAGACACATTTTTCCAAAGAAAATTATAAGAACAAATATTAGATCCTTTATGTTAAAAGTGTAAACAGCTAGAATTTAAGAACGTAAGAAGAATAACTGTATATGAGGAACTAAGTTTCCCCAGGTTGTAAGTTTCTTTCCAGTGGTAGTTCAGTGGGGTAATGAGACCAATAAAAGGAAAGGGAGATAGGAATGATGATGGGGTTCTGTTCGCCTTCAGAATGGAAGCCTGATGTCATGTGGAAGTAGATTTAATTAGATGTGCATTTCTTAAGGAATCCGTAAATCAAGTCCAGACTGTTCTCTATTAAATTTTTAGGGTGAGCCTACCTGAAGTTCTATCTTTGTGCGTTTTCATTCTATCTGATGATACAGTGCTCTTTATGTGACCTGAAAAATATATAAACTCATTTCTTCTCCCAGCAGCATTCAAACTCAGCAGTCTCTCTCTTCTTTAAATGTGCATATTCCATATATCTCCCTGGATACCAGGACTCTCAGTAGCTGTTGCTATTTTGTTCTCCTACTTTGAAACATACTTTTCTGAAATCACCTACCTTGTTATTTCTCTTAACTTTTGAGCAGTATTTGGTGCTGCTGACGATTTTCTCCTTGAGCACTCTTCCCCAGGCTCCAGGGCATCACTTTCCACTGATTGTCTCATCTCCTTGGCTGCTCCTTCTCAGCCTCTTTCATGGGCCTCTCTTCTCTGCTTAGCCTGAGAAGTTGGTATTCCTTCAGATTCTGTCCTTGGCTCTTCTCATTTACTGGGTGGTTTTAATTTCTGTTATTAGTTACTTTCTGCATGCTGATGACTTCTCAATTTGAATTCTCACCAGGTCTTCTCTCCCAAGCTCTAGATCCATACATCCAGTTGTTTATTGACCTTTTCCACTTAAATGTGACAGAAGTACCTTAATCTCAATATTTTCAGAAACTGAAGTCATTATCTTCCATACCCCGTCTTACCCCAAAACCTACTTCTCTTTGTATTTAATATCTCAGGATTAGTACTGGCACCTATAGGTGCTCAAGCTAGATTTAAATAGATGCATAAAATCTCTTGCCCTGAACCATATCTCTCTGTCCCCACCCATTAGCCTAGCTTAGGCCACCACTATTGCTACATTTGCTTTGTTGCAGCAGCCTGTTCTCCCTTCCTGTAGTCTTTCTTCTTCAATACATTTTTTATACTTCAGAACACATAGAAAGAACTTCCTTGGCTTACAGTCTTACTTCTTTGCCTCCTATTATCTCTAGGCTTAAGTACCAATTCCTTAATATGGTTATCAGGCCCTTCGTGACCTCATGATTTCATCATTGCTTTCTTTTCTAGCCTTGTCTCTCAGCACTCCCCATACCAGTGCATGACATGGATTTTTCTCTTTAAAAATGTGTACGTGGCTTCCTCTCTGGAGCTCCTGCCTCTTCCTCCCTTACCACTTTTGCTTGGTGAGTTTCTAATTGACTTAATTTCTCAGCATGCATGATATCTCCTCCAGAAGCTCTTGCTGACATCCCCACTTCCTTCCTCCCACTTAACCAGAGTTTTGTGTTTTCTCCTAGGTAACCCTATCGCTTACCCCTATCATGGATTTATCCTAATGTATTAGAACTGTCTTTTTACTCTCACATTTCCCTTCTAGACTGTAAGTTCCTTAAGGTTAGCAATGGGCTTATCTGTGTTGTAACTTGTTAGTAGTTCCTGGAACATAGTGGATACTACAAAGCTATTTCTTGAGTTGAGTGTATGCATGAATTACTGTGACAATTCCTTACTGTTTCCATAGTGGTTTTGCCAATGTCATCATGTATCATATCTTCTCTTATTTTCAGAATTTCTCTTCTAACTTCTATAAGAGCTTAACTTCAAAACATGTTGAACAGTATATACTGCTAAATGAAAAAGGGAAATACAGAATGGTGTTATGGTATGCTTCCCTTCGGGTAAGAAGGAAGGAATATAAGAAAATATATGTGTATGTATTTATTTGTGTAAAAGAAATTAAAGCAGGATAAATCAGAAACTAAAGAGATTGGTTACCTATAGGAAGTGAATGGCAAAGGGGTAGAAAGAAGGGGAGAGAGATGGAAACAAGATAAAAAGGATAAGGAGGGTGCAATTCTTTTCTGAGAAGCTCTTTGTGTTTTGCTTGATTCCTAGAAACATAGTAGTGTTTTGCATACTCCCTCTCTATAAATAAATAGATCAATAAAACCAGGATGTAGGGGAACCTAAAATTGGATACAAAAATATAACAGATGAGCCTGACTTTATTGTGAATTGATATTGATAACATATTTACACTGAAGGGGGTGGGAAAGAAAAGCACTAATCTGGGTATTTTGACTGGTATTGTGAGGCTAAGGGTAAAAAGTATTATACACAAACGCTTCGCTCAAGTTAGTGAATTTGTGTATCCTAGCAGTGTGGATTATCAATTCTGAAACTGCTTTATGTGTATGCTAGGATTAAACAAAGAAGTTAGAAGTACAGAAGTGGGAACCCTGTAGTATCAAACTCAATCAGAGGTTGTAGTATGAACTCATGGTTTTTAGTATATACAGATGTGTATATATATATAGTAGCATACAGACATATATATATATGCAGATATATAAATGCAAAAATAAAAATAGGCCGGGCGCAGTGGCCCACGCCTGTAATCCCAGCACTTTGGGAGGCCGAGGCGGGCAGATCACGAGGTCAGGAGATCGAGACCATCCTGGCTATGGTGAAATCCCATCTCTACTTAAAAAAAAAAAAAATACAAAAAATTAGCTGGGAAGGGTGGCTGGCGCCTATAGTCCTAGCTACTCAGGAGGCTGAGGCAGGAGAATGGCGTGAACCCGGGAGGAGGAAATTGCAATGAGCCGAGATCGCGCCACTGCACTCCAGCCTGGGTGACAGAGCGAAACTCCGTTTCAAAAAAATAAAATAAAATAAAATAAATGCAAAAATAAAATAGACGAATGTGTGCATGCACATGCATACATAATACATGATATTCCCTAGCTCTGTCTGAAGAGGACCTGGGAACAAAGAGGGCCTGGGAGCAAAGACATACTAGTAGTAGTGAACATACCTGGTGCCCAGATTTTGGTTTCTAATTACCATCTCTAATAAAAATAACCAGGCTGATTATGTAGGTAATACATGCTTATCTTAAAAAGTGGTTTTATTCTGCTTTTCTTACTTTCTGTATTGTAAGCACTGTCCCATATGAGAAAAAGCATTTTTCAAGATTCAAAGCATATCCAAAAGCAAGGAAGTTTTGCATTAAATATAAATAGTAATAGCACCTTCTTCTACGTGACAGAAGATATAAAAATTAAATACTTTAAAAAAGGAACCAGAGCTCCTTGGAGAAGTGGTTGATTCCAGGGCAGACTCAAGAAAACACAAGATGAGCCAGAAGCATCTTCTAGTGCCAGAAGGCTGAAAGTGCGCTCAAAAGACATAGAAGCCAGCCTCAAAGAGCTTCCAACAGCCAAAGCTGGAACAATTTGAGCAACAAAACAAATAATGGTGATATTAGATTATAGCCTGTAGAATAAAAGAAATATGAACCCATACTGATATAAATAAATAAATAAAAATAGGGGGGAAAGGACAGCTATTCCTTACAGTAAAATTCCATTTGATAAATGAAGAAGAAATGAGAGAATGTAAAATCACCATTAGACAAACATCACAATAGCCATTACTGCAAGCAAGATCCAGCAGTGGATGCTAACATCAGTGAGAGAAAGTTTGAAGAGAAACAAAATATTTGCATAGTCTCAAATATATTTATTAATTTTAAGGGAAAACTGTTACTTTACAGGAGAGAGACCTAGTAGACATCACCTTAACCAAATGATCACAGTGTAATGAGACATATCAACATCATGTATCACACATGTGATGCACTGAGAAGTGTACAACATCATTTCTGTGGTATTAGTGACAAAGGCACACAACCTCAATCTAATTATGATGAAGCACCAGACAACCCCAAGTTGACAAACATTTCAGAAAATAATTCGTCAGTATGCTTCAGGAGTGCCAGTGTCATGAAGACTAAGGAATTATCACAGACTGGAGGAAACTAAGGAGATATAACAACAGATGTGATGTGGAATTTCATAATGGATGCTGAAACAGAAAAGGGACATTAGTGGAAAAACTGGTGAAATTTGAATAAAGTCTGTCAGCTAACTAGCTAACGATATAATACCAATGTTAATTTCCTGGTTTTGGTAATTTTACTGTGGTTATATAAGATGTTATATAGGTGAGGGGTATATGGAAACTCATTGTACTATTTTGTTTTCAATCTTGCTCTAAAATTATTTAAAACAAAAAAGTTTATAAAGAGGAACTACAAATATGCTCTATGGTCTCTTCCTAAAAACAAATACATACAGATATTTAGGATAAAGCTATTGGGTTATCGATTGACTTTTGACTTTTATAATTTAGGTATGTGTTTTACCATTTTGAGGGAAACTACTGAAAGAACAGAATAGAATAGAGAAAAAACAGAAAATATTAAAGGAGACAAGAAAAAAGAAGAAAATGGGAGGACAACTGGAAAACATAAAATGCTCTTTCTGCCAGATTAAGGAAAGTCTCTTTTATTCTGAGTTTGCTGAAAGTTCTTACCATGAGTGGATGTTTTAAGCTCATTAAATGTATCTTCTGCATCTTTGAAATGATCATTTAATTTTTCTTATTTTTTTGCCATATTTCTTTTAATTTTTATCTATAATTAGGAAATTTTTCTCAATCCCAGGCTACAGAGGAAGTTTATATTTTTTTATAGTTACATGGTTTCATTAGTATAGAACTCTTATCATTTTGGAATTTGAGATGCCACAGTAAGGTACACTCAACTTCCATGTGCAATTAAATTTTACATTCATCAGGCAGCATTCTGCTAAAAGAACCCTCTCTTTTTCAATATAAATGTTTAATTTTTACATATAGATAATATTTGTACATACCATAAATATGTAGTACATGTGATATTTTGATACAAGGATACCATTGGCAATGATCAAATTAGGGTAATTGGAACATCAGTCACTTCAAATATTTTATCATTTCTTTGTGTTAGGAACATATCAATTCCACTCCTCTCGTTATTTTTAAATATATAATAAATTATTGTTAGCTATAGTCTTTTTATTGTGCTTCTGAACATTAGACCTTATTCCCTGTATCTAGTTGTATTTTTGTATTTACTATCCAAACCTTTTTATCCCCTGCTCCTCACTACCCTCCCAGCCTCTAGTAACTGTCATTCTACTCTCTTATTTCCATGAGGTCAATATTTTAGCTTCCACATATGAGTTAAGGCAGGATAAGAACATGCAATATTTGTCTTTCTGTGTCTAGCTTATTTCACTTAACGTAATGTCCTGTAGTTCCATCCATGTTATTACAAAGGAAAGGATTTCATTCTTTTATGTCTGAATAATATTCCATTGTTTATATGTATCACATTTTCTTCATTCATTCGTTGATGGACACTTAAGTTGATTACATATCTTGCCTAGTGTGAATAGTGCTGCAATAAACATGGGAATGCAGATCTCTCTTCAATATACCAATTTCCTTTCTTTTGGATATATATACAGCAGTGGGATTGCCAGATCATATAATAGTTCTATTTTTAGTTTTTTGAGGAACCTCCATACCGTTTTCCATAGTGGTTGTATTAATTTACATTCCCACCAACAGTGTACAAACATTCCCCTTTCCCCACATCCTCACCAACATCTGTTACTTTTTCTCATTTTGATAAAAGCCATTTTAACTGGAGTGAGATGATGTCTCATTGTGGTTTTGATTTGCATTTCTCTGATGATTAGCGATGTTGAGCATATTTTTCATGTATGTGTTGCCCATTTGTATACCTTCTTTGGAGAAATGTCTGTTCAATCTTTTACCCATTTTTAATTGGATTTTCTTTCTTTTTTTTGCTATTGAGCTGTTTGAGAACTTTCTCTTGTCTATCAATCAACTATTTACCTATCCATTTTTAAAATTAATATAGGATTGATGGATTCATTTTATTCAGTGGTTATACTTCACTACTGCCTTTGCTTATTTTGATACTGAAAATTTCCCAGATTTGAGCAGAGGAAAATAATTCAGGCTCCTGTGTCCTCCTTCCCTCTCACCCCTCCCTGGCTCCTCTTTCTGTTCTTCCCTTTCCCTCTTTCTTTCTTGTAATTTTATTGAGATATAATTCACATGCCACAAAATTCACCCTCCTATGTCCTTTTAATATGCCCCCATCATTTTTTTCCCTAATTTTCTAATTTTCTGGTACAATAAGACATTTTTGGCCTATTTTGTACCTTCCCAAGCTTGAAATAAGCAATTTCTCCTGGTTCTTTTTAGTATAGGATATTATTAAGAAACCAGTATCTGAGTAGTAGTTGTGCTTATTGCTATTGGTGTGTTATTGCTTCTTGATTCTTCAGTGGACAGGAAAAACGTACGAAGAAGTAAATGTTTATGATTTGTTTGCTCTTCTATTCCCTAGACTGCTTTTTTAACATCTAAAAATGGTAGCTCATGAAATATACTCTTTTGCACTTTGATTTTGCAGGGTAACAGTGTACCCTAGATATCAGGTTCTACCAGTTCATAGAGCTCTTTCTTATTCTTGTCTAAGCTTTATAGTTCTCCAATTTATGGATATACCATAGTTTATTCAACCACTCTCATTTAAGTAGTTTCAACTGTTTTGCTACTGCAAAAAAATGCTGTAATTTATTACTTTGTGCAGATATATTTTCATTTTATTAAAGGTATTGATAATTAATTTTAAGACTTCATCTTAGCTATTTCTTAAAACTTTATCAAAGGCGCTCACTAGGGGTGTTACTGACTGATTTGTTCCACCTTATTTTTTATTTCTCATTTACTCTCTGGTAGATATAGTAATGTACAGTGAAATAGTGAAGATGCAGATAGCCAAGGAGTAGAAGAGAGTAGGGTATGAGAACATTAACTCCTAAATAATAAAGGTTGGCTACTTAGTTGTTCCCATTTCACATGTACAAGGCTATTTGCACCTAGCTTGGGGTTTTTAGTTGCTGGCATTAGTGGTGGCGCTGCTATCTTTGTCTTCAGGTGGTTCACTGGTAGAATATTTAAAAAGGAAGGTCCTCAAAGACTGTCCACTTCAACTTCTCCATTGTGCATGTGGGGTCCCAGTGCCCACAGGCTTACCTGATATCACATAGCATTTTAATGGTGAGCTGTGACTGGAACCAGATCTCCAAACACATGCTTGTTCCACCTACACCACATCATCTTTCCTTTTACAAACATCAGACTTTGGCATGGAGTGGGAAAAACTTTTTTTGCAAATAGTGAATATAAGAAGCTAAATAACTTATTTTGATTTTAACTTTTAAGGTCCTTTATTTTTTTGCTCCAATTTTTGCTGCAACTCTTTGCCCTTTCTTCTCACCAACTGTGGGTCAGTGGTAAGCAGCAGATACACAGTGCTTACTATGTGCTGGCCACTTTTTAAGCACATTACACATATTAAAGCATTTATCCCTTCCAGTCATCCAACAAGGTAGAGATGATTTCAGATGAAGAAGATGAGGCCCAGAGAAGCTAAGTAACTCATTCAAGGTCACATGCATGTTCAAGGTCTGGGCTGCTGATTGATAAAGTCCTGGCAGCACAGACAAGAATATGTCTCCCTGATGTCTTTTATTTTTTTCCCCTGCCATATTTGGTACCAGAGCCAGAGATCCCCTGGGACCACACAGATTATCCTAGAAATTTCTGATACAGGGAAGAATAAGTACTTCAATTGTACTGGAAGTCATAGAAAACACACACACACACACACACACACACACACACACACACACACGCGCACACACACACACTTTCACTATTTATTTATTTTATATAGGTTATGTGTAAACTATATAGAGAGAGTTTGACAGGTTATTTCAGAGTGAGTGGAAAGACTTTCAAAAGAAAATTTGAAGACATTTTAAAACTTTTTCCTTTCAGCAGTTAATTGATTGCTATTTTTAAATTTAAAATATGCATACTTTAAATACCTCAAGATTTCTTGAAGTTATAACTTGGGCTTCTTGCTTACGATTAATTAAAAAGAAGTGATCTTTTTATTCACAAGTGGGGCTTTTATCTGGCTTCTACTATTATGTAACCTTATCTGACTTGAACAGGTCTGGTGATAGGATGATTTACCACTCTAAACTTCAGGACTTGAGGCTGGTAAGTATTTGTCTTTTAAAAGTATGAAATGATTTAAAAAAAGATATTCCAACCTCTCCCAAGTAGAGGAGGACAGAGAAGAATTGATGCTGCATGCTCTTGGCTGGCCCAGTATTCCTTTCAACTTTTTAGTTGAATTAGAGTGGTGTTCTCATGGGTTCAATCATGCTGTCATGAAACAGTTCATCAGTATGTCTCTTAAAAGCCTTAAATAAATGTCCTCTTGGTACACATACACCCTCCCAAGACTAAACCAGGAAGAAGTTGAATCTCTGAGTAGACCAATAACAAGCTCTGAAATGGAGGCAATAATTAACAGCCTACCAACCAAAAGAAGTCCAGGACCAGATGGATTCACGGCCAATTTCTACCAGAGGTACAGAAAGGAGCTGTTACCATTCCTTCTGAAACTATTCCAATCAATAGAAAAAGAGGGAATCCTCCCTAACTCATTTTATGAGGCCAGTATCATCCTGATACCAAAGCCTGGCAGAGACACAACAAAAAAAGAATTTTAGACCAATATCCCTGATGAACATCGATGTGAAAATCCTCAATAAAATACTGGCAAACGAAATCCAGCAGCACATCAAAAAGCTTATCCACCACAATTAAGTCAGCTTCATCCCTGGGTTGCAAGGCTGGTTCAACATACACAAATCAATAAACATAATCCATCACCTAAACAGAACCAACAACAAAACCACATGATTATCTCAATAGATGTAGAAAAGGCCTTAGACAAAATTCAACAGCCCTTCATGCTAAAAACTCTCAATAAACTAGGTATTGATGGAACATATCTCAAAATAATAAGAGCTATTTATGACAATCCCACAGCCAGTATCATACTGAATGGGCAAAAACTGGAAGCATACCCTTTGAAAACACGCACAAGACAAGGATATCCTCTCTCACCTCTCCTATTCAATGTAGTGTTGGAAGTTCTGGCCAGGGCAACCAGACAAGAGAAAGAAATAAAGGGTATTCAATTAGGAAAAAAGGAAGTCAAATTGTCCCTGTTTGCAGGTGACATGATTGTATATTTAGGAAACCCTGTCATCTCAGCCCAAAATCTCCTTAAGCTGATAAGCAGCTTCAGCAAAGTCTCAGAATACAAAATCAATGTGCAGAAATCACAAGCATTCCTATACACCAATAACAGACAAACAGAGAGCCAAATCATGAGTGGACTCCCATTCACAATTGCTATAAAGAGAATAAAATACCTAGGAATCCAACTTACAAGAGATGTGAAGGACCTCTTCAGGGAGAACTACAAACCACTGCTCAACAAAATAAAAGAGGACATAAAGAAATGGAAGAACATTTCATGCTCATGGATAGGAAGAATCAATATCGTGAAAATGGCCATGCTGACCAAGGTAATTTATAGATTCAATGTCGTCCCCATCAAGCTACCAATGACTTTCTTCACAGAATTGGAAAAAAACACTTTAAAGTTCATATGGAACCAAAAAAGAGCCCGCTTTGCCAAGACAATCCTAAGCAAAAAGAACAAAGCTGGAGGCATCACGCTACCTGACTTCAAACTATACTACAAGGCTACAGTAACCAAAACAGCATGATACTGGTACCAAAACAGAGATATAGACCAATGGAACAGAACAGAGGCCTCAGAAATAACACCAGACATCTACAATCATCTGATCTTTGACAAACCTGACAAAAACAAGAAATGGAGAAAGAATTCCCTATTTAAATGGTGCTGGGAAAACTGGCTAGCCATATGTAGAAAGCTGAAACTGGATCCCTTCCTTACACCTTATACAAAAATTAATTCAAGAGGGATTAAAGACTTACATGTTAGACCTAAAACCATAAAAACCCTAGAAGAAAACCAAGGCAATACCATTCAGGACATAGGTATGGGCAAGGACTTCATGACTAAAACACCAAAGCAATGGCAACAAAAGCCAAAATAGACAAATGGGATCTAATTAAACTGAAGAGCTTCTGCACAGCAAAAGAAGTTACCATCAGAGTGAACAGGCAACCTACAGAATGGGAGAAAATTTTTGCAATTTACCCATCTGACAAAGGGCTAACATCCAGAATCTACAAAGAACTTAAACAAATTTGCAAGGAAAAAAAACAACCCCATCCAAAAGTGGGCAAAGGATATGAACAGACACTTCTCAAAAGAAGACGTTTATGCAGGCAACAGACACATGAAAAAATGCTCATCATCACTGGTCATCAGAGAAATGCAAATCAAAACCACAATGATATACCATCTCACGCCAGTTAGAATGGCGATCGTTAAAAAGTCAGGAAACAACAGATGCTGGAGAGGATGTAGAGAAATAGGAACACTTTTACACTGTTGGTGGGAGTGTAAATTAGTTCCACTATTGTGGAAGACAGTGTGGAGGTTCCTCAAGTATCTAGAACTAGAAATACCATTTGACCCAGCGATCCCATTACTGGGTATATACCCAAAGAATTATAAATCATGCTACTATAAAGACACACGCACACGTATGTTTATTGTGGCACTATTCACAATAGCAAAGACTTGGAACCAACCCAAATATCCATCAGTGATAGACTGGATTAAGAAAATGTGGCACATATACACCATGGAATACTATACAGCCATAAAAAAGGATAAGATCATGTCCTTTGCAGGGACATGGATGAAGCTGGAAACCATCATTCTCAGCCAACTGTCACAAGGACAGAAAACCAAACACCGCATGTTCTCACTCACAGGTGAGAATTGAACAATGAGAACACTTGCACACAGGGCGGGGAACATCACACACTGGGGCCTGATGGGGGATTGAGGAGTAGAGGAGGAATAGCATTAGGAGAAATACCTAATGTAAATGACGAGTTGATGGGTGCAGCAAACCAACATGGCACATGTATACCTATGTAACAAATCTGCACATTGTGCACATGTACCCTAGAACTTAAAGTATAATTTTAAAAAATGTCCTCTTGCTAAGAAGTCTGAAAATTGGATTCAGACATATCTTTGCCCTATCACTTTATTTTTTTATTTGTAATAATTTTATACTATTATCATGCCTTCACACAAGTTATCACATTTAATTTCTACATAGATCTTGAAATAAGGAGGGAAGCTATTACCACCAGTGTGTAGAGAAAACTGAGTCTTAGAGATTTTAAGCAATTTGCCCCAGGTTGCAGTACAGTGGTGAGGTAGAGCTGGTAGGAAATGAGTAAGCTGGACTCCTGACTCCAATGCTTGTTCTTCCCTACAAGGCAGGACACTCCCAAGTGGGATGACTTGCGATCCCAGAAATCACAATAGTTGTTCAGCTGTGGTCTGGAATGGAGCAAGACAATGCCAGAGACTGCTTCTTCTTTTTTCACAGGAAGTCACCTGCTTGTGCAGGCCCTTTAAGACTACTTTTGCACTGCTCTACATATTTCTCTTGTTTTGGTGGAGAACTCTGCTAAATATTTGAAGCCTAGTTTTGGCAAGTTCTGAAAGATAAACCAGAAGTTACATAGGAAGTTGAGTGTGTTACCACTCACCTAGCATAATCTCCCTGCCACACACAGCCTGAAAACAAAAACAAAAACCAAGGTTTCAGGTAGGAATTTATGCTTTTACGTTGCATTGCCTTTTGGGAAGGACTCATCGTCACAGCTGTGTTCTGAGATGCCTGAGCTGTTAAAATCTATCCCATATCAGTATATAAGCTTTCATATTTCCTGTATCTCTAGGACAAAGGACAATGGTGTAGTTTTCCAACTGGATTCAGAATATACTTAGCAAAGCATATGCAAAAACATATGCAAGAACTAGTATGAAACATTGGAGTAAAGCCCAAAGGAAATATGCATTAAAAGTACCAGAACATGAAAATCCTGTGTTCAAAGAAGCGCATTCAGCGGCTTTAGGCTGCTGCCTTTTGCAGGCTCTGCTCTCCCACCAGGCTTCAGGGCTGTCTGTTTCTCCACAGTCAGAAAGCTAAAGCTTGCTCTTTGGCCCTAAGTCCTGACAACTTGAAAATCTTAGTATTGGGCATTCCTATTTGAAATCCCTAATAAAAGTGGGAAATTTTTGAAGGGCCATCCTTTTCAGTGTTTAGCTTGGAATTCATCCTGCCCTTCAGGGGCCTCCAAAAAAGACAAACCACTTCATCCTCTGAAACACTTCATTATGAGCTGAAAGGGAGCCAGTACAGAAGACCCTATTCTATCTGAGATGGAACAGGACAGTATGTTTGTCTTGTTTCCTAGTATTGCCAGGTCTTAGGGTCACCAAGCCATCCACTGTCTCAAGTTGGTCTTATTTATTTGTGTCATGCAAAGGGGAATTCATTTTCTAAATTGTTAAGAGTTAAAATATGTTTATTACACTCTTTGGAAGGTTTGGCCCGGCGTGTATCACAGCCCTGTCTTGAAGCACTGAGGTTTGTTTTCCATCAATTTTCGCCTCAAACATGAAAGAAGTTTCAACAGTGGCTAGGATATTACCTGTCATTTTAATGATCAGATGAAGAGAAGTTAAATTATAAGATGACCTGGACAACAACCAGACTTCAGAATCCATTTCAATAAAGTGTTAGTGAGCTTCCCAGTACCCCTGATGATGGTGAAAAAAATAAAATGTCAGCCAAGCATTTCAAGACAGATTAGAGAATTACCCAATTCCCTCCACCTCCTCACTCTAAGTCTAAGGCAAATGTTTGTTTAAAAATTTAAAACTAAGCAGTTTATGTTCAACTGGATGAATTCATTCATTTGGGACAGAACACCAACCAAAAAATGTAATCTATAATGTTTGCTTCATACCTAGTATATTCTTCATGAAGAACTCTCTTTTCTGTGTCATTACTCAATTGGAACACCATAAATGCAGCAAAAAGTTTTATTTAATTATTAGCTGTTTTAAAACCAATTTATTTATGATAACAATAACATTTGTCGACCACTTTTGTATGCCTGGCATATCCTTATGGGAACTTTTATTTAATCTTTTAAAAAATCCTACAAGATAGGTACTTATTACCCCCCTACTTTATAGATGACTGAATAGAGGCCTCTGCTGGTTAGGTGACTTGCCAAAGGCCATCCAGCTGTGGAGCAGGAACTGAAGCCCAGGAGTCTCACTCCAGCACGGTACCCTCTTCACTAGATGATTTTCTGTCATGTAGCTCAATTAGCCCGGGTAACATGGTTGGTTGATGACACGTCTACTAGATGATCACTCGAGAAAAGAAAGTTAATCACGAGGCATTGTTTTTCAGGGACAATGGGAGAAATTGACTTTTTAACATGCTTATTTAGCATCTGTATAATTGTAGTGGGCCCTGTAGAAGTAATTTTATAGAAGTAGACTTAGGTAGAAATGAAGTAGGTAACAGTCAAGAAATAAGATTGCTTATTTGTATGCAAAACAATAGCCTATGGCTTATGTTGCCAAGAAAAGACTTTGTTTTTCCTTTTTAAGTGATGACTACCCATATGCTGCTCAAAAGAGACCAGAGAAAACATCAAAGAACCCTACAAGAGGCTGAACCAGAGAATATTCTGGAAGGTTGTTAAAGAATAATTTCACTGAGGAGAAATTTTTTACAGATGAAACTGGCAGATGGGAGTTATTCATTCATCTCTTCCAGAAATAGCTGAAAGGAATACAATAGAAATCATTCTATTTTGAACATATATAGGGTGATGGATTCAGCCAGGATGCTAAGACAGTTTTGGATTTTTTCAGTTTTATATGCTTAGGGTTTCCATGAATATCACTGAAACCCGTGATTCAGTAACTTGGAGTGCTAGAGGTTTAATGCTCTCTCTGCATTGTGAACCACATCATTTAGAACAGAACCTTTGGAAAAAGTAAAGGTTGTTTTGAACATTGGTAAGTATCCATACCAAGCTGTGTTATACAGCCAGTCATTGGCCATGGCCGTCAGAGAAAGCCTTTGTCTACCACTTACCGAAAGGTGTGTATTTTGTGTGTATTTTTGTGTGTGTGTGTGTGTGTGAGAGAGAGAGAGAGAGAGAGGAAGAGAGTGAGAAGAATCTTTTTTATTTGTTTTTTTTTGTTCTAAAATGTCCATCTTGGGCCAAGACACTGTGTACTTGCTTCGGGGAAAAAGACTATAAAATAGGACACTTGTTTCAAAAATAAGTAGTTTTTCTAGTAGAATTAAATGATAGCAGAGTAAGTTCTTCTCACTGGCGAAATGGAAGGTCACTGTATGTCCAGAGACTTTATTTACACCTATAAACGTTATGACTGTGGCACATTAAGCCCATATTCTTGTACATAAAAAGCCACTTTACCTCAGCCTTAACTTGTTCCTGTAAAAACAGAGCTTTGTTTTATAGCCTGTCTAGCTGTATCTCTGCTTGACAAATAGACATCAAATAAAGAAGCAATTGTGCAAGAAGGCTCATGTAACTTACTCAGAGACTTTGGCTAGATCTACTTACCTGAACAGCCTTCAGTAGTAACAAACGGAGCCCAGCTGATAAATAGCTGGTTTTAATTTTCATGAAAGTTAGAAGTATCACCTGCCAAGAGGGTTGGTTATTCTTGTAGTTTGGGTTCAAAAGCCTTGCTGGTTCCAGAATGATGATAGCCACTAACATTTATATGATATTCTGACCTTTTCAAAATCATTTATATGATCTCATTTTATCCTTACAAGGTTTTTAGAAAGTAAAAGCCATAATATATATAGCATATACTGTTTCAGTTTGTTTTTCACGCACATGAATTTAAACACACACGATTTCCAGAATAATTTACTATCAATTCCTTAATAGACTAATGTACTCTTTTTTTTTCTTTTCTTATTTTCCTTTTCTTATTTTCCTTCTTTTGTGTTGTCTAGACAGTTTTACTTCCAATTATTTTACACCATGGTTAGTCATCGGTGAGCTTCCAGGCCTTTGCAGAACATTGTGATTTTTTCTTTTCTTTTCTTTTTCTTAAGACTTGATGTAAAATCATGACTTGTCTTTTTTCTGCTTGGTTTTCTCACCTACCCCTAGCCCCTCTTTGCTGTAATAGATATTGACCCTAAGTCCTTGAGTTATCTCAGTCAGGGCACTGGGTGAGGGAAGGCCTATCAGACATCTGAGTGGTTGTTGGAAAATATGGAGGAGTTAGGCCAACTAGGAGGCAGAGGTGTTCCAGGCTGAGTAAACTGTATGCATGCAAAAAGGCACAGAGGTGGGGCACAGTGTGAGGAGGCTCGGAAATGTAATGTGAGCAGACCCATGGGGCTGCTTGGAAGGGGTGGTGTCCATCAGAGGAGGCTGGGAAGGGGCTAAGTGAAGGCCAGGACAGGTTGGGAGAACTGCAGTCTACTCCAAAAAGCTAAACAGAACCACTTAAGGCTTTTAAGTACAAGGATGATATGATCACTGTTCCCTTTTCATAGTTATACCTTGTTTCTACAATACACACACACACACACACACACACATACACACACTGCATCTGATGCTCACAAGGTCAAAGTTACATAGTTAACATTTCTGGACACTTTTGCCCTTCAGGTTCTATTTCTACTCACTTGACCTCCTGCCCATTCATTTTATTCAATTCAGTAAACATTTAGTTAGGAACATCTTAAAGCCCTCCAGGAGCAGATCTGCCACATTGTATGTTTACATGGACTTAAAGAGAATATGAGGATTTGGGTGATGAAAGACTTTTCTTAATTTAAACTTGGCAACATCCTTTCCCATCCTCATACTTTCTTGTTAAATGTGTCCCCTTATGACTGCCATGGTGTTGCACGTCTGCTCAGTTTGTGGGAGCTCCATACCACATCTATTCCTGCCTGCTACCAGAGGACCAGCCTTTGGAACAAGACTGCTGGTCCAGAACTAAGTAATGTGGGAGCCTGTACTTTCTCCTGTATTTTGCATTATCTTGAATATACCCTCTTGTTTCATTTTGCTGGTATCTACAATTTGACCCGCATATGTCTGAAAACAGAATTCTATTTTTTCTAAGACTAACCTTACCAAGCTCAGACATAGTAGTAAAGAAATCTCCTTTTTGACTACTTCAGTGACATATCTTAATATGAAAGCATTTAGCACCATGCCTGACAAGTGGGGGATGCTCAGTACTTTCGTTTCCTCTCCCCTCTACCCTTTCTCCCTATTTTTATTTATTTGTGTTGCTTTTTGGTGTTTTGGTTGATATTGTTGCATCAGCTTACATGCATTTGATAGATCCATGATAGATAGATAAATAGACTTCTTTATCTATAGACAGACTATCTATAGACTAGATCTTCCTTTCCTTTCCTGTCCTGTCCTGTCCTTTCCCCCTTGATTCTCTTTATATATATATTTCTCACATTGGATTCTTGATATTTGGTTTCTTTAATTTTCACATATAGTTTTTGTTTGTTTATTTATTTATTGAAAGCCATTTTATCCAAGTGATTGTACTTAATTATGGGAGATACAAGCCAGGATAAGATAAAATCCTCAGCATAGGAGAGTCTGGTACAGGAGATACACAAATAAAGACGCCAAAACATGTGATGTGCCCTTTGGGAACATCTAGGGTATTTGAGAGCTAGGGCTTGACTCTGGATTTGGGGCTGGAAAAAATTTTACAGAGGAAGTGACCTGGAGAGGCCAAATGCTACGAACATGGTTTTAGAGCCACGTTTTTGGTTGAGTTTGTATCATAGCTTCGCACTAACTAGCTGTGTGACCTTGGGTAAGTTATTTAACCCCTCTGTGCCTCAGTTTTCTCATCTGTAAAGGGGAGATTATAATAGCATTACCTTGTAGATGTTGTTACCAGTGTTGAATGTTATTATATATATCTCATTTAGAATAGCACTTGCCTTTTAGAAGCACTTGATAGATATTAGCCATTGTCATTATTATTATTATTTCTATAATTATTATCATAGTTATTCTTTAAGCTGATTCATGAAGAATGTTATTTAAAGGAACATTCCTGGCAGAGGATATAATTTAATTGGTGTTACTTTGAATATAATAACCCCTCCACTATATTTTCTAAGTGGATATTGTTAATGCAGAGAGAAATGATCAATATTTTTATACTTATATTTTACATGTATTTTGTAATCTTCTACCTAGTCTATGTGATAGGTGGAAAATAAGACTTTTTATTTTATATTTTTGGAATTTTTTAGGTCTACAATTATATCATCTGGAAATTATGATTATTCTTTTTTCTAATGCATACATTTCTTCCTTTCTAAAATATCTTATTATACTGCTTTGAATTTCTGGAACAATGTCAAGTAGTAGTTGTG
Organism: Homo sapiens; assembly: GCF_000001405.40. Classification (NCBI taxonomy): domain Eukaryota; kingdom Metazoa; phylum Chordata; class Mammalia; order Primates; family Hominidae; genus Homo; species Homo sapiens. The sequence goes on from NC_000007.14 coordinate 33,584,379, forward strand.
ATAGCTAAGATCCTCATTTTTAACCTAATGCTAACGTGAATATTTTGTCTGCTTTACTTATAAATTTTATGTTGCCTATTAGTTTTAGATCCTTATTCCTAGTTCACTGGCATTTTTAAAAAAATTAGAGTCCAGAGTGCTCATCATTACACTATGGAATCTCTATTTTTTTTTGAAAATTAGAAGTGGATGTTAAATATTATCCTCTATTGAGATTCCGTTTTGATATATTTATTTGAGGACTTAATTGAATCATTTTGCATTTCTGGATCAAGTTATCTTTAATTATACTTTTAAAAATATGATTCTGAGTTTGAATTACTAATACCTTAATGGATTTTGCATACATATACATGCATGAGATTGCTCTCAAATTTTTTCCTGAATGAGTTTGTACTCAGGGATTTGGGTGGTTTTATAGCATGGTGATGCTAACTTTGGAAAATAGATCTTCCTAGAAATGTTAAATGTTCTACCACTGTCCAGCATCTTTAGAAAATGCCAAGTTCCCTTCCCTAAGATCATTCTTTTAATTATTTTTCCTTTATATTTGTTGTAATTAAATTTTATCCTCTATGAGCTCCTTTGAATTTTCCCAACTTTCAGAAGATTGATTTTGTCTTTTTCCTCAACAGAATTGGTAAAGGCTTTATTTTCCACTTTATTATTTTACTTCTTTTTAGTTGTAAATCCTATCTACTCTAATGAGCCACTTTCTCTCCTTTGTAATTATATGCTGGATTCCTATAGAAGTATCCACCAATGCTGAATTCTTTTAAAACAGTGCAAGATGTTTTTAGACAGTCTCAGGGTCTATCTTCATTGGTGTCTCTTTAAGTTACTTCTGTGCTAATTCCTTTTTTACTAAGAGGAAACTTCAGTGATTTTCCCAAACCCTTTCACTTTTCTTTTGAGCAAGGGGTGTAGTAGGTGTTGAGGATATGGAGTATATACCATGATCTTCTTTTTGCCAGTCTAGAACTCAGATTGTTTGGACAGTAATTCACAACTGCATTTCTATGTGTCTTTCCTTTCTGACAAGGAGAAGCGAGAGAATGGGATAGTTTAGACTTGAATTTTGGAATCAGCATATAACAGATTTGAATTCAAGTTCTCCCAATCACTATGTATGTGACTTTGAGCAAGTCACTTAAGCTTTTTACAGCTTAGTTTCATCATTAGTGAAATGAGACACTAATCACTACCATTCTAGATCACTATTAAATGAGCAAACACAAAATAAGTAACACTATGGCTAGCACATAAGTGCTAAAAAAAAGGTACTAATGTAATTATTATTCAATTATGATTAACATATTCTTATATAAAAATTGCATCCGGTTCATCACCCCTCAAAACCCATAGTCTGGATCTAGTTGTCTGGATTATCTAAAGTGTAGATAATCTGTACATTCCTGCCTTGTACATTCGTACCTTTTTTTGAGTTTCTTCAATTTCTGCCTTCTGTGTTTCTCTCACTACTGCAGTGTGCTTTGGTAGAAAATACTCATGACACAGCAGACCTGGGCTCTACTCCTAACAGGGTCATTGGCTCACTGTCTGACCTTGGGTCAGTAAATCTTTTTATCATTTATTATAATAACTGCCAATTACTGAGCATCACTTTACCTCTGATGCCTTATATAAGGTTTTATTTACTCCCCACAATCAGTTTTAGGAAGATACTTTCATTTCTCAAATGAAGAAATAGAAACTCAAAGGTATTGGGTAATTTGCCCGGGAGCTAACTTGATGTGTGGTTTTTCTGGGACATAAAGGTGCAGATTTTCTATAAGGAACTTAAACAAATAAACAAGTAAAAACCAAATAACCTCATTAAAAATGGGCAAAAGACATGAACAGATACTTCTAAAAAGAAGACATACAAGCAGCCAACAAACCTGAAAAAATGCTCATAATCACTAATCACCAGAGAAATGCCACCCAAAACCACAATGGGATACCAACTCACACCAGTCAGAATGGCTACTGTTAAGAAGTAAAAAAAAATAAATAACAGATCTGGGTGAGGCCACAGAGAAAAGGGAATGCTTATATACTGTAGGTAGGAATGTGAATTAGTTCAGCCACTATAAAGAGCAGTTTGGAGATTTCTCAGAGAACTGAGAGTTGAACTACCATGCAACCCAGCAATTCCATTACTGGGTATATATCCAAAGAAAAATAAATCATTTTCCCAAAGACACATGTACTTGTATGTTCATCGCAGTGCTATTCACGGTAGCAAAGACGTGGAATCAACCCAGGTGACCATCAGCAGTGGATTGGATAAAGAAAATGTGGTACATATGCACCATGGAGTACTATGTAGCCATAAAAAACAAAACAATGAAAGCATGTCCTTTGAAGCAACATGGATACAGCTGGAAACCATTATCCTAAGTGAACTATGCAGAAACAGAAAACCAGATACCACATGTTCTCACTTATGAGTGGAAGCTGAACATTGGGTACAATGGTCATAAACATAGAATCAATAGACACTGCAGAATGTAAGATCAGGGAGGGCAGGAGTGAAGGTTAATAAAAGCTACCTGTTGGGTACTATGCTCACTCCCTGAGTGATGGATCCATTCATACGCCAAGCTTCAGGATCACACAATATACCCCTTCCAAACCTGAACATGTACCCCCGATTCTAAAATAAAAATTGGGAACAAAAAAGGTGCAGATTTTTACCTACTCTACTGCTCAAAGTTGTGAGACCCAGGGTCAGGTGAAGTTCTTTCATAAACTGTGGACTATGATGTCAATGGAACAGCTCTCTCAGCTCAGTATTTTCTCTCCTGGCCACCACCCTGTCATCCCTATACCTTCTGACTTGTGGATTGTACAGTGAGCCACTTACCCTCATTCCCTCTGGGTTTTCACATCCTTTGTTTCCCTCCATTCTCTCCCTTCCTTTTCTTTGTTCTGTAGTGTTTCCACAGAGCTGCTTCTTGGAGCTCCTATTCTACATCCCCTTTCCTTAACCAGAGAGAGCTCTCTCTTCTGCCTGATGTTTTCTGTTTCAGTTGATCTTTTTGGTGTTTGATACCATTTTAAAAATTGTTTTCATAGCTTAATTGAAGGCAGACAGTTCTACATTTCCTCTTTGTGTTTATAAAAGCTTGGTTTGAAAAAGGGCAGTGCAGGATGTATAGGAGGTAAGAAAGAAAAGAACAGAAACCATTGGGAAGGGCTGCTATGTTCCATCTTCAAAGAAAGTAGAGCTGGGGTTAGTCCAATTGTTTGACAATTGCAAGGGAGTCTTAGTACCATAGTTTGGACAAAACCTGACTTTTTATTGCCAAAAAAATATAAGATAGAGATGGAGGTAAATGTGAATAATTCAAAGTAATGTTTAAACTTTCAGGATATTTCACCTTCTCTGGAATTAGAGATTTATGCTAGTAAAGAGTTAGGGAGGAATTTGAAATGTTTATGTTACCAGAGTGTAAAAAACATTGTCCAGTTGTTTATCTAATCTTTCATTGGGCTTGCTTTTAAAAACACGTTTAGATTTGAAGTAGCCTGGGAAAAATAAACTGTTCCAGGCCATAACTTGATGCCCCAGTGGATATAACATGGATCCTTCTTCATTCGTTTTGAGAAATTTCCCAAGCAGACAGATGTCTTTATACCTTCTTTTGCAGTTTCTTCATCCATAAATAACTATTATCAAGAACTGGAATTACAAATGCTCTGTTATTTCTTTTTAACTTTGATTCCTACAGAAATTACTACTGGGATCTTATTTCTTCTCTGGGGTGGACATTTTGTTGTTGTACCTATTCAGTCTCACAAATTCTCCATGTGTTTTTATCCAGTGAAATTCATTTCCTAAAGATTTGTATCAGCTAAAGCAAAGAACTTTTTGAGAACCTTTTTTGGTTCACAGAGCAGCCAGGTCTACTGGGGGAGTAGAAAGAAGAGATTCTATACTGTGTTCTGTTGTAACTGCTTTCCAACCTCCCAGCGGAAAAGGCAGATAATACTATGTAAAAATTAGAATTGATTTTGGTTTCCGTTGCTTCCTCCTAATCTCTCAGCCTAAATTCATTCATTTAAGTTGACAACTAAATATCGTGTGCCTGTTGTGTGCCAAGCGCTGTTCCAAGACTTAGGATACTGTAGCCACCAAATTAGATAGAGATCCCTGCCATTTTGGAACTCTTATTCTCACAAGTGAAGACAATAAGCAATAAGCATGATAAATAAGTGAACTATGTATGTGAGAAAGTAGTAAGTGCTAATGTTAAGTGTTACAGAAAAAGAAAATGTGTGTCAGAAAAGGGGTGGGGGCCACATGGTCATAATTTCAAATTGGGTGGTCAGGATAGGCTTTGTTCACAAGACAATTTTTGAAGAAAGACTTGAAGAAGGTGAGGGAATTATTCATGCAGAAATCAGAGGGACAAGTGTTTCAGGTAAAGGGAATGGTCAGCACCATCCCTAAAGTGGGAATGGGCCTGGTGTGTTCCAGGGACAGCAAAGAGGACAGTGAGGTGGTGTGGTAGGAGAGGAGGCTGGAGGGACCAGATCATGTGCAGCCTTTGTGCAGACATTTGCTCATTTGCTTTTCCTCTGGGTGAAATGGGGAAAGCCATTTTGAATGAAGGAATGACATGACTTTACCTTTTAAAACGATCACGGGTTACTCTTTTGAGAATAGACTATAGTGGGGGTCAGAGGTAAAAATGGGCAGTCCAGTTTAAGGGTTACTCAGAGAAGCAATTTAGCAATACAGTAATTCCCTCCTTATCCATGGAGGATGTGTTCTGAGACTCCCAGTGGTTGCCTGAAACTGCAGATAGTACTGAACCCTGTACTATGAAAAAATGTTGTGTTTTCCTATACAATAACAGGCAGGCAGCATATGCAGCATGGATGTGCTGAACAAAGGGATGAGTTACGTCCCATGCAGGATGGAGAAGGATGACCCAGGATTTCATCACACTACCCAAAACAGAGTGCAATTTAAAACTTGTGAATTATTTCTGGAATTTTTTATTTAATATTTCAGACTGTGGTTGATTGCAGGTAACTTAAACTGCAGACAGCAAAACTGCAGATTACTGTAATTCAGGTAAGAGATGATGATAGATTGTACCAAAGTGGTAGTAGTGGTGAGAAATGGTCTTATTCTGGATATATTTCAAATGTTGAAACAATAGAATTTCCTAACAAAATGGACATGATATGTGAGAGGAAGAAGGGAATTTAGAATGACTCTAGTAGTTTTGGCTCGAGACACTGAAAGGGTGGAGTTGAGATGGGGAAGGCTGTGGGGTGAGATGGGAAAGGTTTGTGAAGGATAAGAGTAAAGTTTGGGACATGTTGAGTTTGAGATGCTGTTAGAGATCTAAGTGGAGATATTAAGTAAGAAGTTGGGTATGAATCTGGGGTTCAGGAGAGAAATCTGGGCTGAAGTTACAAAATTAGGAGTTGTCAGCATGAAAATGTTACTTTAAAGCCAGAAGACTGGATAAAGTCACCAAGGGAGTAAGTTTAGAAAAGAGATGAGGACCAAAAACTGAGTGCTGGATATTGTAACTTTTAGGAAGTTTGGGAGAAGAGAAGGAACCAGCAAAGAATACTGAAAAAGAGCCTGCAGTGAGGTAACAGGAAAAGCAGTAGAATGTGGTATCCTAGAAGTCAAGCAAAAAAAGTTTCAAGGAAGACTGAATGATCAGCTGTGTCAAATGCTGCTCACAGATCAAGTCAGCTGAGAGCTGAAAATTAGCCCATTGATGGAACCATGTGAAGATCATTGTGATCTTGGGCAGCTTCTGTAGAGTGGCAGAGGCAAAAGCTAGACTGGGATGGATGTGTGAGAGAAAGGAAAAAAGAAGAGTTGTAAAGAGCATATATAGAGAACTCTTCGGAGAAGCTTTGCTGCTAAGAGGAGCAAAGAAACGGAAGAAAATGCTGGCATGAAAGTGGGGTCAAGAGATAGTTAATTTTTCTTGATTTGATGTATATTGTTGTCCTCTATTATTGATCTGGACCCTAATCTTTGTTCTTTCTTTACAAAGCTGTTATTTCTTACTGGCCACTGTTTGTTTTTTTGTTTTTTTGTTTTTTTTTTTTTTTTTTACCAGATCAGACAACCAATTAAGGTTTTATTTGAATATTTAACCCAACTATTGGTGTTCCTAGATAGCTATAGTTGCTGCTCTGTCTTCCTAAAATTTACTACCCTTTGTACCTTCAGTTCCCCACTCATCTTACATGAGAATCTCAGGCTTAGACTGGAATAATTTGGCAGTATAGGGCAAAAATGATGCTGATGCTGTAAATGCTTATTATTATAACACTTGTGTATCATTTACTATGAGTCAGGCACCATTTGAAGCGCTTTACATCCATTTACTCACTTAATCTTTACAATACCCTATGAACTAGGTATAATTATTATCTGCATTTTACAAATAAGGAAATTGAAGCAGAGAAAGATCAAGTAAATAGTTTTTCTTTTTTAAAAAAAAAACTAATAATCATGGAGCTGGGATTAAAATTCTGACGGTTTAGCTCCAGAGGCCATGCTTTTGAAGCAACTGGAGAATTTTAAGAGCAGGCAGTTAGCTAGAGAGATTTCATTTTACATAATATAGGAATTTGCTTGAGTGAATGGGTTATGTTTTTGGAGAAACAGGATAGAATACAGGAGCTGATTGGTCATTTCCTTAGATTTACTAGCCTATACATTAGTGGGCTGTGCTCAGCCCACAATCCTGGAAGGATGTGGTGGAACATTCTTAAATGATGACTTTTTTTTTAAAGGCTGTATTTCCTCAAGTTTCATGAATTCCTTTTTAAGTCAACAAGTAAATATTAAGCACCTACTCTTTGCATAAGAGGAAAAAAATTTAACTCCTTCCCTCTATATGTTTATTTTCCTGTGGGAAGCTGATTTGTTTATCACACAGGCTATAGAATCATTTGGAAACTAAAATAGAAAGGGCTTTGCATGTGAATGTAATATTTTACTATTTTTTAAAAGGATCCTTAAAATTTCTATGTCTTTAGAGATGAGGTGTGAACTAAATGATTCTTTGTTAAGTGTTATTTCTTAGAGCACTGGTGAGCAGTTGCCACTGAATCCTTCATTAATAATCCCTTCCTTTTCCAGAAGGACTTGCCAACACCCGTAAAGTATTCACTGGGAGAATTAAAGTCATATAAAAATAATTGGTGTTTGCTTCCTTCAAGGCATACATTTAAATACATTGCTCTATTTCTCTGTTCCTTGGCTGCCTCCTATGTTTAGTAACACTAGATCAGCAGACTTCCTCTTTCAAGGTTCAGCTGCTGGCCATTACGATTTCCCATGAGAAAGCAAACCTACCACTGTTTTACCCTTTTATCTTAATGTTTCATCCATTTGTGTCATATTATCTTGTGGGTTTGCATTTCTCAGTAGTAATAGCACTGCTGGTAAATAGAAAACAATGAATGTGATTATGTACCCCTGGCCGTCGTCGCCATCATCATCATCATCATCATCATCATCATTTGAGCCCTTTAAAAATTCCTATTGTAATCTCAGAGGAGTGGTTATCTATGATAGTAGACTATCCGTGGTTTCATTTTAAAAGGGATGTGTACAGTATTTTCATGTGAATTACTTTTAATGCCTTGGTGACAATTTTGCCATTCACCACTGAGTTCAGCTATGAACATTCCACCACTGGTCTACTTACTCCATCCTCAACTTTTTTACCTGAGCGTTTTTTAGAAAGTCATATATAAATTTATGCTGTATTCATGGCCTGCAGTTTCATGTGTATTTGGCTGTAACTTGTAATGACTAATATATATTGGGAGTTAGAACTGAAAATAATAGCTAACATTTACTGGGAGTCTTTCTCTGTGCCGGGCATTGTGATGAGCCCCATTACAAGCATCTAATTTAATCCTAATCTCTCAGAAAGCACATGCTATATTTTCTGCATTGAAAGGAAAGGGAATGAAGGCCCAGACTTTGACTTTGCTCAAGATACATGATACTTGCCATGTCATGTCCCCTTTCAGAGTGTCCCTTTCTATGATCAATGGTTTAGTTTGCCACTCTGTGTGTATTTCTCTTTTCTTTAAAATACGACATTGTTTAATGGGCTGTTAAACAAATATATCGCTAGATAGTAGAGTTGCCTGGGAATGAGTCCTGAGTGTTTCTTCAGTTTCCTTGTCCTATGTGGAAGGATATGATAAAACAGGCACACTCCAGAGCTGTTGTGTTCTTTTCTGTCTTCTCTCAACCTGTTTCCAAGCCAGTGACCCAGCTGGACTCTCAGTTTCCTAATCACCACCTAGACTCTGTCATTATTAAAAACAACACAATTTGGTCAAGATTATGGCTTTTAATTGGGATGTGGAAAGAAACTCAAGTTGAAGAAATGTTGCCAGGATCATTGGGGAATGAATAGCCACTTGATGCAAGAGGGAAAGCTGTGAAGAACACTAGCTCTCTTATTATGTGGTGTCCAGGCAAAGGGGAGTTATGCTCTTACTATTTCATTTCATTTCATTTTTTTGAGAAATTATTATTGCAGAACCATTGGCTTCCTTTCTTTCTCAACTGTAGCTGTAATGTTTTATTTGTGCATGTGTACTTTTGAGAGAGTATTGGTCTCTGAAGAGGGAGTTAGAAAAGGAAAGTATTTGAAATGGAAATATCTTAAAATTATGTGTCTTTCCAATTGTACATTGGACTTCTTTAGGATTTAGAAACAAAATGGAAAATAAAAAATCACAAATACCTTCTTTTCAAACTAGAAAACATTGTACTGTATAGTGAAGAATTAGTTGAAAGACAGTAGATCTTACATTTCATTGCAGAGTGTTCCAGACATTGATCAAATGGCAAGGAAAAGCAAATATTAACTTTCTTTTCCTCCCCACCTTCTCACAATGGCTGGGCAATACTTTTGTATTCCTGTTTGGAGGATTTAATGGCCTTGTTAACATGTGTAAAAACCCTGTGATTGAAGACTTTAACAAAATAGTGAGTAGAGGTTTTTTTTGTTTTGTTTTGTTTTGGTTTTTTAGGTTCCATGTTTATGTTCTTACTGGGTGTGTGTCTTTCCTAGTGCTCTAGGTTAAGAACTAAATGTGTTAGAAAAAACAGATGTAATGCAAATAAATAGAAGAGTTCTCATTTCCTTCAGTGAACAGAGCTCTGAGTTCCTGAGCAGTAATTTTACAGTACCTTCTCACCATATCAGAAGAATTTGTGCTGAACCCAGCTGCTTTTCTCTGAGTTTTGTTGTATCATAACTGATTAACAATTGATAGGGCCAGACAGCAATTCACCTACATATGGTAGGGGGTCGCAATGCACCAACATAGTGTAGAGACCGCTCTTGCCAACAATTAATTGGGGAATTCACTTTATGAAGCCCTGTTTACAGACTGACATCTGGAGAAATTCTTAACCTGGATCCATTCCAATCTGTAGGATTTATGGACTGTGCTTGCTTTTTTGTAAATAGAACTCTTTTTCTGCTTAGTACATTGTGTTTACATAATTATCAATGGATGAAAATGGCTATGTTTCTGTAATTTCTTAATTCTCGCCACCAAGTGAGTCTAAATTCTAACCAGCAATCCAGCTAAAAGAATACTTGGACACCTATCATTATTCAAGTTGTGGAAACATCTTAATACTAGGAGCACCCTGCTCTCTTAAATCCCGACTCTCTGACTGGAGCCCTTATACCCTAAGGGACTTAGTGTTCAGCCTTTACGGGGGTTTTAAAACTTGTTGAGACACATGCTGGACCTCTTAAAATGTATTAGACTCTCTTTTATTCACACGCTTTATCTCTGCTCTGAGGTGTGAAATGGAAATATTTTCATACATGGGTACATGCATAGTCTTAAACACGCTTTCAGTTCCCACCATGTTGTGGGGATCAAAGTTGGTTATCAGGCAGCGGAACTGAGCTCCATACATTTCGCGGGGCATCCTATTGGACACACACTACAGTGACCTTCACCTGCCCCTCTGCAGCTGAACACTGTTGTCTCTGTCAATGTGGTCAGCATTGTTTTGCAAAAACAGGGAGAAAGAAAAGTCATGGGATGGATTTACAAGGAACGTAGAAAACTGAATATCATATGTTGGCACTGGAAACCTAAGACTATATAGAAAGGCATTTTTTTCTGCTGCTTTGCTGAGTTTGCAACTGTAAAATTATACCTGGTTAAGGGGGTTTTGCCTCTATATGACAACACAGTGAAGAGTAGAGTAGAAATGGAAATGAGAGAGAAATGGACATAAGTCTTCCAGTCTTACCTAGAGAGCAACAGCAGCATTGAATGGTGTCAACCTGATTCACCATGCTGTATTAAGAGCACAGTAAGCAAAATGTTCCATTCCCAAGGGCTTTATTTCCAAGATGTGCTTTGATGAGGTCTGTGCCTGTTGTATTTATTAAGAATCTCCTATATATATGTTATTCTGGAAAATGTCTGCTCAGTGAGTGCCTTTGAAAACCCAATTTCATAAGACCACACATCTACAACCATTTCATCTTGGACAAACCTGAAAAAAACAAGCAATGGGGAAAGGATTTAATGGTGCTGGGAAAACTGGCTAGCCATACGCAGAAAACTGAAACTGGACCCCTTCCTTAGACCTTACATAAAAATTAACTCAAGATAGATTAAAGACTTAAATGTAAAAACCAAAACCATAAAAATCCTAGAAGAAAGCCTAGGCAATAGCATTCAAGACATAGGCATGGGCAAAGACTTCATGACAAAACCGCCAAAAGCAATTGCAACAAAAGCCAAAATTGACAAATGGGATTTAATTAAACTAAAGAGCTTCTGTGCAGCAAAAGAAGCTATATCATCGGAGTAACAGGCAATGTACAGAATAGGAGAAAATTTTTGCAATCTACCCATCTGACAATGGTCTAATATCCAGAATCTACAAGGAACTTAAATTTATAAGAAAGAAACAACCCCATCAAAAAGTGGGCAAAGGATACAGACAGACACTTCTCAAAAGAAGACATTTATGCAGCCAACAAACATGAAAAAAAGCTCAACATCACTGATCATTAGAGGAATGCAAATCAAAACTACAATGAGATACCATCTTACACCAGTCAGAATGGCAATTATTAAAAAGTCAGGAGACAATAGATGCTGGTGAGGCTGTGGAGAAATAGGAACACTTTTACACTGTCGGTGGGAATGTAAATGAGTTCAACCATTGTGGAAGACAGTGTGGCGATTCCTTAAGGATCTAGAACCACAAATACCATTTGACCCAGAAATCTCATTACTGGGTATATACCCAAAGGAATATAAATCATTCCACTGTAAAGACATATGCATGTGTAATTATTTACAATAGCAAAGACATGAAACCAACCCAAAACCCATCAGTGATAGCCTGGATAAAGAAAATGTGGTATGTATACACCATGGAATACTATGCAGCTATAAAAATGAATGAGATCATGTCCTTTACAGGAACATAGATGAAGCTGGAAGCCGTCATCCTCAGGAAACTAACACAGGAACAGAAAACCAAACACCACATGTTCTCACTTATAAGTGGGAGTGGAACAGTGAGAACACATGGACACAAGGAGGGGAACAACACACACTGGGGCCAGTCATGGGGTTGGAGGCAAGGGGAGGGAGAGCATTAGGACAAATAGCTAATGCAAGTGGAGCTTAAAACCTAGATGGCAGGTTGATAGGTGCAGCAAACCACTATGGCACACATATACCTTTGTAACAAACCTGCATATTCTGCACTTGTATCCTGGAACTTAAAGTAAAATAAAAAAAAAAACCCAACAATTTCACAGAAATGTTGGCTTTCCAAGATGGCCCCTGAGCACAGAACAGAAACACACACACACACACACACACACACACACACACACACACACTTATATATGTGTGTGTGACTATTGATACATATAATTGTAGATATATAATTGATATATAATTATCTATCTATCTATCTATCTATCTATCTATCTATATATAATTAGTCAAAAAAATTCCCACCATCATACCTTTACCAATTGGGTGCTCTTGAGGAAAAGTTAAGTCCAAGTGAGGGCAGACTAAGCCCTTTGGTCTGAAGTCCAGTGTGGAAGAAGAGAGGTCATGGAGGATGGATCAGAGGAAGTGCAGTCCCACTTTTTCTCCATAACTTTTTGCATTTTGTCTCCATTGTACCCCTTGTGTAAGTCCTTGTCTGTGTTTATCCATGATTCTTCCTCGCTATACCTCCTATTCTGGTTTACGTTCTTCTTACTGCTAATATATTTTGTATGATTTACTATTTTGTCATTTACACCTTTTGTAAATCACCTCTAATGTCTTGTGTAGAAGTGCATACACAGAAAGATAAAATATGTTATGATCCATTCTCTCTCCTCCCCTTTGCTTTTAATCCTGTCTCCCTCTCTCCTGCCCATCCCCCTTCCTTCTATTCTTCCATTTTGCCAAAAACTTTCTAAATACTCAGCCAGTATTGCTACACAAGCATACAGCAGATGCCTGGCTTTTTATAGCTTACATTCTCCTTGGGCTAGAAAAAAATATTTGAAACAACTGGAAAACTAACAGAGTAGAGAATTATCAGAAAATTTATACATGTCTATGTACCTATGTGCATATATATGAATCATCTCTCTCTCTCTCTCTCTGTCACACACACACACACACACACACACACACACACACACACACACAGTAAAATTTCTCCAAATGAATATATTTATAGAGTCTCTGAGTCTGAGGGAAGCTTCATATTTAAGATAGTGCGATATTCTTTTCAAAGGACCCATTCCTCACACTGCACATGAATTATAAACCATTGAAATGAAATCTCAAAAAAACACTTTATTCATCAAGTAAATCTTGATCAAAAGAAAAATGTCACTGGTGTATATTTTTGAGGTTTCTGCTGTTTTTAATTCTTAGTGGCAATTCAGGTCATGCAAACAGAAGATTCTTTGGCAAGTCAGAACAAGGTCTGTGGTCATTTGTGATTCTCTTAATGTGTCTCCTTGCCTGATTCCTCTTAAATATATGAAGAAAAAAAGAAGAAAAGATTTTCTCCTCTGTGAAGGAGTGGGACACTCTCATCCAATACCCAGTTTATTACAAAGGTCACTATTGCAAGAAAATAAACCAGCAAAGTCTTCAAATATACCCACAGAACAGCTTGCCAGCCCTCTGGATTTTCTGTATCACTGAAAGGAAGGACTAGTTAGGACGGCCAACTCACAAGCAAATCCATTAAGATCTTCCTGCAAAAAAAAAATGTGTTATTGAGAAAGCCCTGGTGCGATAGGAAGGAGGGGAACCTGCACTAGCTCTGGGACATTTGTGGCATCAGTTCCCCTCTCTGAGCCTCTGTCTTGATATCTACTACATGAAAGTGATTAAACCTAAAGCTACAGTTCTTTGATTCCACCAAAAAAATGGTGCAGAAAGTGCATGTATACCAAAAAAAAAAAAAAACAAAACAAAAACAAATAGAAGGCAGGAGGTGATAAAATGCACGGTGTGCTGAGCGTGATGCTAGGTTTACATGATCTCATGGCATGCTCACAGTCGGCCTCAGCATCACCCCCTCTTTAAAGATGGGGCAACTGATGATCTGCCTCGGGTCCTACAGCTAGGTGCAGCTTGGTCCACTACTGTGATAACTTGAACTCCACTGTTCAAGACTTAAGCCTTGTTCTTTGCCTTCTCTCCTTCAGGGGCCTCTCTGTTCACTCCCCACTTGGCTTCACTTTTGATAGAGGAGAAGAGAAACTCCTGGAAACAATTGTAAAATATTGGAAAATCTAAGAGTTTATGGGAAAAAAAAAAAAACCTTCTTTAAAAAAATTTCCCCAGTGTAATCATAAGAAGGACATCAGACAAATTCCAATAGAAAAGTATCATGCAATATACCTGACCAGTACTCCTCAAAACTGTCAAGGCTATCGAAAACAAAGTGTGAGAAATTATCATGACCAAGAAGAGCCAAAGGAGACGTGACAATGAATGTTATGAAGTATTCTGGATAGCATCCTGAAAAAGACAAAGGACATTAAGTAAAAATGAAAAAACCTGAATAAACTGTGGACTTTAGTTAATAATAATGTATCAATATTGGTTCATTAGTTGTAACACATGTACCACACTAATGAAAGATATTAATAGGGGAAGCTATGCAGAGGATATATAGGAATTCTCTGTACTAGCTGATAAATTTTTCTGCACATCTGAAACTATTCTAAAAAATAAAATCTATTAGAGAAAAATTTTTTTACCGTTACCCAACAAGAAAGAACATTTGTCACAGTTGGGCAAAAACTATGCTTTCAAACTTATGATAATAACACCATAGGATATTCTGGTAGTAGTATTGTAAGATAAGACATCTGGCAGTGTTAAATGCCTCTAGGAAGTTTGAAAATTACAATACTGTATGCAGAGAAGCTTTCCGTGAGCCTTAGATTAGGCCAGGGTTGCCAAACTACTTATGGCCCACAGGCCAAACCTGGCCCAACACCTGTTTTAGTAAATAAAGTTTTATTGGAACACAGCCAGTGCTCATTCACATTTATGTATTGACTATGGCTGCTTTTGCACTATGACAGCAAAATGGAATAGTGGTACCAGAGACCAGATGGCCCACAGAGTCTAAAAAATATTTACTATCTGGCCAACCCCCTGGTTTAGGCTATTTGAATTACAAAGTAGGTTTTGAGGCAAGCTAGCTAAGAGGCCCAATTCACCTGGGGTAGAATCAAATATTGGAACCCAGCAGATCAAGTAGCAGGAGAGATATTAGGCAGGGCTTGAGTAAAATAGATTAGCCAACTCCCTAGGTGGCCATCTGGTTAAGGTTTTCAGGCACTTTTCTCTTTGCTGGAGAGCTGTCTTTGGCCCCAGGGATATATCAGTTTGTTTGAAACCTACCCTGCCTATCCCCCACCTTAGGGACTTTATCTTGACCTGTTTATCCTACTCTTCTTTTGGTGTTCCTGACTTTGGCCTGAAAATAGTCAGTGAAATTTTCTACTTAAATAAATTTTTGGCTGGCTAATGATTGCTATATGTATGAATATGTTATCAATGTGGAAAAGTCAAATTTTTACAGTGAGGTTTAGTTAACACAAAGGGCCATATACATAATTTGATTGTCAGCAATTCAGTCATAGGCCCCATAATAAAGTGCCTCAAAGACATTCTTTTTAACATCCATTGATGTAGTCTCCAATTTATAAATGGTTGGTTCTATGCTGATTGTTCAAAATTCATTATATATGCTTCATATTTTATAATTTCACGAGTTAGTTTTCCAGATTAGTCCAGAAAAGTTTTTAAAGTAATAACTTAATTGTAATAGGGCTCAATAATAAAACTATCACATATAACAGCAATATTCCATTGTAGAAATGCATCTAGAGTTCTGACTCAAGATGCCAGATTCCCTTAATTATATTCCACCTAGCAGTGGTGAGGGGAACCTAGACATCCTGCGCTGGTGGGAGAGAGAGATTGTTCTGAACACCATGACCACTAGAGAGAGAGCTGCCACATTTAGTCACTAGATGTATGACTAGAAAGAATGAACATAAGTTGGGAAAGCCCATTTTGTTGCCACAAGGAGTTTGCTGGTATTTGAACCTTAGATAAATAGGAATTTGCTGTATTATTATTTTTAACCCTAATTCTACATATCACATTAATTAAGTTAGATCATATCTAACTTAATTATTAGTTAAGTAGTTAGTGCTACTCAAAGTATCGCCGGAAGACTGGCATCTGTCTGCAAACTTTTTGTTACCTGACATTCACAAAGTGTTGAGAAACTTTTGTAGCAATTGAAAGGGCTTTTTTACGACTGTTGAACCTAATTCTAAAAGGTGAAAGCTGATGTCTTATTCATTTAATTTTTCTACTAGTTCTTTTTATTCATTTCTGTTGCCTTTTACAAAAGTATTGGTTTAGATAGATTGGAAATTTGAAAAGCAAGTTTTTTTTTTTTGAGAAGCATTGCTGTAAACTATAGAGAGCCGGGTTACAGTGGTATAGAAACTTGTGTAAGCCTTAGCAAATACCATATCTCTTGGTTTTATTTAATAAATTGAAACTTTCTAGCAGGCCCGACTCTGCATAGCTAAGTCAGAGATGCAAGAAATGTAAAATTTATATTTTCTTTAATAGCGAGAGGGTAAGGAATTCAGTCTCAGTTATTATTGCCCACCCTTGCCACACCCCACTGCATCCAGGGAGGCTTATACATGGGGCTCAGAAAATGAGGACACAGTAGCTACCCACAGCCTCAATGCCTGAGCCATCAGTGGAGTCAACTCCAGGGCTCACTATGGCTAAGGCTGGGGCTTCTGGTGCCCAGTCCTTCTGTGTCCCATGCCTCCATCTCTGGATGATGTCTTGTTACCTTGGGCTGTGGGCTGCTGCCTCTGAGCCAACTCAGGTACCGGCTGCCTCTTACTCTCTCAGTTCCGTCTCTTCAGGGAGCCCTGGCTATGGAAAACCAAAGCTGGAAAGAAAAGTATTTCCAGGCTACTTTTATTCATGGGGGCCCCATTACAAACTTCCTTGGAGGTGAGGAGGCACAAAATGATCTGGGGTAACATTGTAGGAAAAGGGGCAGGGGGAGGGCCAGTAGAAGAAAAGCACACATTACTATCAATACATTTACCCTTGCGAAGTGAGGGCACTGAGCCCTTTGTGACAGCGTTATTTGAGGATGGAGTGAGTTACTGTACTGAAAATGCAAGGTAGAGTGCTCAGCACACAGTAGGTCCATGGGATTTTAAGTCTCCTGCCCTCCTCGAGGCGAGACGCTTGCCTGATTTCCAGGCCAGAAGCCTGCAGTTCTGCTTGTCCTTGCCTGAGGGCTCATTTGTGTCACACTTGCCATTGTGTTTGGATGACTTCCTCCAGCTGCAGCTTTTCTTCCCCTTCTCCTTTTATGGGATGGACTCTAAGCCAAGGGTACTTCATCTGGAGTCCATAGAACCCAGGCTTCATTTCCATGGATGACCTCAGAGAGTTTCAGTTTGTTTGGAAGTTTTATATTTTATCTATATTCTTTTGTTTGCTTAACCTTAAATTTTTAACAAATACATATTTTTTTCCTAGCAAAAGTATCAGATATACTCATCTGTTGTTTCTTAGCAGATGTCAATTTAGTAGATGTGGGATGGGGCCTGAGATTCTGCATTTCTGACAGGCTCCCAGGTGATTCCTGTTCGGCTGGTGTGATCTCATTACATGAGCAAGGCCAAAGAGGCCTTCCGAATTTGTGGACTTACCTCCCATTGCCCATTAGCCCATGAGCTGCCATTTTCTTTTTGCAAGATACGCAGTCATCAGAAGCAGCATCTGAAATCCTTATAATTACATGCCACAGCCCCTTGATCTCCCAGTGTCTTGACTTCTGCCTGCACATCATCCTAGTTAAGCATGGGTAAAAGCATAAGTAATTGCACACCAGGGGCTATTACCATCCCGTTCACCTCCAGCTATGGAGCCCCTAGTGCTTTCAGATGGATGGCCAGTCTAACTTCAAAATTCCATTGTGAAGACCTACTTCTTGTTATACAACTACTCCCAGTATCAGTGATTTTCTCAAGAGGACAGAGCCTGGGGCAAGGATTAAAGTGATGGCTGTTTGAGAACACAAACTCAGGGAAGGGAGGGTGAGGACAAAGGGCAGCAACCAAGGGAATATGTGAGGCCATGCAGAGTGGTGCTGCCTGCACCTGGGAGTGCCTCTTTCCAAGAGCCATGAAGAGGCTGAGCAGGTGCAGCTACACAGCCCTTTTTTTCGAGGCCTACAGAAGAGAACTAATCATCTGGCATATTCCTAGTTGGTGGGAGCAGAGGGGGAATTCTCTGCTCAGCTTCGGCTTCTTTTCTTTTCCTATGATGCACCCGCTGGGCAGGATGCCAGAGCCCACCAACATTGTTCTTCCCAAACTGGAAGTGGCAGACACTCTGGGTGTGCTGTTGGGCAGTCTGGCTACAGGAGGCATCCAAAGAAAGGGGGGTGGTACCAGGCAGGGTGGCTCACGCCTGTAATCCCAGCACTTTGGGAGGCTGAGGCAAGCGGATCATCTGAGGTTGGAAGTTCGAGACCAGCCTGACCAAGATGGAGAAACCCCATCTCTACTAAAAATACAAAATTAGCTGGGCATGGTGGCGCATGCCTGTAATCACAGCTACTCATGAAGGCTGAGGCAGGAGAATCGCTTGAACCTGGGAGACGGAGGTTGCGGTGAGCCGAGTTCACGCCATTGCACTCCAGCCTAGGCAACAAGAGCGAAACTCTGTCTCAAAAAAAAAGAAGGAATGAAAGAAAGGTGGGTGGCATTCCCAGGGCAAGTGGCTGGTCAGCCCTTGCTGTGGGTGTGGAGTCTGAGGAGGTGCATGCAATCTGTGTCCACTACAGCACCTGAAGGTTAGAGCACCAGGGCAGGGCACCTTGCCGTCTCTGTATGTGGGATAGGGCAAAGAGAAGAGAGGAAATTACGTTCATTGTTGATAATCTATAGCAACTGGCTTTTCCTTTTGAGCCCACGTGATAGAGAACTAGGAAGTCTTCTATTTCTGTTTTGTCAAAATACTGAGTCAGCTGGAATGAAAAGGACACTAATTTATCAGTGGAGACCTGCCTGTCCCCAAGCACATGGCAGCTGTCTTAACTGCTCATCAAACTCGCTCTCATCTGTTGGCTGGGGGACGTCTCTTCCTTGCTCCTGAAGTTGTCTTGTGTGTGAAGGCCGCTGCCTGAGTACAGCATTCCTGGCCTCCCCCACCTCCCTCTGTCTCAGGGATGGAGAAGTGACTTTTCTGCCTTTTTTTTTCAGGGTTCTGTTCAGCAGGGTGCACATCCCTTCTTTCTGCTCTTCCCTGTCATTAGTCTTCCAGGTCTCCCCTCAGCCCCTGCCACCACCGCATATACCCTTTGCCTTTTTACTCAGTTGGATGAGTGTAAAGAAGAAGAAAAGAACTGGCTTTTTGGGCCTCTCCAAAGGTCTCAGCCCCACCGTGTGACAAGACTGGAGTTCTGTGACATTGGCAAGTTACTGAATCTCATGAGACCTCAGTTTTCTTATAAAATGAGAATAATAATAATACCTATTTCATGGTGTAGTGTGTAGGAATTAAGTGAGATAATATGGGCAAGATTTCTAACCCTTAGAAAGTACTCAATAATGATAGTTCTTGTTACTGTGATCTACAGGCTTTGGAGAGATTAAAAATAAGCCTGGTTCTCCTTCTGGGTAAGGCCCTTGTCATTTTCGGGTATGGCTGGGCAAGTTCCATTGCATTGATGGATAATTCTAATGTTTTCTATTCAGGGAATCTCTGAGGATAGCTCTAATTCTTATTTTATGAGTGTGGAAATGTGTTTCTCTCATTTCCCTCAGCATCGATTTCTGTTTCAGAGTTGATGCAGAGGCGTGGATAGTAAGGTGTGTTTTCCTTCAAACCTGGGATCTTGCCACTTCCCTCTCATTTGAATGATGTGGTTTTGAAATCAGTGCTGCTGATACCCTCTCTTTCCTCAGAATGATGTGAGCTTCATAAACCCCTTTATGCATAAAACCAAACTTGAGAGCTGAGGCTTTGGACTCTGTGTGTGAGAAGCCTCAGAAAAAGAAATCACACTTCATTAACAAGAAGAATGGCTTCGGAAAAAAGCATGTACAGTATACAACATGTTAGTACATTTCCAGGAAATGATGGCAAATCAGTCAAATCAAGTTGCAGATGTAGTCAGGAAATTCTCTCATGATTGTGAGTTTCCCATACAAGATTTTGGTGGATAAAGTCAAATGAGTTATACCCAGTACTTCAAAAGCACAGCAGTGCCAGCTCATCCTCAAGTCACCTTTGGATTGAAATCTTCCACAATGCAGTTCATGACTTTGCTGTTGAATTATGAAGTGTTTGTGTCTGTGCTGTAAGGTGTTGGGATTCAGGAATAGAATCAAATTCCAGAGAAATACCACCACAACCACCGTCCCAGAACACCAGCAACCTTTCTCTTTCCTCAAGGAAGGCTTCTTTCCCTCATGGTTCATGTGCTTTGCTTCTTTTATAGTTTCTGATGCTCTGGTATTAAAGGGAATTCCTGCCGAGGGGCCTTTATATTCTGGATATCACATATGCTATAGGATAGGTTTTGTCCTTTCTGACTTTAAAAAGGATAAATTTAAAGACAATACTGTTGCTGCTGTTGCCAAGTCATAATCAGTATAATATGTCTTTAGGGGCAGTAATTCATTCCCAGTATTCTCACCAAAAAGAAACATTTAAGGTTATTCTTTTCAGGCCACTCCTGAAGATTGTTGTCACGTCATTTATTATCTTTATGATCAGTGTGTTCCTAAGCTATGATTGCTGTGTAGAGAGGCAGATTTTCTTACACATTGCTTAAAATATTGTTTGTATTTTTCAACTAGGTGGTTGTACTACAATCCCAGAGTCAGACCTAGAAGAAAGATCAGTAGAACAAGACTCTACAGAACTGTTTACCAACCACAGACATCTCACTGCAGAGACACCCAGGCCTGGTAAGAGACTGGATGGCCTTCACAAGCGTTAGTTAAGTCAGAAGCAGTGACAATCTGGTCAGTTTTTGTCATACCAGAGAGCATTCCGCAAAGCTGCTTGTTTTCCAATTTCTTCATTCTTCCCCTTAGCACTGGTGCAGCTGAATTTGATCCTTTGTGTATTCCTGTCACTATTCAGATCTTTTCTCTCTCTTTCTCTCTTACTCTCTTTTTTTCCAGAAGTTTCACCCCTCCAAGGAGTCTCGGAATAATTCAAGTAGAGTTGTTTGGTTGAGAGGAACATCCCCATCTCAAGGCCGAACCTGTGTGAACCTCATGCCAAGCACAGATATAGGGCTGGCGCAGGTGCTTCCTAAAGCTCACCTTCCTGGAGATGACATGCATAGAAAGAGGGGTTGGGACTTTTTACTTCACTAGGAGAACTTGTAACACCATGGGGAAGTCAGCTGAAACTTGTCTTGTTTTGCCAGGAAAGGAAGTAGTTGCCTTTGGTCATCCATCTGCTAATAGTCACAGAATACAGTGAAATGACATAGTTTTGGGTTAGATTTTATAATGCAAAGATTCAGATCCAAAATAATTTCATACCCCATTTTTTCACAGAATTCTTATATAGTAAATGTATCAAGTTTAATAAAGCATCTCATTGTCAAATAATATCTTGGATTTTATTTATAATTAGAGGGATTTATGAGTGATTGCTCTACATTATTTCTTCAAAGGAAAGGAAAGGAATTGAAGACTTTGCTACTCTCTGGTAAGACTTGAATGTGATTATTTTATAAATAAAAGAACCACTATGAAACTTTCATGTGATTTGTTCTATTAAGCTAAACGTGGAAGAAGGGAAGTTTTCTAGTATTGTATGAAAATGTTTAAATATTTTCAAGGAAGCTAGTACATTAACATCCCCTTTTCATTACCCCATTGGGTGGCACCTTTTAAAAATCCAGGTTATTAAAGGATTCACACTTTATTACAGTTAAAATTTAAGGTTTTTATGTGTAAGAAGTGAAAGAAACTTTGCTAATTTCAAGTTCGAATTACAGTTGTGAGATTGATTTATTTAAATAAAAATATGCCTTTGCCAGTTTTGGAATGCCTCTCAGTACAAAGGGGAAAGTTGTTCATGGTTTTTCTATATGTGAAATGTCAAAAAAAAACTGCAGAGGATGTATTACTTATTATTTGTAGCATCCTCTTTTAGGAGATGCAGATATATTATCAAAATAACATCATTATGATCATTTATAGCCATGATATGAGCATAAAATTTTACTGAAATTATCATTTTCTCTTTAAGTCCTTTATGTCAAAAAGTAAACCTATCAGTGAAATACAAAAACAATTATAGAGATGGTTCTGAAAGAGCAACAGAAGGCTGTGTGGATTCTATTGGATGCTGTCTTCTCAACGGCCTTGTGATTTATGCAGTGTTGAATTAGCTGGCATTATTTTTATGTTTTAGCAGGTGAACTATGGAAGCTATGTGGACATTACATGCATTAAGGGTTTTGTTGCTTTGGACTGGAAAATATATAACTTATGGTACGGCACAACTGCCAAGGCCTAATCAGAGTAAGATGCCTCTTGGAATAACCACTTTCCCCAGTGCTTAATGTCTGGAGCAGAGAGGGTCTCTATTCTGGCTAATGTGGGGAAAACGTTACCAACACCCTACTTCCCAGATTTTTTTGCCATCATTTCATTTTAATTGTAAACTCAGACCCCAACCCTTCACTTCAAGGCTCATTTTGAATCAATTATCTCCTTATCCCTACACCAAGAGCCACATTCGAGGTCCTCTTGGAATAAGTGGACAAGGCATCATGGACTGTACTTTTAGCCCTATTTTCTGGCCCTTTATTATATTCTCCTCGTTTTTGTCTTTTTATTTTGCTTCAACATTTAGTGTATTCTCTCTTGTTGTGTCTCTCTTATATGCCCCTTAAATCATTTCTATAATGGAATGGGGAAATGAATATAGTCCCACTGTCTCCTCTTAAGGTTCTCCTAATCACCTTTCTTGGCATTCATCTTCCGCTCTTTAGAATCCCTGGAGAACTCTATGCCTCTCTACATACCTCTCTCTTACTTATTGTATTTCAGAAGTCATGTTTTCCTTTCCTGGTAGGATAGATTTGCAAGCTCCTTGGACATAACTGTTCTTGGATTCTTTTCGCTGCTTGGTAAATATTTGTTGTATCAAAAGGTCAACTAATCTCCTAAAAGAAGTCAACAAGTCATAGAGAAATGGAGAAGCCGGTGATTTAGAACATTGTGGTCTAACCTTCCTAATTTAGTATTTCAGTTTATGCTGAGAGGAAGCTGATGTGACTGTCCTACTATTTTTTCTTAAATTTGGCTTTGAAGAGAGATTTGAATCTTGAAAATTCAATACTTAATGATTTTGTTCATGAGTACTTGGGTAACATTGATTTAAACACAGGATTCAGGTTTTAAATAAGATGAATAAAAATTCTAATACAACATTAGTTACAAAAATGAACATTTATTTAGAATAAGAAAAGAATAACAAGTCACATTTGTAAAAAGCTGATAATCACCATATATATCACAAAATCTATACAAATATTTATATTAACTACTTGATATACCTTTTTAACAATTCTGCATTTTCTTGCACACATTTCTTATTCACTTCTTTAATTATAGACAATTTGTAATTTCATTTTGTATACAGTGAATTAAAAGATAATTTTTTCTCTGAAATTGTTGATCAGACTTTTTTAAAAAAAATTACTGATAGTTTGCAAAAGCTTCTTTCAGCTTTACAACTCATCATTTGTAATGTCAGCCAGGTTTTTAGGATTATATTATCAGGGCATTTTAATTTTTCTTATGCAGTGATACATTTTAAATAGCCATGCAATTGATAGCTCTCTTTTTTTTTTTTTAGATAATTTCAACTTTTATTTTAAATTCAGGAGGTACACATGCAAGTTTCTTACCTGGGTATACTGGGTGATGCTGAGGTTTGGGGTACAATTGATTCCATTACCCAGGTACTAAGCATAGTACCCAATAGCTATTTTTTAACCTTTGGCCCCTCTCCCTACCTCTAGTAATCCCCAGTGTCTATTGTTGTTATCTTCAAGTCCATGAGTACCCATTGTTTAGTTCCCACTTATAAGTGAGAACATGTGGTATTTGGTTTTCTGTTCTGGCATTAATTTGCTTAGGATAATGGCCTCTAGCTACATTCATATTGCTGAAAAAGACATGATCTTTTTTATAACTGCATAGTATTCTGTGGTATACGTGTACCACATTTTCTTTATCCAGTCCACCATTGATGGGCACCTAGGTTGATTCCATGTCTTTACTATTGTGAATAGTGCTGCAATGAACGTATAAGTACCTATGCCTTTTGGTAGAATTATTTATTTTCTTTTGGATATATACTCAGTAGTGGGATGACTAGGTGGAATGGTAGTTCTAAGTTCTTTGAGAAATCTCCAAACTGCTGTCTACAGTGGCTGAACTAATTTACATTTCCAGCAAAAGTGTACAAGCATTTCCTTTTCCCCACAGCCTTGCCAGCTATTGTTTTTTGACTTGTTAATAATAGCCATTCTGACTGGTGTGAGAGGGTGTCTCATTGTGGCTTCAATTTGCATTTCTCTGGTGATTATTGATGTTGAACATCTTTTCATGTTTGTTGAATGCTTGCCTGTTCATGTCTTTTGCACATTTTTAAATGGGATTATTTGTTTTTTGCTTGTTTATTTGTTTAGGTTCCTTATAGATTGTGGATATTAGACCTTTGTTGGGTGCATAGTTTGCACATATTTTCTCCTATTCAATGGGTTGTCTTTTTACTCTGTTGATAGTGTCTTTTATGATGCAGAAGCTCTTTAGTTAATTAGGTCCTACTTATCAATTTTTGTTTTTGTTGCATTTGCTTTTGAGGACTTACTCATAAGTTGTTTCCTAAGACCAATGTCCAGAATGATGTTTCCTAGGTTTTCTTCCAGTATTCTTATAGCTTGAGGTCTTACATTTAAATCTTTTATCCATTTTGAGTTAATTTTTGTATATAATGACAGATAGGGGTCCAGTTTTATTTTTCTTTCTATGACTAGTTACATATTCTAGCACCATTTATTGAACAGGGATCCCTTTCCCCATTGCTTATTTTTGTTGACTTTGTTGAGGATCAAATGGCTGTAGGCGTGTGACTTTATTGCTGGGTTCACTATTTTGTTCCATTGGTCTTTGTGGAAATTGACAACTCATTAGCCAGTTTATCATCAAAATCCTCATTGAAATGATCTTCATTACCACTAGTATTTTATTTCAAATCAGCAAGAAGATATTTAAATATTTTTCGAATATGTTCATGCGATTTACTCTTCTTCATTAGCTAGATTATTAGACAATCCAAAGTCTGCTTATTCTCTTTCAAATGTATCATCTCATCTTAATGAGTTAATTTTGGTATGATTTGAAAATGTTTTTGTTATAATTTGCTTATTGACAGAATAACTTTTATCCATTTTATATAGGAGTTAATTGGGAAAGTTATTTTATGATGAGTTTGTAATTGTATACTCTGAATTATTAAATATATTCTTAACAGGCAAGAAATTCTCCTTTGACTTGGGGTCCATGAAACTGGAATCTTACTGCTTCTGCTTTTACATGTCTGATGGTCAGGACGTCAGATTTCATATGTTTCAAATCATATTTTATCTCCAACACATTTATGCTTCTGGTGCCAGGCTGCATAGAACATGCTTATTTAGTGATACAGCGTTTTGCTCCACACCTTCCTCTTATGACACTGGCTTAAGTGAGAGCAGTGGGTGGTAATGATATTCCTGGAATCCATTCTTCCAGCAGAATAGCTATCAGTAATTTAACCATATACAGAGTTGTCTGTAATCCACATAAATATATCCAGTTAGCCCAAGTTGAATGTCTCCCCAACTCAACTTCCCTTTAGCCAGATTGTCAAGGCCACCACCCTTCCAATGCCTGCTACAAGGGGAAGACAGGCAGAAGAGACAGTAGTTTTCACCAATCATGATTAAAATGTCTTTTTTCAAATTGTGCAAAAGCATATGACCATACACCTGGGCAAGGAACTGCCCTGAAGTTTAAGCCTGATTAGCATCACAGTAAATCTGTTTATAACAGGAGAGAGTGAGCGAGCGAGATAGAGAGAGAGAATAGAAACTACACTTTAAATTATTGGTTTGTTAATTTCCTCCATGGTTGAAATAACTCCAAAATATGTATGGGATAGCACTATGAGTGTGGCGGGTGGAAAGGGCAGATTTTGTAAGTGTCTTATTTCTGTACTGCTATAACAGAATACCACAGACTGGGTAATTTATAAAGAATAGAAATTAATTTCTTAGCATTCTGGAAGCTGGGAAGTCCAAGATCAAGGCACCAGAAGGTTTGGTATCTGGTAAGGGTCCAACTCCCACTTCCAAGACGGCGCCTTGCATTCTCCAGAGGCAGGAAGCAATGCTGTTCTTTGCGTGGCAGAAGAGCCAAGAGAGGGCAAGAGAGAAAGAGGGAGTAGGGGGCAAAATTCAACTTTTGATAATGAACCCACTTTCAAGATAATGACATTAATCTCTTCATGAGGGCAGAGCCCCCATGGCCTAATCACCTCTTAACAGTCTCGCCTCTAAATACTGTTTCGACACGACTTTTGGAGGGAACAAACATTCAAACCATAACAGTAAGGAGGTATTCAAAATTCCCTTAAATATACTATAGGTCTTCTTAAGTTTGCCAGTGTGAGCCTCGACCTAGCTTTGGGCTCAAATGTAAGTACACTTTTACTTTTCATTTTTAGTAATTAATTGTTCCCTGAGAAATATCAGCAAACCTTTATGGACTAGCAAAACAGCAATTCTCTGTTCGCTGTCTTGGTTTTGTGGAGAGATGTTTCACCTTATACATTCAGGGACAGTTCTACTAATGCTTATTTCTTAGCAGCCACTCCATGAATTGTCCCAAAAGGGACTGAGTCAGTCTTGTATCTCAGTTGGCTGAAGGGTCGGTTTTAGATAAAAAGTTCACAGCAAGCTGTCAGATTGAAGAGGGCCCAGCCGCTTCATTGGCTCCAGGATCATCAGATTGGAGAAAGTGAAGAGGTTTAAAATGCTATTAAATTGATGAAATTCTGTTTAACAGGCTACAGTAATCATGTTTATTCCGTCTGGTACCAGTTCCAGAAAGAGAAGTTCATGATGTCACCTGTGAACTCTCATTTCTATGTGCCAGGCCTCCCAAAAGAACATTAAGATCATCTGAATATGAAGAACAGTTGGAACTAAATTCTTTTATGTAAACAAAAAAATCTAGAAACTTTATCTTCTCAGTTAGAACAGAGTACTGATTAAGCCCAGACACAAGTCACTTACCACTTTGTGAAATTTAGGTCTGTAATATTCATTGAATCCTTTAATATTATCTTCTTTAATATTATAATATTTAATATAATAATAATATAATATATTATAATAATGTAATATTATATATAAGGTATATTATATATAATATTAAAGTATTATATTTATTCCTTTATATAATATTATATATTATATGTAATATATAAGGTATATATTATATAATAATATTATTTAATTAATTAATATTAATTATTTAATAATATTATTATATAAGGTATATTATATATTAAATGATTGATATTTAATCCTTAATTAATAATTAATATTAATATATATAAGGTGTATTATATATAATATTAAAGGATTATATTTATTCCTTTATATAATATTATATAATATTATTATATAATAATATTATATATGGTATATATTATACCTTAAACCTTATATATAATATTATTATATAATATTATTATATAATAATATATAAAGGAATAAATATAATCCTTTAATATTAAAGGATAAAATATATCCTTTAATATTAAGAAGTTAACATTTCTTAACATCACCTCCTCTGATGCCTGGTTGTCTTTGTCCTTCATTTGAGTCCCTCCCATCAGTTGCATGTATATCATTGGTCCCTACAGTGGCACTGGCTCATGTCATCTCTCCCTTATCTTCTATTGTGTAGAAATAGTTAACAGATAACATTTAAGTGAACTGTTATTTATTTAAGGATGAAAATTAGGAAATTACTTTAGATCTCTAGTCGTTAAGTGAGGAAACTGAAGCTTTTATTTTACTAAGTCTTTTGGGATAAAAATTAAGTTACTCATTCCTTGGGGGAAAGTATGGTGTGTAATACTCATCTTTTGCACTCAGCAGCTCACAAAAATGAAAAAAGCAATCAACAAGTATTTCTGAAAGAAAACATTAAACATTCTCCAGACTTTAATCACATGAGGATGGATAGAGGATGAGAGTTGGGATTTATTTTCAACTTTTCCCCCAAAATGTCAATAACAAATCATAAAACACATACACACATACACATACACATACACTTCACATTCCCTACTTCTAAAACCAGTGCCATCTGGATCTGGTCCTCCCTTTCCATTTCAGTAACAGTGATGTACTTTTCCCCAGGCTGCCCTCCAATGTCATCACCTCCTCTGATGCCTGGTTGTCTTTGTCCTTCATTTGAGTCCCTCCCATCATTTGCATGTATATCATTGGTCCCTACAGTGGCACTGGCTCATGTCATCTCTCCCTTATCTTCTATTGTGTAGTCTATTCCTTCATCCCATCAAAGCTCATCTGCTAGGAGTCTTGTTTGCCTGATTATCCCAGTACCTCTTCCGGATGTTTTTCCAAGCTTTACTCATCTCTGTCTGGTCAGGGTTCATTCTATTTTTAGACAGCCACTCAAAGTCCACTTCTTTAAGGAGACAATATGATATAGAGAAAAGACCTTATGACTAGGAATCAGATGGCCTCAATTTTAGGCCTGGTCCTCTTGAAAAGGTGCTTTCTGATCTGTGTCAGTCACTTAGCCTCTCTTCACCTCATTTTTATATGCACTAAATAGAGATCTATTCATTCAACAGCAAAATTAAGTTGTTTTCAGACATTGTCCTGGGCACCAGGGCTCCAAAGAACAATAAAACATGGATCTTGTCCTTAAAGAACTTTCAGTTCAGTGGGGGAACAGAGAAGAAAATGGACAGTTGCAATACAAGATGACAAAAACTCAACTTTAGAAGAAAGTAATTAGGAAAGGGAGCTAGAAGATGTAGTTTAGCATCTCCAAGCTCTTATTATTTCATCTGCAAAGTGGGGGGCCTGTCCCACCTGTGTCACCATCCTCAAAGTATTGTTCTGGAAATCAAAGAAAAGGGCTTCAAATGCTTGAAAGAACCCTAAAATGTAAGACTGTTGTTCCCTATTGGTTGGAAGAGCAATTGTGAATTCTCCTTGATTAACGTCTTTTATAACCGTGAAATTCCTGTAGTGCTCTTTTACTTGTCACTTCAAAGTTTGTATATTTTCACTTCTCCATAATGTTATGGAGAATGTATACTGTGGTACAGGGGTTTTTCAGACTGGCTGTACATCAGGATTGCTTGGATAAGAGTTGGAAGGCTGTGAGGGGAGGGTTGGAATTGGAAATATGACTTGTATGCATCCCATTTAGTGTAGTGCCACACAGAAAAATAATACCTTCTATAAAGTGACAAAAACCTCATTCGCTTAAGTGGATATTTTTTGATCCTCGCAACAACCTCACTATGTTTGCAACATACACGAAAAAAAATTAACATCCCAAGTCACAGATGGAAAAGTGTAGGATCAGAGTATATAGTATTCCCTTAAAGTGACCCAGCAATGACAAAAATAGGTGACCTGGGCAAGAAGCCAAGGCTTCTTGTCCCCAGTCCGGGGTTCATTATATTACAGAGAAAGACATATCATGAATAACACCAAGGCTTGGACTTCTACCATTAGTCTAGAGTAAAGTGTTTCTCAGGCTTTGAAGACTTATGTCCTAATTTAAGAAAGAACAACCATACACTCTGTTTCTGCATGGCAGGCTATATGCCATGACTAACTCTACCAGTTGACACAACTAAATGCTGGGAAAATACAATAAATATGCCTTTTTATGATATGCTGAGCTGTCATGAAAAGCATGAAAACAGAAATCCTGAGAGGTCAGCCTGTGCCAAACCAGCTTTCACATTGATAGTTTCTGCTAAATTCTGTGTTGAACAACTTCATGCCAGTAAATACAAAAACTTCAGTGAAATGGTTATTCTTTTTAAAATACAGTTTTAAATTGACTAAACAAGAAAGTGAAAACTTGAATAATCCTATAACAATTAAAAATATCAGAAGTTAACCTTGCCACAAAAAATACAATAACGTGACACATGACTTTACAGGTGAATCCTACTGACATTTGCCTTATGGTTCCCATTACCCACCCTCTTTATATTGTAGTTTCTTTTATATTATGTATACATACATTTTTAAAATTCCGTCTGTACTTATTTGGTCCCAGATATAAGGAGCTTGGAAAACGTCACTCTGTCCTAACAAGGGAAAACCTGAAAAAAATCAGTAACTCTTCTTATCTGTCAGAGAAGTGAGGTCAGAGGGCAAACCACTGCCCTGTGGTTTGGAGAAAAATACAGGTGCATACAGAGAATCACAAGTTTTTGCAGCAGAAACCCATGAGCAGAAACCTCTATGGGAGCTAGTATCAGCGCAAGAAAACCTGAAGTGTAATTAACTAATTGCTGGAGGCCCAGAGTGGACAGGTCTGAGAGTTAAAAACTCCAGAAGACCCAGTCATAAGGGAGCCTCCACACTTTCATGAGTTTTCCTTTCAGGAGCTTGACCATGTTCTGAAGTGAATATTTAAGGAAAATCCTTTCATGTTTCCAACAGTGTGAGAGGAAATCAAACGATTTTGAAATATGCCAGAGCATCCTATCCTTCTTAACAAGGCCTTCCTTCAAGTGAAACTATTTTCCAGAGCATAAACTACTGGAGTTTTAACAGAGCCTAACCAACGTGAAAGACGGGAAATACCTGATGTCAGTCCACAGTCAATCCTGTTTCACTGAAGGAGTGGAGGTGGGGAGCTAAGAAGGACTTGTGAAGTTTGCAGTTCAGATGCCAGCTGACTGCAACACTGAGACCTAATCATAGGACTATAGAATGCCTTCTGTGCCCTCCCCTGCCCCACAACCTTACCACCACATTACTAAAGGCTTGTTTACCACAGTTCTTTTTACCCAGTACATCATATCCAGCTGCCAAGAAAAACTTACAAGGCATACTAAATGGCCAAAAATACAGTTTGAAAAGACATTTCAAGCATCAGAACCAGAGTCAGATATGGCATGATTGTTAGAATTGTCAGAATGGGAATTTAAAACAACTCTAGTATACTAAGGGTTCTGCACTGGATCAAATAAACAGCATGCTAGAACAAATGGGCAATGTAAACAGAGTGATGAAAATTCTAAGAATTAAGAAGTGCTAGAGATCACTGTAAAAGAAATGAAGATGCTTTTGATGGGCTCATTGGTAGACTGGACATGGCTGAGGAAAGAATTTCTGAGTTTGAGGATATGTCAATAGAAACTTCCCAAACAGAAAAGCAAAGAAAAAAAAATACTGGAACAAATATCCAAGAAATGTTAGACATCTACAGAGATGTAACTTACACATAATGGGAATACCAGAAAGAGAAAAAAGAAACAAATATTTGAAGCAATAATGACTGAGAATGTTTTCAAATTAATGTCAGGCACCAAATCACAGAGCCAGGAAGATCGGAGAACATCAAAGTGGGTAAATACTAAAAATCCACACATAGGTATATGAGTTTCAAACTGCAGAAAATCAAAGATAAAGGAAATTCTTGAAAGAAGCTAGAGGGGAAAAACCCTGCCTATTAAGGAGAAAATAATCCTATCCACTTCTCAGAAACTAAGCAAGAAGGGTGGAGTAAAGTATTTAGTGCTGAAAGAAAAATTCACTAGCCTAGAACTCTGTACCCTGCAAAATGATCCTTCAAAAATGAAAGGGAAATAAAGACTTTCTCAAACAAACAAAACTGAGGGAATTTGTTGTCAGCAGACCAGCCTTGCAAGAAATGTGTTAAAAGAAGTGATTCAGAGAAAAGGAAAATAATATAGGTTAGAAATTTGGATCTACATAAAGAAGAGCATCAGAGAAAGAGTAAGTGAAAGTAAAATAAAAATTTTTATCTTTATTAGTTTTGATTGATCTAACAGATAATGTTTATTCAAAATAATAAACAATGTATTAAAATATATATATAATGTATAAGTGAAATGAAATATATATTGAATACATATATACATACACGTAGTGAAATGAATGACAACAATGATACAAGAGATGGGATGGAAGAATTAGGATTATTTTGTTGTTATAAGGTATTCGCACTACTTATGAAAAAGTATAGTGTTATTTGAAAGTGGACTTGGATTAGTTGTAAATATGTATTGTAGATATACTAGGGCAACCTCTAAAAAGTTACATATATGTTATATAACTTTATATAATATATGTGTGTGTGTGTGTATATATATATATATATATATATAGAAAGGATAGAGAATGGAATCATATAAAATACTCAATGAAACCACAAAAGGAAGAAAAAGAGTGAAAGAGAAAAATAGGAAAAAAAATGGGGGGTGGGCAAGAAATAGAAAACAGTAACAAATATGATAGATCTTAATCCAGTTATGTTAATAGTCACTTTGGGTTTTTTTTCATTTTAATTTTTGCTTTTTGTCTTTTCTTTTTATAGATTTAGGGAGTAAAGTGCAGTTTTGTTACATGGATATATTGCATAGTGAATGAAGTCTGGACTTTTACTGTAACCATCACCCAAATAGTATACATTATATCCCATGTATAATTTCTCATCCCTCACCCCTCTCCCAACCTTCCACCTTTTGGAGTCTCCAATGTCGATTATTCCACTTGCTATGTCCATGTGTACACATATTTGGCTTTTGTTTATAAGTGAGAGCATGTGGTATTTGACTTTCTGTTTCTGGGTTATATCACTTGAGATAATGGCCTCCAGCTCATTCAGTGTTGCAAAAAAGACATGACTTCATTCTTTTTTTTTAAATAAACGGGTAGTATTCCATAGTGTATATATAAATATACTATATTTTCTTTATCCCATCATCCATTGATGGACAACTGTGATCAATAATCACTTTCAATGCTAATGATCTAAATACACCAATTAAAAGATACATTGTCTTAATGAATCAAAAAACAAGACCCAACTATATCTTGTCAACGAGAAATTCATTTTAAATATAAAGACACATATAGATTAAAAGAAGGGAATGGAGAAGTATATACCATAACACTAATCAAAAGAAAGCAGAAGTCAATGTATTAATTTCAGACAGGGACTTCAGAGAAAGTAAGTTATCAGGGATAAAGAGGGGCCAAACATAATGATAAAGAGGTCAGTTCTCTGTAATGATAAAGAGGTCAGTGCCTCCTTCTTCAAATGTGCAAACATCAGTGCATGGCCACAAGGATCACAGATAATCAGGGAAACTTGACACTGTCATGGGAGTAAAATAAAGCACCAGTAACCAGCTCTAAAGAAATGGAGCTTTATTGAGTGCCTGAGAAATAATTCAAATTAATCATCTTAAAGAAGCTCAGTGAACTGCAAGAAAACACAGTAGACAACTAAACAAAATTGGGAAAACAATGCATGAAGAAAATAAAGTGTTCAACAAAGGAATAAAAACCATGAAAAAGAACCAAACAAATTCTAGTGCTAAAGAACACAGTGAATGAACTGAAAACTTCAAGAGTGCTCCAATTGGAGACTCAATTGAGCAGAGGAAAGAATCAGAGAGCCCAAAGACAAGTCATTTGAGATTACGCAGTTTGAGGAACAAAAAGATAAAATAATGTAGACAGCCTATAAGAATTGTGGGACATAATCAAGCCAA
Source organism: Homo sapiens (assembly GCF_000001405.40). NCBI lineage: Eukaryota > Metazoa > Chordata > Mammalia > Primates > Hominidae > Homo > Homo sapiens. The sequence continues at coordinate 33,617,910 of NC_000007.14, forward strand.
CTAACATATGCATTATGGAAGTTCTTCAAAAATGAAGGGGAGATAAGGATGTTCCCAGGCAAACAAAGGCTGTGGGAGTTCATCACTACTAGATCTACCTTACAAGAAATGTTAAAGAGAGTTCTTCAGGTTTAAATGAAAGGACACATGCTGGGCATGGTGTCTCATGCCTGTAATCCCAACACTTTAGGAGGCCAAGGCAGGATGATTGCCTTAGGCCAGGAATTAGAGACCAACCTGGGCAACATAGTGAGACTCTGTCTCTACAAATTTTTTTGTTTCAGAATTAGCTGGGCATAATGTCACATGCCTGTGTTCATAGCTACTCTGGAGGCTGAGATGGGAGGATCACTTGAGCCTAGGAAGTTGAGGCAGCAGTGAGCTGTGATCGCATCACTGCACTCCAGCCTGGGTGAAAGAGCAGAACCTTGTCTCAAAAAAAAAAAAAGTAAGACATTAACTGACAATATGAAAACCTATGAAAGTATAAAACTCACTATATAGATGAGAATGTAGTTAAATTGAGACTACATTAATACCATCATGGTGGTGCATAAATCACTTTGACCTCTAGTATTAAAATTAAAAGACAAAAGTAATAAAAATAACTATACTTATGATAATTTGGTAACAGATACACATTATCTACAAAATGTAAATTATGGCTGGGTACAGTGGCTCACACCTGTAATCCCAACACTTTGGAAGCCTGAGGTTGGAGGATCACTTAAGCCCAGGAGTTCCAGACCAGGCCGGGCAATATATCAAGACCCCCATCTATTTTTTTAAAATGTAAATTATGACATTAATAACATAATGTGAGTGAGAAGTTTAAGATTTATCATATGCAAGTGAAGTTCTTTTCAGCTTAAAATAGACTTATAACTATGAGATGTTTTACATAAGCCTCATGGTAACCACATACACACATACACACACACATGAATAGACCTGTAGTGGGTACACAAAAGAGAAAGAGAAAGAAAGCTTACCACTATGAAAAAAATTATCAAATTACAAAGAAGACAGCGAGAGAGGAAGAATAGAACAAAAGTACTACAAAACAATTAGAAACAACAAAATGGCAATAGAAGTCCTTCTCATTAATTACATTAAATATAAATAGATTCTTCAATCAAAAGACAGAGTGGCTGAATGGATTAGAAAACAAGACACAACTACATGCAGCATAGAAGAGATTCACTTTACCTTTAAAAATACACATAGCCTGAAAATGAAGGAATGAAAAAAGATATTTCATGAAAACTGTAGACAAAAGAGAGCAGGGGTGTCTATACTTACGTCAGGCAAAATAGACTTTAGTCAAAAAATGTCACAAGAAACAAAGATATATATAATTATATATTGATAAAGTGGTCAATTCATCAAGAAGGTATAACGATTGTAAATATGTATTTGCCCAATGTTGGAACACCTAAATACATAAAGAAAATATTAATAGAACTGAAGGATGAAACAAATAGTAACACAGTAGTAGTAAGGGACTTCAGACCCCACTCTCCACAATGGATAAATCATCCAGGCAGAAAATCAATAAGAAAAACAGCTGACCTGAACAAAACTAGTGACCAAGTAGACCTAACAGACATATGTATAACATTCCATTCAACAGCAGCAGAACGCATGATATTTTTGAATGCACATGGAACATTACCCAGGATAGATCATATGTTAGGTCACAAAACAAGTCCTAACAAATCCAAGAAGATTGACATAATATTAAGTATCTTCTTTTACCTCAATGCTATGAAACTATAATAACAGGAAAATTGGAAAATTCACAAATATGTTGAAATTAAACAAAATACTCCTGAATAACCAATGGGTCAAAGAAGAAATCAAAAAGGAAATCCAAAAGTATCTTGAGACAAAAGAAAACAGAAGCACAACACAGACAAAACTTATGGGATATAGCAAAAGCAGTTCTAAGAGGAAAGTTTATAGCAATAAATGCCTACATCAAAAAATATGAAAGATTTTAAATAAATAACCTAGTGTTACACCTCAAAGAACTAGAAAAGGAAGAACAAACTAAGACCAAAGTCAGCATAGGAATGAAATAATAAAGATCCGAGCAGAAATACATAGAGACTAGAAAAATAATAGAAAAGATCAATGAAGAGTTGCACTTTTGAAAAACAAACAAAATAATGCAAACCTTTAGCTAGAGTAAGAAAAAAAGAAGATGCAAATAAAATTATAAATGGAGGAAGAGACATTACAACCTCTACCACAGAAATCAAAAAGATCTTAAGAGACTAATATAAAAACTATAGGCCAGCAAATTGGATTACCCAGAGGAAATGTACAAAGTCCTAGAAACATACAACTTACCAAGACTGAATTATGAAGAAATATAAAATCTGAATAGATTAATAATCTTGTGTATAGTAAATCCTTAGGACTCCTTAAAAAAACTGTTAAATAAACCCTTAAGACTCCTTTTAAAAACTATTAAAAGCAATAAATTGAGTAAAGTTGCGGGACGAAAATCAACATATAAAAATCTGTAGCATTTCTATACACTAACAAGAAACTACCTGAAAAAGAAATCAAGAAAAATCCCATTTGCAATAATAAAAAATATCAGGAATAAATTTAGCCAAGGAGGTGAAAGATCTATACACTGAAAACTATAAAGCATTGATGAAAAAAAAGGAAAAAAACACAAATGAAAAAATATCCTGTCTTTTTGAATCAGGAGAATTAATATTGTTAAAATGTCCATACTCTGCAAAGTGGTCTATAGATTCAATACAAACCCATCAAAATTCCAGTGACGTTTTTCACAGAAATAGAAAAATCAATTCTCAAATTTGTATGCAACCACAAAAGACTCTAAATAGCCAAAGCAGTCCTGAGCAAAAAGATCAAAGCTGGAGGCATCACACTACCTGATTTTAAAATATACTACAAAGCTATAGTAATCAAAACAGCATTGTACTGCAATAAATACAGAAACACTGACCAATGGAACATAACAGAGTCCAGAAATAATTCCATGTGTTTACAGTCAACTGATCTTTAACAAAGGTATTAAGAATACACAATGGAGAAAATAAATGGTGCTGAGAAACCTGGGCATCCATATGCAGAAGAATGAAAAATTGCCCCTTATCTCACATCATATACAAAAATGAATGAAAAAAGACTTAAAAGTAAGATGTGAAACTGCAGACTACTAATGGAAAACATAAGGAAAAGCTTCTTAACATTGATCTGGGCAGTGATTATTTGGACATGACCACAACAGCAAAAATAGACAAAGGGGATTTCATTAAACTTAAAAGCTCTGCACAGCAAAGGAGACAATCAAAAGAGTAAACAGACAACCTATGGAATGGGGAAAATATTTGTGAACCGTGTATCTAATGAATATCCAAAATACATAAGGGACACAAAAAACTCAATAGCAAGGAAACAAAGAATCTGATTGAAAAATGGGCAAAGGACCTGAATAGACATTTCTCAAAAGAAGACATACAGATGGCCAACAGGTATATGAATAAATGCTCAACATCATTCATCATCAGGAAAATAAATTAAACCACAATGAGATATCACCTCACACCTTTTAGAATGACTATGATCAAAAAGACAAAAGTGCTGGCGAGAAAGTGGAGTAAAAGGAACCCTTGCACATTGTTGGAAATGTAAATTAGTGCAGCCATTAGTGTAAAGAAAGCAGTATGGAGATTCTTAAAAAAATTAAAAATAGAACTACTATATCATCCAGCAATCCCACCATATCCAAAGGAAATAAAATAAGTATGTCAAAGAGATACCTGTATTCCCATGTTTATTGCACCATTATTCACCATAGCCAAGGTATGGAATTAACCTAACCTGGATAAAGAAAATGTGGTAGTACATACAGTGGAATACTATTTAGCCTTTAAAAAGAAGGAAATCCTGTCATTTGTGAAAATGTGGATAAACCTAGAGGACATTATGCTTTGTGAACTTAGCCAGGCATGGAAAGACAAATACTACAATGGGCTGGGCGCAGTGGTTCATGCCTGTAATTCCAGCTCTTTGAGGGGCCAAGGCAGAGGGATCACATGAGGTTAGGAGTTTGAGACCAGCCTGGCCAACATAGTGAAACACCATCTCTACTAAAAATACAAAATTTAGCTGAGTGTGGTGGCACGCACCTGTAATTGCAGCTACTCCAGAGGCTGAGGTAGGAGAATCGCTTGAGCCCAGGAGGCAGAGGTTGCAGTGAGCTGAGATAGCGCCATTGCACTCCAGCCTCGGTGCTGGAGACTCAATCTCAAAAAATAAAAACAAAAAAAATAAATAAAAAAGAAAAATACTGCATGACCTCACTTATTTGTGGAATGTAAGAAAGTCAGACTCATAGAAGCAGAAAGTAGAATGGTGGCTCTCAGGTTCTAGTTTGTGGGGTTCAGATGAAGAAGGGGAGGTGTTGGTTGAAGCATACCAAGTTTCAGTTAAACATTGTGACTATAGTTAGTAATAATGTATACTTGAAAATTGTTAAGTGAGTAGATCCTAAATACTCTCACCACACAAAAAATGAAAAGTATGTGAAATACTAGATATGTTAATTAGCATTTCACAGCGTATACACATTCAATATCAAAGCATCACTTTGTATACCGTAAATATATACAATTTTTATTTGTCATTTATACTTTAATAAAGCTTGAGAAAATACATACATAAAATACAATTTACATGGAAGAGCAAAGGCCTCAAAACAGCCATTCTTGAAAAATTTGCTCCACCAGATATCAAGTCTAATTGTAAAGCTAAAACATAGTATGGAATTAATGTAGGGATATACTAATAGACCAATGCATCATAATAATGTCTCCAGAAACAGAATGTCCAAATATGACAGAGATAATATTGCAGATCAGTGGGTAAAAATAGTTTTCAATAAGTGTTGCTGAAGCAATTGGATAACCATATTGAGAAAAATGAAATTAGACTCATACTTCAACCATACAGAAAAGTCAATTTTGGTTGGATTAAATACTTAAATGTGAAAGACAAAACAACAAATATTTTAGGAACACATGTAGGAGAATGTCTTTATGACCTCAGTGCAGTGAAGGATTCCTTAATTTCATCATAGCCTAAAAGAAAAATACTGATTGCCTTAAAATTAAGAATTTATAGTCATCAAAAGACACTATAAGAAAAGATAAAAATCATGTCATAAAGTGGAAGAAAATATTTCCAGTGCATATAACTGGCAAAGAATTAGTATTTAGAGTGTCTAAGGAACCTCCAGCAGTTTGATAAGAAAGCAACATCTTAATATGAGCAAAAACATACATGGATGGCTTGCAGAAGATAAACAATTAATATGCTAAAATTGGAAAAAAAAAACCTAATCTCATTAGTAATTGAGGAAATGCAAATTAAAACACAATATTTTGTTGCATCTACCAGATAGGAGAAAAAGGAGAAGTCTACAAATACCAGTTGGAAAGGACATAGAACAGAAAATACCCACATCTGTTGAATCTGTTGGCTCAGCTCAACTGTTTTGGCCAAGAGTTTGGCATTTGTTAGTAAAGTTGCACGTGCACATAACCTATCACCAGGAATTACATTCCTAGATGTATAACTTAGAGAAAATCTTGCCCAATAGGAATTTTGAGAATGCTCATAAAAGCATGATTAAAAAAAAGAAAAACCAAACCCCCAAACCATCTAAAAAGGCATCAACTGTAGATTTGACCAATTTCAATATATTCTTACTGTGGGGTACTACACAGCAACAAAAGTTAATTAAAGCTACAAGGATTAACATGGATGAATCTCAGAGACAGAAGCAAATTATAGAATGTATATATTACGATTCTGTTTATGAAAGTCTGAAATCAGGCAAACATAACAACATATTGTTTTAGGGTATATACCTAGATGGCAAACTGTAAGGCAAAGATTAACAAAATTTTTAAATTGAGGTTACTTCTTGGAAGTTGAGGAGAGAGAAAATACCACTGGGGAGGGGCCAGAAGGCCTGTTTTATTTCCTAAGCTGGTTGGTGAGCAAATCTTTCATTCATTCTATTATTAAAAAAAAAAAAATCATATAAGTCTTACTCTTTTGACTGTTTAATTTATTTTACCATAAAAAATTTAAAAACAGAAAACGACATGCCTCTAATTTCCCTCATGATTCTGATAAATTTCAGCCCTTGAGAGAGATGTGCCCAATTTGCAAATCTCTGTGTATCTTGGCCAAAAGAGCTTTTTGTCAGACTTTATTTCCCTTGGTTTAAGAAAACAATGGCTATTTTAGTTTTCTAAATGTAAAATTATATATAATACTATACTGAATATGACTTTTATAACTATAAATACCTATCCTTGTCTGTTTAGATGTCTATTTCTTTTCCACCCACCACCTACCACCCACCTCCACCCTCAACCCTTGAATATTACCACACAGTGGCCACATTAGAAGCCAAGGATTGCTAGTGGGCAGAAAATTTTGCAGCTGTTAACTTCTGAGCTAACAATCCCATCTGTATCTCCTCATCCTGTAAACATTCTGTTTGGCAGTACTGTTGAGATCTATTTCTCCTCTTTTACTTTCTAATTAACTTTCCATGTGTTTTCTTTAAATTCACCACCAGCTTGGCATAAAGTAATTTGCTTCACCAGGTGGTGTTTCACACATTCCAGATGTTAATATAGGTCTTAACCCTGTATCAGCTTCATGAGTAACAACAGCGCAATAGTACTTTATGACAGCCACCAAATGAGTTGCAGAATATAGTTGATAAAAGATAATTGTAAATAGAGAAACCATGTAATTGATTATCCAAACTGTAACATTTTGGGGGAGTTAAAGGGGGCACTATTAATAATTATGCTGAAATAACAGGTGTAAAATAGAATAGTCCTGGGTGTAGGTCATCCTGATTATAGAGGAAGCTAGCTCAGTGAGTACCCAGCTGAAGGCACATCTGGTCTGGTACAGGTTATCCTTTCAACGATTGAAACATCATAAACAGTAATCACCCTGGGTTAAGAAATGTGTACGGCCATAATTGTAGTCCTGAACCAGTACTCTCAGTAGATGTGTCTGCTAGGCTTCATTGACACCAACCAATGATGTACCTGTTTATTGATAAGGAGTTTTATTGGAAATTCATGTGAAGCAACAAGTGCCCAACTATTCTATGAGGGAAAGGTCATTTTGTATGTTTTGTCATTTTTTTGTTTGATTACCACCTGACGAAGCACAAAATTATAGTACCTTGGGTCCTATTCTATATGGGCTCAAAATCTAGAAATATGACAGGAAGAATGAAAATTTTATCTGGAGATGAAATAGAAATGAGTTGTACAGGTTTATAAATAATAATAAAATTATGAAAATGAGCCTTTATTGTGTTCCTACTATGTTCCAGGCCCTGAATTCTACTCATATTATAGCACCTACTCATCTTAACAGCCATATGAAGAAGGTATTATTTCTGTTGTCCACATGAGGAAACTGCCAAGAAATTTGCCCAGGGTTACATAGGTGGAAGACTTAAGGAAATAAATTTAAGTCTGTTTGATTTAAAAACCTGTCTTCTATCTACTATGACTACTGATCCTCTGGATTTTTTCTTTTATTATGTAGATTACCAACTGTATCACTGCTGGTGCAAGGGTCAGGCTCCCTTTGCACATTCCTAAAGTGACTCTTAAGTTTCATGTAAACAACTGCTATTGTAATTAATACATTAATTTCAGGAAGCACCTTACCATGATTTTTATGTCTGTTAGTGATGGAGCCTAACAGATCCAATTCTCCTACTTAGGTGGGTAATGCTGATATTTTTCCTCATAAAGATACGGTCATAAGATATGCTTAACTGTTTACTTAGCCACAGTTAAGGATTAGCAGTTGTTTATAACTTATCTTAGCAATTAGAATAAATATATAATCATCTTAGTTAAGCTCTCATAACATTTCTAAGTTGTCACACTAAATTATATGTCTGAAAATTAAAAAGAGAAATTACTAGGATGGTGGGTAGTCTAGTTTAACTAGACTAGCTATGAATATGTATCCATTTTGGAAGTGATATGGTTTGGATTTGTGTCCCCACCTAAATTCACATTGAATTGTAATTCTCAGTGTTGGAGGAGAGGGGCCTGGTGGGAGGTGATTGGAACATGGGGGTGGACTTCCCCCTTGCTGTGCTCATGATAGTGAGTAAGTTCTCACAAGATCTGGTTGTTTAAAAATGTGTAGCACTTCTCCCTTCTCTCTCTTCCTCCTGCTCTGGCCATGTAAGACATGCTTGGTTCCCCTTCACCTTCCGCTGTGATTCTAAGTTTTCTGAGGCCTCCCCAGCCCTGCTTCCTGTACTGCCTGCAGAACTGTGAAGTCAATTAAACCTCTTTTCTTTATAAATTATCCAGTCTCATGTGGTTCCTTATAGCAATGCAAGAACAGATTAATGCAGAAGATTGGTACCAGGAATGGGGCATTGCCATAAAGGTACCTGAAAATGTGGAAGCAACTTTGTAACTGGGTAACAGGCAGAGGTTGGAACAGTTTGGAGGGCTCAGAAGAAGATAAAAAGGTAACAGAAAGTTTGGAACTTCCTAGAGACTTGTTAAAGTTGTGACCAAAATGCTGATAGTGACATGAACAATAAAGTCCAGGCTGAGGTGGTCTCAGATAGAGGTGAGGAACTTATTGGGAACTGGACCAAAGGTCACTTTTGTTATGCATTAGCAAAGAGGTTGGAGGCATTGTGGAGGTTGTTAGGCATTAGCAAAGAGGTTGGAGGCCCTAGAAATCTGTGGAACTTTGAACTTGAGGGTGATGACTTAGGGTATCTAGCAGAAGAAATTTCTAAGCAGCAAAGCATTAAATATGTTGCCTGGCTGCTTCTAACAGTATATGGTCATGTGCATGAGCAAAGAGATGTCCTGAAACTAGAACTTATATTTAAAAGGGAAGCAGAGTGTGAAAGTTTGGAAAATTTGCAGCCTGACCATGTGGTAGAAAGAAGAACCCATTTTCTGGGAAGGAATTCAGGCTGGCTGCAGAAATGTGCATAAGTAAAGAGGAGCCAAATATTACTAGCCAAGACAATGGGGAAGATGCCTGGAAGGCATTTCAGAGAACTTTGTGGTAGCCCTTCCCATCATAGGCCCGGAGGGTTAGGAGGGAAGAATGGTATTGTGGGCTGGGGCCAGTTTTCCACTGCCCTGCACAACCTCAGGACACTGCTCCCAGCATCCCAGCCATTCCAGCCCCAGCTGTGGCTAAAAGGGTCCCAGATACATCTAGGCTGCTGCTCCTGAGGGTGCAAGCTGTAAGCTTTGGTTTCCACACGATGTTAGGCCTGCAGGTGCATAAAGGGCAAGAGTTGAGGCTTGGGAGCCTCTGCCTAGATTTTACAGGATGTATGGGAACATTTGGATGTTCAGGCAGAAGTCTGCTGCAGGGGCAGAGCCCTTATGGAGAACCTCTACTAGGGCAGTGTGGAGGGAAAATGTGGGCTTGGAGCCCCCACAAAAAGTCCCCAGTGGGGCACTGCCTAGTAGAGCTGTGAGAAGAGGTCCACCATCCTCCAGACCCCAGAATGGTAGATCCACTGACAGCTTGTACCATGTACCTGGAAAAGCCACAGACACTCAATTCCAGCCCGTGAAAGCAGCCAAGGGGGCTGTACCCTGAAGAGCCACATAGGCAGAGATGGCCAAAGTCTTAGGAGCCCACCCCTTGCATCAGTGTGGCCTGGATATGAGACACTTGATATTATACCACAAAGCCGATAGTGATCAAGTAAGTTGCTGTTGTTTGTTTTAGGCTTTCTCTAAATAAATATTTATACCACACAGGCTGGGCATGGGGGCTCATGCCCAGCACTTTGGGAGGCCGAGGCAGGTGGATCACTTGAGCCCAGGAGTTTGAGACCAGCCTGAGCAACATGGTGAAACCCCATCTGTACAAAAAAATAAAAGAATTAGCTGGATGTGGTGGTGCATGCCTATGATCCCAGCTACTTGGCAAACTGAAGAGGTCAAGGCTGCAGTGAGCTGTGATTGTGCCACTACATTCCAGCCTGGGAAACTGAATGAGACTCTGTCTCAAAAAAAAATTAAACTTGTAATTTAAAAACGTCTCAGATGGCAAATTCACTGGAGAATTTTGTCAAAGATTTAATGAAGACATATCAATCCTACACAAACTTTTTCAGAAAACACGTCAGAGGAAACATTTCCACCTTTTTTTAAAAGCCAGCATCATCCTGATACCCAACCAGACAAAAACAGTATTTAGGAAACAAGGACAATAGCAAAAGACACAAACAGAAGAATAAAAAAACTAGAGACCAATGTCCCTCATGAATACAGATGCAAAATATTGACTAACACATTTCCAAGTAGGAGCCAGCAATATATGAAAAGGATAACACATCATAACCAGGTGGGGTTTACCTCCAAATTGCAATGTTGGTTTAACATTCTGAAATCAATCAAGATAATTCACTGTATTAACAGAATATGAGAGAAAAACACTAAGATTATCTCAGTAGATGCAGCAGGAGCATTTGATGAAATTCAGTACCTATTATTGCTTAAGTAGAAATAGAAGAGAACTCCCTCAAGGTGATAAAGGGCATTTATGAAAACCTAGAGTCAACATCATACTTACTGGTAAAAGACTGAGCTCTTTACTTTCAAGAGTGGGAATCAGGAAAGAATGTATCTGCTCTGCCTTCTATTCAGCCAGGTACTAGAGATGCTATCCAGTGCAATGAGGCCAGCAGGTAGTGCACAGAAATTGGAAAGGAATAAATAAAACTGTCTTTATTCCCAGATAATGTCATTCTCAGAAACTAGAATTTAGAATTTCAAATTCTTATAGAATAACTGAATTTAACAAAGTTGCAGAATACAAGCTTAATGTAAACACTTGATAATATCCATATATTACCCACAAACAATTGGAAAGTAAAATTGCAATACTCTTGCCTGCTTTCAGAACAGGAAAGACACAAACAACACAGTAAATGCAATGTAACAAGCACTTCACAGTAGTGCACCCAGAGAACCATGAGCATGAGGGGCTCCCTAGTTAACCTGGGACAGGTATTGGAATGGGAATTCAAGGAAGGAAAGGGGATGAACTCTGATGCAACTGAGTCATTGTCCTTATCCAAGTCCTTATTGAGTGCTCATTTGTGCAACCTGTTGAATAGAGCCTGTACACAAGGAGCAAAGTAAACGCTGACCTCTAGGACTTAGCACATTAAAGTCCCCATACAGGGGCAAAAACACGAATGAGGAGAATGTACATTTTGTGTGAATTAGGGAGTTAGTTTCCAGAGCCAAAGAATGTCATTTACATAATTGCTCTTAAATCCTGCATGGGGGGGTTCTTGCTAAAATACTCTTGTGTGAGCTCATTTAAAAAATGATTTAACAATTTTTGTTTCCTTTGTTTTTTGTTTGTTTGTTTTTTTAATTCTAAGTGACAGTGGAAAGGGCAAAGGGACTCAGGGATAGACTTGGGTGGCAAACTTGGCTCTGCTGTTCGATCGCTATGTGACGTCAGCCAGTGAGGGACTCTTCCTGAACCTCTGTTCTTAGCATATGTGAAATGAGTACAAAAATGCCTCCCTCAGCCCTTTGTGTGCTGACTAAACTGTGCTGAAATGTATAACTCGTTTGGTATGATGCTTGACACATAGTAGGAGCTCAAGTGATACTATTTTGCTTCTTTCCCTTTTAGGTATTTTAAAACGTTAGTCACTGAACTTTGTCAGAAATAAGGTACTTAAACTTCACAGGTCAAGTATTCACTGTGACATATCCTGATTCAACGTTAAAATTGCATTTCTGTGAAACCATGTATTCAGCTCAATGCTCTTAAATCAATACAATCTTTCTTAAATGTATCAGCAAATTAAACTTCAATAATTACACTTGCTACTGTGGTTACCTCTGAGTTCCTCTAAAACTCCTCTGTATTTTATTGCTGTGTAAATATTTAAAAGACTTTAAAAGGCTAATTTCAGATTTGGGCCTTCTCTTGTCAACAGTTTATATTTCGAGACCTTTTATAAGGTTTGGATTCTTATTTGTGAAACCTAGCACAGCTCCCACATTGCTACTATTTACATTTTTTTTTGTAATGTGCCACAGGTTTATAAAACTTTCCATTTGAATTTTTGATATGATTAGCTGCTTTTAATTACGTCTAAAAATCCCTTGTCAAATAATGATTAAAACACACAGAAACGAGACATAAGCAAAGCAAAACAGATCCACATGAAAACCACTTCAAGCCATGTAACAAAAGCAAATCCATTTAATTTACACATATATGGAGGATTTATTTCAAATTGAAACAGAACAAAAAATAAATGAGGTGCGAAAAGCATGTAAGAGAAATTTAAAGTGTACAAGTTCAAATTTTTTTTTTCAAATCACAGCATAATTGATTCTTCTGGGGAGTTTTTTTGGAGTAAAAAATTAAACTCCTATAATTATGGTTCACAGTAAATTGCACTTACTGCCTGTTGAGCCAACTCAATTGGATTACTAAACCACAATGCCCCTACCCCTGCGTCCGTTAAGGATCAAACTCTCTCCTCGTGAGTTCAGTAAGGCCCTAAATACTTAAGCACACTGCATGTTTTCTATGAGTTAGATTTGTCAGGCAGCCAGTCCCCTGCTGAAGAGTCTTCAGCAGATCCTCACAGCTTTCAGTATCAAGTTCAAATTCACACCCTCAGTGGAGCCAAGTTCCTTCATCACCCCTCTTCCTCTGACTTCCTCGCTGGGCATCCCTACCTGCCATGCATACCTTTCCCTCTGGTGACATTGCACTCCTCTGGATGCAGAGGCATGGTTTCCTGCCTTCTGCACTCACTCATTTATGCATTCTTTCAGCCATTCAGACATTCATCTCATAAATATTTATTGTCTACTATGTGCCAGGCACTGTGCTTAGTGTTGGGGATACAATAGCCCAAAATAAGCCCTCTCCCTGCCCTCATGGGATTACAGCCAAGTGGGGGGAAATAGACTTTACTCAATGAATTCCATAGATAACTACAAAATGACCATTCTGAGGAGTGCTACCGAGGCAAAGCACAGGGGGTGATACAGGCCCCTGCAAAGTGCAGAGACTTGTTTTTTGTTGGAAAGTGGGGAAAGCTTTTCTGAGGAAGTGACTGAGGCCCTGAGACCAGGAGGCTCATCAGAGTGTGCAGAGTGGTAAGTTGGAGGAAAGGCGAAAAGGCCGTGTGTCTGGTCCACAGAGAGGAGAGAAGCATGGCGAACTGCACCGTTCCAGGGAGACCCTCAGCCCATGCCGGCCCTGCAGGCGACTTAAGGATGGTGATATTTATCCCAGCAGCGTTCCATGCCAGCGGGCTCTTCCTTCTCTCTGGACCCTCCTCTCCCATCATCTTCATCCCTCAAGGCTCAGCTCTAGTGTCCCCTTCTCTGGAAAGGCTTTAATGACCTTGTCCTCTCCAAAGGATGAAATGTCCCCACTCTGGCCTCATGGCCTGTTGATCTTTGCATCCTTAGCTCCTTTCACAGGCTCCCACAGGCAGCAGGCATCATGAAGTGGAGGAACATGTGTGTAGAAAGCAGGGCCAAGCATGATTTCGAGGCTTGGTTTGCTGAGCATGCATGGACGCAACTTGGCCATCTGAATCCAATTTTCAGAGGCCCTCCCAGTGGTGGCCCAGACTCATCCAGTAGCAGTGCAGGGGCCCCTTGCCTCAAAAAACCCCTCCCTTTAAATGCAAACCAAATTCCAGCTCGATGCAATTTCAGATGGTAAGGAAACACTGGATGTGTGGTGGAAGTGTGTGGTTTCTACAGAGGAACTCAACCTTGACGTGCTCCACACTGTCGGGGCCAGGCCTGTTCCCATCCTTGTTCCCTGCTTGGTGTTCCCATGATGGGGATTATGAAGAGAGCCTGGAGAGGGAGGCTGTGCTTTTTGGGATGTTCCAGTGAGCAACAGGGGACCAAAAATGGGGAATCACAGAGCTAATTAGTGCGTAGAATGGAATAAATTCCCTCTCATCACAGAAAGGTATTGTATTTCGTGTTGAGGGAAAGGAGAGATTTGCCTACAAATTAGGCTGGAAACCGTAGGGAAGAAATTGTTTGCGGGCCAGACTGGTGTGCCAGGAATGTAATGGAATATGGCATAAGGAGAACGGGGTAGGTGCTCTCATAAGTGGGTTTTCTTTAGTGTTTCCCTTCTGTCCTTCCAAAGGGCTTACTTCCTCCTGTCCTCGGTGTTACTTGGCGCTCGCCCTGCCTGGACAATCATAAACCCTTTTGCTCAGCGATTGCTTCCCAGCAGCAGCAGCAGCGCCCCCTGAGAAATGTTCACTCTTCAATGTTCCACCGACCCTATGGTGGGGGGATCGCTGCTTTCCACTTATTTCAAAATCATGGTGTGAATGGAAAGGCTTTGTTTGCCATTATCTTCTGTTTGTACAATGAGCCACAAGTGAGCACCGCCTTGGCGCGCACCCACCTTGCCCGGGCCTCTGTCCCCTCCAGCCGCGCTCCACCGGCGCCCTCGCCCCGCTCGCGGCTGCTGGGTGGCTTGCTGCTTCGTTCTGGTAGACTTGCGATTTTGCCTTGTCCTCCCTCTGGGTTCGCCGGATCCTGTGTTTTCCCTGTCCCAGAATGACCCATTCGGGCTTCGGTGTTTGGCTTCAGAACGACCACTGCCCAGCCCCGGGGACTCCAGGTCCCAGCACCTCCCGTCCCACCCCTCCCGCCAGTCTCCGCAGTAAAGGAAGACAATGACTAGGGGCCTCCGTGTGTTGGCTTTAATGTACATAGCTTATAACAAGGCCACACTACTCAAACATTCTTAGTTTTTTTTAAAAAAAAGGAAATACAGAGATAGATGTAAATGAAGCATTGGACTGAGTTGTGGTTGCTTTTGGGGTGAGTTTGAATGAGGGGATGGCTGGAGGCTGTTGAGGCCACGTCTTCATTTTAGCCTTAAGGAAGAATTTCTTTGGTTTGTGACAAAGGATCAAGGAAACCTTTCAGCTGGGTGAGTGGTCGGCACTCTAACCCTTTCTAAAGCTTGGTGTGACCCAATCAGGCGGCCCAAACTAGGATTAACCAAACCAAACAAGGCCTGTGAATTAAGACAATCTGCTTTGGGGAAGCCACTTGCCCCAAATACTTAATCCCTGAAAGAGCCGCTTGTGTGCCCGAAGCATTGTCCTCACACAACATTCCTTTCTTTACACTTCTTACTTCTGATTTGATTGAATTGTTTGTTCCTATAAGGCAAAGTGGAAATGTAGTCACCGGTTTTACTAGAAAATAGTTCTATATAGTTTGCTTTTGTTTTGGAAAATATTCTAAGAAAAGACTTAAAAAAAAAAAACTTTAAAAAGCACTTGATTGTATTTTCTTCTGAGAAAACTGCCAGATATGTTTGGAAAGCAGGGCTACATATTGGAACTATTTCTTGGGGAAAATCATATTACTCAGCTGACAGGTTTTGAAGATTGGGAATGCATGAACACCATGAACAATTGCTTTGTATGGTGAAGTTGGTAAAGTTAACTTTTTTCTTTTTTTTTTTTTTTTTTTTGAGATTTGAAAATCCTTGGGTTAGTGATAGGAGAGGAGCTCTTTACCAGGTAAATGCTAAAATACAGTTCTCCTGTGATCTTTACGGGTTTTACTGCAGGTAGTGGCTTCCCACGATCTCTGGAATAGCTTCCTTATAAACTATTAAAGGCATACTTGCAGTATTCCTTTCTGTAGACTTTACAGATTCAGAGGAAAAATTATTTTCCTCTTGTAAAAACTGTGTTCCTGTAATTATCTTGGGTTATGTGGTTTTGAGGTCAATAAAAGGGAGACTTTTTGCCTACAGCCTACCTTTCCTCTGTGTGAGTTGGAGTTTGTCACTTGGACATCAGAACTGTTTCCCTATCCAGCCCTCTTTGCTCTCTGCCAACCCTGCCTGCAGAGTCTTCCCCTACTCATGAAAACAGTGCTGCACCTAATGCCATGGCCCTTCTCTTCACAATTCAGATCTGAGACCTAAGGACTGTTTTGGGAATCCGTAGCTGACTCAAGCCCTGCACAGCCTCCCGCTGGTCCCCAGCAATCTGGCCACCCCGCCTCAGGAAGCTGCACAGAACATCTTCCTCACGCAGGCCCGTCTCCCATGGAGATCCATGAGTGGAAACCTGCAGACTCCCTGCTCTCCCAAGTCCCTGCCTCCCCCAGGAGTGCCTGAGCCTTGGTAGGGAGGTGGATGGATACAAGGCTCAATTTTGGCTAAAGCACTCTGCCAAAAGGGAGGAGGACAAGACCCAACAGAGCCTAAAGGCTCCTGTCCTTGCAGTGTGTGAGTCGTGAGAGGTGGTGCATGGAGCTTGTTTGGACTCTGCAGTGGGCAGCCTGAGGTCAGAATTGCAGCTCAGTGGTCACACTATTAAGCCCTCTGAGCCTCATTTTCCTGTCTGTGAAGCAGAGATAATAATGCCTATTCACGTGGTTGTTGTTAGGTTTAAATTGAATGATAAGTGTAAAATACTTTGCATCCTTCCCGGCACATAGTAGGAATCACATAAGAGCATTTCTAGACCTTTCCACAGGCACCCTGTCAGATGCCCCTACCCTCAGTGCTATCTTACCTTGGTCCTATTACCCCAGGTGTGAGTTTCTGTCCAGGCCCAGGCTGTGTCACGTAAAACAGATTCAGTGCACATTTGTAGGAAACGGCTAAAGAAACAACCACAAAGCCCTGCTGGGGAGCCCCTGAGCTGAGGATGTGTAAGCATGCAGTGTGTATGTGGACAGGGCAGGGCATGAATAAAAGCTGGAATAAGACTTGGTAAGAACTTGAAAGCCATCAGGCTGAAGGAGGATGAGTAGGCCCCACAGTGGGCTAAATGACGACATCAAGAAGAGATTTTCCAGCCACAGGCTTAGTCCGGAGTGTGGGGTTAGAGATGGGCAGTGGACTCCTCACACATCCCTGCTCAGAGGTGCGGGTGCCTGTCACGGGCAGTTGAAATTCTCTTTTGGTGTCCTTGGCCTCCCACACTCGCAGTGGCTCTCTTCGAAACCATCGGTACCCAGTGTCCTTCCTTTTCCCCCGGTTCAATCCTGTGCTCAGAATTAGATGCTGCGATCTGTGTGAGGGACATGGCATGGATGTGGTAGCTGTGGGTGTTGGATGCCTCCTCTGCCATTACTCCCTCCATCTCTCTCTGTTCACAGACCCCAGGACTGGACAGAGGATCGAGGCCTGGACCCTAAGAATACCCCACTCCCTGAGCCAGCATCTCCAGCTGATGGAGGGACCCAAAAGCTAAGCGGGGTCAATCAGACACCTTCCCTGGGATGGTTAAAACTGGGACAGGCCAATGGAGAAGGTCCTTCTGTCTTTGGTCTGTGATGCGAGGAACACAGGGATCTTTCCTGTTGTGTGGAGAAAGAGGAGCCCAGAGCCGTACTGAGCCAAGGGGGTGCCAGGGAGAGGCTGCCAGGCCTGGGCCCTGGAACCAGCCCCCCAAGGCCCTGGAACCAGCCTGCTCCATGCAGCTGCGGCTCTTCCAGTCTGTGAGCTACTCAGTGCCCTTTCAACAAACCCCGCCTTGTTTTGCTTTAATCAGTTTGCATTTTCTGTTGCTTCTTTCTGGAAAAATCCTCTGTGCTTTGACTGACTCCAGGGTCTTCCTCCTTGAGGTGGATTTCTTAGTCACTGTTAGGTATCCAAATATAGGCGAGTGTAAGGCATTTTTCTTTCAACTGTTCATTTTAATGAATTACATTCAGGAAATAAGTAGGAAATTAAATTCATTGAAAGACTATTGGTCTGTATGTACTTTTTCAGCCTAACATGCTCAAAGCGTAGGTAGCAGGCAGCTATAATACAGACATTTTATTTTTTAAAGGGCAAAGACAATGGTAATTTAATTTTAGATCATTCCAGATGGAGTTCAAGTCAACGTGCTGATGACTGGAGACCTGACAGAAATTAAATGTTGGTTATTGCGTCCCAATTTCAGATTATGACCCAATCAAGGGTCACTTGAGGATATCCAAAAGGTTGGGAAGATTACAATAATTTTAAAAACACAAGAAAGTGGTTTCTACCTCTGAGCTATACATATTTATTGGGTTGGAGGAAAGGGATAATTTTCTAAAGGGAAGGGGCACTGTGGAAGAAGAGGCAGCTCTGGAAGCCAGCCAAGGGCAACAGCAAGGAGGCAGCCCCAGCCGAGGGCGGGTTTCTGAGCAGAGTGGACACCAGACAGGAGTTTGCAGATGGTCCATTGGGTAGAGCGTAGGGTAGAAAAGTAGGTTTCATCTTATATGACAATTTTTGACAGATAATGAAGACTATGGGGAGAATTGTGTCCAGAAATAGTCTGAGGCTGAATGTGGGCTTAATGGGGCAGCCATGATTATTTATCAGTGGCAGGTAGTCTGAGCAGAGCTGATTCTGGTGCTCCCACGTGGATCAAGTATATCCCATCTCCAATTCAGTCTCCACAGCAGAGGGAGTAAATAATTCCACCTCACCACAACGGAGCCATATGTGATGAGTGCCCACTAGTTACATGAAATTGGGCAGGGAGGAATTTATGTTAGCCTACATACAAGTCTGAACATAACTCACGTCAGCATTGCCATGGGAAGTCAATATATTGCTGGGTGTTGGCAAATATTGAGTTTAGATGACTCTTCCTGTAAAGGATAGAAACATTGTTTTTAAAACTTCAATTTAGGCTGATGAGAAAATACTATAGAAGGAAGGAGAACATCTTGAAGATTTAAAAAATGATCTATAAGCTCTGGAAGGAAATTTTTAGAAAAATGATTGAGGCACCAGCAATTAGCCTAAGCAAAAAACAAAACAAAACAAAAACACAGTCTCTGAAAAAAAACACACTCAAAGGAGAGTTCAAACTGACATAAAGAGACAATGGAATAAGATGACATTTACTTATTTTATTTTCCTTTAGGTTTATTTGGTCTTTTTCTATCTTCTTTTAGCTGAATTAGTTCTTTTGTATTCAATTTTTTTAATTTTCTAATACATATAGTTAAGATGATAAAATTTTCTCTGAGTACCAATTTGACTGCATTCCATAATGGTTTTCAAATAATTTTTTATTTTGAATTTTTGTGGGTACATAGTAGGTGTATGTATTTATGGTATACATGAGATGTTTTGACACAAGCTTGCAAACCTTCCATAACTTTTGCTATGCTGCATTGAAAGTATTGTGATATTTCAGGTTTGATTTCCTCCTGTGTGCAAGTTATTTAAAAAGAAGTATTAAATACATTCTAAATGAAGGGGATTTTTTCCCCTATGTTTTGAATATTACTTTCTAGTTCTATTACATTATGATCAGGAAATGAGCCCTCTGTGATTTTTACTTTCATAATTTATGGAGGTTTTTTCCTTGAGGACCATTACATCACCATTTTTTGGTAAATATTCTGAAATCTTACATTTGCCCAACCTGATCTGTTGATTTGTGAGAGATTAGGTCAAAGTTTTCCACAATGACATTGGATTTGTTAATATCTCCTTATCCTTCCAAAATTTTTACTTTATATGCTACTATTTAGGTGAATAAAGATTCACAAAAATGTTTCCACCTTCTATCAATGTAATCTCCCTTTGTCATGTTTAATATTTTCATTTTGAGTTATATTTTGGTGATACTAATATATTAAATCTAGTTCTTTTTTTTGAAAACATTCATCTGGTATATTATTCCTCATCTCTTCATTTTTAATCATTCTTAATAATTTTGTCGTAACGATATTTTTTTCTTTTTTAAGACAGGGTCTCCCTCTGTTGCCCGGGCTGGAGTGCAGTGGTGTGATATTGACTCACTGCAATCTCGACCTCCTGGGTTCAAGTGATCCTCCTGCTTCAGCCCCCCAAGTAGCTGAGACTACAGGTGTGTGCCACCATGCCGAGCTAATTTTTATATATTTAGTTAATGGGTTTGTATTTTTAGTTCATGCATTTCGTCATGTTACCCAGGCTGGTCTTGAACTCCTGTGCTCAAGCGATCCGCCCGCCTCAGGCTCCCAAAGTGCTAAGATTACAGACCTGAACCACCGCGCTCAGCTTAAATGTATCTCTTTGAAATATCAACATAGATTCTCTTCCGTTCCCTCAGTCTGTATCTCTTTCAACAGGAGAAAATTTGTAATTTTTTTTACTGTGGAAAATTTCAAACATACACTAAAGAAGAGAACTGTGAATGTGTCACTCTGCTTCAAAAACAATCAATTCTCACCAATTTGGATTATTTTGCAGCAAGATTTTTAAAAAAGTTTAGGAAAATTAACGGCAGAGCTTTTCGTTTATTTGGCAGATGGGAATGATTTAGCTGAAAGAAAAACTGATGATAATACTAAAAGTATTTTTTATATTATGCTTCTACTTAGGCATAATTTCGTGACAAATGTTTGAAGTGCTGGTCATGTTACCAATACATTTTTAGGTTTACATTTGAATTTTTCTAATTTCTTTATTTATTCCTTTTTCTTGGATCCCATGCATTCCTCTTTTGGATCTCTGTTTTGGATTTTTTTTCCTAGAAGATATCTTCTAATAATTCTTAGAAGCAAGAACAGAAAAGTTCTTGTTTGATAAACTTTCAGTGAATAATATTTTCCCTATTAGTAGAATTTTAGTTTAAAATAATTGTTTTTTCCTGGTAAAAATGCTAATTAGAACAACATCATTTTCTCTCTTAACTTCGAAGTCATTACTTTTTGTCTTCTTGCATCTGGGGTTACTTCTTCCATTGTAGGTAAACTGTTTTTCTTATTAGTTTTGGGGTGCCCAGTAATTAATTTATAAGCAAAGTTGTTTGTAATGTATTAAACCAACAGAGAGAAATTCATAGTGCTGATGTGCCTGATTTTAAATATTTACTTGAAGACATGCAAGCATGAATTAAGCAATAATTCAGAACTAAGGGATTCATGATCTACAGATTTCTCCCCTCACTCAGTTCTGAGCCCCCTAAATGAGGCCTCCACATGGGTTATTTGTTGTCTGAGGGATTCTACTCCTGTGGGAAGAGCTTTGGTCCCATGGGGTCTCAAGCGAACATTTTTCTTCTATCTTTATTCCTTTTCCACTTGTGAGGAATGTATGTTTCAAGCTCTGTCCTTCGCTCCCAAAATTCAGAAGTGTCTTTTCTTGTTTAATAATTGCTTAAAGCAATAATTGTGCCATTCTGTTCTAATGCTTCTAACATTGGCTAAATATTTTGCAAAGGGAGCAAGGGGGTATGGCTGGGGAGAGGGAGGAGGGGGAAAGAGAGAGAGAGAGAAAATCCCATGCCATTAGCTCCTTCCACTAGGGTTTCCCTCTTTCCATTTATTGCTTCAGAAGCGCTTCATTATTTTCCTTCTGTTCCCTTCTGTTTTGAAATAATGCCCCTTCTGTGTCACTTTTCTTGAAGAATTTGTCCTCTTTCCAATTGGCTGAAGCTAAAAACTGAAAATAATGGAAGGGCTAAAGTTATATTTTCAGTTTCTGGTATTAAGGGTGTGAATAAGTAAGAAAGAAAATACAATCTAGATTTGTTTTTAATGAGATGGGTGCAGTTTTTACTTCTTCCCTAGTAGAATATCAGAGGGAGACAGAACTGAGAGCCACGAAATGAGGCCTCAAGCCCGGAATAACAATAATTGTGTTATGTTGTCTACTCCGGACTCACTGCCTCCCATTCCAGGATCCATACTGCTATTTTCATAACACTCTAAATGATTTCACATCTGTAAGTAATTAGTTGCAAAATAATCTGTCTTGGGACTGTGGGTGAGAGAAGGGTTGGGCAATAGAAGTTCCAACTGTGGTCTAACAATGTGTAAATCATGTATTCCTTCATTCTGCTTTGTCTGCTTATCAACTGTAAATACATTACACTGGTAAAGGCTAGTCCTGCAAAACATAGCCCTTTGAGAAGCTCAGTATTGATGTGATCCGCCATAATGGCACCACCAGCTTCACAGTTTACAAAGCCCCGCCCCTGATATTATCAGAATTCTTTTTCACAGCAACCCTGAGAGATAGGCGAGGGTAAGGTTTCCATCTAATGTGTGAGGAACCTGTGGCGAAGTCAGTAGATGACATGATATGTTTTGTTGTTTTCTTGCAAACATTTTAACAGTTCATTAACTATAGTAATGCGCATACGGAGGAGTGCAGGAAATTATAACGACAGAGATTGATGAATTGTCACAAAGAGAACACTCTCATGGAATCAGTACCCAGGTCAAGAAACAGAACAATGTAACACTTTCGTGCCCCCTTCCAGTCACCACCCCCAGGGGTGACCACCATGCTGACTTCTAAATAGGTGACAGGATTATTCAAGTTAATTTTGTATGGCATGTGGACCAGGACCTTGCAACACATGGATGTGTTATAGAGGGTCTGCTTGATGCATTTAGGAATACATCTTTACATGAAAAGCAAGGCACATGAGGAATCAATAAGGGATGAAAATTGCCCAACGTGAAGAAAGCTCATCTGAGGAGACTAAATAACAGGCTCCAGTGGATGAAGGCTGAATGTGTGTGTGGAATATTATAGGAAATGTTATCTATTGCTATCAAGAACTGATGAAAAGTTTACATAGAAAAAGGAAAATATGTTTCTTTCATGTTTAGAAATTTGTGGACGAGGAGAAATCCATTTCTTTCTGTGGACATTTTAAAATTTAGGCTGTAAGTGCTCATTGAAAGATAACTTTGGTTTAATCTTAACCAGAGGCAAGGATTTGTGATTTTTCAAGAGTGTTTCCTTTCCCACCCTGTGCCTGGCTGAGCATTTCTGTCCATTTCCATGGGAAGACTGCATTGTGTTCCTTTAAGGGAAATGATGTTTCGCTGGAAAAGGGAGGCTGTGTCTATTTTACTTCTTTCCCTAGGACATGAGTGAGTCGCCAGACATGAAGGCTTTGCCTGTGAATGTGCTGCCTCTCTCTGGGATGGGCAGAGCTGAAGACCAACAGTAATTGCTCCAGCTGGTATCTGCATCTGGTGGATTTTGGAAGCTTACTCTCCCATGTCCTCAGCACTATTCTGCTGTAAGTTTTCTCCACTGTCTGGAGAATTAGAAATCTACAGGCAACCAGCGACTTGTTTGAAATGGCTGGGGCTCCAGCACATGGAGGAGTAGACTAAGACTCTGCGACAGTCAGTGCTGCCTTTGAATGGAACCCTTCTAGACTTTGGTGAACAAGGTCTGTGTGGATGTGGCCTCCAGTAGAAAACACTTTCTTGGCCGGGTGCAGTTAATCCCAGCACTTTGGGAGGCTGAGCCGGGTGGATCACCTGAGGTCAGGAGTTTGAGACCAGCCTGGCTTACATGGTGAAACCCTGTATCTACTGAAAAATACAAAACATTAGCCGGGCGTGGTGGTGGGCACCTATAATCCCAGCTACTTGGGAGGCTGAGGCAGGAGAATCGCTTGAACCCAGGAGGTGGAGGTTATAGTAAGCCAAGATTGCACCATTGCACTCCAGCCTGGGTGACAAGACCAAAACTCTATCTGAAAAAAAAAAAGAAAAAGAAAAGGCTTTCTTTCTCTTTGGAGTCAGTGTTGTCCCTCTGCTCCACCTCAGACCCACTGAGCTCTGAACAGTGGTATGTTGACATGAAAAGAGACTGCCAAGGTTTTAAATTACATCCATTAAGAGATGAATTATTCTCTTAATCATTTTTTGTTTCATTCCTCAAATAATTACAAAGCTTTTAATTCAGTGAAGCTTTGAAAAATAGGTAAGCTTATAATTTTACAAAACATGTGGTCAGAGAAGTAAGAAGAACACCCAGGAAACTTTCTAGAGGATATTGAGAATGACCTAGTGAAGCCTCATTCATCTCTCATTTCTGCACTACAAGGACGCTGCCCAGCTTTTGCTCTTTAATCTGTTTTAGAAGTGCTTGGACTATCTTTTTTTCTCTTATCAAAAAGTTTAAGTTAGAGTGTGGGTTAGAATCTTTTTTAAAAAGCTGACATTTCTTCCCTTAGAAAACTGCCATTCTTCTTTACACAGATGTACCTGCTTACAGAGATATACTATTTTTATTCACTTTTTCATCTTTACCCTGCAGATACATAAAATGTAGATAACCAATAAAATCTGCAGGGTAATGTTATGAAGTCAGTTCTAAAATGAGTGAACAGAAGGAGAAGGACATGTTTATTACTCGGATTTTATTATACTATGTATTGCAAATAGCTTTGCCCAAGTTGGGAAGGGAACACGGCAGGTCTTGATGCTGCTGCTAACCTAGTTGTTACTTTGTCTCTAGATTCCTGGGTATGGCATCTCCATACCAATCTGAAAACATAAGAGAGCTCGAAGAAAAGCATAGACTCAGATGCAATAATCACTTGGGGTAAATATTCTAAACATTTTTTTTGAACCAGCCATTGTTTAATCACCATGAAATATGGTCACTTATCTCCAAAGGGAAATATTTAGAATACAAACCTCTCTTGCTGTCACCTGGCATACAAGGAAATGCAGTGATGTTTCCATTCAAGAAGTGCCTAGATCAAGCCTTTCCTGAACAACAGGAAATGGAATCTTGACACCCTGTTACACCTTAGACCATCACACTCTCTTGCAACTCTGAAGAGGAAAAGGAAGATTTAAACTTTAAGACATTTATTTATAGCATTTGAATTATAAATGTGAGTTATTTAAAAAGACATTTTTAAAAATGTACAGAAAAGAAAAGTAACTAAGTAAAATAACAAAATCTCCTTAACCTCATGACTCTTGCCTTAAACAAACAATAAATACAGTTTTAATGGAAGCCTGGCTCAATTGAATTGTATGTTTACAGTTCTCTGAGTGAACAGCCTTGGGTAGCCACCATCCAGAGCAGTGGAGACATCACCAGTCCCAGAAGTCCCTGATGTCCCTTCCAGTCACGACTCTGTCCCCTCGCCTAGGTAATCAATCACTAGCCTGCCTCCTCTTCTAACATCTTTAAATACTTTTGACTTTTTTTTTCAATTTTTTTTTAATTTTGAAAATTTCAAATTAGGTTAACTGAAATAACAGTACAATGAACACTCATATTTTCCTTACCCAGATTCACTGATTGCTAACATTTTGCCGTATTTTCTTATTTCTCTGAACCATTCTAAAGTTGTAAACATCATGTTTTCCCCCAAATGCTTTATCAGTTATCACCTTAAAACAAAGACGTTCTCCTGTATAACCCCAATACCATTATCACCCTCATAAAATTAATCATTGATGAAGCAATGCAGTTATAATGGTCAGATTTCCCCAATCATTTCAAAAATTGTATAGTTTTTTAAAAACTACATATGATATAATGAGTCATCTCCTATAATTTAATTGCTTGACTTCATTTAGTCTCCTTTAATCTGGAATAGTCTTTCTGCTCTCTCTTTGTTTTTTAATAATGGCATTTTTCATGTCCAGGCTGTTTGTGTAAAATAGCCTTCAATTTGAATTTGTCTGGCTGTTTCTGAATGACTCAATTCAGATTAAATATTTTGGCCAAAATACCCCTAGTGATGCCATGGGTTACATTTCCTGAGGCAGGGTGTTTTTTTTCTCCCATACCTCCAAGTTTACTTGTTATTTAATTAAGACTGGGGTGTTCACATTTTCTCATGCTTCATTATTGTTTGGGGAGGAAGAATATTCATCAGCTAAAAGGTTTTTTATGATCTGCTTTCATCTTCTAGTCACTTTGTATGGATATGTTGCTATTTACCCTTCATTTTGAGATGTTTTCTTTCCTGGAGCGGCCAGCAATGACTGTCACATGTAGACAGAGGTGAGGAGGTGAGGACCGGGTGATACATGAGGTTTCTGAATTCAAGAGATTCTTCTGTTTGTTTGTGAAGTGCAATTTCCTTAAAAATTGCCCTCCTTTTGGGGAGTGGCAGTTTGCCTTCTGGTTTTGTAATTCTCTTGTTTTTCCAGTACTTTAATTTCCAGTTCTTTCTTGTTTTTCTTCAACATCAAATCTCTGAAGGCCGCCCTTTCCAGTTAATCCTTTTCCTACGGAACCCCTGGCTTCCCAAGATACCTACCTCTGTTCCTGCAGACTTTCAATCTCCTTCCTTGTGATTCTCAGTAGCCAGTGCCCTAATCCGCCACGTCTCACAACTGTGTTCAATGTTTTCCCATTTGGGATGAGACATTGTTTCCCTGGGGGGTGTTTTCCATACCTACTCCTCTGCTTTCCTTTCTTCTTTTCTGCACTTTTTCTTCTGAATTTGGTCATTTATTTACCTGTTTGGGCATAATTTGAAGTTTGGAGTATTCTCTGTTCCGTAGTTATGCTACAGGCATGGGTTCTTGGTGGTTTTACTTGTTCATTTTGTTGATCTATGTGGTTTTCGGGAATATTTATGAAGAGATTCAGAATATAGACTATTTGTTTCCTTTTGAGTTTTATTTCCTTTCCACCTTTTTTTCTGTTATAATTTTACATAATTGTCATCATGTGTCTATTCAATTTCTTTCTTTTTAACTTAATATCATTTTAATTTTCCCAATTTCCTGTAGATGCTATCATTATTTGTCAATGGGCCCATAATCTTTTTCCAAGTGGAGATACCATGCTATATTTTATTACTTTTCTATTGTTGGATATTTACATTGGAAAAGGATGATTACAAGTGTGTTTGGCATGAAGAGATTTAGCTCAGGCCATTTTGAGGGATGAGCACTTGGCCCAGGATAAGCATATAATAAATCTTTGTGGAATCAATGATTCAAAAGAAAAATAAAACTGAATAACATTGCCCAAATGTGAAGAAAACTGAAGCATCTTTTAAAATGTCCAGTTAAAACATATAAATCCCATATCCTAAAGGAATTTCATTAACTGTTTAGGACTTCACTTGGGGCCCACCAGAAATAAATGCTCTGGGATTGTCAGATTGAATAAAGTTGATAACTAAGGTGTTTGCTGGAGTCAGAATGCAACAACTGTGTCTTAGAGTGAAGGTCATGAAAAAGAACTTCAATCTGAGGGTAACTTTTATTCAGGGTGACTCTTGGGGATAAGTAACCGCGTGACCTTGTCAGTTTGTTCTCCGTCCATCGCATGGGTGGTGATGATTGAACCAGAGAAATGAATGGGGCTTGTAGCGCTGGATGTATATGGTCAGTCTCCATAAATCATTTCTTCCATTGTCTGAATACATTTGGGCATCCACAGTAGTTTATTTCCAAAGTATATAAAGAAGCAGAGGCCAAGGGTGTAATCTTGGAGCTATTTAAATAGAGTGGTTCCAGTCAAGACATGCAGCTGTTCCCAATTATTAGTCCATATATTCTAGGTGCCAGGGAAAACCCACAAGTGTGTCACTCAATTGAATTTTAAAGTGACCTCCTGTTCAGATGAAAATCTCCTAGCTGTGTTTTTTTCCCTAAAGACTGGTCTCCTATTGAACGAGTTAGCAACACTCTTGTTGTGAATGAATCATTGCTACTGCCTATAGAGGAAATCTGGATTGTTCCATAGGGTTTTCAAGGAATGTGAACTTACCTTCCAGGGAACCCTTTGTAAATGCTGCTAGCCAAAATCCTGAACACAAGGACAAGTTGGAAATCTTCAAAAGGGCAAACTCTGATGAGGGGGCGTGGTTTTAATATTTTAAAGGCATGTGAGTTGTGTCAAAACATGATTCCAAGGAGTGCCCTGATTCCTGGCACACTGTTTGAGAGTCCCTGTAGGCACACAGGACTTGTGGCTCATTCTACTTAGGGAAGCAGATATTTCTCTCTCTGAAGCTTATCACAGATGACAAGAGTAGCGTGCTGCCAGAGCAGTCCCTGAAAAGTAAGATCCCTTGGAGACGCAAAGGCCGTCTTCTAACACAAAACCTTACCATGGGACGCCCAAGTGTCCCTTCCACCTGATTTCATCAACTGCCCAGCCAAAGAGCAAAAGCTCTGCAGTCACATTGTCTGGGATTACACCTTGGCTTTATCACTTATGTAGTGTGACCCTCAGGCAAGCTAGTTAGACTTTTTTTTTTTTAAATCCCCATTGTTCTATCTGTAAAATGGAGATAATAAACTACTAACTTAATAGGGTTGTTGTGAAAATTTAATGAGGTTATCCATTTAAAGGGCTTATCAAATGTTCACGGCCAGTTTCCTCCTCCTTCTCCTTTCCATCATCACTGACCATTGTCATCCCTCACAAGGGAAATATGCATGAAATTAAAACCCTGCTTTTCTTTATCTGATTCCCTTTATTGAAGTTAATCCATTTGCTGAACAGGGACTATTTAAATTATTCAAGGCAAACTGTTTTCCTTTTTCTCCTTCCACATGTGTAGAGATTACAGGGAGATGCCTGGGCCACTGTTTCACAATCCACAAAGCTAAGGGTATCGTTTTTTAGGCCAATGGAAACATCTCCTGGGGTCACTGGCCAAGCCAGAATGTCACCCGCACAGTTTTCGAAACTGACTTTAGGTCAGTGAAAAATTCCTCATTGTATGTACTTTCCTTAGGCAATTTCAAGAATTAAAGCTTGAGAAAAACACATTTGGTGAATATCAATGTAAAACATGAAAGTGATGTATATAATTCTACATGCCTCAGAGAGATATAGCAATAGAATATTTATTTCACAAATATGAACAAGGCCCATTTAATTAGTTGTCAGAGCTAGTGAGTTTATGTCTTAAAGCACATACGAAAGCTCTTTGAACAGCAGCACAGAGAGTTTATTTAGTTGTTCTGTTTTACTGCGGTGAGGTGCCAAGCTGACTCCAGAGAAATCTTGCCATGTGGTGCCTAGGAGTCTAAGTCCTAAATTGAATGCCTCGGCTGCTCTCCGTCCTTCCCCTGTCAAGAGTAAGAAAGCAACCTCAAGAGAAGTGAGCCTTTTATTTCACACAAGTGAATTTCTGATAGTTGATGTTTATGATTGTTTTTACATTACAGTTTTTATGACTTATTTTACTTATTTTCTGTAAGTTTCCTCGATTATATGTCCCTGAGTTCAGTTTTCCCCCTTTATTCCCTCAGAGCTAACTGCATTTGATATGCTATCTTTTATTATGCAGAAGCCCTTTGATCTCTACAGAGGAAAGGCGCCATATAAATGCAGAAATCCATTATAATCATACAGAAGAGTGGCTTTATGGGTGAAGTCCAGCTTAGCAAAGCTGTTGGATGGAAGAGTGTACTAGACTGTGGAATGCTAATGCCAAAGTGTCTACTCAGATGGTGGCTGGTTTCAGGAGTTTATTTTTCAAGTATGCTTTCTTATTGAAGTAAACATACATACAAAAAAGTGCACACATCGTAAGTATTCAGCCTGATGAATTTCAGCATACTGAATACACCCGTGTAACCAGCACCCACAGCCAGAAAAAGAACATTGCAGTATCCCTCATGCCCCTTCTCATTCCCTACACCCCCTAAGGTCACCACTGTTCTGACTTCTATCACCATAGATTATTTTCACTTGATTTTGAACTTCATAAAGCTCAAATCACACAGAATATACTCTTTAGGACCTGGCTTTTTGTTCTCAGCACAGTGTGAGTGATGTTCATCTGTGCCGCAATTCTTCAGGTCTTTTTGTTATGTGAGATTTTATTGTACAAGTATACTATTTAACCATTCTCCTACTGAAAGATATTTTAGTTGTTTCCAATTTTTGGCTTACATATAGTGCCACTATTAATGACATTTTTGTATATGTCTTTTGATGAACATATGTATGTATTTATTTTGGATAGGTACATACGAGTGGAATTCCTGGGCCACCAAGTGCATATGCACATGCTTGACGTTGGGAGATATTGCCAAACACTTTTCAGAAATTGTTGTACCAATTTTTGCTCCCATCAGTGGTGTGTGAGTGCTCTGATTGCTCCATAACCTTACTGAGGGGCACCGGATTATCCGCCTGCCCCCATTTGCCTCTTTGGCATAGAGATTATTTTGAGCTAAAGGCCATTAAGAACCAGCAGATGCCGGAAAAGCTCTTAAAACAGGGCACGAGTTTTTCTGTTGTAAAGCAAATTTACATTTATAAAGAAAATTCCATTTGTAGAATGTCTTCCTCTCCCATACCGGGAAGAGGAGGATTCTTAACAACTCTTATCAATGGAGAAGGAGCCAACTTAAATCCACTTAACATACTTTATTGAACAACCCTTGTTTACCATACTTTTCCCAGTCATCTTCCTGTAACTTGTCTCCCCTACCAAGAAGCCCCAAGCCTCTTTTCCTTTGTTTTGGCCTAAGATGGTGTGTAAACCCAAGTTCTAACCACCCTTGGGACTCATCACTGGGTACTCCCATGTGTAAACCCCATGCACATGCGAATAAACCTCTGTTTTTCTGTTGTTCATCTGACTTTAGCCAGTCTAATTTACAGTACCCCACTGGAGAACCTGAGATGGTTAGAGGAAGAGATTTTGTTTTGTTTTGTTTTCTACACTACTCACATTGGCATTGCCAGTCTTCTAAGTTTTAGCCATTCTGTTGGATGTGT
Organism: Homo sapiens; assembly: GCF_000001405.40. NCBI lineage: Eukaryota > Metazoa > Chordata > Mammalia > Primates > Hominidae > Homo > Homo sapiens. The sequence goes on from NC_000007.14 coordinate 33,648,483, forward strand.
AGGGGAGAAGCAGTAATATCTTTTCCTCACCTATTGCAAGGTTCATGGCTGAGACCTCTGTAATAGAAACAGATTAACATGAGAAAAGCATAACAAGTTTATTTAAGTTTTACATAACACTGAAGCATCCAGAAATGAAGCCCTGAAGAAGTAAAGAAAGCTGTGTATTTTTATGGACAGTCATGCAGAAGTATGATTGGAGAAAAAAGGGTATGATCTACTGGCAACAAACGGGGGAACATAGGCCTGTTTGTTCAGATTCTTCTCTGTGTCTTCATTTCTTATAAGGAGGACTGATGGAATGAGGCTCTTGTAACTTACTTTAGAGGAAGGTTGAATGATTCTTTTATGGCCTCCTTTAGGGGAGAATGGCTGGAGAAGGTCAGAGAGAACTTCCCGCTTCTGCTGATTTCTCAAATGCCAACATGCCATAATTTGGGGATAGCATGACCTGATCCATCTCATTGTGGTTTTAATTTTCACTTTTTTGATAACTAATGATGCTGGTCACCTTTACCTATGTTTATTGGCGATTCGTATATTTCCTTTTGTGAAGTGCCCATTCACGTCTGTTATCTATTTTACTGTAAAGTTGCCTTTTCCTTATTGGTTTATGAGAGTTTTTAAATTTATTCTTGTGGGAAGTCCTTTGTCGGGTTTGCTATCTGTATCATAGATAACTCTTATCCTTCCTGTGGCTTGGATTTTACTTTCTTAATAGTGTCTTTTGATAACAAAATTCTTAATTTTAATATATTCCAATTTATATATATTTTTCCTGAAGGAAAAATTATTTAATGCTTTTGTGATCTATTAAGAAATTTTATCCTCCTCCAAGTTGTGGAGCTATTCTTCTGTGTTTTCTTCCATAAGAGCTATTGTTTTGTGTCTTATATTTAGATCTACAAACCCTTTGGAAATGAATTTATGTACATGGTTTGGGATGGGGGTCAATATTCGCCTTTATTTCTACATAGATTTGCAATTGCTCCAGCATCTTTTATTGAAATTACCGCACTTTCTCCATTGAAATTTACTTTTGAAGCAAGTTCAAGGTCAAAATCTTTAGTAGGGAGATGACTCTCTTATGCATAGGTTTTCAGATTGTTATGCATAGGCATCACCATGGAATGTGTTTAAAATATAGATACCTAGGCCACCCCCAGGGATGCTGATTCACTGCTGATGATTCTCATGCCTTGAGGCCTGGCCCGTACTCCGAGGATTGGTGCTTCACTCAGGACCACCCTCAGTCAAGCAGACTCTGCATCTCTCTGCCTCATTCATCTATGTACAGACACTGTGTCTCCTGTAGATTATTGTGGCAGCTACAATCAGTTAACAAGTTAATTTTGGGGAACTCTATTTATCCTACCAACTCAAATATTTTGCTCAATTAATATTCTCTCATTCCATTAGTCATTCATCAGTACCTATCAGTTAGTCATTGACTTGAATTTCATGTGGGCATTCCACCACTTCACTTGCCACCCCATTCTGTTACTTAACAAAGTCTACTGCAAAGCACATCCATTGAGACAGCTTGATTGTCTCCTTGTATAGCTTGCCCCATTGTCATTTTGTCCTTCTCTTAGTATCTGCGACATTCAATTAGCCTTTATTGAACACCTACTCTTTGCCAAGCATATAATCAACTTTTTATCCTCAAGGCTATTAGAGTCCCTTGTAGAAGTGTGGGCACTGACCAACTTCCTGACACATGAGTACAGTGAACCGTGATGTATGCCATAAATGGGAGGGGTGTGTGCTTGCTCAGAGGAGGAAGCAATTACCCCTCCTTGTAGAAGGTCAGAGAAGCCTAAGCAGTGGCGGTTGAGCTGGGTCTTAAAGAGTGTATAGGAGTTCAGTGAAGGATAAGTGGATGAGGATGAGGGTATTTCAGGTAGAGGAAAAAGACATAAAACAGCTCAGCATGGTCGAGGAACTGCAGGTGATTCTGCATGTGTGCATCCCCTCAGTAACTCAACAGCCCATGTAAATTGGGAGGCAGGAGCACTGTCCCACTGAGTTTCAAACAAAAGCCATTCCAAACTGCCAGATAAAATTCCAGTTTAAATTAGTGAAATTTGTTGTGAGACAGCCTGTGCACTGCAGATGCCTGTGGTCCTAGAAGATAAAGTCTATTTCCTTTTGAAGGACATACATGTAGATCAACATGGAAGGAGTAGCCCTTGACCATCAGTGTATGACTCCATTGCATAGTGCTTGCTGCAGAATTGCCTTGCCTGTCAGATGACACAGCCAGTGCTGAGGTGAGCTGGTATCTACCCCGACCCTCCTTTGCCAGAAGTAAAGATGATGAGGGGGAGCCCCCTTACTGACCCTTGCTGGGGATGGATGGATGGGTGAAGGCTTCTGACAACAGCCACCTTTCCCAATGAGGTCATGAGGACCTCAGTGCTGTATGATGGGGAAGGATATGGCTATTTTTGTACCATGGATAATAAAAGGGGAAAACCCTGCTAATTTGACGTAAAAAAGATTCAAAGTCATAAATATCCCAAACTGAAAGCAAACCCCAGAAAGGCTAGTTTTGAAATTGGAGGTAATTAATTCCTCATGCGATGTGCTGAAATTCAACCCAGACATCCCTTTTTTTTTTTAATTTCTTTCAGACAGTTTACAGTCCAGTGGAAAGTAAAACCATGCAATCCCTTGGTGTGGTACAGTTTTACTATGTGTCTCTTTTTATTATTTTGCTCATTTTGATCACTTTTTACGTGAACATGCATATAATGAATTCAGCTCCTCTTGTACATGAGATTTATTTTACCCCAAGGATCTCTCCTCTCTCCATCGGTAGTCAAATTGTTAGTGCATTTCTCCATAAAAGAAAAGATCTGCAGACTAGAGCATCGAAGGTGAATGATGACATTAATTTGAAATTTGGATTTATTTTTAACTCAGAAAAAATGCTGCTGTTTTGCAAATGAAACTGGAGTTTAAAGTCAAATAATAAGGTTTAAACTCCATATTGAGGGAATCATAAACCTCCATATTGCCCTGACCTTTGAGGGTCTTGTTCTTAAACTCTCTTCTATAGTGAAGTCGAAAATCTTATTAATTCCCAAATGTGGTGCTCATATTCTCAACTCCATACCTTTGCTTTATTCATCCTCCAAGGCTGGCATATCCTTACAGCCATTCTTTTTTTTTTTTTTTTTTTTTTTTTGGTCAGTTGGATTGTCCACTGCAATTAAGCTGTGCAAGAGCAAAATAAAATTTGTTTGTTTGTTTGTTTGTTTCTCTATAACTATCTCATGCTCTGCAGGAACCTCTACCCTTCTAGGTAATAGGAAAGAAAAAGATAACTAAGTACATAATCCACCTTCAATCTTAGCCCCAGTAGTAATTTTTCTAGAGTCTCTGTAGGTAAACCTGTCTTTAATGGTGATTGTTGAGCCTCTCTAATTTCCATTTCCTGTCCCCTGCTTGTCTTTAGATAGTGGCTGGCTGTGTGGAGTGGGCACAGCGCTTGCTCTCATGAGCCGGTCCCTGGATCTACATCAAGATGGTGCCTGGATCTGTGGATGGACTCTGGTCCTACCTTGGCCCCTGCTGCACTGAAGCTCCTGGCATTTCCAGGGAGCCTTGCCCCTGTGTGTTATTGGCCTGTTTTTCTGATGTCTGCAGCCTGACAAACATGTCACCTGGTCTTTCTCAGCTGGGTGGCTCCTCTTTGTTGATTCAATGCCTCCTGGTCTTGCACCCACTCCCCGACTCAGATACTCTGCTTGGGCTCTTCCAGGAGATCAGTGTGCTCTGCCAGGTCCCAGGGCAGACCTGCTGGCTCTCAGCTTGGCACTGAGGAATGCTCTGGAGTAAACACTAGCCCTCCCCACCTGCTACATGCTCAGCCCTCTCCCCTCTGCCGTGTTGCCTCATGTCTCAGTCATTTCTGATTCCTCGTTACCTAGCAGAATGTCTGGCACTTTTGCTCAGTAAGATGCTTTTGAAATTGAACTGGATTGTGAATTCCTTTCAGTGAGTGGTCCATGCTTTATTTGGCAAATAGATGCCAATGACTACTATTTTCTCGAAATTTTATAAAGTTAATTATTGATACACCCAAAGCAGAGGGATCTTCTGATCCCCAAAGCCTGGCTTTCAGTGTTGTTTTAACCCTTCTAAAATCTCAAGTTTCTCTAATAAAAACCACGATAGTCTGAAATGCTGGAATTTGGAATTTATGCCTTCCTAGAGTGCTGATACCGAAATTTTAAGGAATGTAGGGAAAAAAAGGAAATAAAAAGTCCCCCAGAGGTTGCTGGAATTTTTAGTTTTATTTGAACATATTTGGTGGGAGAAAGAAATGAGAGTTTGTGATTTACTTTCTTTCTGATTTCTTCTTTGCTGTTTTTTTTTTTATTTCATCTGAGCACCTGTAGAAAAGTTTCCTTAGAGCACTCCTGTGTGGGGAAGTATCCAGTTTGAAAGCCAGGCCAAGGAGGTATCTTGACCATTTGAGCAGAAAGACCTCTGAGGAAATGAACTTTCTCCTGTTGAGTTGTGTCAGGATGGAAAGGTGTGATTACTTTCCCCACCTATCATAAGGGTCATGGCTGACACTATTATAACAAAAGACAGATTAACAAGAGAAAAGCATAACAAATTTATTGAATCAAAGTTTTAGGTGATGTGAGAGCCTTTAGAAATGAAGACCCAAAACCCCAGGGAAAATTGTTTTTTATGCTTAGGTTCCATGAAGAATGGATAGCCATGTAGAACTGTGATGGGACAAAAGGTGTGACCTCATGGCAATAGACCAAGGGGGGAACCCCAGCAAGGCCTGTCAGTTCAGATTCTTCCTGGCCTTTCTGTGTAGCATTCCTTCCCCCTGGGGATGGGGCAGGACCGAAGGGAGAAGGAAGAGAGTGACCTTGGTAGGTTTTCTGGCTTACTTTTGGGGAGAGGGGTTCTAGTTTTTATGACTCCACCTTGGGGAGGAGGAATTCTGGTTTCTGTGATTCACTTCAGAGGAGGAAGAGGGATGGGAGACAGGAGGATGGAGAAGGTCAGAGGGACCTTGCTTGTGAGACTTTTCTGATATCCTTCAGTTTGAAGTACTTAGCACACCAAAGAGCTGTCTTTGGAGTATCGTGCTCTGAGTCCCAGCATTTGTAAGGCCAGGTGGAAGAGAAGTGCTGGCTCATTAACTCACACAACTGTTTCTTGAGAGTCCTGTGTGTGTCTGGTGCTGTTTGATGCTCTGAGCAAAGGTTATCTTCAGAGAGAATGACTGTCCAAGATGCTGATGCCACTCGGGATGATGAAGAGAGGTTGCAATGGGAGAAGGATGCAAACAGCCACCAGATGTTTGCTCAGAGGCCCACACTTAGACCTCAGAAGATTGTCAAGGGGTAATCTCGTGGCACAGAAGGCAAGAGACAAGTGTGTTGGTAACACTGTGCATGTCTTAGCTAAGTGTCTATGTTTACAGAGGTTTCCCTTAAAAGTTTCCTCTTCTGGCATTCTTTGTCAAGAGAATGTACTCTTTTCCTTCACTGCTGTCTTTGTGACTTAAAGCTGTGGATGGTTTAACATTTTGAAGTTCAATTATAGATAGGAAACCAATGTTGAAATTGGAAACTGATCTAGAGGAATCCTTTTGATTCAGATGTGCTATGTCCCTTTTAAATTTGTGTAAGTTTCTAGTAAGGGAGGTAAAGCATGATTTATTGTCATCACTGGGATTTCAGGACAGGTTTGGACATTCAAAATAATGTTCAAAAGTAATGAAGTCCCCTCATAACAATAATGTCTTCCTGACTGTTTATTTTAGGAGTATTTAATTTTTAATAATGATATTCTTTTTTGATTTTATGGCAGGTTAAGTGGCTTTAAATATGAACACATTTATTCCTTTTCAGCATAGCATTTCAAAGTTTAAAGTGAGCTGAGTTGTTAAAACTTCCAGTTTTTGTATGCTTAAATTTTTAAAACTATAGCGAAGCAGGAAAATATAAAAATTTGGGTTCAATTTTCTTCCTGTGTATTATTATTTTCTCATATTATTTCCATTCAAAATGGTAAATTTGATTGGAAGTTCACATATGTGTGTGTGTGTTAGGACCTTTTGAGGAAGAAAATGAAAATTGGTAGGATGGTGGAAAGATGGGGGCAAGAGGATAGGAACTTTCTTACAGAGCAAGGAAGTAGGTGATTTAATTTGCTTCACAGTTGGTGTGCTGATAAAAAGGGGTTACTATTCATGAAATAGTAGATCTTTTGTATACGTTTCATCTTTATTATTTCAATTATCTAAATGCACATGGTAAATGACACTGATTCATGTGCTTTGTGTGGGCAGGAGTTCAAAGGCCTCATCAGCAAAAGATCCGGGAACTGAGAGGGAACAGCCCCCACACTCACCCCGCTACATGTTGACTCTGTAATAAATTCGCTTCATCAAGCAACTCCATAACTTTTATGGGGAGAAATTAGGAGACTCAATTAACATCATTATCTTCCTCCTTTGGGGCCCACTTTAAAGCTTGGCAAGCCTAAAAATGGCCTAGAAGGAATAGAATTTGGTGCTAACAGAGCGCTGCTGTTGAAGGGGCACAGAGTTTCAGTGAAAGCTCAGACCCAAAGCATAAATTATGATCACTTTAAGGGTAAGGGAGTAGAATTGGTTTGTTTCAAGGTGGAAGGATATGGCAAAGCTGTGTGGAAGGCTTGAATTGCACATGGAGAGCCCTGAATCCCCATTCCTGCTCTGCCCCAGACTGTGTGGCCGGCTGTTCCCCTTTCCGGACCTCAGGAGATAGGGCTTGGTAGAGCTTCTAAACTCTATCTACTTCCAGCCCAGAAAGGCCGTTTGTACAGGTAGGTGCATTCTGTAATGCTGTAGTGCAACCAACTCAGCCTCAGATTTTATTTTCTTTGCGGTTTTGCTTAACCTGAGGGAACTTCATGGGGCTCCTACTGTGAAGTGTTAGTTCCATCAACACTGAGGGCCAACATCACATGCTGATAGCTAGTGGGCTGGTCAGTGCTGGTGGGGACCAGCCCTTCTCCTCACTCAGATTTACTGTTCTTCAGGCTTTATTATAATGCCATTATTGGCATCTCCAGTGGGCTCTGGGATACAGAACCCATGGGTCAGAGTTCAGTCCTATCTCCTCACTCTGAGCAACATGAAGCAATTTAATTCCCAGCAGGCATCATGTCTGCTCATGACGAACAGCATGGCAGATGACTGATGTGGAACTGGTACCTACATCATTCAATTATCTATCTTCAAACAGATTTTAAACCCTGTTAGAATAATGTAAATTTGAATTTTAGCAGTTTCATTCCAGACTATTTTATTTTTTTGAAATTTTTTTCCCTATTATTTTAAATCGCAAAGCAAATAAACCGTCAGTCTGAGATTTTGCTAAAAATGTTTTGGCATTTTGAGCTTGTTTTTTTCAATAAAGTTAGGAGACATTCTTTGCCAAAACAGACACTGAAGTTTGTTGTGAAAGTCATTAAAATATAATTTAAGCCTAGTGCTGTTTTGAGTCATTTGGAATTGTTTGCACTTTTTCTCCAATGGTCCAGTTTCAAATTTAATAAACTTGGAAAACTAGGTTGCCATCACCTATATGATCCTGAAAAATACTTTTGAAAGAAGTAATATCTCGCATATCCTATACAAATAGACCACAAATTTGGGCTCGTAATTTGATGATTTAATAGAAAAATCATTGTATTTTAAGTAACAGTTAATTAATCTAAGTAAATACTCTGATTGCCCATTGCTAAGTAGGCAGCAAGGAATATAAAATGCTAAGAGGTGAAACATACCATGAGCCTCAGTATTGCCAAGGACAGAAATCAAACATAGCAAACTCTTGATTCTGCAAATGATCATCTCATACTGTCTCCTTTAAAACTTTTCTTTGCACTTGATTCTTCAAAGAGTGGGAGAAAGTATATATTTATAGATGAGAATAAACATCTAAATAAAATCTAAAAAGTGCAAAAGCAAGAGAATACAGGAATGTTGTATATTGATTCAGGTCTAACAAATACAAAACCAGTCATTGGTGAGGAAAGGATTTTGGCATGGTCTTTAGAATTCTTTTAAATATATGTTTCTATAAAGTTGGCTGTAGAAAACGTTTTCCTGTGGAACATAGTGTTAGAGGTGTACATTTTCAAAAGAGAAGGAAGGAAATAGTCCCACTATGCAATAAAAATCAGTGTTGAGATTGAAGCGACTTTTATAAATCACACGTTTTAGGATATACATTATACTTTCCCGCCTAATCGTTCTAACAGTCAAATATGTAGCAATGCAGGCACTGCATGGAAAATGAAAATAATTTACAATCAATTACATCCTCCCAAAGCTAAATCTTCGGATTGCCTCGAGTTTGACATGAGAGAGAATTTTGCTAAATTTAGCCTTTAAGATAAATAAATGACCCTTGTGGGGATTTCTAGCTTTTAGTTGCCTTTTGGTTCTAGTAGGAGCCATCTTGCGCTCCCTTGGTGCTGCTGAATTGTGTCTTCATCGGTCAGTGGGATCTGTTGTGACTTCCTTTTTAAGAGTCTACTTGTTACTGTAATCTCAGGTTTCTGAACAGTGGGTTTCCCTTGTTAAGCAGGGGTCGTTGCATGAAGAAAGTGGCTACTCATATTTTCTTATTCTCTCCTTCACTCCCAGGAAACAGGAAAGAGTGGTAGAGTCTCATCCATTCAACAAATATTTGTTGAGCATCTGTAGGTTCCAGGTATGGTGCTAGATGCTAGGCATAGTCCTGGCACTCACAGAGCTTTCTGGAAAATATGACAGGCTAATAGTCTCTCCCAGGCTAAAAATCTTTCTTTTCAGAACACTGAAAAATACATATTCTCAATGTAAGTGGCCTAATAGCATAAGTAATGCTGTATTACTGATTGACCTTTAGCTATTTGTGCGGTGGATTGATACTAAACTAAGTGTATTTATTTTGGCCTATTCACTATATAATCTAACTAAGACATCTTTTACCTTTACATTTGGAGACAATTTAATGGAACTGACTAGTCTACAGCTGATTGGATATGTGCTCTGTCACGTTAGCTGCTGTCTTGAGAGTTTCAGTACCCACTGTAGGTCACAGTGAGAGGGTATCGTCTCTGTCCTCTGATATGAGAGTCACTGACACGCGTGGACTCTATAATGTGGTAATAAAGGGTAATGGGGATTTCTTCTGTGATGTAGACTTTTGGGCACTTCCAAATTAAGTGTCAGAATCCTTAACATGTTTTGGAGAAAGGAATATGAGCCAATAAATTAGATTAACTGTAAAAGGGATAATAACAGACCCACTTTATTCGGTGGATGTGAGTGTGACTGAGAGGACATATACCCAGGGCCTGGCTGGGGTGAGAGCTCAGGGGAAGGCCCAGGGTGGTGAGGCCTGGAGCTTTTGAAATTTGGGGGGGATCCCATAAGAAAAAGAAAAAATGCAAAAATCTGAATTAAAAATATAATAGATCTCCACAAATTCAAAAATGTTAAAAGCCAACCATTGTCACAAACATCATAACATCCAGAATGATATAATATTTGTATTAATTAACTGCTGGATATCCAACCTCATTAATACATTTTCCCTATATTTTTGAGCTACGCACTCTTTGACTACCTCTTCACATGACAATTTGTGTTCGATTTTCTGTGGAGTGAGTAAGAAGATAATTTTGTTTTTCCTCTGGTGTGGTTGATCAGATTAACCTTTCTTGCTATTGATAATTTTCAAAAGTTTCTTTCTGCTTCACAAATTGCTATTAGTAATGTCTTGTTAAATTTTAGAATTATTGTCAAATTTAGGAAAGCCTCTATCAAATCTGTTTTAAGGATCTCGAAGTGTTCTTGCATAGTAATGAAACCTAAGTATTTGAATTGACAGTGCTCCTTAAACAGTTTGTCATTCACATCCTTGTTTCAGTGGAGCATTATAAGGTTTTGTTGTTGTTGTTGTTGTTGTTGTTGTTTTCTTTTTTTTGAGATGGAGTCTTGTTCTGTCACCCAGGCTGGAGTGCAGTGGCAAGATCTCAGCTCACTGCAACCTCCGGCTTTCGGGTTCAAGCAATCCTCCCACCTCAGCCTCCCAAGTAGCTGGGATTACAGGCACACGCCAACATGCCCAGCTAATTTTTGTATTTTTAGTAGAGACGAAGTTTCCCCATGTTGGCCAGGCTGGTCTTGGACTCATGACCTCAAGTGATCTGCCTCCTTCAGCCTCCCAAAGTGCTGGGATTACAGGTGTGAGCCACGATGCCTAGCCTAAGAATTATAAGTTTTATGTGATCTTCATCCATAGCAGTAATTTCATGTCAAACAGCAAAAATTTACAAAAAAGTGCCGGGCGCGGTGGCTCACGCCTGTAATACTAGCACTTTGGGAGGCCACGGTGGGTGGATTGCCTGAGCTGCAGAGTTCGAGACCAGCCTGGGCAACACGGTGAAACCCCTTCTCTACTAAAATACAAAAAATTAGCTGGGCGTGGCAGTGTGTGCCTGTAATCCCAGCTACTTGGGAGGCTGAGGCTGGAGAATCACTAGAACCCAGGAAGCAGAGGTTGCAGTGAGCCGAAATCGTACTACTGCACTCCAGCCTGGGCGATAGAGTGAGACTCCAGCCTGGGTGACAGAGCGAGACTCTGTCTCAAAAAAAAAAAAAAGGAAAACTCTTTCTGTATTTATATGAATCCATTCTTCTTGTTAGATGGAATATCAAATCTACGAACTTCTTCATGACTTCTATGCAATATACATCTCTCCTTCTTAAGGAATTACTGATTTTTGCGTGCTTTGAAAATGTTTTGGTTACAGTTTGCTTTTTTACTTCTTAAAGACAGGGTCTTGCTCTGTCACCCAGGCTGGAGTGCAATGGCGCTATCTTGGCTCACTGCATCCTTGACCTCCTGGGCTCAAGCAATCGTCCTGCCTTAGCCTCCTGAGTAGCTGGGACCCCAGGAACATGTCACCATGCCTGGGTAATTTTTTAAATTTTTTTATTGAGACAGGGTCTCGCTATGTTACCCAAGCAGCTGGTCTTGAACTCCTGGACTCAAGCGATCCCCTGGCCTCGGCCTCCCAAAGTGTTGGGATTACAGACGTGAGCCACCGTGCCTGGACCAATTTGTTTCTTTATGTCAAAACTGTTTCTATTGATTCCATCCAAAAATAAATGAGATGTCCTTACCTGGTGCATTTATAATTTATGTGGTGCATATTAAAACTTTCACTTTGATCAGCATTGGTGAGAAATGAAATTCTCTTACACATCTGATTGGAAGAACTTTCTGCTGAGTAGTTTCTGGCTCCGTATATTTTAAACCTTGTTTCTCCTCCACTACCCACATAGTTTATGTGCCAAGTGCCATGGTCTCGTTCCCATCACACATGACCCCTCTGGCCTTGCACCTTCATCTTATACAGGTGAATCAATAGAGAGCTGTGGAAGTTTTCCTGGAAAAACTTCCTACCAGGATATCTGGGAACTTAATTGCGCAGGGAAGTAACCATGAACCACATAACTATATTCCACTATAAACCCCAAACCAAATGTATTCAATGTCCCCCTAGGCCAGTGGTTCTCAACGACTGGGAATTTTGCCCCACCACTGCCTCAGATATTTTTGGAAATGTCTAGAGACATTTTTGGTTGTCATGACCATTTTGGATGGTGTTGGTACTGCTGAAATCGAGCAGGTGGAGGCCAGGGTGCCTGGAAACATCCTGTAGTGCACAGGGTAGCTCCAATAGAAAGGAGAATCCAGCCCCAAATGCCAAGAGTGCCAAGGCTGAGGAACCCTGACTGGAGGGGTACCCCAAAGGCCACAGCCACTCCAGTGTCCCCCGATGTGAGCAGAGCTGTGATGGAGGTAAAAGTGGAAGTGACTGCAGTTATCATTGATTACAGTTAAAATAGTTTGCTTTTGCAAATATTGGGAAACATCAACCACACGGACATGAACACCTTGCTAGGGGGTTAGGGGCTTTGAAGAGGCCAGTGGAAGTGAGGTGTCCTGAAGCTTTGGCTTCATTCATTTTATAGTAATAACGTTTTAAGCCTCTTTGGTGCTTTACGTTGGATTCTTTCTCCCTTCCCTACGTCCTCCAAAGATACAATGTGAGTTGTGCAGATAAGATGGTAAAAGCCCACTAAGCACTGAGCTGGGAGACTTTGCCATTTTTCCAACTGCATAACGACCTGCTGCAGGTGGGAGAGGCCGCAGCTGGTCTTCCCTTTTCACCTGAAGTCCTGACCTCTCCCAGTTTTCACACAGGCCCTGCTTCTGGGGGATGGTGCTGGTTTCTTTGCTGAGATGTTGGCCTGTTATGTTTTCCTTCACCATATGTTTCCGCAAATGTATTGTCTTTATTATGTCTGAATCCACAGTAGCTCTTTAAAATAATGCTTTTCCCCTTCTGTTGATAAAAGCAGTTGTGCATATGGAAGAAAATTTAGAAAGTGCAGAAAATATAAAGAAAATAAAAGCATCCTATAAATCATTAAAATTAGTATCACTGATTAACAATTTGATCTATGTATTTCCTTCTAATCATTTTCTGGGATGTGTGTGTGTGTGTTTGTGTGTGTGTGTGTGTGTGTGTGTGTGTGTTGTATCAAGTTTTCTGTCCTTTATCTCTTGTTTTATTTAACATATATCATACTTTCTCTGTCATTAAATATTTTTTGATACAGGTATTTTTTCATGACTATATAATATTCTACCCTATGACTGTATCATAATTTATAGAAACATTTCTCTTGTTAGATGTTATATTTACTCCCTGCCCCCCACATTTATAAATAATGCTGTAATGAACATCCTTGTACCTAATGCTTTGACCACATCTTGATTATTTTCTTAAAATGAATTCCAAGAATTGGACTTCTGGGCCAAATATTGAACATTTAAGGTACTTGATCCCAATAACAAAATTAGCTTCCAGGCTACAACGTAATTTAAATTTGATTCCTGAAGTCATCTTGGTGTTAAGAGGAGGAATGTAAACCCATGATGTTTAATGAGAAAATCAGATCTCAACTGAAATAGCCATGATTAACGTACAACATATTAAACTTTCCCGCCAGGAACGTGTAATGTTTGTTCTGAAGGTGGCTTTAGACACTTCCTCATTTTATGTGAGTCTAAACTGAAGCCTCTAGAGGCAAAATACTCACCTGAGGTTGCACAGTGGATTGGTGCAGGGATGAGATGAGAACCACTGATGCTAATGTCAGCAGAATATTGCTTGATTTTAAAATTGATCACACTCTATATTTTGTGTGGTTTTCAGCTTTATCTGTTTGAACGTAGCAATCCCATAAAATAGGAAAGGCAAGAGTTATGATGGCCATTTTACAAATGGGAAAACTGAGGCCCCAAGACCCTGAGAGCTTTTTGTGTAGCCCTACAGGTAGTGTGTTTGAGCCTGCAGGCAGGCTGGAATCCTCTGTTCCATGATGCCAGCATCTGTGGTTTTCTGACTTTTTCATAATCGCCATTCTGATTGGCATGAGATGATATCTCATTGTGGTTTTGATTTGCATGTCTCTAACGATCAGTGATGTTGAGCTTTTTTTCATATGTATGTTGGCTGCATGAATGTCTTCTTTTGAGAAATGTCTATCCACATCCTTTTCCTATTTTGTAATGGGGTTTTTTTTTTTTTTTTGTAAATTGGTTTAAGTTCCTTGTAGATTCTGGATATTAGACCTTTGTCAGATGGATAGATTGCAAGAATTTCCTCCCATTCTGTTCACTCTGATGATAGTTTATTTTGCTGTGCAGAAGCTTTTAATTAGATCCCATTTGTCAATTTTTGCTTTTCCATGGTATTTTAAAAAAAATCCTCAAATGATTCCAGTGTGCGGCCAGCGTACAGAACATGGCACTGCACCTAAGATAGCTTAAGAATTCACCTCTCCTGCCACCTCTGATCATTTTGTAGTCTTGCCTGGAGCCTAGTGTTAAGAAGGATGCTGATGCCTTCTTGTCTTAGTGAGAAAGTGAGCTGGGACTCATTTTCTATAATGTCTGCCATGAACTAGACTGGGGAGGGACATCAAAACTGTCCTTGCTATCTTGGCATTACATCATATTGCCATTCTGTTTAGTTTCTAGAAAGTATATTCTCACTAAAAACACATAAAGACAAGGGCACAAACAGGGTTAGTGTGAGGGTATGACTGACAACCAGTCATGAAAGTCCTAAAGCAACTTGCTATGGCCTGCTAAGAATTTCAGGAATATTTTCCTAGCAGTGGTTATCTTCAAGACAAATATGGATCAGGCACAGTATTGCCAGGTTATATTTTGGGATATGTCTCCACAGAACTCATGAACTGACCTTTTCTTTTGCTAGGCTTGGAATTGGTTCGGAAACCTTCCAAGATATATTCTAAACAAAATGGAAAAGTAAAGACAGAAAGCTGAGTGTGGCTTTCGGGGACTTGTATTAGTTTGCTAGGGTGATCATAATAAAATATCACAGACTTGTGGCTTCAACGACAGGACTTTTCTCACAGTTCTGCAAGCTGGAAGCCCAATGTCAAGGTGTCAGCAGAGCTGGTTTCTTCTGAGGCCTCTTTCCTCAGCTTGCAGCTGTCTGTCTTCTCGCTGTGTCCTCACGTAGGCTTTCCTCTGTGTGTATGCAACCCTGGTATCTCTTTGTGTGTCTGAATTTCCTCTTCTTATAGGGACACCAGTCAGGTTGGAATACAGCTCACCCTAATGAACTAATTTTAACTCACCTCTTTAAAGAGTCTATCTCTGTATACATTCCCATTCTGAGCCACTGAGGGTTAGGGCTTCAATATGTGAATTTTAGGGAGACATAGTTCAGCCTACATAAAGATCCTACCTCTATAAACATTCCCATTCTGAGCCACTGAGGTTTAGGGCTTCAATATGCGAATTTTAGAGAGACATAGTTCAGCCTACAATAGGCCCTTGTGAAGTGTTGAAAACTAATGCCTGTCCTTGTTTATTAGGGGCTCAGGCTTTGGGTTGGGATGGTCTCAACCAGGGGCAGTTTATCCCCCCAGGGCATATTTGGCAATGTCTGGAGACATATTTGTTTGTCATAATTAGGATTAGGGGTTGCTAATAACATCTGGTGAATAGAGACCAGGGGTGCTGCTAAATGTCCCACAATGCACAGCACAGCCCCTCTGCCCCCAGTAACAGAGAATTATCAGGGCCACAATGTCCCTTGACATTTTGCTGAGGTGGAGAAATCCTGGGCTAAATAGACTGCAGTTTGAATCCCTGTGATGATACCTAATACAGGTGTGACTTTATAATATACTCCATCTTTATAAACACCCTCATCTGTAGAGTCCTCACAGTGGGTTAAATGAGATAATCTATTACAGCTTTTAGGACATAGCCTGACTCCTGGGAAGCTCTCAACAACCTTTAAGTGCATTATAGATTTCTCACCCGCAGATGCCTCACTTGAGAGCTCAGGTTGGAATGAGCATTAGGAAGTATCCAGCACGAGGAAAGAGGGACGACCCATCTGGGCACAGGGAAGTAATTGGGGCCACAAGAAGGCAAAGGCCACGACCTACTGAAATATATTGAATTTCATATCTTCTTTGGATGTTTTCCAGTTTTAAATAAGTCTACTTCATTGGGTGAAATATGGCTTGAATTAGGGACAGCCCTTTCTCTGAATGTAAAAGGTTACATCACGCATTTCCAGTATCTGTGCAGCTTGCTGCCTCTTCCTTGAAATCATTTAGAGAGAGGGTTGTTGGGCACATCAGATTTCTTGCTCACTGTGTCAGGTCCAGAAGGTCCTGGAGGAAAAGGGAGAGACAGAGGAGTAGAAAACATTTGTTCAAGCAGGGAGGACTGTTTGACACACACCAACATCCCCGGAGTTTTCTGTTAATTAAAAAAGTCATCAGAATGCATTTGCATATGAGATTCTATGTTGCATTTGTTCAGAAAGATTGACTTGAACTATAAAGTAGCTTTGTCCTCTTTCATTAACTTCCTTCACCCTACAAAGTGTGAACCAGCAGCATTTGCTTCCTGGGGGTGGGGTTGGGGGGAGCTGGTGAGAAAGGCAGAATCTCGGGCTCCACTCGGGGACCTGGGGAGGCAGGACCTGCATTCCAATAAGTTGGCAAGTGATGCTTCTGCAGGGAGAGAAGAGCTGCTCTAGGCTGTGCACCATTTCTCTCTCTCCCCTTTACTGGAATCTTTTCTATCATCACTCTCGTTTAATGGCTTCATGAATTTCGTACATTGTGTTTCTTATTGTGGGCCACCTCAAATCCTTTTTGGTCCTTGATGTTGTATAATATTTAGTCAACGTTAAGAACAAACTGTCCTCCAAACCAGGGTTTGATAGTCCGGGCATTTTCATATGTATTAGAGAAAACATTTTAATAACAGCTTCATGAAGGAGAAAGAGGAGCCATAAGTAGTTTTAACTCAATTTAGGGTTAATAAGTAACCACTATTAATTGAGCATCTACTGTGTATTAGCCCTGGATATGCAGACTCACTCAGTCCTCACAAAATTCTATGAAGTGGGTGTTTTTATCTCCATTTTATAGGTTAGGAATGGAGGCTCAGGAAGGTCATATGCCTTGAATGAGGGGGGGCATTGCTAAGCGGTGGCTTCAAGGGCTTCCCTAGCTCCTATCACCAGCACCAAAACACCCACTAAAATTAATCTAATAAGTAATTATACAATTGAGATAGTTTTGCATACAGTTGTGCATAATAAATGAAATTGTGCTTGCTCTACAAATGTGCTTCAAGACACCCCCTCTCTTTCAACTTGCTCATTCTCCCACTGCCCTTCCAAAGCGAACCCTTTGAGTGACGCTCCACCCAGGGCCACTTAGCTCCACCACAGTGACGCCAAAGTTTCGGCTGGAAACTAAGGAAGTGAAAGTTCTAAGTTGCTTGCCAAGTGCTTTATATTTTTTTAATTTTTAAAATTTTTGTACTTAGTAAATTCGAACCAGTGTCAGTAGCCAAATGCCTTAAAATCAGGAAGGGCTTGGGAAGTTTTCTACAGCATATGACACACCTTCCAAGGATCCCCCTCAACTTGCTAGTCTGTAGTCATCTCCCGTCTGGTTTCTTTAAACAGGAATGTGATTGTCTATCCTGGAGCATGTTGCTCCCCTTTGATTCTAATTTTAAAAGCCCATATGGCGCTGGTGTGTGGGTCTGTCATCTTTCCATCATGCTCTGGGCAGGGTGGAGGGTCCAGTATGAGTTTCTGTGACTAAAGGAGGACTTACAAGACCTAGAGTAGAAGTCAAGATCTCTAACTGTGGAGCTGTGGCAAGGAATTACAAGAAAAGCCTGGGCTATAGGGTCAACCAAGTTAGAATCTTGGTTTTGTCACCTGCTGGAAACCAGGGCTTGGGCAAGTGAGCTCATCTCATTGAACGTTTCGTTTCTAGATAATGAACATCTCAGACTTTTTAAAATTTTGAAATATTTAATTGATGAATAAGAACTGAATATATTCAAGGTATACAATGCAATGATTTTATTTAAGTATATAATGTATAATGATTATCACTATCAGAATAATTAAAACATTCTTCACCACCCATGATGTACATTAGATCCCAGAACTTATTCATCTTATAACTGAAGGTTTGTACAGTTTGATCAGCGTCTCCCCATTTCCCTCATCCCCAGCCTTTAGTAACCACCATTTTACCCTCCTTCTATGAGTTTGAGTTTTTTAGATTCCACATGTGAGATAATGCAGTATTTGTCTTTCTGTGTCTGGCTTATTTCACTTAGCATAATGTCCTCTAGGTTCACCCATGTTGTAACAAATGGCGGGATTTCCTTCATTTTTATGGCTGAATAATATTCCATTGTGTATATGTACCACAATTTCCTTATCTGTCATCCACTGATCGACACTTAGGTTGTTTCCATATCTTGGTTATTGTGAATAATGCTTCTATGAACATGGGAGTGCAGATATCTCTTTGAAGTACTGATTTCATTTTCTTTGGATACATACCCAGTAGTGGGGTTTCTGGATCATATGATGGTAGTTCTATTTTTAACTTTTTGAGAATCTCCATACTGTTTTGCATAAGTGGTTGTACTAATTTAGGACCCACCAGCAGTGTACAGGGCTCCCTTTTTCTGCATCCTTGCCAGCCCTTGTTATTTCTTGTCTTTTTTGACAGTAGATTCCTAACAGGAGTGAGGTGATGTCTCATTATGGTTTTGATTCTCATTTCCCTGATGATTAGTGATTTGAGCATTTTTTTCATGCACTTATTGACCACTTATATGTCTTCTTTGGAAAAATGTCTATTCAGGTCCTTTGCCTATGTTTTAATTGAGTTGTTTCTCAAGCTTACTGTGTAGAATTATAATAAAGGATCTGGCACATAGTACAGGCTTAGTAAATGGTAGTTCTGATGACACTGATGATCATGACAAGGAGAAATGAAATATCATCTGAATAAGGAAATATTAAAGGACTAAGGTTGTTCATCTCTAGGGAGAGAGGGTCCTTAGAAACAGTCATGAAACAAACAGAGGTTTTCATGCAGAGCTGGTGCCTGCTTTTTCTGTATTCTGATACACTGAGTGTGGAGACCATGGATTCTGTCCAAATGTAGCGAATAAGAAAATGTGCCTAGATGTTAGACAGGCTCGGTTCAATCTGGATCAACTCCATCCTAGCTCTATGACTGGTCAAATTGGCCAGTCTCTTTGATTCTCAGTTTATTCATTGTAAAATGGGGATAATAGTCCTATAAGACTCAAGTTTTTGTAAGGACTGTGCTTGACACAGTGCCAGGCATGTACTTTAAGTGCTGTTATTTGAATTGCATTTCAATACATGGCCAGCACTCCCAGATTGGATTAGTTGCTGTGGAATGGCCTACAGAAAGATCTTACAGAGTCTGTCTTGAAGACAGCATTTCATGAGCAGTACAGGTTGTCAGTGTGGAATGATTCAGAGGGATTCCTGTTACATCAGAGTTCCTACAGACTCAGACACAGAGAAGGAACACCCATGGACAGCCTAGTGTCCTATGGAGACACAGTGCCTTTTGCATGAGCCTCAACTGCAGAGCTTCTCAGCAGGACAGTTGCTAAGAAAATTGGTCATCTACTTTCTAATTTTGCCTGCTGCCATATTGCCAGTCCAGGTAATTTCCATGTTCAGTGTTAAAAGGTGGATACTTCCAAATTGGTCTTCACTTTGAAAGCATGTTGTTTCTTCATGTTTTACCAACCTGTGTGATCAGAGTTTTTTATGCAGGAAGATTTAGGGTGGGCTATTTCAAAACAACCCCTATGAATACCCATGTATCATGTAACAGTGTGATTCTGTGCTTTCTGCCTTCCCATTTGTGTCTGATACAGGAATAGAAATAAGACCTTCATGATGATAGCTTAATATTTTCCCTCTTTGCACCTTGGCTTATTATCCATCTGAAATTTTATATATATATAATTTGTGTGTGTGTGTGTGTGTGTGTGGAGCAGGGGGTGTGGGTACTGTGATTTTCTCTAGTGCTGACCAGTTAAGGACCAAGCTTTCTGTTGGGGAGGTGAGTGAGCAGAAAAAAAATGAACTTGGAATCACGTAACATCCTATTTTTCTGAAAATAGCTTTGGAATAAGAAACAAGAAAATGAGAATGCAGAAAATATGATCTGTTACCTCAGATTGTTTCTAAAACAAATGCTTTCACAAAGTAGAGGTAAATCTTTTTTCTACTCTGTAACTGCTCTGACCTGTGTAAACCCAGTGGGCACTTTCAGCTGGGCTGGAATGTCAGAGAATTCCCGGTTTGTCTAGGTTACAAGATATTGTCTTCATTTCTGTTGTTTTTCTGCATAAAGACCATTCATTCATTATTCACGAACTGGTTCAGTCATTCATTCAACAATACTATTCAGCATCTAATATGCAGAGATGAAGGAATTGTTAACCCTGTTTGAAGAAATTCACGCTTACTGGGACAACAGACATGTATGTCCATGATTTACAGTGAGGGGTCATTACAGTGAGCACAGCTTTAGGAACACTGAGCAGGGATCTCCCACTGGTTTGGGACTCTCATGGAAACCTACCAAGAGAGGAGAGTTGAGCTGACCCTTGAGGAATGATAAAGAATTTTCCATTAGGCCGGGTGCGGTGGCTTATGCCTGTAATCCTAGCACTTTGGGAGGCCAAGGCGAGCGGATCACCTGAGGTCAAGAGTTTAAGACCAGCCCAGCTAACATGGCGAAACCCCATCACTACTAAAAATACAAAAATTAACTGGTGTGGTGGCATACGCCTGTAATCCCAGCTACTTGGGAGGCTGAGGCAGGAGAATCACTTGAACCCAGGAGGCAGAGATTGCAGCGAGCTAAGATTACACCACTGCACTCCAGCCTGGGCGACAGAGCAAGACTCTGTCAAAAAGAAAAAAGAAAAAAAAAGGAATTATCTGCTAGATCTTGGTGTAGTAAATGAGAAAAGAAAAGGATTTGAGGGAGAGGAAAGAGCATGGGCAAAGAGACAGGTAAGAAAATGTGGTGGGTTAGTGGAACAGGAAAAGGAAGGCAAAGTATTTTCAGAAGGCAGTGGGGTGCCATTGAATATCATTAATTAAATGCTGTTTAGTGCTACAAAAGAAAGGAATGAAAGAAATACTGTCTTATAACTCCTTGGTAGATCCATGTTTCCACCAATTTCAAGACATGTTTTCTTATGTGTTTAATCCCGTCTTGAGACGGGTCTATTGTTCTCCGTTCTCCAGGAAATGCTCCATAGTCAAAACATCACTTGACATTCCATCCTCTGGCAACAAGCAGGAGGGCTGAAGCTATACTTTGTCTTGTAGTTATGATCCATGACAATTACATTACCAAGAATAACAGCCTTTAGAGCAAGATCAACAAATTTATCACTAGCGTTTAAATCAACACCCAGTCACTTAAGTAAATATCCGCTTTGCTAAATTACTTTCTCTGTCAGTGTCAGGGAGGAAAGGAGTGCCTGAGAGCTTTTGTTTGAGGTTAGAAGTGAAGACCCGAGGGATGGGCAAAATGAAAGATAAATTTCTCAAATAGTTAAAATAGCAATGCCGTGAAGTAAGTGGAGTATTTCTGAGCATCTATGTGAAAGTGTTTGGCTCCAAGCTGTGAATGAGTGTCCCAGTCACCTGGAGGCAGAAATCAGGAGAGTAAGTTAAAAAGCACAACGAAACCTATTCTGGTACACATCTGTTTGGAGCAGTTGGGTGTATTGTAAATGTCTCGCATGTGGCTTTTTAAGCTCCCCATAATCTCTAATGTGTCTGCTTTATTTTCTTACCATGTGGGTAGGTAATGCTTCTCTCAGGCTTGGCAGAGGGTATTGTTGAAAAGGTATAACCAATGAGGCTGAAAGGTCTTGTATGTGGCAGTTTTCTCTCTGTCTGCTGAAATGGTCTGCCCTTTAATAAAAGTAATAGCCAACATTATGTGATGGGGTACCAGGCATCAACCCTATGAGACAGGCATTGTCATCCCCATTTTGGGATGAAAAAATGTAGTTCAAATGAGTTTAACTTGCCAAGCTCACGTAGCTCCTGAGTGGTAGGGCTGGGTTTGAACCCAGGCAGTCCGACATGCAAACCATGTTTCTACCCCAAGCACTGTCTCCCTGTGGTATCTGGACTTGTAGCATAGGATTTCTGTCCCAACCTCTTAAATTCCTAGATTAGGTTTCTTAGAGCACACTCTCAGAGCACATTGAAACAAGGGTTACCCAATGAGAAAGAGAGAGGCAGAGAGAAAAATAGAAAACCTGTAAGACGTTTGCCTAAAATATTGTGGCTGTAATAGAAAGCTTCTGGAATTTTCCACTGTAAACAAGCTGGTTTTGAGCAAGTCACTTAACCTCTCTGGTTCTGCATCTATAAGTGGAATGTGATCAGATGTTCCCTATGGTTTTCTCCAGTCTTCTCATCTATAAATCTGATTTATTCAACAAACAGAGAAAGAGAGGTGGTGGTGGTAAGGAACATAGGGCTAGACATCACAAATACTACCTAATTTAGTTTTAGGGTTTATATTACAGAACTATGTTAGTTGGGGCTCTTCAGGCTGCAATTATGAAAATCTAACCTGACCTAAGCAAGCTTATATTCAAGTTAGGGGCTTTTATTGATTTCATGTTGGCAGCACATCATGAGTTCTAAGAACCTGGGAGGCAGCTGAGCTTCAGAAAAGGATCCTACAACTGGGACACTGAGAGCCTCCAAATCTCTGTCCTCTTGGTGTCTTTTCTCTACCTCTCCTGGGCAATTGTAGTCAAATGGTCTGTTCTTTCCTGAGGAACAGTCTTGCCCGTTTACCTATCCAGGTGGCAGAAAATGACTCTCGTAGATCTGATAGAAAATGTGTAGAAACTGATTTCCCTAGCTTGGGTCTCATTGGACCAGAGTGTGGGGGCATATAGTAGGGACAAGATGGCTCTCATGCACCTTTGAGGGTAGAGAGGAGCCATCACCTGGTATTAAGCCAGGTTGACTCATTCCAGAGGCTGAGAACCATGGCTCCCACTTATCCGAGGTGGTGGCTGAGATGAAGAGATGTTGAAGGACTTAGACATACTCAGACAGCAGTAACTGAAAGGATTAAGAATGAAACACAGATCTTGGCTTTTCATTCTGTCTACTTGAATATATATTGAATTAGATCTCATTAGGGGATCTAACGACTCATTTGAATAGATTCTGTAACAACTTTGAGAGGTAATTCTGTGTACAAGGAGAAGGAATCTAAGTGAATGACTCCCCCTACCCTCCCAAAGAGACATATCTTTTCCTATGAACATTTAATTGGTCAAAAACAAATTAAATTGAAATTGTTTCCCTACACAGTAAGCTTCCATTCAAACTCTAACATTATAAAACTGTCAGTAAAGCTTTTTATCAGTTTTGTAAGTAAGCAATCCATAGATCCCACGTTTCTTATAAATCTTAAATCTCACACCTCAGTCCTCAGGCTGGGGCTACAAGGTATCATTGCAGCTTCCTTGAAGCACCTTATGTCTCTACCAGTAGGATGTGATCTTGCTTGAGGGTCCCAGGCACTTGGAACTGTGGAATAATTTTCTTTGTGTGAAGCTGAGCTCAAACATGCTCTGTCACGCTTGATGGAGTTGTTTATGGGCTACTTCCTTTCAACCCCAACCAGCAGGCCCATGGCTGCATTTCACAAGCTATTAAAAACACGAGCACTCTCCTTTTTTGTGTGTGGTGTGTGTGGCATCTGACCATTTATTTTGAATACTACATATTTGGAAAAGCATTCAACAGAGAAAATGATGGCTTTTGGGGGATTCTGACTGTGCCCTGAGTAAACTAGACCTATAATCTGAAACATATTCACATTATGCAGGAACGAGGACCATGGTCTCTTGCCATGGTTTTTTTTTTTTTTCAATACTTGAAAGCTTCATTTCTCTGTTTTTGGGGAATTATGTTTTGATTTCTGTTTTCCATAGACAGTAACAGACAATCACCTCCCTTAATCATTCATGACCTTCCCTCACTGTTTTTATTTTGGCTCCAAAGACTTTCACTTCCTCCAAAAATACCCTCCAGACCATACAGCATTTTTCTCAGTAGCACTTAAACCAATACAGTCTTTTGTTAAACTACATTCTTACATTTTATGAAACACTTTCAGGAGCAGTTTATCATTTGATCCTCTCCTAAACCCTGTGAAATAGTTATTGTTCTCCTCTCCATCTTACAGATGAGGAAACTGAACTTCAGAGAGTTCCTGAAGGTCACACAAGGTGGGATTAGTGCCCAGGGCTTCTGTCTGCAGAGCCTGTTGTCTTTAATTTTTCTTTTCTTCCCTCCCTCCCTCCCTCCCTCCTTCCTTCCTTCCTTCCTTCCTTCCTTCCTTCCTTCCTTTCTTTCCTTCCTTCCTTCCTTCCTTCTTCCCTTCCTCCCTTCTTCCCTTCCTCTCTTTCTTTCATAATAATTTAGTACCAATAATATGGCAAATATGTCCCTGCCTCTAGAGGCTTAGTGGTTCATGGAAATCCAGTGGGATGTGTGAGGCCTTCTGGGAGGGTTAGTGCATTGGGCTTGGTTGAGGAGGCCATAGCTAACTGTGATTGTGCCTGAGAGTATCACACTTGATGTGCTGCAGAATATTCATGCTACCTTGATTACTCGCTCATGCATTCCACTAGGCCTGTTTTTTTCCCAGGTGAAAACCAAGCCGATGGCTACAGAACCTAGTGGGAGAGACTCTTTTGCCCTTCTATTTGACTCAACTGGCAATGTCTTAACCACAATATCGTGCTGATGTTAAAAGACATACTATGCTTCCATTTTTCTTTGCCTTTCCTTTGAGCTTAGTTTCAGTGACTACTGATTTTATTTCTCACTAGAAGGACAACTCGGTTGGCCTCCTTTATGTTCTAGCCAGGGGTCAACAAACATTCTTTAAAGGGAGGGCTTCAGGTGCAGGGCGAAGTGAGTGAGGCACTTGCTTTGGGTGCAACCTACAAGGAGGGGGTCAAAAACTCAGTAAACAAGATAAAGAATATCTTACTGCAATATTTTAAATAATCAAAATTAACACAAAATTCCAAGATGAAGAAAATGTCAAGATTTTAAATATGGACCAGACACTTGCAGTGCCCTGCAGAGCTATGCAGGAATGTGAGGCAAAAGGAGCAACCAGGGATACTGCCCCCTAGCTAGAGTGTTGGAATCCTACTTAGGATTTTGTCTTTATTTGGCTTCATCATTCTCCAAAGACCTCAAAACTGTCCTCACGCTCTTCCCCAGCAGATCTCCCTGGGAAATCTCTTTTCTTATGCAGAAGCTTGCCTTGCTGCTTCTGGCTACTTCCAAATTTGGAAAACCAAACTTTTGATTTCCAAGGAGACTTCAGAGTCTAGAAAATGTCTCTGAGGATTTCCTACAGCAAGTGGCCGTTTCGAAGAGCTGGGCAGACAGGAATATCTGTGGCTTCCTGGGCCTTACACGCCTGCTTGCTATCTCATTATACCCCTGGCTGTGGCAAAAGGGAGCAGGTGTTTGGGGATCTCTTTCTCTATGAATTATTGTTTGATCCCAGAGCCAGAATTAAAAAATATGCTTCATTCTCAGTACTATGCTTGATCTATTTTGGATTAATGATAAATATGTTTGGTTTATTGATAACATCTTTTTTATAGATTTTGAAATGCATTGTAGATATTAACTGGCAAAATAAGGTGAGGAAGGAGATGAGGCTTCCTGTTTGATGTCACGTGACGGATTCATATGTTGGCTTGGGTCCCCTTTCTATTAGTTGTTAATTAGATAAAAGGAGAGAGAGAGTTGTTGGGCACCGGATGCCATGGAACAGTTGTCCAGGGTGTCCATAATGTCGTTTTCACAAAACTGTAGTAAGCTGGGGGTTCCAGGCCAGGTGAACCAAGGGCTACGTGATATACAAAAGTGAGGAGAAGGCTGTTTTCCTGTAGATTCACTTTATATGAATCAATAGCTTTCTGGGAATAGCTCTTTCCAGCCGTGCCCTCTGTGTGCCCTGGCACTGGGTCCCTGTGAACCCACTATGAAAGGTTAACAGAGCCAAGAACATGGTCTCTTTCATGTATCTGTTGCCCCTGAACTAACCTGGATGCCTCACTTTCAAGATGGAAATCCATTCCAGACAGGGCGAACTCAAGGGGCAAGGACAGACCCTGCAGTCCTTTCTGTCTTTGGTCTCTGGGGCTGGCCTTCTCCAGCACCTCTTGGCAGATAAAGAGTGACCACTTTGTTCATACCGTGATAATCTTAACATTTTGCCTACTTGGGCAACCTATGGTCTTATAGCTGCTTAGAGAGCTTCAGCTGGCATTCCATATAGAGTGACCACATTTTCTGAATCCAATTGTGTTTGAACCATAGTTGATGAGCTATAATCGTACATTGGAAGAGAGTACATTAAATCAGGAGTCTCTAGGAAATTTAGTATTAATCTATGTATCTTTGATAAATGTATGGAATTGAAAATTATTAATTTTTATTACTATATTAGTACTATGTCAGTTTTATAAATAACAGTGATATATGGTTTTCTGGAAGACCAAGAATGGTAAGGAAAAATAGGTGCTGTATACACACGTATGCATAATCATGTTATTACAGAATTTATGTTGGGGGGGAAAATGAGAGTTGTTCTGTAGGGGGAAAAATGAGACTTATTATTTGGTCCTGGAATATTATATTCAGTAACTTCTTGTTACTGAAGTTAACTGTTTTTGAGTTATGTTTTCAGAGCTAAATCTGATTGAGTTTACAGAGGGGACCAGCACATAAATGTGCACTTTTAATACTTCCAGGGGACTCTTTATTCTCTAAAATGTAACAGTGCAGACTGAGCTGAGTGAATAAGATACTCCCTAAGGTCAAGAGGGCTTGAAAGACCAATCCAGGGAATGCCCTTGAGTTTTAGATGAGAGTCCCCCAAAGACTAACACACCTGTGAGAGAAACAGCGTCACCAGCAGAGGGAAGGGCTCCCTTGCAGGCCCTGGCCAGCTAAAAACAACAGCACAATAGCTGCTCTCACAAATTGAAAAAAAGAACAAGAAGACAAAAGGTATCTATTCCCTCAAGCTCACAGTAGCAGTTTCGGCCATTCTTTGTCATACTCTGTGATTTGAAAAATAAAACCAGTGCTATCTTGTGAGAAGCCACGCCATTCCTGTCCCCTGGTTTTTCTGTCTGCCCTTTTTTCTTTCTCTATTTGTTAGAATAAAAGTCCCTTTCAAGTTTTTCTCTGTATGTGTGTGCGACCTTCTTAAGGATGACTCCCACAAACTGCCCACAGATTAAACAAAAGATGACTTTTTCTTTGAGCCTATTTTTGGGCACAGATATGTAAGCTGATTTGTATCCCATGCCTGCCTGATTCGAAATGCACAGCAGTCAAGGAAAGAGAAGCCAAACGGCAGATCCTAAACTCGAGCCAGCAGCCCCTCAGCCCCAGTGCACTAACTTCTTACGACTGAGAGTTAGGACTGGTGAGGTGAGCTGCCAGAATTGGGCAAATCAAAGCTACGAGCAAATCTACACACAAGGCATCGTCTTCTGTGCACTAGACAGGAGAGGTGATTTGTTGGAGGTGACCATGTTTGTTTAACGTTTTGAAAGCTCATGGGAGGGTGATGCAGGAACCAGTCAATATCCTTGAGATGGATTTCAAGTTGGGGGAAGCAGCGCTGGTTCCTACGTTTCCTCCCGCTTAGTGGGGTCAGCTCAGAAAAAGACATGCATTTGGAGAGATCGCAGCCTTTACAGAGAAATAAGTGACCTTTAGTCTTCATTCACTGCTTTTAACACGAGCTTCCCTTCCAGTTAATAGTTTTTCAGAAACCTTAATAATGTGTTTGAGAGTCTTTTCCTCCTTTGGGAGGCAGTGCTTCATGCTGGATAGAAGCTTTTAACAGACAGAATAAATATCAAAATTTATTCGGACATTTACTATCTATGTGACCTTGAGTGAACCACTTAGTTTCTCTGAGCCTACATTTTCCCACTCCATCTATAAAATGGGCAGGGTAATGTCCTTTTCACAGGATTGTGGTAAGGATTAAAGGAGATAATATATATAATATGAATGACATTGTTTCATTCTCTCATACTTCTCCCTTACCTGTCCCCAGTTTAAATGTTTCTAAGTGATGATGTTTAAAAAAGATAATCTGATTAATCAAATAATAATGAATTTCCAACTGAGGTTTGCTTACTAGCATTATAAACAAACTTACATACTTAATTTTTTAAGAGAGGGGAAAAAAGAAAGAATGAAAGAAACTAAGCCACAAATCCAACTTACTTTGTTTTAAAATATTCCTGTTTTAATTTAAGTATTTATATCTGGCTTTGTCTGTTTTAGTTAAGAGCTTCATCTCTCTGGCAAGCACATGCTGTCATACTGACTATATACTGTGTTTTGTATTCACATCCTTTAGATAGCTAAAACGTTAGAGAAATGAACTGCTGTGGATTAAAATACCTTGCCTGTTTTAAAAATCTTCTTTCTGATTTGATAAGTCAAGAAGGGGGGCCGAAAAACACAGCAACAGCCTGGAAATTTTTGGCAGAGAAACCCCTATTCCAGTTTGAAACCACATACAAAGAAGACACATGTCCGAGATACTCCCTGTTTATGCCTGGTCTTTGCTGCAAAGAAAGGTGTTGTTCGGAATCCAGTGTACTTTTTGGGGGTCATATTTGCCAGAAGAGTCAACTCTTGATGGTTCAGGATCAGGAATATGTGAAATATTTGTGAAATTCATCTAGAATCTCAGTCTTATTTTAACTACTGATTTTGATTTCCCCTAATATCAATTTTTAAAACTGCTAAGGGAAAATGAAATACTAGACATGAGATTTTTTTTCTCTTTATTTTCACCCAACAAACCATTTGGAATCAGGTATAAAGGGTATCAATCAGGAAAAAACAGAAGGCCAGGAGACAGAGCCCAATAAGGGAGACCCATCCCAGGGAGCCTGGGAGTCAGCGGGCCTGGATGCACCTCCCAGTTCTGCCTCTTATTAGCCAGCTGTGTGTTAACCCCTCATCTGGTTTGCTCAAGGTAACATGACCATCACAAAAGCAACAGAAACAGATTATTTACTTTCAGATTAACTTGTGAAAATGACAAGTTGAATATTGTCATTTCAGTATTCAAGTTGAATATTGTCACAAGTTGAAAGATTAACTTGTGAAAATGACAGTTGGTTGAATATTGGTATTTTCTGCCTCCAATTGTTGCATTTGTTATTTGCAACTTTTAATGCACCATAAAAGCATTTTTGTTTTGTTTTAAAAGCATTTGTTTTAACGCACCTTACAAGCATTTTTGTTTTGTTTTAAAAGCGTTTGTTTACAAATTTGTGTTTTGTGACTTCTGGGATGATTTAACAACTTTTAATGTACCTTAATACTTTCTCTGTTAGCTTTTGAGATTTAAAAACTATTTCTAATGCAATTTTAGCCATTTATGAAAATTGATGATATTAGTAAAAGGTAAAAGATAATAGAAATAGAAGATAAAATAAAGCCAAAAGAACTATAAAGAGAAATCAATAGTGGTAAAGCTGTGAGTAATGCCTATTTTTGCCTCGTTAGTCATTATTTCCACAAAATTTATTGCACAATGTCTTATTTCATGTTTACTTTTTGCGTGCAATTTTTGTTGGCTATTCCTTAGTTGGTCACTAAAATGTTATTTTTTTAAATTGAATGTAGAATAAAAAGTTGATAAATATTTGCCTAGACGGTTTATCATTATTTGCTCATCCCAGTAGACATTGTTGTACCTTTTACTCACATTCACTAATATGCATTTACGTAGTGCAGGTCCTTTGTTTCACAGTTACTAATAAGGCAGAAGTGGTGTGACTGTTGCAAAATATGTTTACACTTTTTAAAAAGCAAGGTACTTAGAAAGGGATAAACTATCTAAACAAAAATTAATTAAAATTAAAAATTATAATTAAAAATCAGAAAAGTCATACCAGGATACACAGACATCATCAATATGTGAATTACTGATCAGAAACAAGAAATTCTGGACCATTTTACTTTCAGTTAGTTCATGTAGAGCTGGAGATAAAAATGTAAAGCAAAAATTATTGCCAGACAGAGTGGACAGAACTGGCTAAAGGTAAATCAAATATGTAAAAAAAAAAAATCAAAGATCTGAAAAGTGAACCAAAATCCAGAAATATCCATAATATTTTGGGTTGCTCTCCAAATTAAAAAACCTGCAAAAATGCATAAAAATTTATAAAGAGTACCAAAACAGCTTAATATGCACCAAGATGACTAATACAAACAAAAATTCTATGTATCTGGAAATATTCATTTTTACCTAATTAATCATTTGACTAATTTTTTATTTCAACCGATTTATTTTAAATTAATGTATGTATAGTCATAATTTTCTACTTTGTAAGATGGTGAATAAGGATAAAAATAGATATTTGTAAAGTGGCTCAAAATACACCCTTAATAAAGCATAGCTCTCCCTATTTTTTTAGAAGCTAAAGAAACTGGATGGCATGCCAAAAAAGTATAACAAAAAAGTGTAACAACTGAAATAAACTTCAGGATGTTGAGAGTTTCTACAAATCATCTTTCATTCTGCATGTCTGATGTTTGCATACTTAATGAAACTGTGTCTTTGGCAGAAAGGGAAATGCACATATAGTTGATTCAATTCTAAGACTCATTGATTTACTTGTCAATGTATGCAAAGAATATTTAGTAAGCCTTGTTAAAGGAAGTGTAACCAAAGGCTCAAGAGCTTCAAGGCTGTCTCCATATTCTCTCCCTAGTCATCCTGTTGTTGGCTTGTGGTGACCAGCACTACTACTGTGTCCTACAGAACCTGGCATTATGGACAACAGTATCAGAATTTGGGATTAAATTTATATTTAGTGATATACACATCAGCTATGCCAAGTAATATATCATGACTCTTTTTCCTGTTATTTAAGAAGTTTTTTTCTTTCTACAGTTAATAATTATTTCATTTCCCACTCCAAAAACAACTGTCACTCTCTGGGCCTGTTGCCCAGGTGTTACCTGTTGCATCATTTGTTTTCCCGATCCCATTTCTCCTCTCTTGGCTTTACTCCCTCATTTTGGTGAATTGTATCCTCTGGTAACATTTGGGGAAAAAAAGTCTATGGGTAAGACACTTTGTTGAGACTTGTATATCTTAAATTATCTGTGTTTCTTTCTTGCACTTGATTTATGGTTTGCCGAGATATAGGATTCTTAAAATTTTTTTTCACCCAGCATTTTCAGGCCTAAAATTGCTTCTAATACTGGTATTAAAAAGCCTGATGTCATTCTGTTTCCTAGTCCTTTGTTTGTGTCTGTTTTCCTTTCTGGAAGCTTTTAAGATCTCTTTATTGCTAGTATCCTGGCGAATTCATGAAAATATGCCTTGATGGGTATTTTTTTGTTTATTGCACTGGGCACTCAGTAAGCCCTTCCAATCTGGAGTCTGGGAAATTTTTCTCATATTATTTCTTTGTAATTTTCTTTCTGTCATCTTCTCTATTCTCTCTTTCTGGGATTTCCCTTTCTGGAAATTGGACTTCCTGAATAAAGTCTCTATCTCATCTTTTCTATTATGTATCTTTTTTTTTTTATTCTACTCTTGGGGAGACTTTTTTACCTGACATTTTAATTTTTTGCTGACTAAAAATATTTAGCTATTTTTAATATTCAAGAAGTCTTTATTCCCTGTTTATTCCCCTTACGTAGCAACCTGTTCTTGTTTCAATATTTCTTTGAAATTTCCTTCCTAGAGAATCTCTGAATTCCCTTATATTTATTTGTTTTGTGTCTCTCTTGTTCCTCTTGGAAGCTTTTCTCAAGTGTTTAGTGATTCTTGGCTGCCTTTTAATATGTAAAAAGTAGCCTACCAAAAAGTTGATTGTAATTGTGTATAGGTGCTGCTTCCCTGTAATAGCATCTAGTTGCTAACTGATCTTTCATATGTGACTCAAATGTATCTATAGATCTTCTCAATGGTATGGTACCTCTGAAGAGAATCTTCCAATTTCCTGCCTAAGGCTTTTAAGCTTGGCAGCTGGTGTTGAGAGGTGGGTGGGAAAGGGAGCTCGGAGTAAACACTGTTCAATATTTAGTCTGATGTCCATCTCAGTGTCTGTGTCTTTGTTTCAGGAGTCTCTTGAGTTCCATTTCTCCAGAGACCATACCACCTACCTCCGGTGGGGGAAGGGTTGTCAGCAGGTAAAGACGGAACGTCGAGTTATAACTGACTCTAACACAGACTTCAAATAATCCCTGTTTTCAGCCTCTCTCCTTACCTGTGCCATCTTGGTGTTTCCAGTGTCTGAATATTTCCAGAGTTTAACATGGTGACTTAGCTTGCTTCTCATTGATAGTGCCATTGAGGCATTATTTTGACCCTCCTGCACCCTGTTGGTCCGTCTTGTTTCTGCATTTGTGTATTACAGCATAAGGTTATAGGCGTTTCCTAATGCTATTGAATTTAGCTTCAATAGCAAGTTTGTGTTTCTGTTTCTCATCCTGCTTACAGTTTGGGGTAATTTTGGAGAAAATAAGGAGACAGAAATGTCTTTACTGTCTTGAAACATGAATATGTTGGTATTAACTTTTACATCAGAATACCTTAGGAATGGGACGTTGTACTCTGTGGCTAAATAAAATAACACCTGGATATTAAAGAAACCCAGAAAGCCTTCTTTTTCTTTTTACAATAATTGGGTTTGGTTTTCTTGGAAGTCTGAACTCCTGCTTACTATTGACTGTATGTTCAGTTGCCTCAGACTGTCAACATCAAACGTTAGCTAAAGGTGCCAAGCATTTCTGGGAGGAGAATTGATAAGGGAAATAGAGCCTCCTCTTTGAAGAGGCTTTGACTGTGTGGGTCTCTCTCTTTGAGATCAGTGCCTCATGCTACTTGTGATAATTTATAAGAGTTAACTCTCTTCATCTTTCCTTCCAATCTCTTAATCTGGTGCAAAAGAAAAATGATTGCCTGTATAATTATTTCAGAATGTGAATTCTGACTCTGCCTTATGAACTATGTGAACTTGGGCAAGTTAAACAATTCTGGAACCTCAGTTTCCTCTCCCTTCAGTCAGGAAAAATAATACCAGAGATACTGATGATATTAAATGAATCAATAAATTAATCCATTTATTTATTATACAAATGTATTAGTCCATTCTCACACTGCTAATAAAGACATCCTTGAGACTGGGCAATTTATAAACAAAAGAGGTTTAATTGACTCACAATTCAGCATGGCTGGGGAGGCCTCAGGAAACTTACATTCATGGAAGAAAGGAAAGCAAACACATCCCTCTTCACATGGCAGAAGGAAGAAGTGCTGAGCAAAGGGGGAAGCCCCTTAGAAAACCATCACTCAGTATCACAAGAACAGCATGGATGAGGTGAACCATCCCCATGGTTCAATTATCTCCACTTAGTCCTGCCCTTGACATGTGGGGATTATTACAATTCAAGGTGAGATTTGGGTGGAGACACAGAGACAAACCGTATCAACAAACATTTCTTGAACTCCCTTCAAGTGCCAGGCATAATACTTGATGCAAAGATGAATAGGCCAAAAATTCCTGATGACAGTTCAACAGAGGAGGAAGGCCCAGGAGCAGATCATTAGGGTCTAGAGTGGTGAGTGCTGGGATAGAGAGACGCATTATGGGAGTACAGGTGATGAGTACCTAACCCCACCCTGGAGGGTGGTGGCATGTCAGGGAATGCTCTCTAGAGGGTGATGCTTGGGATTTGAATGCCAGATCTTAAAAGAAGGTCAGGCATTACCTCAGTGAAGAGGAAGGAAAAGAATATTCCACATTATGGGGACAGTATAAGCAAAGATTACAGAGGCCAGATTCAACATTTTTTAATATTGTAAGGTAAACATGATTTTGTGTTAATGACTTGCCTAACAAGGTCTCTGACACTGCAGAAATATTAGTCACATCCTCCCTTCAGCCTCTAAATGTGGTCTTAAAAATTCAAGGGGGCCGGGTGCAGTGGCTCACGCCTGTAATCCCAGCACTTTTGGAGACCGAGGTGGGCAGATCACTTGAGGTCAGGAGTTTGAGACTAGCCTGGCCAACATGGTGAAATCCCATCTCTACTAAAAATATAAAAACTAGCTGGGCGCCTGTAATCCCAGTTACTCAGAAGGCTGAGACAGGAGAATTGCCTGAACCCGGGAGGCAGAATTTACAGTGAGCTGAGATCATGACATTGCACTCCAGCTTGGGCAACAGAGCGAGACTCCATCTCAAAAAAAAAAAAAAAAATTCAAGGAGTCAAGATGTAGAGATATCCATCATATGAGTCAGGTATAGCCCCTGTGGGATTGTGTGTGTGTGTGTCTGTGTGTGTCTATGTGTGTGTACAGAGATATGTGTACATGTGTGTAGATGGGCTTGTGTTCTGTCATCTTTGGTTGATTTTATATTGGGTTTCATTAGAAAGCCAGTTTTTTTCCTCTTAGCAGTTTCAGTTTGACCTCTGTCATTAATATATTAGATTAGGGTATAATCTAATATGCAGGTGTATATTATACACACAAAATATATGCTAATGTGGTCTATTAGGTTACACTCTGCTCTACTTCTCTATGAACTCTCTGTATAATTCTCTATAAACCGCTGTCATGTTCTATGAAAATCCTTGGGCTCAGACTGGTACCACATAGGGGACTTTTTCTTAGCAGTGAGCTGGGTTTGCCTATTCCTGAATTCCCTGAAAAGGTATTCCTGCCAAGGGCTGCGATGGAATTGAGACATAACCCCCTTATTTGAGACACACAGGGAATTCTAGCTCAATATGAAAACTCTGCTGCTGAGGTTAACGTGGATTTTTAAAATTGTATTGTTCATGAATGGGGATGGATTAATCACCTATAAGTTCTCAGTACTTTCTCTTAGAGTCAGAGGTGAGCTGACATGAACACACACATATTGCTCCATTAGTGTTTTTGGCTGTGCTTGTATTTTCCATGAACAACATAGTGTGGCTTGGTCACTGCTGAGTTCAGCTAATTTCAGAATAATGGTAAGCATTTTTTCCTATTAGGTGTAGAGATAAAATGATGATGAAAATCATAAAGATTAGTAGGGCCTACATCATGGTTGTCCCTTGGGAAGGTGGATTCTGGTGCCAAGGCTGCCTTTAGATCCTGAAGCATGGTTTATTGAATATTCTCAATTACTTTCATCCTTTTATGTGTAAAGGTAAATTCCACTGTGGAAACCTCCCAATCATGTCTCTTGAATGAAGCATGAAATATAATTTTAATTTACCCATGAGGTGCCACTAAGAAGTCATGAGAAGCGTTTTCTTGGATGCCTTGCAAAAATGGTTCTGGAAGGTAGTTTAGAAAGAAGTTTCAGAAAATATCTTTTTAGCATTAATTGAATCACTCTAGTTTATTCACTTGCTTGTTTAGTCATCAGATATTTATTGAGGGCCTATTATTATTACTCTAATGCAATATTAGGTGCTTGGAATAAAGAAGGTGAGTAAGACACAGTTAGCTCTGCTTTTTTTTTTTTTTTTTTTTTTGAGTTGGAGTCTCGCTCTGTCACCCAGGCTGGAGTGCAGTGGCATGATCTCAGCTCACTGCAACCTCCGCCTCCCAGGTTCTAGCAATTCTCCTGCCTCAGCCTCCCAAATAACTGGGACTACAGGCGTACGCCACCACACCCGGCTACTTTTTTTGTATTTTAGTAGAGACGGGGTTTCACCATGTTGCCCAGGCTGGTCTCGAATTCCTGAGCTTAGACAATCCACTCACCTCGGCCTCCCAAAGTGCTAGGATTACAGGCGTGAGCCACCGCGCCCGGCCACTATTTCACTCTGTTCTTTGATGAGTGCTCAATCCACTTTGGGTGGGGGAAATGGAGGAGACAGAAGAAATACATGAAATACATCACATAAGATATGATAAGTGCTATGGGTTAGATATATTATTATATCACATATATTACATACTATTCAATAGTGACCAGTTCCTGGGTTGTTAGGGTAGAATGAACAAAAAAATTAAGGATTTCCTTCCAAGCTGACTGCCCTAAAGAATTAGATCTGTTAGGAATATCTAAGTTCTGTTGTTTTTTTTTTTAAATACAGCATCATGACTTTATAGATGTATTTACAGTGACATAATCTGTACTGGATATTACATTTTAAGTGGTATACTGATGGAAAGAAAGATTTCTGGATGAATTAGAAAAGAAAGTCATTTGTTCCATTTCTTTTAGAAAGAGTAAACTCTATGGTTATTTTCCTAGGACAAAAATGAACATAAAAATTATTTTCAGATTGTTCAAATAAGAGTTGCAACTGCTATTATGATATTTACCTGTACCCATAAATACTTTAAATCCACTGTCAAACGCAGGTTATCAAAAGACTAATAGTTATGGTCCTTGAAGCCTTTTTTTCTTGTAGCAAAGAATTCACCAGTTGAGACTAACAGGAAAAAAGAGCAATAGAAATGACTGAAAAGTACATTTTATTGCATATTTTTAAGGGAAATTCTATTTTATTACTTTGGGGTAAAATAGAGAAGCAACCCATTTGCCAAGTATAAATTTGTTAAAAACAAATTTAAACAAGTTAAAAACAAGTATCAATTATTTACTTTGGTTGTTCTTGTTTTCATTAATTTCTTTCTATACAACTTTCTTGCATGGAGATAAAGGTTATCCCAACCTAAAATAAATGTGACTGAATTCATAATTTATTCATCATTCATAACATTTTGGAGGTGAAATATTGCCTCCTAGCCAACACCAGAATTGGTTGCAGCTAGTGTTAGGCTCTGAGGGGTTTAAAAAAAGACACACGAAGCCTAGATCCTTCTGTGAAGAGTGGGAATTCTAGCTGGAGAGTCAAGAATTCATGGGAGTCCCAGCAATTTAGTGATACTGCCAGATGCGTGTTAAAAGCTTGCAGTAGTCCTGCGGCTCTCTCATGAATAAACTCTTGGAATGTTGAAACCGTGAGACATATTTCAAGGTTGACTTAAGTTAGTATGATGTATGCATTTATTAACTAAAAA
Source organism: Homo sapiens (assembly GCF_000001405.40). Taxonomy (NCBI): domain Eukaryota; kingdom Metazoa; phylum Chordata; class Mammalia; order Primates; family Hominidae; genus Homo; species Homo sapiens. The sequence continues at coordinate 33,685,144 of NC_000007.14, forward strand.
GTACAGCCCTAACCTTTGCCAGGCACTGAGTTAAGTTCTTGCCCTCATGGAGCTCATGTGCTAGGAGATGGAAGAAATGATTGTGTAAGGTGTGGTTTATGCTCCTTGTTGATGAGGCAACATGCATTAAAATTCAGTTTCGGGAGCCGGGCGCTGTGGCTCATGCCTGGAATCTTAGACCTTTTGGAGGCCGAGGTGGGCGGATCGCTTGAGCCCAGGAGTTGGAGACCAAGCCTGGGGAACGTAGAGAAATCTTGTCTCTACAAAAATCTATCTATCTATCTATCTATCTATCTATCTATCTGTCTGTCTGTCTGTCTGTCTGTCTGTCTGTCTATCTATCTTCAGTTTTAGAAAAGCATGAATTTTAGAGCAGAGGCTGCAGGAGAGGTAAGCATAATAACACTGAAGCTCTAAAACTAGACCCAATTTTTCGTGATGATTGGTTTCAATCTGGAAATCTCCCAGGATGACAGGACAGCTAAATTTCCATGTCACAAAAGCGTGTGACCGCTGCTCTGAAGCGCTCCAGACAGGTTATCAAGTTTCAGGGCTACGCTCCGGCCTGAAGAGTGTTTCTAATGACATGTTTTCACATATGTTTTCCTGACAGCTGTATATTTTGCTCATTGTTTATACACATGCTGTATAGGAAAAAAAATACGCTTGACAGGAAAATTAACTGACAGACTCGGAGCCTGAAATCTAGTGAGAGATGTGGGTCAGAGGGGTTAAGCAAGTTCGTCTTCAACATTAAGGAAAAAGTTTCCTCAGATGTGTTCTTCAGCGCATAGGCTTAGTCTGTGCACAAGCCCACTACAGGCGCAAGCCTCTCATTCTTTGCAAGCCCTGAAGGATAGCTGCTCTAAGAAGATGACATCACATTGCATGTTTTTGCTCAGGAGAAGACATATTTGTGAATGGGTTGGCCTGCAGCAGTTTTCTGCCAGTTTAGTCCAATGATTGACAAGTACAAACAGCTCCTCTAGTGGCAGCGCAATTGGGCATCCTGGCTGCTGTGTGTGGCGCACGCGGCCCAGGCCTGAGCGAGGTGTTCAGGAGGCGGGAGATCACTCAGGCTGATTCTGCAGGGTGTTCTCCTTTTGTTCCTGTTAGAACTCTCTCTTACCGTCTGTCAGAAAGACAAGCTTTCTATTGAGAAAGATTACGCCAGGTCCCACTCGGTAAGCACTGAGGCGGTAACCTAACACTCTTGCGAGGTGCTTTGGGCTTAGCTGGCCGATTCCTCATTGAATGATGTTTGGTAAATCTCAAGAGGCGGAAAGAAGTGCAGAATACTCTCAGAGTCAGCCTGTAACTGAGCTCTGCTCGGAGCAAATCTAGACGAAAATCCCGAGTTGTGAAACTGTCTTTCTCTTGCCAAACACTCCTCAGACGTCAAAGGTAGCAAAGTAGAAACAGGAGAATGGGCCTGGAAGCCCAGGGCATCTGGAAGGCTTGCTAGCAGGTACTGAGGCAATGCCAGGCCATGCTTAAAAGGATTTTGTTGCAATCCCCCCTGTAGTTTTATTTTTTGTTTGAAAGGCAAATCCAACATTTTGATCCCTTCTTAGTCACATAAGTCACCAGCTCTGCCTTGTGTGGGATCTTCTCTCATGGTCACAGATTAATGCATAGGAAAAAGAAGTGATCATGAGGTGGCTTTCTATTGGAGTTTGTCTGTTTAGTGCATGTTTGGCTTCTGACATAATTACCTTTCCTAATGTAATAAACATATGGAATTACTTTTTCTAAGCATGACTGAGGGGTCAGAGTTTATGTTTCCTTTAATAAGATTATGAAACTTCTTAAAGTTGAGAGAGAATCTCCCTCATGTGATAAAAAGTTTTGTAGGCGTCTTTTTTTTTTTTTAATGCAAAGTCTTGAACACAATGTTTTGATTCTCATTACAATACCTGTATATAATTTTAACTTTTCTTCATTTGACAGTTTGCATCCATAGGAGACATTACAGCATGTGCTAGTCCCAGCTCCCCATTTTAAAGATGGGGAACTTTGGCCGGGCACAGTGGCTCACGCCTGTAATCCCAGCACTTTGGGAGGCCGAGGCAGGCCGATCACAAGGTCAGGAGATGGAGACCATCCTATCTAACACGGTGAAACCCCATCTCTACTAAAAATACAAAAAATTAGCTGGGCCTGGCGGCATGCACCTGTAGTCCCAGCTACGCGGGAGGCTGAGGCAGGAGGATGGCGTGAACCTGGGAGGCGGAGCTTGCAGTGAGCCGAGATCACGCCACTGCCCTCCAACCTGGGTGACAGAGCGAGACTCCGTCTAAAAAAAAAAAAAAAAAAAAAAAAAAGATGGGGGACTTTATTTGCAAATATTCTGGCTGTTGTTTTCAGATTTTTCTTTTACCCCAAACATCTAGATATAATTATATATTTAAAATTTTATGTAAACATACAAGATAAAAGCAACCTTTCAAATTAATTTTAGTAGAATGGCATATAAATTCCAAATATGTGCATAGAAATTACAGCTTGTAATAACAGCTGATTTGAAGGTGGATTTTTTTGGTGGTATAATAGAATTCTTTGCCTTATAAAATAACTCTCCATAGAGTTAAGTAGCATTCCCACCCAGTATGTTTAACAGAGGATTATGAATATAAAAAATTCCTAAGCACTTTGACGTACACTTAACTTCTTAAGAACATGCCTACTGGGTGAAGTAAGGCATCTCTATATTTGTCTTTCATTAAGTGGATATTTTTAAATGTATTTTCTACGTGCAGAATCCTGGACTAAGTGCTAAGCATGCTATCACGACATACCCTTGTCTTCAAGTCTTGTGGGGGAGACTGACATGTAAGCTGGATGACATGTTCAGCAGGATAAGGGCTATGGTAAATTATGCCCAGGGTTGTGGAAGCACTGTGTTCTCTAACTTTCTCCTGAAGTACAAGAAGAGAGTTGGAAAAGTCTTCAGCAGAGGTGTGACAGAACAAACTTCTGTTTTACATGGAGTGTTGTAGACTACATCACGTCCCCCCTCAAAAATATGGTCATATCCTAATCCCCAGAACCCATGAATATGTGACTTAACATGGTAAAAGGGGTTTTGTGGATGTGATTAAGCCAAGGATCCTGAGATAAGGCGATGTTGTGGAAGCACAAAGATGGGGGCATTCTAAATCAGGATAGAGGGGAAAGGTGGGCTTCTTGCGAGTGGTGATACTTGAAGGATGAGAAGGAGTTAACCAGCTGAGAAAGGAGAAAGCACATTCTAGTGAGAGAAAACAGCATACAGGAAGCCTCCTTACGATACGACACACCATGGCACTGTCTGGGACCTTCATATATGATCAAGAAGGTGAGCTTGGGAGAGTGATAGAAGACAATAATAATCTTTCTTGGCTGTATTCCTGTTCACTGGATACCCTTTCTCAATCTCCTTGGCTGGTTCCTATTTTTCTTCGTAAGTTCTTAACTTCAGAGTTTACAAGAGTACAATCCTTGGTCCTCTCCTCTTTCTGCAGTCATGCCTTAGTGATTTCATTCAGTCTCGAGACCTTCTACCATGTCAGGACACAGGGATCCTCCCTTCTGGAGGACACAGCAACAAGGTGCCATCTTGGAAGCAGAGAGCAGCCTGCACCAGACAACCAGACCTCCTGGCACTGTGATCTTAAACTTCCCAGCCAACAGACTGTGAGGAAATAAATTTCTGTTCTTTATAAATTACCCAGTCTCAAGGGTTTTGTTATAGCAGCATAAAACATACTAAGACAAATTTGACTAAGACAGAGCCATGCCAACAGCTCTCAAATCTAGATATTCTAGCCTAAATACCCTTCCAAACTCAAAACATGCATTCCAAACTATCTTTTCAACATTTCTATTTGTGTACCTAATAGACTCTTCAAATTCAAAAAGTCCAAGGGACATGGATGGAGCTGGAAGCCATTATCCTCAGCAAACTAACACAGAAACAGAAAAAAAACAAACACTGCATATTCTCAATTATAAGTGGGAGCTGAACAATGAGAACACATGGACACAGGGAGGGGAACAACACACACTGGGGCCTGTTGGGGGTTGGAACGGGAGAAAGAGAGCATTAGACAAAATAGCTAATGCATACTGGGCTTAATACCTAGGTGATGGGTTGATAGGTGCAGGAAACCACCATGGCACACATTTATCTATGTAAGAAACCTGCACATCCTGCACATGTACCTCAGAACTTAAAATAAAAATTCAAATTAAAATAATTCATACTGTTCAAAGCTAAACTGTTAGCTTACCCCTGTATGGTCTGCTCTCCCAACAGCCTTTCCGCCCCAGTCGATGGCCACTCCATTCTGCCAGTTGCTCAAATCAGAATATGATGAGTTACTTTTTTTTATTGAGGTGAAATTCACAGAACATTAAATTCACCATTTTAATTAAAGTGTACAACCCAGTGGCTTTTAGTACATTCATAATGTCGTGCAAGCATCACCACTATCTAACTCCAGAACTTTTTCATCACTCCAAAAACTAATCCCTTTACCCATTAGCAATCATTTTGTGTTCTGTTCATCCCCCTGGCCATGGCAAGCACTAATCTATTTTCCATAGCCATAGATTTGCCTATTTTGAACATTTCATATAAATGGAATTATATAATGTGTGGCCTTTTGTGTCTGGCTTCTTTCACTTAGTATCATATTTTCAGTGTTCATCTATATTGTAGAGCAAGAGTATTTTTCACTTCTCTCTCTTAACATCTCACATCCAATCCAACAAGAAATTCTATTAGATTTACCTTCAAAATGTATCTGGAATCTGAGCCCTTCTCAGTTCCTCTGCTGTGACCACCCTGGTGTGAGGTATTACCATCTCTTTTTAAAATTTTTAACTTTTTTTTAGAATCAGGGGGTACATATGCAAGTTTGTCACATGGTGTATTGGTTTGTTTTCATGCTGCTGATAGAGACATACCTGAGACTCGGTAATTTATGAAGAAAAAAGAGATTTGACTCACAGTTTCACATGGTTGGGGGGCCTCACAATCATGGCGGAAGGTAAAAGGCACGTTTTACATGGCAGCAGACAACAGAGAATGAGAACCAAGCAAAAGGGAAAACCCCTTATAAAATCATGGGATCTCGTGAGACTTATTCACTACCACGAGAACAGTATGGGGGAAACCACCCCCATGATTCAATTATCTCCCACTGGGTCCCTCCCACAACATGTGGGAATTATGGGAGCTACAATTCAAGATGAGATTTGGGTGGGGACACAACCAAATCATATCACATCGGTACATTACCTGATGCTGAGGTTTGGAGTATGATTGATCTTTCTGCATTGTAACCACAGCTTCCTACCTGTCTCCCTGACTTCAGCCTCACCTCCCTGCAGTGGATTCCCAACACAGCAGTCAATCCAAGTCAGCTCATGCTGCTCATCTGCTCCAAACCCCACCGGGGCTCCCCATTTCATTCAGAGTAAAAGCCAGAGTCTCTACTGTGTCCTAAAAAGCCCTGGGAACCCTCATCACTTTCCAAAAAGTTGATTTAAGTAGCATCTTCTGCTCAGACTGACCTCTTCTTGTCCTTGCTCACTGAACCACACAGGTTTTCCTGCTGCTCCTGCAATGCACCATCGTCCTCTCCTAAGGATTTTGCTTTTCCTTCTGCCCAGAATGCTACCCATTCACCCACTTCAGTCTCTGGCTCGTGGGTCACCTACTCAGTGGGATACACTGACCTCCTTCTTCCACATTTGAAATTGCACCAATATCCTCCTCCCACTCCAGCATCCCAGTCTTCCTTACCTTGCTCCTGTAAACTTTTCTAAAATGTGTACCACTCTCTAACTTGGAGTATTATTTATTTCTTTGTTTCTTCAGTGTATATCTCCCATCAGCATGTGAACTCTATAAGAGTGGAAACCTTTGTCTCTTTTTTATTGATGTATCCCAAGTGGATAGAACAATGCTTGGCACATAGTAGCTGCCCAACAATAGATGATGACTTGACTAAATCAATAATGGTAATATGATATAGTATTTGTATAACTAACTACCATTTATTACCTTTTTTATGTACCAGGGACTGAGTTTATGTCTATACTTACATGATTTATCTCATTTAATCCTCACCAATAACTCTGTGGGACAGATGGTCACTTCTCTCACTTCTAGATGAGAAAACAAAAGTTAGGTCAAGTAACTTGTCCAAGATTTCATTGCTCATAAAAACTCAGAGCTGCTGGACTTTGAATCTGTGGTCTTAACAGCAACTTTGAACTACTAGAGAAGTAGGAAGAGTGGGTTATTGAAGGGCACTGTGTTATCTAACTTTCTTCTGAAGTACAGTAAGAAGAGAGTTGGAAAAATCTTCAGCAGAGGTGTGACAGAAAATACTTATGTTTTACATAGAGTGTGGTAGACTACATCATGTCCCCCCTCAAAAATGATCACACTGTCATCCCCAGAACCCTTGAATATGTGACTTAATGTGGTGAGAGAGGTTTTGCAGATGTGATTAAGCCAAGGATCCTGAGATACGGCGATTACCCTGGTTTATCCAAGTGGCCCAGTATAATCCTAAGAGGGAGGCAGGAGGGTCTGAGTGGGAAAGAGAAGACTTAAGAACAAAAGCAGAGGTTGCAGTAGCATGCTTTGGGTGAAGGAGCCATGAGCCCAGGAATGTGAGTAGCCTCTAGAAGCTGAAAAAGGTCAAGAAACTTGCTTTCCCTTAGAACCTCCAGAAAAAGTGCAGCCCTGCTAACACCTTGATTTTTGCCCCTGAAGCTGATTTTGGGTTTCTGACTTCCAGAACTGGAAGATAATAAATTAAGTTGTTTTAAGCCACTACATTTGTGGTAATTTGTTATAGCAGCCATAGGAAACTAATACATGGACCACTCCCATTTATTAATTGAGAATTAATTGAGAATTGATAAAGATGAGGTTTATCCCCAAACCAAGGATTAGATGACTTATGATGTGCAACTGCAGTTATTTATCTTCATTTAGTCACTCTTTGTGCGTCTATATCAAGTCTCTCCTACGTGCTAAGGATACAAAGATGAATTAGACATGTTCCCTGTGCTGTCAAGGGGCCGGAATAGTTTCAGATGTTTGTGCCCCGATCAGTACCCATTAATGAATTAGCTGTAGGAACTGGGTTATTTTAAAATGTGTTGAACTAGAAGACGCTAAGTTTGCACCGGCCCATTTTTTGAAGGCAGTTTTACCCCCCATGTGATTCCTAACTCCCCTTCCCTGATGGGCCCGGGTTCACAGCGGAATGTGCAGAGCCTGGTTCTTCAAACCGCCTCTCACCTCTAGATTTTCTGACTGCCTCTCTGATCACCACTCAGATCACCACTTGGCCACTTTAGGCCAAGAAGAGCTGATAACACCACTTTTAACAAAACTGAACTATACCCATTGCATCTGCAGCTGCTCATACAAGCTTTGAAAAGTTAGGCCAGATAGAAAAGCCCTCCAGGAAAGAACTTATTTGGAAGAAATTTCAGGCTGGTGTTACTTTATAGGAAGGGAAAAATGTCAGAGGAGGAAACCTGTGAACCCATTTAACACAACTGGCTTCAGGTGTAATGTTTCAAGTGAACTGAGAGCGATTGTGGCAAGGTCTTTGGGTCCAACATCTAATGTTAAAAAAGAAAAGAGAAGGAATGAAAGTCTGTCTTTCAGCATGAGCAAGGCTCTTTTAAAAATAATAAAACAGTTTGAGGAGGTGGCTATGACAAGACTGTGACACATAATTTAGCAGGTCTTCAAAGCAATAACAGAGAGGGCAAGCTATGGTGATTAACAGCAGAAGCAGGGAAAGCAGGAATGGTGTGAGGAGGAAGGAAGCTTGACAGCACAAAGCTTAGGGGAATGGGGTGGTGTAGGAGTGAAGGATGAGGTTGTGATGGATAGGACTCTAGAATGCTGAAAGATAGGATGAGGTTTAGATAGCCTACAAGGCATGGAATGCCACTGAAAGATTTTACAATTTTTATCCATTACGTTGCATTTGGCTTAATGCATCCACAACTTGATTCCATGTGCCAGCTATTCAGAGTCAGAAGAGAAATTCTTTTCATCCGTCTCCGGATTTAAATGGTAAGGGAACATGAGTCATCTTCCTCATGGCCCATGGAAGAAGCACGTTTCATACTGCATTCTCACCACTGTATAGATCCCCCTCCAACAAAAACTGTTTTCTTCAGAAAGAGAAACAAAACAAGAGTTCATCTCCTCCCTGGACAGACAGAGTCTGGCTCAGTAAGAGTGGCTTGTAGAGCTCAGGACAGTGGTACTAAAGGTTAGGAGGGGCCACCAGAGTTTGATGGGAGAGTAGGGGGGTGATGGTGCCAAGGGGCTTCGCTCTCCATCTTTTGGTTGTACATCTACCCTTGACATCATCCCCCATGGAGCAGGAGGGGGGTTCATCTGCACTGCAATGGGCTAGTGCATTCAATAATAATAGCTGTCTTTTCTTCTCCCAAGGTGATCTGGGGCTGGATCATATAGCCCCAGAATTATGTACATATAGAACCAAACAGATGAGAGGTGATGGGAATTTTTTTTTCTTAAGTACTTGGAGTTTTTCTGATAAAAATCCCATCAAATAAGAAAGTAATTCTTCTTTCTTTTGCATTCTGAAGACTGTCACCAAATTAGGACTAAGTTGGACTCACATTGTCCTGGGATCCTGGGACACCTCCCTGAACTTCTTCCCATTGAGGTCTTGAATTTGAATGCAAGGTGGCTCAAGAGGACACGTGAAGACAGTACTTTGGAAGGCAGTTAATTCAGGGCTGCCAGAAGTCTCGCCATGTGCTAAGCCACTCAGAGATAGGAACCCAATAAAGGCAACTTTTCCCCTCTTGGCAGCATTTATAGTTGATAAGGAGTTAACCTAAGTTTGTTTGTTGCCTCCCGACCCAGTCCCAACTCGTGAAAGAATTTAGTTTCACAAAAGCAAATTTAGAGAAAACAGAGTTGTGTTAATAAAATAACAGTCCCTTTAGACTTGGGTCATCTTGAGGATTCAATTTCAAGAGTGCTTTGTTGTAAACACATTTCTAAGATTTCCTAATGCCAGCTGATAGAGTCCTTGTGGGAGAAACCAAATGTGCCCAAATGAAATAGCAGTAAATGCCATAGAGAAACTCTCATAGGAGAGAAACTACTGCAAAAAGATACACACTTTTTTTTTTCCAGCAGCTTTGTCCAGAGATTCAGCAAAGCTAGTTTGAAATAAAGGAAGACAAAATTTAAACAGTCATACTTTTGGCTTAAAAAGGCTCAAAGTATCTAATCTTTTCATCTTCACAAGGGAGTCACCTGTGGTCTGTGCGTTTTGATATGTCACTTGTGAGTGCCCAGCAAAGGACTCACATAAACAGGTGGAACCTGTCTGCATGGTGGGTAGCAGTCTCAGTGCAACTCAAGACCCTTCTTGCTTCTTCCCTCTATGGTCTCCTCAGAAAAAATGGAGGATGGCTGTGCCTCTTTATTCAGAAGGGACAATTAGGTGGTCACAGACTCTTTTGTATTTTATTTTTTGTAGAGACAGGATCTTACCATATTGCCCAAGCTGGTCTTGAACTCTTGGGCTCAAGTGATCCTCCAGGCTTAGCCTCCCAAAGTGTTGGGATTACAGGCGTGAGCCACTGCACCTGGCCAGCTGACTCTCGAGTTAAGATGGTCCATTTTTATCCAATTTTAATTCTGCAAATACTTACTGAACTCCTTTCCTTTAACACATGTTTACTGTACTATTCTTTGTACTGTGGCTGTAGTGATTAAGCATGGCCTCTTTTGTCAAGGATTTCAGTCTGTTGAATGAGCCATGTCAGGAACACAAAATGTTGGGGAGTTCAGGTAAAGGCAGACAATTCATTCTGGTAGTGGGGAGCAGAGGAAGGGTTCCCAGAAAAGGATCCAGAGAAGACCACACCAGGGCTAACTCAAATACTCTGAATGGTACATAAATCAGATAAAATAAGCCCTAAACCTTAGTACCCAGTGGGAAACATTTGTCTGTCTTACTAAGCAAGATATTGTAACTCAAACAGAAATGTGTTTGAATGTTATTTCATTGGTTCCCCAACCCCAATCCTGTGTCTTCCTCCTTTTAGTTCAGAGAGTTAGATACCCACTAATAACAGGTTAGGCATCTCAAGAGTCAGGGTGCCATCTTGTAATTCATGACTACAGTGGTTTGAGAGTTTATTTGCTTAGGGGAAAAAATTTGCAAGGTGATTATAGACACAATACTACCTATTTGTGTAAGAATCTTAGAAAGTGTGTTAATGGGCATGACAGTATTTGGCTAATACTCAACTCATCCTTTCAGTGGCTAGAGCCAACTTTTCTAGGCAACATTGCAGAGCCATACCCACCATTATGGGTTGAAGTGTGTCTCCCTCAACTTTGTATGTTAGAGTCCTTATCCCAAAACATGACTTTATTTGGGTCATTGCAGATGTAATCAGTTGAGGTCTTACTGGAGTAGGGTGGGCTCCTGATCCAATATGACCTCTATCCTTATAGCAAGGTGAAATTTTAGCTGAGTGCAGTGGTGTGCACCTGTAGTCCCAGCAACTTGGGAGACTGAGGTGGGAGGATCACTTGAACCAGAGTCCAAGACCAGCCTGGGCAACAGAGTGAGACCTGTCTCAAGATTATATATATATATATATATATATATATATATGATCATATATATGATAGATATCTATATCTCTATATATCTATATCTGTCATATATATCATATATCTATCACATCTATCATATATGTCATATATCTATCATATACATATATATCATATATATGATATATATGTATGATATGATGTGATTTCATATCATATGAAATCTGGACAAAGACGCTCATAGAGGGAAGGCAATGTGAAGAGACACAGGAAGAAAAGGCCACCTACAAGCCAAGGAGAAAGGCCTGGGACAGATCCTTCCCTGAGGACCCTTAGGGTCCTTAGAAGGAATCAACCCTGAGGACACACTAAGTTCAGACTTCTAGTCTCCAGAACTGCAAGGCAGCACATTTCTCTTGTTTAAGCCACCAATTTGTGGTACTTTGTTACAGCAGCCCTAGAAAACTAATATACTGACATCGTGGCTTCAGTAGAGGGAATGGGTCTATGGAAGCGTCGCTTCATTCTATGAGAGCTGCTCACTTTCCACCATGCTGCCGGGAGGGGCCTCGAGACTTTTCCCCAGAGATGCCTAACATGGGCTGTGAATGCATATGGCCCAACATGGGGACCTTTTATTTTTTAAAAATTGTATTGGAAGAGAGTAAGAACTTGCAGATTAGCTTTCTTTTATTTTGTGGAATGTTGGACAGGGAAGAAAAAGAGAAAGAAACAGCCCCAGGGCACTTTAATAATACTTACTTTTAACCAGCAGTTAAAATAATTCACAGGTTATTGGTGGGTTATTTTTAAGGAGAGAAGGTATTTTTGAGAATTTCCTTTTCAAATCACCAAAAAACCCAAATAACCCCCCAAATCTTGACTTTATTTTCTCGAAGATTTAGTACCACTCTCTGATGTTTATCTCAACTCCCTCACTTATTTTTTTAGTTTCTCTGAATTTTGCCTTTAATGATCAGTATTCTTTAATTTCATTCTTGTTTCTGGATACCCAAGAGGCACAGAATTTACTTTCCCTTATTGGCAAAGTCATGCATATTTTTCTAAGGGACAGATTATAATAGGATTCTGCTTTTTATTTTATGATGTGATAAGCTATTGTTAGTAAAGACTATGCATCCTATAATCTGAATTTTGAATATGACCTATTAGGAACTAAAAAGGAAAAGAAATATGGTGTCTAGATTGAGTATTGGACTTGGAATAGGAAACTCTGAGTTCAAGTGCAAGCCCTGATACTTCCTACCTTTGAAACTGTAAACTAATCACATAATATCACTGAACGCTGTTCAAAGCTACAACATGGTAGTCTCCTCCATGTATTGATTCTGAGAATTAAAATTAAATGATGGGCTGAGTGCGGTGGCTCATGCCTGTAATCCCAGCACTTTAGGAGACTGAGGCAGGCAGATCATGAGGTCTGGAGTTCAAGACCATGCTGGCCAACACGGTGAAACCCCGTCTCTACTAAAAATACAAAAATTAGCAAGGCATGGTGGCATGTGCCTGTAATCCCAGCTACTCAGGAGGCTGAGGCAGGAGAATTTCTTGAACCTGGGAGATGGAGGATGCAGTGAGCTGAGATCGTGCCACTGCACTCCAGCCTGGCGACAGAGTGAGATTCAGTCTCAAAAAAAAAAAAAAAAATTAAATGATGTACATTAAAATAGCTGGCATGCTCACACCTAGGTACACGCTAAATATATTAATAGCTACTGGGAATTTGTTCAACTGAGAGCTTCGTTGGAGCAATAAACGGATGTTATTTGCATTCTCGTTGTTCTGTTTTTAAACAGCATGTTCCTCCTTAAACTTGAAAACTGCTTAAAATTAAGTTAAAAAGACCTAACCCATATATATTTTCTAAAGCGTCTTGTTTCAGGAAGTCATTTAATATTTACTGAAGGTTTACTATGTACCAGAAAGAGTTTATTATCTATTATCTCATTTGGTCCTTATCACAACTTAAAGAGAGAGACAGCATCATTATTCTCATGATGAAACTGAAACGTAGAGAATAAAGCTAAGTGCAAAGTTCCCAGCCGGAAAAGGGAGAACTTGCTAGGAAAATTCAAACCAGGGTGGTATGATGCTGAGACCAAGCTTTAAACCTCTGCACCAGGTTGCCTCCCTATAGTAGAAAAATTATCCAAACCAACACTCCCTTCTCACTGTGTAGAGGATGGCCTATGGGTAGAATTTTTTCTTTTTATTGAAAGCGATAACCAGTGGAAAGGTTTAGATTTATTATTACTGCAGCATAAAGAATGAAGGAATCTCAGAGATCACTGCTGTCTTTAATCTCCTCTTGGAAGAAAAACCTTGGAAAAGGATAAATGAAAGTGAACTATGCCCAGCCTTGGGCGAGAAATGGTTTCCCACATCTGAGATGACTCACATCTTAACCCTTTTACTCCAGTTTCTCTCTTCGTATGTATCCTGTGATACGCTCTCTGGAAGATGGCTCTGTAGTAAATACCGGACCAACGCACGCAGGCATTATCCATTTTAGAAGAGACATGCACTCTGCTTTTAAGTGGTCACTTTCCCCAAGCTTCCCATATTTCTTTTCCCCTGAGAATACATCGTCTACCATGAAGTTGTTCAGGAAGCAGACCCATTTCACACAATAAAAACGGCAGGTTGATTTTGTGGATTTTTGCTACACCGGCTACAATCATTGATCCTAGGTATTCGGGACTCCTATGAAATCCTTTTGGTACTATGGCAGTGTTTAAGTGACACCAGTTTTGTAAAGTGGCATATGCAGGGTTGATCCCTGCCTGATAATTAGGAGCTTGCTCTCTTGATTTTGTCCCATCAATATTGTTCATTTTGCCTCAGATACGTTTTTCTCCCTAAGATCATCTCCACAAACCCCAGTGCTGAGAAGAATGAATCCCAGTAAGACCTAATAAATCTGACAGAAAAATGTGGGGTTAGAGATCCACACAGACCATGAGGACTGTCGCATTAAAGGCTCCTGGGGATTTTTTTTACGACCTTTTTTTTCGTCCTTCTAATGCTTGGTCTCTTGCTTCCATAAATTGTGCAGCCTGGCTTTTCATTAACTCAGAGAGCTGAAATAATTCTTTGTAAAGAATTCTTTAGTCACACATGATTCAAAAGTTCACCAAGATCAAAGCCAGCCTGTTTTGTGGCGGGCCCAGCACCGTATATTTCATGTAAATGGTGTGGCTTGGTGCATTCTCAGCTGGAGTTCTTCCAATTTCACATCCTTTCTGCAGATAATGGGACCCTCTGATACTGTCCCCGGCACAAGGGGCTGCTCTGTGCCTGATCCCATCTCCCTTAGAAGCCTGTACAGATGCTGTCTGTATGGGCCAGTGAAGTCATTCTGACATCCCCCTCAATATTATCTGAAATTTTATGAAGCATGGGAGTCATTCTTGGCCCTAGGGGGTCTGGGATGGTGGGACGGGGGAACTGGTGAGTGGAGCACAGAAATGCTTCATTGTTCAATTTTTCTCTGTCTCTCTTATTTTTCCTTCAGGAGAGTGGGATGTATTAAAGAGGCCCAAAGGTGAGATTAAAGTAAACCAAGAACAACAAGAACAGACAGTCTTCCTTCTTGTGGCTATTGCTTTCTTGTTCTTTGTCTTATGTCCTTACATTTTTCATTTAAGATATACGGGCCCAAGAGGAAATGATGTGTGAGAGACGTGGGAGAAAGAGCTTGACAGTCAAGCTGTAACAATAACAGCTCTGGAATAATAGAGGGCCTTTCAAGGGGCTGGCTACTTCCATCACCCACCCACCCCCTCCCCAAGCATGGGCAGGAGCACAGAGCCATTAAGAGACGTGCCACACACACAGGCGGAAGCAGAATAGAAAGGCATGAAGGAAAGTAAATTCTTCATGATGCAGAGAGGGAGAAGGCTGTCTGGCAGGTGTGCCCCAGAGGCTCTTGGTGACTGTTTTCTGTGTGCCTGTTGGTCACTGTATTGATTGACTGATGGCCTTCTAAGTCAGTTTCAAGATGAGGCCATGGGATGCATGAGTACCTTGTCCCATGGGTGGTTGGCCATGGCTATGATGTCTGGGCTTGGAGAAGGCCCAGAGGTGGAGGACAAAGATGAGAAATGACTGAGAGGCAAGGGATGTACCTGAGACAAGGAGAGAGAGCACTCAAGGAGGAGAGGTGGGAAGTCTCCAGTTTTCTGCAAGTAACATGGGCATCGCCACTTAGCACATCTCAGGGTGTTGAGTGCAATTGGCAGTTCTGGTTCCATTTGGTAATCTGGGTAATTTCCCAAAGACTTCATCAGTCCAGGTAACACGACCTTTCCATTCTACCACAAAATTCAAACCCTAACAAAAAAGTCAGATTCTGGTTTAGCCCTTCCTCCATCTTTCCTGACCTGGGGCTGATTGTGTAACACCTTCCTGCCTTAGCTTTCCTATCTCCATTGTGCAGATATAGTAGTTGCCTTAGCTTATTTCATCAAGATGTTAATGAATGCAATAATATAGGAAGTTATTCAAACTTGTAGAAAAACGCTGTGTTTGCCAACATGGTGGAAATACTGACAATGAAATTTGATGAACAAAGACTGGTTTTCTGTTACTCTCAACGTTAGCTCATACGTCACGGAAGTTGCAAGTCAGCCACCGCTCCCTCTTCTGTAAGGAGCAAAGTATATTTTCAAACATGGAAGCATCTGGTTAAATATTAAATAGAAGAGTCATTCTTCTGAGGTCTCGCATTGACAGCATTTAGGTGGCAGTTAAGTCAGATGGCCGTTGACTTTGACGGCCATGCATTTATGGTGATGTATAAATAATAACTGACAGCAACCCTGTGGCAATCTTTCCACCAGTCTTGCCCCTCTTTGCACTTTCTTCAGAGGTTTATGCACACACACACTTTGCCTGACCATCATAATAGCTATTGTCTTCTCCCCGCCCCATTTCTTTCAACAGATGTGTCCATTTTTAGTTAATGCAAAGGAAATGACAGCTTTTAAAGGTAGTCTTTCACAGTGGGAAAGAGCTGCATTAACTGTAAAAACCTTTTAGTTGCACAATTTTTATATTCAGACTCTCCTCCCTAGACATTGCTTCTCCATGTCTGCATTTCCCTTTAAGCTTACTGGTTATTAGAAGGGATTGCTTTGGGGCTGCAAAGGAGGAGTTCACAGCAGCAGCAGCAACAGCTGAGAAACTTTAGCTCTAGGTTCCTTGGCCAGGGAATAGCAGCATTGAAAGCCTTTGACAAAGTAATATTTGTGTGTTCAAAAAACGTTTTATGGAAACGTTTGTTGTGCCAACCTGTGCTTAAAATGCTAATGGTATTTGCCTAGGCCATCAGCCAAATAAAAACGGATTCATACATGTAAAGTAGAAGGACACTTGAAATAATAACTTACGCTTTCAGATTGTCTCAAAGTGTGATCAGTATGTGAGTTAACGAGACTGGGAGATCCACAGGGCCACTGTGGGGAAAAGCTTCAGCCATGAACTGACCCCAGATGAATCCATCCAGGAGCGAAACCTTGCATGTTTGCAGTGTGGGAAAATCTCCTGTGACAGTTTTCAACTGGTGTCGCTGTGGGAGAGTCCACACAGGGGCAATGATTCTCAGGTGTTTGGAATGTGGAAAAAGCTTTCCAGGCAATGGAGAATGTCAGCTCAATGTACCAACTCATGAGTAAGTGAGAAGACCCAAGGATGCAGTTCATGTGGGAAAGATTCTGGAAGGCGGTTGGTCACCCTGAACCCACCTGGCATGGAAGGCTTCACATATTAGCCAGAGGATGCATCCCACAGGACATATTCAACGGAAAACATTACCATAAAGACAAGCCTGCTTCCCTGCCCCCTGCCTTGATGCCTAAGTACTGAGAATGCACAGAGTAACTTGAGAATTCTAAAGCACACTGTAGAAATTTACGAATGTGGGAAAACCAGCCATTGGCCCAAGTTGTTCAACTGTCAGTTCCATCATGGCAGAAGCCTTGTCACCCATTGGAAAGAAACCCTCTACAAGGGTTACACCCCTGTTGGTATCCATACTTAGGACTAAGAAAGAGCCTTGTGGTAGACAGCTTTCTACTCTACCCTCTTCCCCATTTCTGACCAAAATCTTCCATGTCTTCCTAAAATGCTCCCTGCAAAGTTGAGCAGAGGGCCTTTCCACATTGCAAACACACACCCTGTTTTATATTAGGAAACTCTGCAATGTCTCCATACTCCTCTGAGTGGAACTGAGAATTACTGAAAAGACAAGATAGTTAGTGAAAAATTTTGAGCATCAACTATGTGCCAGGCATTCTGCCAGTTCTGGGGAATATGACAGTTTTCAAGACAGACAATGTCTGCATTTTTCTCTGTTGAGCAATACATGTCAACGATGAAGATAAACTCCATCAGAGCAACCTGCCAGCACCTGAATGGGAGATTTTGTTCTTGAGTATTTCCCACAAGTTCTACCAGCAGATGAAATCGTCCCCCACCTAATCAAATTTTCCTCTTCCCTCATGCCTAGACCAGTGATTCTCAGTGTTCACTTTCATTGGAATCACCTGTGGAGGTTTAAAATGCATTGATGCTCATCTTCCTGAAGTTTTGATGTAATTGGTCTGAGGTATGAGCTGGAATGGGGATTTTTAAAAACTCCCCAAGTGAATCCAATGAGCAGTCAGTGTTAAGCACCAAGACTAGACTCACATCATTTCATTTTCCCCCTGGCTGTTTCCAAATATCAGGCTGTAGCCCATCTAGCCCCTGGCAATGTCTTCTCTATTATGACCTGTGATGTGTCCTCTCGCCTGGCTTCTGCCCAGCGTGTGGGTGCCCCATATGTTTGCCAAATGAACTGGACTGAAACAATATCTTCTAATACTAAGAGTGATCTAGTTTCTCTAGAAGACTGCAGATGTCAGGAAAACATTGTGGGTAGCTGTATTAGGTTTCCATTGCTGCCACAGTGAGTTACTACCAATTTAGCAGCTGAAAATAATACCCATTTATTATCTTGCAGTTGTGTGGGTTAGAAGTGTGAATTGGTCTCACAAGCTAAAATCAAGGTGTGGGCAGGGCTGCACAAGGAGGCAGGGGCCCTTGTGGAAAATGTGCTTCCAGTTTCATTCAAGTGGTTGTAGGACTGAGGTCCCCACTTCATTCCCGGCTGTTGATCAGGGTCATTGTCAGCTTCCAGAGGCTGCCTGCATTATTTGAGTCATTGCCCTTTTCCTCTTTCTTCAAAGCCAACAGTATGGGTTGAGTCTTTCTCATGTTTCACATCTCTCTGACCTCCCGTTAGCTCATCTGTCCCCTGCCTCCCTCTTCCACCACCTTCTTCTGGTTCCCTCTTTTGCCTTCCTCTTCTGCTTCTCAGGACCCAAGTGATTGCGTAGGGTCCAACTGGATGATTCAGGATAATCTCCCTATTTTAAAGTCAGCTGACCAGTAACCTTAATTCATCTGCAAAGTCCCTTCATAGCATCACCTAGATTTGTGTTGAATTGAATGACTGGTGGGTAAAAATCTTGGGGACATCTTTAGAATTCTGCCTACTACAGTAGTGATTTTTAGAGAGATCACGGAACCCCTTTGCGGACAGTAAGTTGCTAGAGGTCAGGGCTAGGGTCAACCGCAGTAGATGAATGTTTTGAAATCATTATTTTAGTCGTGGCCATAGATGTCTACAGATGACAGACCCTGTGGCTAATAGAGCAGATCTGGGGAGAATAGACTCATGTTTATCCTGGGCTTTACAGTTTACAAACAGCTTTTTTAGAATTGGCTTAGATGTTTGAATACCGGGCTGTATGCAGAGGGCAGGCAGGGGATCTCAGAGGTGCCTCAGGAATTGCTGAAAGGTGGGGAGTGTTTAAATACCGGAGGGGTTAAACTGGCAGGCACACTCTTCCTCAGCCCTAAATCTGCTTTGATGTGTTTTGGATAATGGACTCCAGTACAAAAGACTTCTGAGGATACATCAGAAAATCTTTTTTTTGCTCTAGTGCAATCTCATTTTGACCCTCAAATACTATGCTTCAGCTTGATTATTTTTTAAAGACAGCAGACATGGCACTGAACATCTTGGGTTTTTCCTAAAAATCATAGTATGGTACCATGAAGTGTATTCAAAATGATGTGCCTATGCTGAATGCAACTGCAAAAGAATTTCCCACACACATAGATAACTCTGTGTGTGTGTGTGTGTGTGTGTGTGTGTGTGTGTGTGTGTGTGTGTGGAGACCTCCTTAACATAAGCCTAAGTCCCATATAGGAGTCCACTTTGAAGAGGATGAGACTCATTTGGATGGATATACTTTTCTACCATATTTGTTAGGAAAAAAGTCACCTAATTTTTACCATCACGACTCATATTTAGGTTTTGATAGATTTAATAAAGGCCTTAAGATCACTGGAAAAAGGACAAAGAGGAAATGGAAAATACTCTGGGTCCATGGCATGTTATCAACCAAAATATTAAAGTTGTACATTGCTAAGCTTTCAGACTTTTCTCTTGCATTTGGAAAAGGATGGGTTTTCCTTCTGGCTGCAGAATTTACAGTATTATTGAAGCTAGCTGTTATTTCAGTGAGAACTCTGCTCTCTATAAGAAAAGCATTAGCAGTGAGAAGTTAGTGAAGTAGTTGATTTGGGGGTATTTCCTAGAGAGAAAATAACACTTTTTTTCCCCTTGAAGTGTCTTTTCTTCCCTTGAAGTGTTCCTGGTGCGGTCTTGCTTTATCTGGGGGGTGGGGTGCTGGAGAAGGAGGGGTAACTTGATTGTAGGGGGATGTCAGGCCAGGGAAATGGATGGGAGAAGAGCCGGCTTAGGATGCTGCTTCTAGTCCCCCTCCCCTCGCTGTGCACACACAGACACATGCACATCAGTGGTCAGTTTAGCTGCAATATTCACAGCACATTTGCTGGGGTTCAATTGATCACTGCACACAAGAGATAGAGTCAGCAAGGATGTGGTGCGGAGAGGCCAGGGGCTTGGGGGCTTCCGCTCTCACACATCTTCAAGCCCCATTTTGAAATGGTTTGAATTAATGACACTTATTCAGACAGACAAAGGAGGTAAATGGAAATATTAGACAAGGCTTTGCACCTACTTTGCTCAACATTTCCCGTCACCTTGAGTGCTGGAAACACTCCACAGTCTTGCTCAGCCTGACCCAGGAGCCGCATGAGCTCACATGCTGCTCGCAGACTAAAGCCAAGGACCCTATTAGCGGAGGTTCACTAGACCAGTCTCAGGGACCTGAGCCCCTGTCCTCCAGCATCAGGGCTGCCCTCTTTGGGGGTGCCAATCCTCTCACCGATTTTATCATTTTTGTGCTATTTTGCTGGCAGTGCATGGAGTAAGGGCACCATTGAAAAACTCATACCAAGTCGCATTTGAGTTTGCTGGCTGGGCTGCCAAGCATCACCAAGCCAACAAAGTGAGGGCTAGGAGTCAGAGCTCGGCTTGAATCCTCACTTTGCCATTCACTATGCGTGTGACTTTCATCAAGCCACTTACACACTCTGAATTCATCAGCCACACAGGATCCTGTGAGGCTTCACCGAGACAAGCTGCGTCAAATGCGTGTAGGAGCATGTGCTCCCGAGTCCTTCTGCCTTTGTCTTCCTGGTCCACCTCTGCTTCCTTACCAGATAAGCTGGAGCACAGGTCGTGGGACCCTACAGGGAAGCAGAATCTCTAGAGCTACTTGATCTGGCAGGATATGCTCATTTGCAGAGTTTGAACTTGACATTGATGGCCTGCAAAGCCATTCTTTAGCCAAGCCTAGGAATTTGTTCCCAGGGAAGCAGCTGGCTTTGTTTTTTTGTTTGTTTGTTTGTTTTTCCCTGCTGGGCTGTGAAAAGCTATCCCATTTCACCCTCCTTCCACAGGTAAGGGGCAAGAGTCCCCAGGGTAGGCAGGTGGGGAACAAAGGATTGCAGTACAGATTGAGTGGATGCAGGGCCCCTTTGTTTCATGGCCTACTGTGTGAAGGGAGTGAATGGGAGGCAAAGGCCTGCCAATGAGTAGATTAATTTCACCCTGTCTGCTCCTAGGACTTGCTGTGGGAAACTGCTCTGGCTTCCTGTGTGACACCTCTCTTGCCTATTTTGTGTACACTGGGGAGTAGAATAGAGCATGATCCGGAGTTGGATGGCCCAGGTTCCAATCCAGGCCTCTTGTAGTTCCTGGCTGTATGATCTTGGGCAAGTTACTCAACCACTCTGTGCTTAAGTTTTCACATCTGCTAAATCGAGATAGTAATACAATGCCTGCCTCAGTGTGGTTACAGAGATTACATGAGCAGTATTTAACTTAGTAAGTATTCAATATGTGTTGACATTTTTATTTGTTATTTATCTGTGGCATCATGTCTCCTTAGATTCTAATTTATGCAATTAAAAAATGCATATAGTAGACTTTCTATGCAAACTGATAGTTTTGCAATATCGACAGGTTATTGATTTGGTTCCAGCACCCATTGTCAGGACTGTGAATGAACAAATCTGCTAAGCCTTGATTCCCCAAGACCTGCTCTGTTCACATGTCAGGTGAACCTTTGGCTGACTTTCCCAAGACTGAGCTATAAAACTCCTTTTACAGACTGAAAGATTTTTATTCTGAAAATATTATTTTCACTTTCCTTTCCACAGGGGGTTTACTCTTCTCTAGTGGGCCAATCTGAGTTTTCTTTCAGATTCCATGTTTTTAGTGTAAATGTTCTGAGGGGAAAAGTATACGGTCAGATGAAAGAGCACAGGCTGAGTTCTGGGTGTGTGTATGTTAGTGGAGGTTTTCAAATGCAAATATTTGATAAAAGTATGTGGTTTTGTTTATTTTATGTATATCTATATATTAGAAATGTTAACTTGAACTGAACCGTTTAACACGCTTAATCCGAGGCAGATGGAATGGTCAGTGAATTATTTTTGTAAACCACTTCTGTTGGCATTCAGAGCTTCCTTTCGTATTGATTCCATTCTGGCCGACCACTCGAGGTTTCACCAAAATAAGCTGGTGCCAGACTCCACTTCAATGACATATGTGTTTGTTCCCCTGAAACACAACACAATTGCACATTTCTCCAGCCCATAGAACTGCTTTTGTAACTAATTAGACCAGACAGGGTGCTGCGGAGAAACCACGGACACAGCACTGCATCCTGATGGATATTCATACGGGCTGGTCCTTTAACAAAGTGAACAATTGCCCAAATAATTATTTCCTGCTGTGGACTCCCTCTTTTTTTAATGCTTGGTTTGTTAGATCCTATTTTTCTTCCTACTTTCCTGTTGACTGCAGCTAAATTGAATTTGGTCCAACCCATCTCACACTGGGTCAGCAAAAATGCTTCACTCTGTTGGGGGAAAGGAGTTAACCCTTTGAATGCTGCCTTGGTAAAGGTAAATGAGGAATGAGATAGAAATGGAATATGTTATATTAGGATCATGATCATTTTTGGTGAGGAATGTTTGTCACGTTTCATGTTGCTACTCAGAATACAGAGTTAGGGAAAGGTGAGCAAAGTATCACAAAGAAGGAGGGTATCTTTAACCAAAGGGCTTCTCTAGAAATGCAGTATATATTTCATGGGAAGGGCGGGTTGTCAGCAAAGTTTAGGACAACTAGAGTAATCACCCTTGGGTAGCAAAATTAATAGAGTGGCCTGAATTAAAAAGGGGAGGGAAGGCAGCTTTAATTCATATCACATCTTAAAGCAATTAGTGGTGGGAGTACACTTCTCATTTGTGGTTTTTCAGTGCTTGAAGGCTGAGAGGTGTTGTGTTGCTGAGATCATATGGCTGGGTCTGTTCAGTGCACAAGATCCCTCGTTGTCAAACCCAGGAAAGAGAAACAGCTGTGAGAAATGTTCTGGCCAACATCAGCAAGTGTGATTTTGTTGGGTGTGTTGTGGCTTCTGTCTTCTATTGTGTGAAAACTGTCCCCATCCGGTAAGAGTTTATGGGACTTGCTGTAAGCAGAGATGGTGTCAGAGGCTGTACTTGGCTGTCAGTCCCAGCTGGCCCAGAAATGTAGCTGATGTTTCTGCAGGTGGAATGTCTTGGTCAAAGCATTTTCCTTTTTGATGGAGAGTCTCAAATTTCCCTCCTTGGGTATTGCATGAAGTTTTACTTCCACTTGCAATATATGAGGCTACCTGTTTCCCCTAGCCACTCCACAGAAGCACGTAATCACACTTTAACATTTTTACCAATATGTATTTTAAAAATGGTCTCTCAGTTTTGTTTTAATATGAATTTCTCTTATAAGTGAGATAAACATCTGTTCATATGTTCCTGAGCCATATGTAATTTATTTCTGAACCATATCATCATATCTTTTGCTAACTTTTCCACTGGATTTTTTTTCTCTGTATTTACAAAAGCTCTTTTAATATATCTTATACATATGTAAGGATATTAGCCCTTGATTTATTGTGTAAATTTCACATTTTTCCCAATTTGTTGTCAAACTTTAGACATTTCTTATAGTGTTTTTTTTTTTGCTGTGCAAAGTTTTTTTAATATATAAAGTTTATGTGGTAGAATTCATCTGTACTTTTTTATGGCTTTTGGCTGTTAAGTCATAGTTACAAAAGCTTTCATTTTCTACTCTGAAGGTAAAGAAAAGAATTTTCCTATATTTTCTACAAAAATGGCAAATGATAAAGGAAAATAAATAGAGGAAAAATTTTAAATCATAAAATCTGTTTGGTACAACTGTATACAAATAAATTTGACATTTAGATGAAATGGTCAACTTTCCAGAAAAATGTAACTTTCCAAAACTGAACCCAGAAGAGAAAGAAAATCCAAACCAATATATTACCACAGAAGAAATAGGGGAAGTTTTCAGAGTAATCTGCTACATAAGCATGAGGCCCGGATGATTTCATAGGGGAATTATATCACATATATAAAGAAAAAAACCCCATAACATAGAAAAAGCATAGCACATAGAAGAATAAGGAAAACTTCCAATTTTTACAAAGAAAATGCATTACATTGATATCAAAACCAAGAAAGATTGCAAAATGGAGTTATCTTTCTTTCTTTCTTTTTTTGATATGGAGTCTCACTCTGTCACCCAGGCAGGAGTGCAGTGGCATGATCTCGGCTCACTGCAACCTCCGCCTCCCGGGTTCAAGCGATTCTTCTGCCTCAGCCTCCCAAGTAGCTGGGATTACAGGTGCCCACCACCGCGCCTGGCTAATTTTTGTATTTTTAGTAGAGACGGGGTTTCACCATGTTGGCCAGGATGGTCTCGATCTCCTGACCTCATGATCCGCCCGCATTGGCCTCCCAAAGTGCTGGGATTACAGGAGTGAGCCACCGCACCTGGCCAGAGTTATCTTTCTTATAAATATTTATTTTAAAATCCTAAATTAAATATTAGAAAATATGATTCAACAACACGTTGAAACAATAATATATCATATCTAAGTAGGTATTCTAGGAATGTGAGATTGTTTCAATATTAAGAAATATATAAATAAATTTATTATGTTAATCTAAGAAAAACTGTTTATTTTCATAGATGCTGAAAGATCATTTGACATAATCTCATATCCATTCTTGATAAAACATTCAATACATTAATAACAGATACTTCATTGACATCTATTAATATTTCAGGTCCAAATCCAGTATAAACCATGCTTAATGTTAATAGCATTCCCAGTAAATTCAGGAATATTATATAGATATCACTATTCTTTTTATCATTTTACTAGAAACACAAACTGATAGAATCAGAAAAGGGAAAATGTGATAGCTACAAAAATTGGAAAGAAGGAAATGTAACTATTGTTATTTGTAAAAGATAATTTATCTGTAAAACCCAAAAGTGGCACCTGAAAAAGTTAAAAATGAGAAAATTCAGCAGTATGAGTGCAAATTAATAAAGATAAAAATCGATTATATATATAAAATAACAATCAGAAAGTATAATGAAAAATTCCCATGTTTAATAGTAACAAAAGGGATAAACTTCTTACGAATAAGCTTCATAAAGATAACAAAAAATAAAGATATGAAGGAAACTTCAAAATCACTTCTGAAGAGAGCATGAGTATGTTCACACACACACACACACACACACACACGAACACAGAAGATACCTACCCATTCTTGCTTAGGGAGACAACACCATAAAGTTATCAATTTTCACTAATTACAAATTTAACATGATTATAACAAAAAAGAGCCCACTGGTTTTATTGAAAAAAATACTGAGATAACTATAAAGCAAGAAAAGCAGGAAAAATTCAGAAAAAATAGGCCAATGGAGTGAGGTATCCTATCATATATTAAATTATATTATAACTGCTCAGCATTGATGCATGCATGAATAAGCAGACAGAAGAATGGGACAAAATGAGAAGTCCAAAAATAAAGGAATTTATGGGAATTTAATATATGCAAAATTTAATACATGCAATATATGGGAATTTAATATATGGGAGGAAGCATGTACTCCTCAATAAATGGTGTTGGGACAAATTATAAAATGGGTAGCCAAGTGGGAAGAGATATATTTATATCTACACCGCATGTCATATAGAAGAATAACTTTCAAACAGGTCAAAATTTAAATGTAAAAAAGTATTATATAACTGGTATTTATTGTTTTTTGCTCAATGGTAAGTATATTATGAACACAGGGCCATGTCAAGAAATAAGTTCTATACTTCTGCCATTTCATTTTTAATATTTGCATAGTACTTCACTTAACAAATTATCATAATTTGTTTAACTGCTGTTGATAGACATTCTAGGATGTTTACAATTTTTTACTTTTATACACAAAGCTTAAATGACTGCTTATGACTATTTGGGGATTAGTTAACAGAGCAACACAACAAATTTCTCAAAACTGAATTTTGGTTCTATTAGTGTTCTACAGCTGCTGTAAGAAATTACCACAAATGTGGTTGCTTAAAACAACAGGAATGTATTCTCTCACAGCTCTGGAGGCCAGAAGTCCAACATCACTACCACTGTACCAGAATCAAGGTGGAGGTGGGGCCACACTCACTCTGGAGGATCTAGCCTCTTCCTCTCCTCTGCCAGCTTCTGGTGGCTTCTGGCATTCCTTGGAGGTGACCACAGCTCTCTGATCTCTACCTCTGTGATCACATTGCTTTCTCTTCTGTGATCAAATAATCCAGGATAATCTCTCCATCTCAAGATCCTTAACCTAATCACATCTGCATGGTCCTTTTTTTTTTAAAAAAAGAATTAATATAAGGTAACATTCACAGGTTCCAGAAATTACAACTTGGAACTCTTAAATTTTTTTTTTAATTCTTAAGGAGGGGCCATTCTTTAGCCTATGACAGTTACCTATGTTCTTGGACATTTGAAGATTGTTCCAACCATGGAGAAATTATCAGCAGTGTTAATTTCTTTGCAGATTCTAAACTCTGCTAAATTACTGGGTTCCTTCTTACTTCTTCCCTCTCCTCCCCTTTGCCTCAAGCTTCCCTAATTCCTGCTTATCCAGGATACACGTTAGGTATTCCCTGGTCTTGCTGTAGGTCATATGCTCATGCCCCCAGGGCTCTTTTTCCAAGGGCACATCATAATGTTCTGTTTCTGTCTTTCCTGAGAGGGTTTCTCTTTGGTGTTAAACAGACACATGTTCCTCTCAGCCTCAGCTGGTGTGGCTATGGAGTTGATCTTCGCCACCACACTACATGCCACACTCTAGTACTTCTTCAGTTGTTTCTCTTGCAGTTTCTAAACAATTGTATTATTTACAATAACAATAGCACTGTCTCCCCCTTTCTCCAACCCGTATACTTCAGGTCTTGGAAACTTTAACAGAAAGGAAAAATAAAAACTGCTTACAGATCGCGTGTCCCCTGCAAAGTCCCAAATCCTGGGCTTTGTTTTTCATGCTAGGCAGTCCTTATCTACTTATCATTCACACTCTTGTTTGGCTTCTGCAAAGCTAGGAACCAGGGAGCCCTGTGACCCTGGGGGACTGAGAGCTTTGCTGGAAATCCTGCTGATTAGACCATGGGTGCTGGGATCTACTGTCAGCTTCCTACTTACTCTGCATCCCATCTTGGCAGCCTCCACATTTGTCAGCAGGGATGTTTGTTTAATAGGTCAACGACACAGTCCCCAGCCCTGGGACAGCTTCTGAGAATACATTAGCAGGAAATACAATGGCAAATCCAGTCCAAGATATGGTGAGGTGCAGGCCCATGTCACCCTGACTTTCTTTGTAAACCCTTCCAGCATCTGTGTAGAAACTTCCTTTATTTCTTTACTTCTCAACTCACTGTGATCCAATGTAAAGAACCTAAGGTTTGGCGTCAAACAAGCTCGTATTTACATCCCTGATCTTCCACTGATAGAGCTATAATTTTGTCCAAATTACATAATCTAGTAATTGAGCCTCAGTTTCCCAGTGAGGGAAATGGGCCCAATAAAATTGTGACATAGGTTGCTGTGAGGACTCGAGGAGACAATGGATGGCACACATCTAGCACAATTCCTTCCTGTTGAAGGAAGCACCTCAACACATATTTCCCCTTTTTTCATGCTCAACCTTAAGCATTACTTTTCATTCTGTATTCTTCCCCGTAAAGTTCAAAGCCTCCCTCTTAGACTATACTCATAACCTGCCAGTCAGACCGTAAGTGAAGGGGGTAGAGATGGACTAAAATTTGAAAGTAAATAAATTTTTTAAAATGTGCCTAAGAATTCATCACTTATGGATTTGTCTTAAAAAATAATAATTGGGGAACAAGGAGACATACACAAGAATAGTAAGTTATAAGTACATACGTATAAATATATACTTAGGTAGCAACATTATGTTAATAGTTGATATTTCTATTTATTTAGTCAGATACTACACCAAAGGCCATACATGCATTTTCTCATTTAATTCAACCATTTTTTTTAAAGGCACCAAAACATCATACAAACAATATTCTCATCCTTCTCCTTCAAACACAATTTTGAAGTTGATGAGTATCTTTTACAGCCATTTTATAACTTTGCTGCATATCCATGAACCATATGTAGTGGACAAAATAATAATGTTTTCTGTGTTTTTAAGATTTATACAGATGCTATTATACTATATATTTTCTTCTCCAACCTGATCTTTGGCATCAACAGTGTATTTTAGAGATTTATCCATGTAGTTCTAGTTTATTCATTAAAACTATGATATAATATTCCACTAGATAAAAAACACTCCTATTTATCAATTCATTCTTCTGTTAATGAAAAATTAGCTTATTTCCAAATTTATACTCTTCCAGGCAGTTATTCAATTACTATTCTTCTGTATGTTTGTTCCCGGATTATTATTTTTAAGATAAATCCCTAAGTCATGAACTACTGGGCACATTTTAAAGACTTTTGTTATCTACCAACAAATTTTACTCCAAGCCCACCACCTTCATTTATGGTCCTATTAGCAGTTAATGAGAATGTCTATTTCTCCACATCCTTGCTAATGTTATATATTGTAATTCATTTTAATTTTTGCTGATCTAATAGATAAAAACAAATTAAAAACAAAAAGCTAGCATCTCATTGTTTTTTTTTTTGTTGTTGTTGTTTTTGAGACAGAGTCTTGCTCTGTCGCCCAGGCTGGAGTGCAGTGGCATGATCTCAGCTCATTGCTAGCTCCACCTCCCGGGTTCACGCCATTCTCCTGCCTCAGCCTCCTGAGTAGCTGGGACTACAGGCGCCCACCACAGTGCCTGGCTTATTTTTTGTATTTTTAATAGAGACGGGGTTTCACCGTGTTAGCCAGGATGGTCTTGATCTCCTGACTTCGTGATCCACCCACCTCGGCCTCCCAAAGTGCTGGGATTACAGGCGTGAGCCACTGCGCCCGGCCACATCTCATTGTTTTAATGTTAATGTCTTTGATAAGGATGGGACTGAATGTCTATCGATGTACTTATTGGCCATTTGTCGTTTTTGTTTTGTGCATTGCTTATTCACATCTGTCCTGTTATCTTTACAAATATGTTGTCCAATTTGCCATTAATTTTTTGGCTTGGTGGTGATTTTTATCCTACAAAACTTTTAACTTTAAAAAAATGGTCAAATATATCAATATTTTCAACTGGAACTTTTAATTTTTTTAGTCACTGAGCTCTGTTCAATTATTATAAACTCTGCAGTTAGACCTGCTATGTGAAAGACACCAAGGGTCACAAATAATAGGCAGTTATGGCCTCAAAAGGAATTTATAATTTAGTTGTGGGACAAGATATTCAAATAAAACTATAGTCAATAACACAAGCTGTCTATGATGAGTGTCAACACTTGGCACAAAAAATAGGTGATTTCACTTTGGCTATCAGGAAACAGAGCAAGCAGCACAAGTGAATGCTGAATCACGGTGACCAGATTCGCTTAGGCGACTCCTGGAAATGCGGAATATTAGGCATGGAATAGTCCTGAGACCCACCTAATCCAATCCCTCCATTTAATATAAAAACACGCATTTTCAGAGGTGACTGCCCCCACACCCAGCAGCGGCACCAGCCCCCGCCAGGTGCTCTCCTAAGTGCCCTCAAGGTGGGTGCCTGAGTCCATCTCCTCCCCAGGCTCTTTCTGCTGCAGCCCTAGCACTGGGAGAGGCTGCCATGTGAGCTGCCATGGAGATCCCAGCGACACCTGTACTAGAGCTCTGGCTGCTGGGTCTAGGGGCCCTGGCTGTCTGGCCCTGCTCCTGCTGTTCCTTTTCCTCCTGCTCCTCCTCCTCCTGCTCCTTCTCCTCCTGCTCCTTCTCCTCCTGCTACTCCTCCTTCTCTTTCTCCTCCTCCTGCTCCTCATCCTCCTGCTCCTCATCCTCCTGCTCCTCTTCCTTCTGCTCCTTGTCCTCTTCTTGCTCCTCTTCCTCCTCCTGCTCCTCCTCCTCCTGCTCCTCCTCCTTCTGCTCCTCTTCCTCCTCCTGCTCCTCCTCCTCTTTCTCCTCCTCCTCCTGCTCCTTCTCCTTCTCTTTCTCCTCCTCCTGCTCCTCGTCCTCCTGCTCCTCTTCCTTCTGCTCCTCCTCCTCCAACTCTTCTTCCTCCTCCTGACCCTTGTTCTCCTGCTTCTCCTCCTTCTGCTCCTCTTCCTCCTCCTGCTCCTCCTCCTTCTCTTTCTCTTCCTCCTCCTGCTCCTCCTCCTCTTTCTCCTCCTCCTTTTGCTCCTGCTTATCCTCCTCCTCCTGCTACTCCTCCTGCCCCTCCTGTTCTTCCTCCTCCTCCTCCTTTTGCTCCTCCTGTTCATCCTCCTGCTTCTCCTGCTCCTGCTCCTCCTGCTTCTCCTCCAGCAGCTCCTCCTCCTCCTGTCCTCGCTTTTTCTTCATCTTTGTCTTCTTTTCGTCTTCCCTCTCTTTTTCTTTTGAAATCACTATGGACCACAATAAGTTGTCACAGTAGTGCAGAGGTCCCGAGTACCTATCATCCAGTTTCCCCCAATGATGACTTCTTACATCATGAAGCAAGGACATTGATTGGCTCCAGATCATCAACTGGATTACAGCTCTTACTCTTATTTCACCAGTGTTCACATCCGCTCATTTTTGTATATTTTTGTATCTAATTCCATGATGTTTTATCACATATATAGATTCGTATAATTACCACCACATCAAGTTCCAGAGCTATGCTGTCACTATGGGGGAAAGCACCTTGTATTCCTCCTTGTAGTCACATGCTCCTCCTCTTTTCTATGCACTAGCAACCACTCCCCTGCACTCCATCTCTACAGCAATGCCATTTTGAAAATGCTATATCAGTGGAATCATGCAGTGTGTAATCTTTTGAGATGGGCTTTTCTTCACTTAGCATAATTCCCTTGAGCTCCATCCAAGTTGTTGCATGTATCAACAGTTCGTTCCTTTTTTGTTGCTGGGTAGTATTCCATGGTATGGATGCACCACACTTTGTGTTACCATTCACCAGTTGAAATTTGGGTTGTTTTCAGGTTTTAGATATTTATGTATATAAAGCTGCATGAGTCATATAACTGGCTGAATACATTTAAATGAATATCAGTCATGCAGATCTTTTAGAAATGAGCTCTCTGAATCTTAGTTAATAGAACAATATACATATTTCAAGGAGAGGTCTTTCCTACCTACCTACTTCAGAGGTTTCTTAAAGGGGTGTCTGCAAAACTGACCATCTCCAGTTCACCCCTCTGATATCTTCCTATGATTTCCAGACTTATATTTAGGAAGACCAAGGCTGGTCCTTTTCTGTTAGAAGTCACCTGTCTGAAAAAATTCTAGCTACCAAAATTGGTCATCGGCTAAGTTCATTTTCACCTTGGAGCCATTGTAAATCTTCACCTTGTCCTATTGCCTTCGAACCACTCTCTGACATTATGATCCTCATTGATTTGTTCCCTTGTTTGTTGACTGCCCCATGAGAGCTTCATAAGAGGTAGACTTTGCCTTGTTCTCTGCTATTCCCTAGTTTACAATTGAAGGGCCAGACACGGGACAGGTGTATAATAATGTTTGTGAATAAATGTGTTAGTGAATTCTATCTTCAATACAGAAAAGAGATTTGTAAAAGCTCTCCCCAAAAGACTGGATTTAAGTAAATATAAATAGAGCTTGCCAAATAAATAGAGTGAAGGGAAACCATTCCAGGGCTTGGACTTAGAAAGCCTGAGTCAGAACTTCAGCTCTGCCTCTTACTGTCTTGGTATCTGTAGGAACTGATCTAATTTCTTTGCCAAAGTCATCTCATTTGCAACATCACCTTCTTCACAAGATAACTGTGATGCTCAAGTAAGTCAGTTTGTGTGAATGTACTTTGTAAGACACTAAAGTGCTGTATAAATCTAAGGGATTCTTATTGCCATGGTTATCACCTCCTCCTTCTCTCTCCTGCTTCCCTCCTTCTCCTTCATCATCATTTTCACCATCATCATGACCATCTGCACCCTTGGAAGGATAAAAAGCATCCAGGCAACTGCAAATATGAAATCTTGGCATTCTTATGACATTCCAGCCAGTAGAGGGCAACAGTTCCTACCTGCTAAGTACAATGTCTTTAAACATCAAGTTGAAATATGCATGGCAACTTATGATCATTTATATGTCTTTATTTTTAAAGGAAACACGCTCATCCACCCTAATCATTCTTCCATTCAGCAATTCCTTCCCAGTATTTTTGTTCAGTACATTGCCTTAGCACAAACCTCTTAGAAATGTCTGGCTGCTGTGAAAGAAAGTGATTTTATTTACTTATTATTTCAATGGGATTTGCATTCTTGTCCTCCCTTCCTGGTTGCCTGGGTGAGATGCAGTGCAAAATTTGGCTCAGGAGTGATGATACAAGCATGCTTCTCTTTTCTTGACACTGGCATTAGAAGATAGTGTAATTGCTTGTGTTTGATTAGGTTCTCTGAGAATTCTGTCACTCTTTGAGGTGATTCCTATATTCCCTCCTTGCTAGACTGTCGCTGTGTGTATTTCACCCTAGGACTGGTGGAGAGAGTTGTTAAGCTGACCTCTGGAGTCTATCTGGTACAGTCTGACTTCCCCACAGTGTGTATCAGCAGGCAGGTCATTGGTGTAGGGACAGACAGACTGGGAAGTTGCTGAGGCACTTTACTCCAGAAAGTAAGGGCAGCTGGGTTTTTTTCTTTTCTGTCTCTGGTTCTTGAATCAGGATGGATTTTTGATATACTGCTTAACCCTGCTGCCAGGGGACCCACCAGGGTAAAGCAGCACCCACACCTCAGGATAAGCAGAAAGAAAGAGATACACAAGGTAGCCCAGTTTTTTCCATTTAACAAAAGCCAGCTGGGGAATAATCAAATATTAACATTTGCTTACTCACTTTAAAGAGGATGGTGTTTGTTTCATCACAGGGTAGAGAGGGGTGGCTGTGCCGTCCTGGAATGCTTTTTTTTTTTGAGATGGAGACTCACTCTGTTGCCAGGCTGGAGTGCAGTGGCGTGATCTCGGCTCACTGCAACCTCCATCTCCTGGGTTCAATCAATTCTCCTGCCTCAGCCTCCCGAGTAGCTGGGATTACAGGCATGTGCCGCCACACCTGGCTAATTTTTTTGTCTTTTTAGTAGAGATGAGGTTTCACCATATTGGTCAGGCTGGTCTCGAACTCCTGACCTTGTGATCCGCCCACCTTGGCCTCCCAAAGTGCTGGGATTACAGGCATGAGCCACCGCACTCGGCCAATACTTCTTTTTTTGATGGAACTCTATTAACCTTAGCTTCACACCAGCCCCTTTTATTAAGGAGAACACCATGATATTTAAACAAGAATGTTTACACATTTGAGTATCAGTCATTCACTCACTTATCCCATGTCTATAGAAAGCCTACTATACCCTGGAGTTAGAGATTCAAAATGAGAAAAAACCAGGACCCTTCCTTGGAATAACTCCCAGTCTCTGGGGGATACCAATGTAGGTCATTAATGTTTACAGAGGAGTAGGTGGTGTAACCCAGCCAAGAGCACAGGGCCATGGCAGCTCAGTGGAAACGGTGGTTTGCTCTACCAGCCAGAGGCTTCTAAGGAAACACCATTGGAGCTGTGTCTATGCAGTATGAGGCATGTTTTGGGGTGAATTTTTATCTTGTTTTACTCCCTAAACAATCTTGGATCATATCTATAGGAATGCTGACTGGGAAGGATACAGTAAATTCTGATTATCATTCCCCATCCAAGTCTCACCCAGTTTCACCTGGTGTACGTTGTGATTAGGTTTGGCAGTAGCGAGTTCGTGACCACGTTGTGACGTGCTGGCATATACTTCCTGAGAGTTAAGGATGGGAAGCCAGATCTTTACTTTAGGGCACCTTTGGGAAAATGCCAGCTTGGCCAAGCCGAGAAATAACAAACTTTTTTTTTTTTTTTAAGTAGAGACCATACTCACTTCTCCCCAGGACAGGGCATGCCTCTTAATATTTTGCCATGATGGCTTTGGGGCCACTAAGAAAAAGTGCTGATGTAGGGAGAGGACACTGCAAGCTTCAGATCGAAGGGGCCCTGCCCCAGGGAAAAAACCTCAACTTTTCCACTGAAGCTCTATGTGACTGTAGGTCATTTATCTTGACTTCTCTGGAGCCATAATGTCCTGTATACTGATTTGGTCCTTTTGCAAAGCATCGCCTTCTCAGTGATGATTCCCAGGATATCTCTAAGAAAGTTTTAAAGGCAAAGGCCTTCTTGCACCTTGCATCCTCTGTAACTCTGAGCCTGCTCTGCGGAGTAGTGGGTATTGGGCTGCTACTCCTTGGTGGGGAAAGCAAACAGGCTGACACATCAGCAGAGTGACCAAAGCTGCATACCCTCCAAGATGTGATCCAGCCTGGAGCAGAGCCTGGCCCCAGGGACTGCACAGCCCACACTCCTAGGCTTGGAACATTTCAGACTCATGCTGACTTGGCTCTGGAGCTGGCTGTAGCCAGCTGGGACACTGAACCATTTGCTTGTTCTGTTGACAGCCCAGAAGAACTGGAGCCCTTTGCCTGTGGGTGAAGTCTAAATTTAGCCCCAAAGAAGTTGCCTTCCCATTTTGCTGGAGAAAAGCTCTTTTCACGGGAATGGGCCTCTGCTTTGATTAAGTGGGAGGACCCACATCTGGGAATACATAAACTTTATTGTCCTTGGATGACAAAACGGTTTCCTTGCCTACTGGTTTTCCGCCTTTTTAGCCTGGGGTGTGATCATCTGTGCTTATGACTGTGTTGGCCGGGGCAAGTCATTTGGCTGTGGCCAGGGCTCCCGATCCTGAGCCTAAGCTGGAGTCAACACCTGGGGATGTTGTCTTGTCCCCACTTCACCTCCTGAGGCCCAGCTCTGTAAGTGCAGATGTGACAGAGAGCAGGAGTCTGGGTCTCTGTGAATGATCCTGGGAGAACATGAGGCCCAGGTTTGTACCCCTTTGGACCAGATCCTGGTATGGCAGGAGGCCTGAAACATCCCAGGGCTTTTCTGTAAGGCTTCAGGGTCCAAGGTCCCAGTGCACACCCTGAGCCCATGCTAGAGTGAACACAAGAGTTCCATCTTGAAAAGACACCAGCCCTAAGGGGTTCATTGGGAAAGGCTTCTAGAACCCCTCCTGGCCCAGAATAGGCCCCTTCAGTGATTCCTCGCCCTAGAACCCCCCTGCCATTTTCATCTTGTTTGAATACTTTGGGGAGTTGTTGAGTGAATATTCTCTTAAAAGTCAGTTCTCCTAGGGCACGTTCAGATCCCTTTGGATCAATGTTTCCTTTGTTGTTCAATGATGCAGGATCTGGTTACCTTGTCCATGTAAGAACTTCTGAAATGTAAGGCAAAGAGCACTGGACCTGGATTCAGAACAACTGGGTTGCTGGGTGGTCTGGCTTTATTGCTTATTAGTGGTATGACATTGGGCAAGGTACCTTCTCCAAGCATCTGTTTCCTTGTCTGGAAAATGGCAGTAATAAGACCATATTCACAGCTTTGCTGTCAGCAACAAGTGAGAAGATGTTACACATTTTCAAATGCTCTTTGTAAAAGTAGATTGCATTCTCTACTAAGTAATCTTGGCTGGTAGCAAATGTTTGCTTGGATTTAACTAGTTCCTTCCACCGCATGGAAATCTCTTTTCTCTCAAAGAGTACCCTAAAGGACACTGGGCGCTTATTAGATCAAGGGAACTCCTGCTTTGTTTGGACCTTCTGTTTCCACTTTTGTTTTCTCTCTTGAATCTCACTTTGTTTTCCGAAGAATGATGGTGAGGCGGATCAAGATGTCATAACCTTTTGGATTGGTTCAGCAGATGTTTTGCTCAATATCCATAAGCAGATTCTATCTGGCCTATCTTTATAGTTCAGTTTCTTGATCTGTAGAATGGATACCACACCCATAAGCAGGTCTTGAGAAATGATGTAGTGGGAACTCAGAAAGGCAAACTGTAATCATTTCAATGCTGTGGTCATTATACAAGTCTAGCATATTTTCTGATCAGAACCTAGCATTTGGCCATGTTTCCATGCTCTTCTGCACAACACTCAACAGTAAATATGCAGTATCAAGTTTTCCCATTTAATAAGAATTCATGGGATAGAAAGCAATTAGGCTAGGTCTAAAAGAAATTAGGCTCTGGCCAAGGAAGAATTGGAGGGATACCCTCTTGCTGTAATTTTCCAGGATGCCCTGGACATCCCCAGAAGTCATTAGTATGGAAAGATCTCAGGAACATTTTATAAGCTAGTAAAACATGCTTGAGGGGTGATAGATTCTTTAGAATTTATCTGCATGGCTGACGTCACCCTCTCAGCACAGGGAGCCAAACTGTCTCGATGTCTGTGGCCCGTTTCTGAAATTATTTCCCAGTAGTTAATCCCAAGTGACCCTTAAGCCCACTTCCCTGTCAGAAAGTGTTGGTTTGCAATGAGAAGTGGCCCTTTCTGGGCCAATGAGGCTCCTCCTTCCAGCTGAAATAGAAGGGAAATTGATGGCTTCTCTGGCTGAGGACTTCTCCCCTGCAGACCCATGTCTGGACTGCCCAAGCTTCCTAGTTTAAGTCTCTTTGTCTCAGCTAGTTGTAGTGACTGCCACCCTCACTAGCTGTACCCCTGCACAGGGGGCTGGCATGATTTTTGGCTCCCTGCTTACAGGACTGGAATGTGGTTTCCTTCAGCAGTAGACAGGGAAGCAGCTTGATGTCTCTAGAAGCTTGTTTAGTCTCCAGCTTTGTGGTAGTTGACGATGTCACATCATCTTTTCTAAGTTTTAGTTACTGCAAAATGGTGTTTATTTTTATTTGGGGATTTGGAGGGAAAAGAGAGGGCAAGGAAGAGGGAAACCAATGAATATTTACTGAGCACTTACTATACACCAGGCACTGTGCTTAAACATTTTAATGTACATGATCACTTAGTTCTTAAAACAACTCTCTAAGCTAGGACATTACAAATCTCATGTTATGGATCTGGAAACTAAGGTTTGGAGAGAGAAAAATAAAATGAAGAGTTATGCCATGCAATAGACTGAATGTGTATGTCCCTACAAAATGCATATGTTGAAACCCTAACCCCAAAACTGATAGTATTAGGAGGTGCAGTCTTTGGGAGGTGATTAGGTCATGAGGAAGAAGCCTTCATGATTGGGCTTTATAAAGGGAACGATCTTACCCCTTCTACGGTGGGAGGACAAAGCAGACAGGTGCCTTCTATGAATCAGAAAAGAGGCCCTTATCAGACATGGAACTGGCCAGTGCTTTGGCCTTGAACTTCCCAGCTTCCAGAACTATGAGAAATAAGTTTCTGTTGTTTATAAGCCACCCAGCTTATGGTATGTTGTTACAGCAGCCTGAATGAGCTAAGGCATATGGCTTTGCTTGGATAGGGGGTTGGCTTCTCAATAGAGGTGGTGTCATGTTGTGCTGGGAAGATCGGGACAATGATTCCAATGGCACAGTACCAGGGACCCACTGAGATCCTACTTGACAGGTCCAGTCCTATCAAGAGGCCAACGTGAGGCAACCTAAAAGCATGATGGGGTTTTCTAGGCAAACCACTCTCCCACTTAACCCCGTTGCCCCAAACATTGCCATTCCTCGCCTCTGTGACAGGGTGACTCTTCAGAGACCAGCGGCTGTCAGAAGCCGCTATAGATCCCCGGTGCTGGGAGCCAGCAGTGTTCCCAGATCTTTATGTTGTCCAGACCAGCCTCAGCAACCAGGCCCCGCTCTCCAGCTGCCCAAGCCCTGGGGGTGACTCATCTGGCTCCTGACACTGTGCATCAGCATGCCCTTCTGCCTGCTGCTGCCCCAGTGTGACCACAGCTGCCTCAGGGGATGGCGGAGGCTGGCTCCTGACCCAGGCTGCTGGCAGGGAGTGTCCTGGAGGCTGCGCGCTCAGCCGGCACGTCCCCCTCATTCCGCCAGCCCTGCCCACCTTCCTCGCCTGCAGCTCAATCCCCATGACTAAGGGTGTGGAAGAGGATTCCTTTTTCCACAAGCCCATGACTGAGCTGGGACAGGAGGGATCTGCAGTCCCCCTTCACTCAGAGACAGCAAAGATTTTTATCCCCCAGAGACAAGAATCCCCTGGCTGTGAAGTGGTAAGCCTGGGGAGCGGCTGCCGCCACCTGTCCTCAGGGAAGGTCTGCCACTCTCCGACCTGCTGTTGACCTGAACTCCAGGGACAGCCACTCCCCTGCCATTTGCTCCTGCAGAGAGTGGGACGGATGACGTCATGGCATTTTTGGAGTGCTGAAGTGAAGTTTTGACAAATTCCAAGGGACATCAAAGTGCTGAACAACAGCCAATACATCATAGCCTGTCACCAGGGCCCCCACCCCTGATTATCACATTAAATCAGCCGGTGGGCACATTTCAGCTGAAACTCAACAGACGCCTACTGGAACTCACAGTTTCTCCTTCCAGAGTTCAACAAATATGGCAATGGTTACATTTTAAAATCTGTGTTTTCTATTCTACATTCAGTCTCTCTCACACACACACACACACACACACACACACACACACACACACACACCATGTTACTAACTAAAAAACAGAAGCATGCTGCTAGAGAATACCTGATAACTGGGATTATGACATGCAGTAGAATAGAATGCTGATTTGGATTCTAATCCTAGCTCTGCCACTTAATAGCTCGATATCTTTAGCAAGTTAGTTAACACCTCTGAGCCTCAATTTTCTGAGGGTAAAATAAGCATAATAACGTTTCTATTTCCAAAATTGTGAGCATTGGTTGGGAGAGCAGTTCAACCTTAGTTCTTGCCTGGTAACTGTGGACAATGTTTTCTAGTCATAAAGTTTTGTATTTATTTCTTGATGTGTTTATTGTATGTTCCTTTTTGAACATAAGAAAGATAAGACATTATTTTCTCCTCCAGGTTTGCCGAGAAGTGCTTGTGGGTGAGCTGAGGGTAGGGCATCTGTGGCTCAGTTTTCAGGCTATGGAGGAAATATCTGCTGGGCTGCTATTTCCCTGC
Organism: Homo sapiens; assembly: GCF_000001405.40. Taxonomy (NCBI): domain Eukaryota; kingdom Metazoa; phylum Chordata; class Mammalia; order Primates; family Hominidae; genus Homo; species Homo sapiens. The sequence continues at coordinate 33,723,742 of NC_000007.14, forward strand.
ATAAGTTCTCATTGCGGGAGGGAGCAGAAGGTAATTTCAGAAAGAGCTTGTGCTGATCTTTCGAACTGTTTCTCCCAAATTCTGGAGTATCCAAAGAAAGCAGGGTTATCTGCCAGAATGTATCAGAAAGATAGCAGGCATGTGAATTCTACATTAACTATAGGGCATAAGAAATTTCATGTTTCTTTTATTACTTTAAGCTAAATTTGATATGCCACTGTAGCCATCCTGCCAGGATGGTAGGAAATTCAGTTGCAGACTTTCCTGAAATGCCCCTTCCTCTCAGTTCCTGTGGCCACTCGCCCAGATCGTTTGGATAGAGTCCTCTGGTCTTCGGTCCACAGGGGTGACTACTGATGTGCTCATCTGCTAAGTCCTCATGCTCCTGGGAGGCTGGTGGCTCCACCATTCCTTGGCAGAGCTTTGCCATTGCTACGATTTCTCCCTGAGGCCCTGTCACCTCCCGAGGGTTGCCAGAGAAGGAGAGCCTCCACACCTGGGATCACAGCTCCCTTCCCTTCCAGTCCCGGGGAGACACTAGAATCCTTTGAAGGTTCCCTTTTCTATCAGGACTGTCTCCTTCTCCACCTTTTGGAGAAGATGAAGGGTAATCTCCCTTGAGAGAGCCTGTGGAGACACAATGATGGCCTCTGTTCTTTAGGAATGGGGAAAAGATAAGTTATCTAGGTTAACTGGGATTAACTAATTCTGTTACTGAGCTGGGTGACAAGATGGGATTGGGGAATTTGTTTGGGGACTCAGTGAGGACATGCAGGAGACAGATTCAAAGAATCACATGTGAAATGGACAGGGCTCTGATCCCTCTAAAATATCTGTTGCTTTCCTTCTTCCACTTCGACCCCTATCCCCCATAATTCTTCTGTCTTTTTTTGGAGACAGAATCTTGTTCTGTCACCAGCCTGGAGTGCAGTGGAGCGATCTTGGCTCACTGCAACCTCTGTCTCCTGGGTTCAAGAGATTCTCCTGCCTCAGCCTCCCGAATAGCTGGGACTACAGGTGTGTGCCACCACGCCCAGCTAATTTTTGTATTTTTAGTAGAGACGGGGTTTCACCAGGTTGGCCAGGATGGTCTCGATCTGTGGACCTCGTGATCTGCCTGCCTCAGCCTCCCAAAGTGCTGGGATTACAGGCGTGAGCCACTGCTCCCAGCCAATTCTTCTATCTTTAAAAGGTAACCCAGGTTGGGAGGGAAGGCTGGGAGCACAGCAGAAGACAGAACTGCTTTGTTGAGCCCCAGAACCGGCAGCGGATACTCCCTGCCAATCACATGGCACTCACCTCTTTGTGTAAATTTAGAAGGTGCTTGCCCAGGAACAATCTGGCTTGACTGTCACAGCCATCCTGCAAGGTAAGTGGGGCAGTCGTTAACCCCATTTTCCAGATAAGGAAGCTGAGGCTCACATTGATTAAAAGACTTGCCCAAAGTAACCAAGCTGTTGAGGGGCAAAGCAGCAGGACATAGCATCCAGGTCTCTTGACTTTTGCTTCAAGAGCCCACAGCCACACTCGGTGCTTAGATGAGGCTTTGGCTTATCAGTGATTTGTGATGTTTGCCTTTTGCCAAAGAGGGGGATGGCTGAAGAGCTAGTGCCCTGACATTCTGGACTCTTGCCAGTAGATTTTGTCTGACTCTTGCTCTGATGCTATTCTTTGTTATTTTCAGGAAGGGGAGCTAGATGTAGAATACATTTCTTTTTCTTGGTAACGTGAACAGCAAGAAGCAAGTAGAGTACATTTCTTATGAGAGAATATGCTCGGGACTTTGATTCATATCTGGTGGGTCCCAAAAGACCAGGGTACTGCAGATTTAAGACCATGTTGCAAATTCGGCATGCATTCAATAGGACTACCTTAGTGAGGGGAGTAATTTTATAAAATTATCAATTCAGTCTCAAAGAATAATAGCAGGAAATGTATTTCTGACTATTTAGAAGTGACTCATTGTGGGACTGTTTGAAAACTATATTATTTTTATCAGTAAATAGAATTGCCTATAGTCAATGTTATCTCTTCACATCCAGGGATTCTAAGATCCGGTTACCCATTTCCCTCAAAACAGCAGATAGCAAAGCCAGGGAAATGAAAACCCACCAAACCTTCTGCAAGGCTGACACCACCCCTAAACCCCACTGCAAACTGATAACACCACACCCTCCTCTGCAAAATAACAGAGGGGCAGATAAGATGAAAATTTTCATTCCAATTAGCAATCATTTCCAGTCAGTGAAACGGCAGAATCAGAAGAGGTTCCACAACCAGAAAATCTTGGCTGGAATTTCACCATCAGGAATAAAACAGAAAAACTAAAAGAGTGCCCCAGATAGCCTTTCTTAGGGGCCTGTGTCAGGTAAGTGCTTTTGAATATTTAAAACAAAGGATGGCTAAGAGTTCTGCAGTCATTTTCCAGTTAAATATCAGATGGTATAAAATATTTTTATAGAAAGTACAGGCCAGGTGCGATGGCTCACACCTGTAATCCCCACACTTTGGGAGACCGAGGTGGGCAGATCACTTGAGGCCAGGTGTTCAAGACCAGTCTGGCTAACATGGCGAAACCCCGTCTCTACTGAAAATACAAAAATTAGCCTGGCGTGGTGATGCACACCAATAATCCCAGCTAGGTCAGGAGGCTGAGGCATGAGAATCGCTTGAACCCGGGAGGTGGAGGTTGCAGTGAGATGAGATCGAACCACTGCACCTCCAGCCTGGGCGACATAGTGACACTGTATCTCAAAAAGAAAAAGAATTCATAATCCACTTTTCATTAGCTGGTATTTGGCCTTACCAAGGTGAAGCATGAAAATGAAATTCTATCTGTATCAGCCAGATTTTCTCAGACACATGTATTCACTGCATGACGGACCCTGGTTTCCAAATTGTTAAGCATACCAGACTCTAGTGAATGCCCTTCCGAAAGGGCCATCATGCAGCAGGCCTTCCCATCGGAGAGCCATGGTCCCAGCCAAGGCAGCTTTCAGGGGTTGCTCCACCACTCTAGGGAGGCGGCCCAGATCTGTCTCTCCCAAACAGTGTCTGGGTTTGACACTTCCTGAGAAAGCAGAGATTGTTCCCTTTGTATGCCATGGCTCTGGAATGCAGCTCTTCCTGTAAGGAAGACAATGGTCTTTATGGGAAGGCTAGGACTTGAAGGAGGTAAGATTTGAACGGCAGAGCTGGGTGCTAGCTTTCCTGCTGAGGGAAATGGTGGGCACAGAACCCCCGCGGTGGGCAAGCTGGGGTGTGGGTGTGCCTGTGGGCTGGCAGGTGACTCTGCCCGGAGCATCGCAGGGGTGGGGAAGAGATCAAGGAGGTAAGAAAGGTAGTCTAGGGGGAGGGGCCCAGAGTTTTGAACACCAGACTTAGGAATCTGGGACATACGTACTGGCCTTTGCCATTCAAAGTGTGGTCCTGGGACCAACAGCATCCTTGGACTTGAAAGCTTGTTAGACACGCAGAAGCCCGGGCTCACCCCAGGCCTGCTGAATCACAACCTGCATTTTAACAAGACCCCCAGGAAATTTCTATCCTCCTTCAAGCACTGCTCTAGGCTAAGAGGAAGCAAGAACAATTTTTAGAGCTGGGGATAAAGTGATGGGAGGAGTGTTTGGGAATGAGGCCACTAGAGTGCTTAGAGAACACTCACTTGGGAGCCCCACAACAATGCAGGCGTGAGTGAAGGAGGGGGGTGGGGGGCTGCGAGGGAGACAGGTTTTCCCCACAAGCCACAAGGCCCGAGGCACGCCTCCTGCCCTGCCTCCACCTCAGGTCGCAGGAATCTTGTTGGTGATCCATCCAGATGTTGTGTGTTCTGGAAGTGGACATCGCGGCTCTGTGTTTTTGAAGTCAGATCTCATTGCTGTGGTTTCTATGCCTGACCCCCCGAAGTTCTTGCTCCTGTTGCCACAGGGAGCCGGGAGAGCACAGAGCGCTGCTCCCGGTGCCCTGCAGCCACACAAACATGCTCCTGCTCCTGGCGGAGGCAGAGCTGCTGGGAAAGACATTTCGGAAGTTTCCTGTGGCTGCAACAAATTGTTCAAATCTGCACTGGAGCACCGCTGTGACCTGTCTTTCTCCATCTTAGGGCAAACAGCTCCTGAAACTGGAAACTCCCCAGCACCTCCTCACCCTACCCCTCAGGCTCTCCTTGTGGGGGTGGGGCAGGGGGAGTTGTCTGGAATGCCTGGCCTCTCTGTCCAAGCATGGCAGCCTTGCCCCATGGGTGGTGCAGACTCAGTTTCCCATGCACCTTGCCCCAGGGAGGAGGTAGGGGTTCCTTCCATAGAGATGGTGAAGAATAAGGGAGGTAGTGATCGTCTCTGGGATCCAGTTAGATCTGCGTTTGCAGGCAGAAAGAGGCTGGGGCACATGGAGAGAGTGATCAACTGGAAGATTCTAGGGTCCTCAATTTTGAAAGGTGACATGATACCCTGGAAAGGGCATGAACTTAGTTGTCAGTTCGTCCTTGCCTTTTCCAATCAATGCTGTGTGGCCACGGCAAATTAATGAACATCTCTGAGTTTCGGTCTCCTGTCTAAAATGAGGTGATAATAGCTTCTTGAAGGTTGTAAGGCCCCAAACATGCTGCCTGGCACATAGATGGCTAATCAATATTTTCCTACCCTTCCCTTCCTTCCCTTCTCTGGAGTTGCTACCTGTCTTCTCCTGGGGCCTTGCAAATAAACTTCTGAATTAAATAGTTCCTGCCTGGTAATTTGTATCAACTGAGGGAAGACAAGTCTGGAATATTACTTTTTTTTTTTTTTTTCAGACGGAGTCTCGCTGTCGCCCATTTTGAGATTGAGGGCTACACTTAAAAATAAATGTAACCATTGGCTGAAACCAGACCGCTTTCTGGAAGGGAGTCTTTTGGGGCTTCCTTCAATGAACAGACAGGAGTGTAATTAGTTATTTGATAGCAAATGGGTTCTCTCAGGACATAAATACAATTTAAAGCAGTTTGTTCTAGTGTCTACAGTTTCAACATTGCCCGTTGCATTCATGTTTCTACTCTTAACTTGCCAAGTAAACCCATAGTTTGTTAGTTCCAACACTAATCTCTGATCAGTCCCATTTATTCTAAATTTGTTTTCACATAATGGCTTCCACAACTCAAGGTATTTTCTATTCTTTGCTCTCTGGAGACTGAGAGGTTATCAGTTGTGGAAAGCCTTCCAGGAAGTTTTCCTCTAATGTAGTCCTGGGGAATACAGAAGCCGCCTCGAATGAATGGTCGGACTCACCTTTTCCCAGGACCATAAAAATATATATTTTTGTTTCCTACCCTAAACACAGTGTAACTCACTCCTTGTTTTTCCTGGGAGATTGTGGTAACACGGAGAGGCCTGGGGGGTCTCTGGGATAAAGCAGCTTGTAAAACGACTATGGGGGGATTCCAGATCTGACTTAATCAACATTTCTCAAGATCCGTAGACCAATAAAACTGTTTGCTTTCTTACCACAGTTCCACCGGCTGATTTATTTCTCTTACTTGGCTGAAGCTGTCACTGCTCAAAGCAGTTCATTTGTCAGGTCGAGAGAATTACAATTCACAGGACCTCTTGCTAGTGCTATCTCAGTTTATAAATTTCACGAATCACAATTTATTGCGGTGCACCCCACAGAGTCTCCTATTAATAAATTGTGGCTCATCAGCAAAAGCACGTGTCTATGGCTCCCTTGGATATAGGCTTAGGGTCCTGGAGCGGCCGCACAAGCTGCATGTGGCCAACACACAAACGTAGCTGGGCCGGCTCCCGCAGCCTCTGTCTGAGTCTCCCTCTACTTGCAATGACTCTCTGCGTGGCCTGGTTTCTTGTTTTCACCTCTGCAGGGATGCCATGTAAAGGAGGCCAGACACCACCTGTGTATGTTTGTGTTGTGGTGGGGAGGGCCGGGCCATAGGAAGAACTTAATTCCTTCCAAAATCTACAGATTTTCCTCTAATAGATTTCATCAACCTGTGGGCACAAACAGAATTGCATTAATAATGCAAACCTTTTGTTCACTGACTCTTTTCCTTCCCAGCCACCAGCACTTCAGCTAGAGCTTTCTGGAAGTCCTTGGGGTTTTTCACATGCTCTCGGAAGTGAGGCCAGTAGTGTCTTGCCCAAGTAGTCAGGTCGGCTCCTCCAAGGCATTTTCCATTTCCTTCCTTCCCCCTGTGCTGGCCTCTTCTGCTGGGTGTGTGCAGTTCCCATGGGGCTTGCTATGTCTTCCACTCTCTCTGTCTGCTACTGACACCTAAGTCCCGACTAGGGGCTGCACTTTGTTCCCCCAAATCCATAAGTGAAATCCTAGCCCTCAGTACCTCAGAGTGTGACTGTATTTGCAGAGATGGCCTTTAACATGTAATTAAGTTAAAAGGAGGTTGTTAGGCTGGGCCTTAATCCCATATAACTGATGTTCTTATAAGGAGAGGAAATTTGGGCCCAGACACACACAAAGGGAAAGATCATATGAAGACACAGGGAGAAGACGCTCACCTGCTAGCCAGGGACAGGGGCCTCAGAAGGAACCAACCCTACCTTGGAAGAAGTTGACACCCTGATCTCAGACGTCCAGCCTTCAGAATGGTGAGAAAATATATTTCTGTTGTGGAAGTCACACAGTCTGGTACTTTGTCATGGTCATCCCAGGAAATGATTACAATCCACTACCAAGAAATGTCTGGCACCTTCATGACGACCAAGCTGGATGTCAAGTCAGGGATGACAGCTTGCAGCTTCTGCTGATGTTTGCCCTCGGAGAGGAGCCCCCAAACCCTGCTGTTTGTGCCGATGTCATTCAGTGTTTGTGGAGTAGCCCAGGGGTCTCCAACCCCGGGACCATGTATCGGTACCAGTCTGTGGTCTGTGGCCTGTTAGGAACAGCAGGAAGTGAGTGGCGGGTGAGCGAGCCTTACTGCCTGAGCTCCGTCTCCTCCAGATCAGCTCACCTGCCCCATTAGATTCTCATAGGAGTGCGAATCCTACTGTGAACTGTGCATGTGAGGGATCTAGGGTGCATGCTCCTTATGAGAGTCTAATGTCTAATGATCTGAGGTGGAACAGTTTCATCCAGAAACCATTGCCCCCTTCCCCCCTAGTCTGGAAAAATTGTTGCCTTCCCTCCCTGCATGTGCCCTGTGCCCTAGTATCTCTGGAGTCATTTTCCCAGAAGCTATCATGACTTTTAGTTAGAGTGAGAGGCTGGGGTCACTCAGGGCACCCGGGAATCACAGTGATCCTATGTAGTGGGAGCTGGATCCGTGGAGGAGATGGACACTGACTGAAGATTCCACTCCAGGCTGAGAGAGGAGAGAGGAAGTTCCCTGGCTGCTCTCTTCCTCCCACCCTCAGACTCTTGTCAGTGTCTCCTTGGCTGAGCCCTGCTGGGATCTGGGGCAGCTGGGGAAACACAGCCTTCAGGGGTCAGCCCCTGCCATAGACAGCAGAGCAGGAAATGGTTGAGGAGTGGCTCTCGGGGCAAACAGGCCCAGGACTAGGGTTCCTTTCGTAGCTGTCTGTTAGTTTCTTGTGGCTGCTACAGCAAATGACTAGACCCTTGGATGGCTGAAACAGCAGACATTTACTCCCACAGTTCTGGAGGCCAGACTTGCAAAATCAAGACATTAGCAGGGCTGTGCTTCCTTTAGAGGCTTCAGGGAAGGTCCTTCTAATACCTCCTTCAGGCTCTGCTGACTCCAGGTGCGCCTTGGCTGGGGCTGCATCACTCCAATCCCTGCCGCCTCCTGCACATGGCCTTCTCCTTTCCTCTGTGTGTCTCTCCTCTGTGTGGCATCTTTCTCTATGTGTCATTGGACTTAGGGCCCACCCAGATTGCAAAGATCCCTTATCCAAACAGGCCACATTCACAGCTTTTAGGGCTTAGGATGTGGGCATATCTTTTGGGGGCCACCATTTCACCCACTGCAACCTCCTTAATTTTGTTCAAGCTGTTCCTTCAACCTAGTGTCCCCTACCCTCCTCCTTCTAGAAAAATCCTGCAAGTCTCCTCTCAAGTGTCACCTTCAGCATGAAACCTTGCCTGGACTACATGATCAGACCCACTTACCATCTCTCCTGGGCCCCCATAGTTCCTTGTTCTTGTGCATGGCACTTATCGCCTTGACAGTCCACTGGCAGCTCCTCAAGGGCAGAGCAGGGCCTGTGGCCTCTGCTCCAAGGGCCAATGTCACATCTCAGTTCCTTTCTCCCATGAGGACCAAGGCCCTTTTGTCTGGGTTCCAGTCTTCTCTTCTTGTTTTGGGTCAAAACAGCTTCCTTACACCCTCCTGAGCCTCACGTGGCTCTGCCCTGCATCTGCTGGACACTCACCAGGCACCTCATAAGTCTGGGATTTGTCTCCAGTTTGCCTGAAACCGCCTCCTTCCTGGACCTACATCACACATGGCTGCCCAGAGCAGTCCTCATTAAGAAGTACTGCTGTTGATGAAGTCTTGTCAGAAACAAGCCTGGTCAGGACCAGAAGTGGGGAAAGAAACAGTCGATTTAGATTGTCACAGTACTTCGGGTAGAGGACTTTGATCTGGAATCGGGATAAAGAATGGGGCTATACCCTAAAAATTCATTTAAAGCTGGTAGGTGTTTTTCTTTAGCAAGCAATTATTGTATTTTGTTCTACTAAGTATTTTAAAAGCCTCCTAAATTCCTGTAGAGATAAGCTTTGTTTACCTGGAACACTTGGGAAATGAGGAGCACTATTCTTTTAATTTTATGGTAACCAAAACCCCCTTTTGGGTTTTAATTCTTGTTGCAATGTTGCCTTAACTGCATATATCTTTTCTGTTTTAGAAAGCAGAGCAAATGGGATGCACGCTTTTTGCTCACGCAAAGAGGACTAGGGGTGTAGCTTTGGAAATTGAGCTGAGTAATCTTGGGTCATGACCTTAACAAAATATTAACCAGGTGCAGTTGCTCTTGCCTGTAATCCCAGCTCTTTGGGAGGCTGAGGCAGGATGATTGCTTGAGTCCAGGAGTTCAAGACCAGCCTGGGCAACATATATACATATACATCATATACATATACATATACATATAAGTTAGCAAGGCATGGTGGCTGTAGTCCCAGCTACTTGGGAAGTTGAGGCAGGAGGTTTGCTTCTGCCTGGAAGGTTGAGAATACAGTGAGCCATAATTGTGTCACTGCATTTCAGCATGGGCAGCAGAGAGAGACACTGTCAAAAAAAAAAATCCTTTTTTTTTTTTTTTTGAGATGGAGTCTCATTCTCGTTGCCCAGGCTGGAGTGCAATGGTGCGATCTCGGCTCACTGCAACCTCTGCCTCCTGGGTTCAAGAAATTCTCCTGCCTGGGCCTCCTGAGTAGCTGGGATTACAGGCATGCACCACCTTGCCTGGCTAATTTTTTATTTTTAGTAGAGATGGGGTTTCTCCATGTTGGTGAGGCTGGTCTTGAACTCCAAACCTCAGGTGACCTGCCCACCTTGGCCTCTCAGAGTACTGGGATTACAGGCGTAAGCCACCGTGCTGGGCCAAAAAAATCCTTTTCATCAACTTGTTTTTTGGAGCATTTATTTTTTTCTCCAAAAGTGGAGGACAGAAAACAGCCAATTAAGCGAAGGTTTCTTTTGCTGATGTCTAATTTTGGCTTTTCTTCTGAAGTGCTAAGAATAATTTCTGAGCAGTAATCAATTGCATCTCTATAGAGGACAGACAGTATTATAAATATTGCCATAAGAAGAAAGTTTTGGCCACTTCTCTATGTTTCCTTCTATTTCGCTACTGGTAGTGTTAGGGGTGTGTGTGTGTGTGTGTGTGTGTGTGTGTGTGACTATGTGCAGGTGCAACTGAGTTAGCCTAAGGTGAATAAACCCTACAATGGACTGAATGGGAAAAGCAGTGGATTAAATGTCAGAAAGCCAGGACTTTTTATCCTTCTCTTTATTACTTACCAGTGCTATGACCTTTGGCAAGCACATTTAGCATGTCTATTTTCTCATCTAAAAATGGGAGTAGTTCTTATCTCAACCTGCCTTATAGGATTACCGTGGGAATGCAATCATAAGGTGTGAAAATGCTTCATAAAGAAAGCACCGTACAGACTTCCTATGACATTACTACGACACCAAGTTCTGGGAAGAAAAGGGGAGAGTTTTCTAGAGGACCACTCTTGGTCATTCGTCTTGTTGCCATTTTCCTTCCCAACACCAATCCTGCTTTTGTCTCACTCGGTTTGTGTGTTGGGCTAATCACCTACAGGCTACGTCATGGCCTCATCTCCAGCCTTGCTCCTCCCCCTCCCTTACCTGTTCTTTCTACAGCCAGTCCTGCGCTGCCAGCCGGCTCCACCCTGGTACACAGCCATTTGTTATGTTCCAGGAAGAAGCTAAACTCTGCTCCCTTTCACCCAACATAAACCTTGATGTCTCCCTTCTGTCAAAAAAAAAAGAGGATTAGACGCCAGAGAGACACTATATATAGTTTTTCTTTGACTGCTGGAAAAGATAAGTGTCTGACAAGAGACAGGAATTGTTTGCCTATAAATTGAGTGCCAGCAGGTTTATCGCTGACCGCTGTAGATTATGTTGAGTGGAGTAATCAGAAGGAAGAATGGGAGGCTACAATAACACTGTGATAGCGGCGATTTGGACTCCACAATCAAACTCTCCTTGACTTATGCACCCTGGGTGGAAAGTACTTATGTTACAAAACAACAGGAGGTCCTGGCCCTGAGTTACTTATGTGTCTCACAGGCAGTGAGGCGATCCCTCGCCTGTTAGATTGGTAAGCTCCTTGGCTGGGTCCGATGTCACCGGAGAGGGCTGGACGGGATGGTGGGGATGGAAAGGGCTTCCTCCCACAGGGCATGGCACTGGCCCAGAGCCGGAATCCAGAGAGCTGCTGAGAAGGGCAGTAAATGCCTGGTGCAGAATAATATTTGGGCAGGGTGTTTCTTGAACCATGGGTGGCTGGTCGTTTTCTATGCTTCCCTCCTCCTGCAATCCTGGATGCTGCAGGTGATAAATAAATTCTTCAGTCCTAGTGGCGCCCAGTGTCTTCTTGGAGGACCCGGGCTGGCCCCCAGATGAGGTCACCATGAGGTTTACAAATCACATTAGTGGAGCCCAAAGGGCTCATGACAACTTCCGTGGATTCTAAGTCCTTTCTGCTTGGTTGGTGCACTCATATGGTGCTGTGGTCTAAGAGGTGAGGTCCCCTCCCAAACAGTCCTGTGAATGGCGGGGAGGCACTGGCGTGGCCAGGGAGCTGCGATGACTCTCTGAGTGTGGAGCTCAGTGATGTTAATGCTCTGCCAGCAAGCGTGCATCAGCTCCAGGAGACTCCTGCTCCCCCAACTTGGCAGTGGGTTTGCTTTCTTGATAAATCACCCTCATAAACAATTGGATTTGGCCCAGATAAGTGTCTTTTGATCATGTATGCTACTCCCATTATGCCTCATTTGTGACTCCAGCGGGCTCACAAAAGGGACAGACTCAGTCCCTAGTAAAATGGACGGTCTGCATTCGCCGTGGGATTCTGTGGGGTGAACAGCCTCGGTACTGTTAAGACAAGACATGGTGTCAGAAGGAGGAGCCCATGATAGGTGCCTCTTCCAAAAGCCAAAGAGTTGAATTCAGTGCTCACAAACCTCCCAGGTGCTCCTCACTGTCTTTGAAATGAAGCCTCACCTCTCTCTCTGAAGAGGCATCAAGGCCTCAGCCTGTCTTTCCAGCCTCATCTCTTGCCACTCCCTGCCTGCAGTGCTGCGCGCACCCCTCCAGCACTGCCCACATTCTTTCAGTTCCTCAGCAGTTCGGTGTCTGTGCTCATGGACATCACTCATGCTACTCCCCTTTGGCTCAAACACCTTTCTTTCTGGTGAGCTTCTACTCATCCTTCAAAACCTAACTCTAGGGCACCCTTATTCTAACTTCGGGGTCCATCCATCCTCCTCACTGACACTCAGAACTACAATGAAATATTTCCTTGTCTGTGCTCTTCAGGGCAGGCTGCTTATCTCTCTAGGGTATGGTCTATCATCTGGCACACTAGGTGTTCGCTCAAGGCCTGTTTTCCCCACTGAATACTGGACTCCTCCAGGGCTGAGATCTTGCTTGTTTAACTTTACATACTCAATAACCAACCATGTTAGAATCTCAATTTCCTCTGAACTAAAATAATGCACCTGTAACAAATGTGACAAAGCCAAGTGGCAATTGCCGCTTACTCACTGAACACCTATGAGGGTAAAGTGAGATAATTCACAGAAAAGCATGATCCTCTTCCACAGCACCTTATGGTACATTGCCAATAAGAGTAAGATGGAGTGGCAGTAAGATGGGTGGAGATATGGTTTGGCTGTGTCCCCACCAAAATCTCATCTTGAATTGTTCCCATAAGCCCCACGTGTTGTGGGAGGTACCAGTGGGAGGTAATTGAATCATGGGGTCAGTTACCCTCATGCTGTTTTTGTGATAGTGAGTGAGTTCTCACGAGATCTGATGGTTTTATAAGGGGCTTTCCCCCCTTTTGCTCGGCACTTCTCTCTTGCCTAATGCGGTGTAAAACATGCCTTTCGCCTTCTGCCATGAATATGAGGCCTCCCCAGCCAGGTGGAACTGTGAGTCTGTTAAACCTCTTTTTCTTTATAAATTACCCCCTCTTGGGTAAGTCTTTATCAGCAGTGTGAAAATGGACTAAACAGTTGGAGACGTGGATTGAGAGCAGGGGAGAGAAGGCTGAAGATGCATCTTCTGGGAATAATCCTGTGCCTTTATTTTGATTGTTTATTTTATCTTTCATCAGAATTTCTTAACTTTTATTGTCACTACCAATAGTGTAATTGCTTGGCTGCATGTCATTGCTGAGGGGAGCAACATTGAATTGACAATCAAGACACCCAGATTCAAATCTAGCTCTGCCATAAATCATAAATCATCTTTGTTAGGGTTTCCTTACTTGTGAAGCGGGTGACTCGGCCCGGTACCATCTTGCTGACTAAACGGTTTTACAGATAATGAGACAATCAACTGAAGAGTACTAGATAGATCCCACCACTTGCCAAGCATTTTGCTGGGATCTTTACATAGTTTATTTCTGTAGCTCACTCTTGGCTATGAGATAGACTCCATCATTATCCTCATTTTACTGGAGAGGGCTCCAAGGTACAGAGGGTCTCCAAAGGTGAGGCGTTGCCTAAGTAGCAGAAACTGTGAAACTGTCTTCCAAAGTGGTGGTATCAGTTTGCATTCCCACCAGCAGTGAAGCAGCATTCCTGTTGGCCCACATCTTTGCCAGCATGGGTGTCAGTGTTTTGGATTTCAGCCATTCTGATAAGTGTGAAGTGGCATCTCGTTTTGCATCAGGGTGTGTAGCAGGGTGTGATTTAGGCTGAACTCTAAGTCCAGAGTCAGGCAGCTATTCTCTGCCTATTGTACATTACTTGTATTTTGGATATAAGGATGCACAATTTTCTGCTACTTTTAGGCATCATGAAAGGGCCCATGATCTCTGCAAAAACTTGAAATACCTAAATGTCATGTGGTTGCCAAGTTTTGTTCATCTAATTTCATCAATAGAACTTTCCTTTAAATGGTCTAGGAAGTCTGTGTCTAGTTTATGCTCCCCACTACTGCCAATGTGATCTTTTTCAAATAGAATCTGATCATGAGTATCCCCTCTTCAGAGCCTTCAGGCCCTCCATCAAAACTCCAATCAAAACTAAGATTTTAAATGAGAATTTCAAGGCCCCTTATGATTCAGCTCTCACATACATCTACTGTTTCTTTCACTTTTCTCTCCCCAACACCACCTCAACCCCCACCCTGCTGGTGCCACCAATCCAATGGACAAGCTGGAAGTAGCAGTGCTTCCTCTAAACCCAATATCCATACAGTGTGTGGGCTCAGTTAACTAGGCATGGATTCTCCTTATCTAAAGGATTTCCCCACGGACTTTCCTTCTCAGCCTGGCAAGCTGTTTTATTATTGTACACCTTGTTAAGATATTATTTCTTCTTCAAAGATTTATCCAACCCTGAAAGAAATTTCTAACCATTCTCTTTGTGGTAGGCATGGCTAATTGCCCAATCCACATTTCCCCCATCTCTTCTTTCTCATTTTCTGCATTAGTCATGAGTTAATCCATTGCTACTTAACAAATTAGCCCCAAACTTCATTAAAACAGCAGCAATCACTTATGATCTCATGCCATTTCTGAGAGTTATGAATTGCTATGGTGTGAACGTTTGTGTCTCCCCAAAATTCATATGTTGAAATTCTATCCCCCAGTGTGATGGTATTAGGAGGTGGGGCCTTTTGGAGTTGATTAGGTCATGAGGGTGGAGCCATCATGAATGGGATTAGTGCCCTTATGAAAGAGACCCTCTTGCCCCTTGTGTCATGTGAAAATGCAGCAAAAAAGATGGCTGTCTATGAACCAGGAAGAAAGCCCTTACCAGACACTGAATCTGCTGGCACTTTGATCTTGGACTTCCCAGCTTCTAGAACCATGATAAATAAATTTCTGTTGTTTATAAACTACCTGGTCTATGGCATTTTTGTAATAGCAGCCCAAACACACTAACACAGAAATCCATGAGGGGGTTAGTTGGGTGATTGTGGCTGAGGGGCTCATGACATTGCACTGGGTTACAACTGGGGCTGCAGTTATCTGAAGGCTTGATGGGGCTGGAGGAACTGCTTCTAAAGTGGCTTGAGCACACAGCTGATGTGTTAGTGCTGGTGGCTGACAGGAAGCCTCAGTTCCTCACCACATGGACCTCTCCATATAGCTGATGGAGTGTCTTCACCACATGATGGCTGGCTTGTCCCAGATCTTCCTTTCTCACTGATCTCCAATTTTGTTCAGTGCAGCAATGTGCCCACTTTATAAAATTGAATTCCCAGCTCACTTGTGCCTGGTGGCCCCATGACATCATTCTAGCCGATGAGGTGTATGTGGATGTCTATTGGGTGGAGCTTCCTGAACAGCTCTTAATTTCCTGGTTAAAAGAGACAGTCTCACTTGGTACATGCCTTTTGACCTTCACTGTTAGCTGTTTTTCATGCCCACAACCCACATTCGATGTCTGGATGTGCAAGCAGTCATCTTATAGGCATAAAGATGAAAGTCACAAATGACGGATGGTGGGGGGGAATGATAAAGGGAGTTTGAGACCTGATGGCTTAATGGAGCTTCTGGTGCTACCTCCCTGGACTGACTACATAGCTCTGCACTTTCTGTTATTTGGGAAAAATGACTCCTATTTGGTTATGTCACTGTTTCTTGCTACGTGCACCTGGACACAATCCTAGTCCCAATACATTCCTTTGTCATCTTCTGACTTCTATAATTACACAGTACATCACACTGAATTTTCATTCCTTATTTACGTAGGTTTCTCCTCAACTCTTCAGTGAATTACTTGAGGGCAAACATTGGGTCAGACTTAGCCTTGTACAGTACATTTTTATTAAATTGATGAGTTTATATTTAAAATAAACCTTTAATAAATTCTTCGAACGTTTCCCTCAGAGAATAAGCTCAATCATTCTATTGGTGTTCAGCAAATCTTGTCTCATCCTGAGCTTCTTTCCCACCAGTGCCAAGACCTGGGTCAGAGAAGAGAGACATCAAAGGCAGCCGAGGGGGTGGGGAGGGAAAGACCTGTTTGATGTGAAAATAGAGGGAGGGGTCTTTCGTGGGTTGACTACAAAGAAGCACTTCTTCTGTGAAAGTGGCTGCTGGCTCACCAGGTCATTGTTTTTGCCATTCACCTTGCATGGGTCAGAGGACTTGAAGATAGATTCCCGCAGCCAGAGAGTCTACAATCATCGCAAACATGACTCTAACCTGTCACTGCCCCCTGCCCCCTTTTAAGGCCTCTCCCTCAAAGGATAAGAAGGGAAGAGTCAAAGTTGATTCCAGGGTGATGAGGTGACTAGGAGGATGGCTTGTCATTAAGAGAAATAGGTGGTCAGGGGTGGGGGGCAGAGACACACAATACAGTGGGGTTTCTTCCACATCCCAGTGGTGCTGGGCAGCAGGCCAGCAGGGAGGTGGCTCGGAGAGTTGTCAAGATGGAAGTGATCCCTGGAAATGTGGGGAGGAAGGGATCCCCCAAGGGCATTTTCTGCCCAAGTAAAGCAAGGAGAGAAAGAGGAGAGGGCCAGAACTCTGGGAAATCTCTAAACTTGGGCGAATCAAGAGAAACAAATGGGATTTTTAGGGCAGTGGAACGATGCGATTCTGTAGTGGTGGATGCCTGTCATTATACATTTGTCAAAACCAAAAGAATGGACAAGACAAAGAGTGCACCGTAATGTAAACTGTGGGCTTTAATAATATTGTATCAGTATTAGCTCATCTATTATAACAAACGTACCATGCTAACGCAAGATATTAATAATGGGGAAGTTGGCAGGGGTAAGGGGGAGTTATGTGGAAACTCTCTGTGCTTTCTGCTCAATTTTTCTGTAAACCTAAAACTGCTCTAAAAAATGAGGTCTATTAATTTAAGAAAACCCACAAAAAATAGAGAAAGAAAAACGGGAAGGAGAAAAACAAAACGAGTTCAGTCTTGGATGCCAAAAGAGAAGAAGAGGAGGAAGGCGAAGGAACACTCTGGATTAATGGAACTGACATCAAGTCAGGAATCAGAATAGCCTCTACCGAGCCATTTACTATGTGTGACCTTGGGGAATCCACTTACTACATCTGTTATGTCTGGGATTCATTATTACTGTTCTTACCTGTGTAATAACTGTGTAAGACATTAGAGTGTTTCCCCAAACTTGGTAAACATACCAAAATCAGTTGGTGGTTTTGAAGATACTGGAATGTGACCTTCAAAATAATATTGAATCACACAGTAAGAAAGTAATCTGCTTTTCAGTTCAAATTTGGTGAAATACAAAGTTTCAATTTGATGTTAGTATGACTGTAATGGCTTTGCAATAATTAACTGCTGAGCTCAATTTTTATTGTGATAAATAAAATATATATAATATAAAATACATATAATATAAAAATCACCACTTTAACCATTTTTAGGTGTACAGTTCAGTAGCATGAAGTACATTCACATTGTTGTACAATTATTATCATTATCTCCAGAACTTTTTTTTATTTTTTGAGACAGGGTCTCGCTCTCCTACCCAGGCTGGAGTGCAGTAGTGTGATCATAGCTCACTGCAACTTTGAACTCCTGGCAATCCTTCCATCTCAGCCTCTCAAAGTGCTGGGATTACAGGCATAAGCCACTGCGCCTGGCCTATCTCCAGAACTTTTTAATGAACCCAAACTGAAACTCTATATCCATTAAATAATCATTCTCCATCCCCCCTTCCCCAGCCCCAGACAACCACCATTAATACTTTCTGTCTCCATTACTTTGACTACTCTAGGTATCACATATAAGTAGAATTGTATAATACTTGCCCTTTTATATCTGGCTTCTTTCACTTCACGTAATATCTTCAAGTTAATCTATGTTGCAGCATGTGTCAGAATTTCCTATCATTTTAAGGTTGAATAATATTCCATTGTACAGATTGACCACATTTTGCTTATTCATTCAACTATCCAGGACACGGGTTATTTCCGCCTTTGGATTTTGTGAATAATGCTGCTATGAACATGGGCATACAAATACCTCTTCAAGGCCCTGCTTTTGATTTCTTTGTGTACACGTCCAGAAGTGAAATTGGTGGATCAAATGGTAGTTCTACGCTTAATTTTTTGAGGACCCTCCGTACTGTTTTTCACAATGCCTGCAGCATCCTTATTTTAAGACAAAATGTGAATGGACTGTGGGCTCTAAGCCTTGTCAGGAAATCGTTTCTGGCTAGACTTACAAAGGAAATGCGGGAAACGTGGTCACTCAAGCGTGGCCCCCACTATGTCCTCCCAATGCCCCATTCCTTGCCTCTCCTATGGGCCATCAAAGAAATCTGTGGGCACCTGGGCGTGAGGCTCCGCTGAGATCCTTATGGGTGGGACTGGGGTGGAGCCTCCTCCTCGTGGGTTGGACAGTGGTTAGAAAGCAGTGTCTGGGACTAGGTCCTGGGAAAAGTCTGGCATCTGGGGACAGGGGAAGGGTTGATGTTGACCCTTGTGAGTGAGACAGGCCTCTATGGACCTGGAAGGGCCAGGAGGAAGCTCAGTAGGTGGAGTGAGCCTTCCTCCTCTGGGTGGGAGCAGTGGGGGAAACCAGAGAGCTGACTTTCTCCAGGGGCTCAGGAGTTCACCTTCAGCCACAGGCCACAGTCTCTGACTTTAAAATTGAACAACAATGTTTTGTTTTCACTGAATTTCTTTATACTAGTGCCTCTTATTTAAGACCAATGATACTGATTATTAATAAGAACAATATACATTTTTCTTTCAAAATAAATTTGTTAAAATAGGTGAGTCTATTTAAGAAAAATGCTTAGTAAGTAACTGAGGGACAAAAGGATATGGCAAACATGGGGAAGGTGGTACGATCATCTAGCCTGAAGTTTGGGACTGAGATATTGCATGCTTTTTTCAGAGTCATGAGGTTCAAATGACAAAACATATGTGAAAGTGTTTCATGAGCTATAAAGCACCCTTTGGGTGTAACACAGCATCATTTTCATGACAGATGCTGCAGGTGGTCCAGTAGAGTGGTGCAGGAAGGCAGGCAGGACTGGAGAGTAAGGGGGAGGTGGGGAATAAGGAGGACCAGGGTAGGCAGGAGGTTAATGGGTTTGGTGGTGAAGGGAAGACAGACCTGAATTTTTTTTTTTTTTTTTTTAAGAATGGGGACATTGAGTGTGATCTCTCACATGGAGGGGAAGCAGCAGAATCTCATCTGACAGCACACGTGGGCAGCAGCGATGGCCTGGTGGGGCAGTAGAGGTGGGATTATGGGCAAGACTGGGAAGGGTGTGCTCCTTTCTCAGAGACCAGAGCTCTCTGGTTTGGCAGTGGTAGAGAGGAGAGAGGCTAGCCTGCGAATGGGCGTCCTCAGGGAAGCAGGAAGTGAGTGGGTGTGGGCAGGTCTGCAGTTCACTCCGGATGGAAGGAAGGCTGCCGGGAGTAGGAACCTAGGGCAGCATTCTTCACACTCTATGTGCAGAGTGTCTCCTGGGCAGAGGCTTCAGAATACAGATTCCTGGGCTCTCCCCTCTGCCTCTACTTCTGAATGTCTAATGGCAGGCCTGGGAACTGTGTCTGTAACATATACTCAGAGAGGATGATGCTGGAGAACAATTAGGAGATCCAATGAAGACACCAAGGGGAGCAAAAGAGACTGTCAGCACTTTGGTTGGAGCTAGAGTTGGTCAAGGCATTATTCCATGTATTTCACCTGGTTTTCACTCATTTGACAGGGATCTATTGTGCTTTGGTGTGTCCAGTACTGTGGGAAACACAAATAAAGGAGGTAGAGCGGTGGGGAGAGTGAGACTGGTGAAGGCCCAGCAGCTGTTCCAGGCACTGTTTCTCCCTGGCAGAGGCTGGATTCATGGATGATGCTGGTACTGAGGCGTGGTTTGACTTTGAGGAGCATGAATGCCTGGCCTTTGGTATCTAGAGAGATGAAAGGTACAGTTTCAGCCTGGACATTCAGTTTTCCCTGCCAAATCTAGGTAGACGATGACTTGAGTTCTTAAGTACACAAGGAGCAGTCCAGGGTCCTGGGTGTTGGATGATTTCTATAATGCCAGCTGGCATTTTTGCTCCGTTAGTGTGCCACAGATGGGGGAGTCACTGGTGAGTGCCACTGAGGGCAGGCCTTATTCTGCTTCCTTTCTTGGGACAACATTGACTCCTCTGGTTTAAGCTGACAGAGATTTCTCCTGGTGTTGGTGCTAGCCATCTTCCAGATGAGATTAAAACCTAAAATGCTCATTTAGTTTGTCTTAAAAGTGTCTTACAAGCAACTTGTCTGCTGAGCTCTGTGTGCTGCAATCATGGCAGGAAATGGAATCTCGGGTTTCAGGCAGGGGCAAGTGATACAGTTTAGAGTTAGTGTTGAGGCTTGAAGACTGTAGGGTTACAACATTCAGTTGGATGTGATTCAGAGCAAGTTCGGACAGTCTTTCTCTCAGAAATTGACGCAAGGCTGCACTCTATTTACTGGAAGGCTTGCAGGCGGTTGACTGCTAATGTGCTCATATGGAATTTGGGCAACAACACCTCTTGCCCTCTCTAGACTGTCACTAAGTACACAATCCGATGCTTGTCATGCTGACTTGGTTTCCTCTGTTCTACTGAGGACTTGGTTGTCCTTCCTCAATCTTTCCCTTCATATCACACATGGTATGACTCTTACCAACCTTCCCTTTAGCTATACCACATCAACTATTCAACTGCAGTAGCTGTTGGGCAATTGGAGACTGTCTTTTCTTTGCCTTCCTGGGAAGAGGCCATGATGGTTCCACGCCAGCAGCCCTGAGGTGGGAGGGGCTTGTTGCTTTCACCAGGGACCGTGGTACCACCATCACCTTGGTGGGTTTGATGCAACATGAGGAGGTGGATGATGGAACAGGCGCCCCTAGATTGGGTCCTCTGCTATGGGGGAGGGGTCATTAAAAGATCTGCTTTAGGTGAATCACTCTAGGCTGGGGCAGGGTCCCAGCAGAATGTGATTTCTACTTCTAAAGGTACCCAGAGGTACCAATTTCACTCTGAAAGGAGCCAGTTCTTGCTCTGCTCCAATTTGCTCTTTAGTCTTCTGGGTTGAGACAAATATGTTCAACAGAGCCCCCTTGTGGAGAGAGACAATGTACAACTGTCTATCAAAGGCCCTGAGAAGGCCTGTAGCAAAGAAGCCCACTGCCTTTAATTCGGCATTTCCCAATATTATTAAGCCATAGAACCTCCTTTTCTAAATTTTGCTATGTACTCCTGGGGGAACTAGTGTTCCACAAAGTGCCCTCTGCGAAACACTGTTCTAAGAATTTAATAATTCCAAAACCTCCCTTGCCCTTTAAAAAAAAAAACACCAAAAAAACAAAAACCTGTATCTGGGGTATATACCCTGGTGACTGGTAATCATAATCTTAAAATGAAAAAGTTAGAAGGGCCTGCTTTTCCTTTCTTTAGAAACAGAAGAAAAAATGAGTACATAATTAGCATATGCTAACTGCTATAACAGGCAACTCCCTGAATTTTGATTATCTTAAACTACATACATTTATCTCTCTACCATGTCACAGCTCAGTGCAGTTAGTGGGGAGCCCTACCCTGTGCAGTCATTCAGGGTTTCATTCTTCTCCCACTGTGTGGCTTTGCCATGTCCAGAATGGGACTTCAATGTCACCTTGCTGTGGTCCAGCTGGCAGATGGGGGAAGAGAGAGAGTAAAGAAGACACACGTGCTGAACTCCTTGGGCCCAGCAGTGACATAGCCAGCCCTACATACATGCTATGGTGAGACCCTCTGTGGTGCCCCACCTAGATACAGGCATGCCAGGAAAGGCAGCTTAGCCTTGTGTCCAGAAAACTGAAACACGCACGGCGAACATCTGAGTCCTCTCTGCCACTGTGAGATAAGACATTGAGATGAGGTGTCTGAATCCTAGTCTGGGCGGAGGCAGAAGGAAGGGACCCAAGAGATGGTGAAGACAGAGAGAAAGGCAGGACCGGGAGCCTGGAGCAGAAGGAAAAGGACACCCGGGAGCCAGCCTAGGAGAGGCAGAGCCAAAGATTCCAGGGTCTCCATGAATAGAAGGTGCCATCTTGAGGCTCTGAGAAGGGATTGGATGCTTTTAAAGAAGCATGGGAGTCGGGCGTGGTGGCTCACACCTATAATCCCAGCACTTTGGGAGGCTGAAGCAGGCAGATCATGAGGTCAGGAGTTTGAGACCAGCTGACCAACACAGTGAAACCCCGTCTCTACTAAAAATAGAAAAAAAAAATTAGCTGGGTGTGGTGGCAGGCTCCTGTAATCCCAGCTACTCAGGAGGCTGAGGCAGGAGAATTGTTTGAACCTGGGAGGTGGAGGTTGCAGTGAGCCGAGATCGTGCCACTGTGCTCCAACCCAGGTGACAGAGTGAGACACTGTCTCAAAAAAAAAAAAAAAAAAAAAAAAAAGCATGGAAGAAAAGAAGGAAAAGGACATGGGTGAACAGAAATTCTAGAAGCACGTAAGGGTAGCAGCGGTCTGTAGGTAACTTCCATACTAGGGAATCATTCTCGTTTTCTTTATAGTATATTGAAATAATATACATTTACCTGAGGGGAAAAAAAGCATTTCTTTTGAAGTAGGAACAAGTCGGGAAAGAATTTACTTTTATTAGCTTTACTTTAGTAAAGTATCTTTGTTCCACTGGTCCAGGGCTTCTCAACTTGTATGCCACCAATGGTCTTCCCACGCCTTAGGGAATGGGATGGGGTGGGAATAGAATCCCTCAACAATCTCCTCTGGCTCTGGAATCTCCTCCTTTTTCCTGAATGAGTCATACCAACATCATCATTTTCTGTGTGTACCATAATGCACAAAACTCTGGGAAGCTCCACATTAGCTCAGTATCAGTGTCTGCCAAGGTATGGGGTTGGTACCCATCGTAAAACTCCATAATCAACCCATCAATTACCATATTTTATCTCTTTACACCCTGTGTTGCATAAATGCCCAAGAAGCAAGAAGCAATCAAATTAGAAATAGTTGCAGAAAATATGACAAAGGAAAAATAAAGATTGGAAAGACAACAAGGAGACAAGAGAGAGGTCGGCTTGGTACCCAGGAAGGCATGTGGAATAGACTTGAGTGAACTACACATTCCACAGCATCAATGAGATGAAAATAAAATGGATATTCAGAAGCAGCCTATTCCTCTCAGTAAAAAAGGTCCTAGAAAAAGACATCTTTCCTGATGATCCCAACCCTCCATAACATTTTTATAGTGAATACAAGCACACACTTTGTGGGACTCTTCTTCAGAGTGTTCTTCAGTGTACGTTCAGGGCAAAATTCCAAAGTTCAGGCTGGGAAAAGTAGTTTGGGAAGGGGTGAAGGTGGGGCCAGGAATGCATCTGTGTGAGATGATGTTCAACATCCCAGGGAATCCATAAAATGTAAATAAAAATGCAATGCTACTTTCCAGCTATCAGATTGGCAAAGATTACAGAGACTAATTCCAAAGAGGAATAATGCCTCATACCTGTGAGGGTGTGTAGAAACTGGCACTTCTGATATTTCTAAATTGATACAACCTTCTTGCATAGCAGTTTGGCTGTGTAAAAACACATCAAGACAAGTATGGCCTTGAGGAAGACTCTTTCTAGAAAATTCACTGAAGGAAATAATCATGGGTGTGTCCAAAGATGTACTTACAAAGATGTTCATCATTGCATTTTTTCTAATGTCTAAAAATGAGAAAATAGGGGATTGAAGAAATTGTAGTTTACCTATGAAGTAGGATAGACACTAAAAATCATGTTGAAGAAAACAATGTAAAAATAAACCATGTTGGATGATTTTTTACTGACATGGGAATCCATTTATAACTAAACAGATGAGACAAGCATATTACTATGCAATATAATTTTATTTTTTTAAAAAAATGCACACAAGTGTACACACACACATCCTAGAATTATATACATTAAAATGTACATAGTGGTTTTCTTCATAAGGTGATATTTTGAGTAATATACGATACACAGTTTTTCATTTTCTCTGTTTCTTTTTCCTTGCGTTTATCTTCTAAATTTTTGACACTAAGAAATAAAAATCCATTTTTATTTTTTCTTTATGATTATTTATTTTTAACCAACAAAAATTGTACACAGACAGTCCTCAATTTACGATGGTTCAACTTACGATTTTTGACTTTATGATGGTGGGAACATAAGGTGAAGTCGGTAAAAACAGTGTTTTGGGTACCATTCTGTTTTTCACCTTCAGTACAGTATTTAATAAATTACTTGAGATATTCAACACTTTCTTATAAAAAGGTCTTTGTGTGAGATGATTTTGCCAAACTCTAGGCTAATGTAAGTGCTCCGAGCACGTTTAAGGCAGGCTAGGCTAAGCTATGGTAAAATTCCATTTTTAAAGTGAGGGATAGGGGCTAATCATTTTTATACCATTCAGAGTCCTTCAAAATGACGATAGAGAACAGAGGAGCAAATTCTCTATACTATGCCATCCTCCCTGGGCAAGGGACATGAACCACGCTCTCCCCAGAAGCATGTCTCACATTGATGCAATGCCATCGCCTCTGTAATAGTTTGGGGTGGAATTATCCATTTCGGTTATTATACCTAATAGAAATCACAATGGTAAGAAAGTGGTTCGCTTACCATAGAAATCACTTTCAAGCAACTAACCCATCCACCATCCTCTCTGTTCTGGGACTATGTCATCTTTTCCTCTTCTATCCAACTTCAGCAGCTTCCTCCCATGGTCACATCCTGATCCTTGTCAGTTCCGGGAACTTCTCCATAGAAAACAAACATCCCACTCTTGAACTTAGCCTCTTCTCCTCTCCAGCCGTCTATTCAACACCCCTTCCATCTTCAATTGCTCTTAGAATTAATTGGGACCTTTGACCAGCTCCCCATATATACATTTTCTCATTATCCATCACCTGCCTCCTGTCTTTATTGTTCAGTTCAGATTTCATAAAACTAATCTTTTACATATTAAATTCCTATGCATCTCTGTCCTTCCAAAATGGAATTAGCAAGACTCCAACCCTGGATCAATCCATCCTCTACCTTCTCCTGGCGTCTGAAAATCGCCGGAGGAAATCTGCACAACTGTGTCAATTTTTAACATCATAAATTCTGAAATAACAATGCTAACTGGGATCCCGATGGAGTACAGCAAACTTACTTCATTTTTCCAGAGAGCTCACTCTTCCCTCCTTCACCAAGATGCCTCCATTCCCTGTACTCTCTCTAAAAGTTGGTTCCACTGGAACCCTCCCTCAGTTTCAGCCTCATAGTGGAGCTGCCAGATGGAGCCTGTTGCTGAGCCCAGGCTCTCACTTGCCCCTACGCTCATCCGCCACTTCTTGCTCCTAACCACACTGGAGGAACTGTGCTCAGATCCCTCTCTGCTGCCTTCTTGGGGCCTCCTTCAGGTAGGAAGGCCCTCTCCTCCTTCATCTTAGCTTCTCCCCTTTATTACGTCCCTTTCAGGATTCAAACACACCCTCAAGTCTTAAAAATAAACAAGAACAACAGATCAGCAAACAAACCCAGCATCAAAATCTATTCGAGAGCCCAGTGTCCCAGGCCCTTATCCTGGAACTGGCTGAGCTCCAGGACAGGAATCCAACTGATGAAAGCCTCACTCTAGGGGATCCAGAGCAGCTGGAGGAATGCGTCCCATGGCCTCGCTGCACCGGGCAGCCACTGCGGCCGTGTTGCCTGGTGGCCATCTTTGGGAAGGGGACACCCCCTCAGCAGGATGCTGCAAAGGGAGAGTTCTGAAGGCAGAATCTATAAAAAGATTCTGTCCATATAAGCTTAGTGAGTGCTTCTCAAAGTGTAGCCCATGGGCCACCTACATCAGAGTCTCCTGGGGACATCTGGCAAAAACTTTTTTGGATTCCTGGACCCCATTCTATTGAGTCACAATCTCTGGGGAGTGTCTGTAAAACCTGCATTAAAAATTTCAACTTTTGGCCGAGCGTGGTGGCTCACGCCTGTAATCCCAGCACTTTGGGAGGTCGAGGCAGGTGGATCACGAGGTCAGGAGATTGAGACCATCCTGGCCAACATGGTGAAACCCCGTCTCTACTAAAAATACAAAAAATTAGCTGGGCATGGTGGCGGGTGCCTGTAGTCACAGCTACTCGGGAGGCTGAGGCAGGAGAATGGCGTGAACCCAGGAGGCGGAGCTTGCAGTGAGCCGAGATTGAGCCTCTGCACTCTAGCCTGGGCAACAAAGCAAGACTCTGTCTCAAAAAAAAAAAAAAGCAAATAAATAAATAAATAAAAATGTTTTTTTCAACTTTTATTTTTGACTCAGGGGGTACATGTGCAGGCTTGTTACACGGGTATATTGCATGATGCTGAGGTTTGGGGTATGAATGATTCCATCACTCAAGTAGTGAGCATTGTACCTAATAGGAAGTTTTCCAGCCCACATTCCCCTTCCTCCCTCCCGCTTCTAGTAGTCTCGACTTTCTATTGTTCCCATCTTTATGTTCATGTGTCCTCAATGCTTAGTTCCCACTTATAAGTGAAAACATGTGGTATTTGGTTTTCTGTTCCTGTATTCATTTGCTTAGGATCATAATCTCCAGCTGCATTCATGTTGCTGCAAAGGACCTGATTTCATTCTTGTTTATGGTTGTGTAGTATTCCATGGTGTATATGTACTATATTTCCTTTATCTAATCCATCTTTGATGGGCACCTAGATGGATTCCATGACTTCACTATTGTGAATAGTGCTGTGATGAACATATGAGTGTGTGTGTCCTTTTGGTAGAAAAGTTTATTTTCTTTTGGGTTTATACCCAGTAATGGGATTGATGGGTCAAATGGTAGTTCTGTTTTAAGCTCTTTGAGAAAACTACAAACTACCTTCCACAGTAGCTGGCCTAACTTACATTCCCACCAGCAGTGTTTAAGTGTTCCCTTTTCTTTGCAACCTCCCCAGCCTCTGCTATTTTTTGACTTTTTAATAATAGCCATGCTGACTGGGGTGAGATAGAATCTCATTGTGGTTTTGATTTGCATTTCTGTTATGACTAGTGACAATGAGCATTTTTAAAAATATGTTTCTTGGCCACTTGTATATCTTCTTTTGAGA
Organism: Homo sapiens; assembly: GCF_000001405.40. NCBI lineage: Eukaryota > Metazoa > Chordata > Mammalia > Primates > Hominidae > Homo > Homo sapiens. The sequence goes on from NC_000007.14 coordinate 33,750,464, forward strand.
AGCAGCTGTTCATGTCCTTTGCCCATCTTTTTTTTTTTTTTTTTTTTTTTTTTCTGAGACGGAGTCTTGCTCTGTAGCTCAGGCTGGAGTGCAGAGGTGTGATCTCAGCTAACTGCAACCTCTGCCTCCCAGGTTCAAGCGATTCTATTGCTCCGCCTCCCATGTAGCTGGGATTACAGGTGTGCACAACCATGCCTGGCTACTTTTTGTATTTTTAGTAGAGATGGAGTTTCACTGGATGTTGACCAGGCTGGTCTCGAACTCCTGACCTCAAGTGATCTGCCCACCTTGGCCTCCCAAAATGTTGGGATTACAGGTGTGAGCTACCGCTCCCAGCCTTGCCTGTCTTTTAATGAGGTCATTTGTTTTTTGCTTGCTGATTGAAGTTCCTTACACATTCTGGATAGTAGTCCTTTATTGGATGCATAGTCTGCAAATATTTTCTCTCATTGTGCAGGTTGTCTGTTTACTTTGTTGCTATTTTCTTTTGTTGTGCAGAGCCCTTTAGTATAATTAGGTCCCACTGTTGTTTTTTTGTTTTTCTTACAATTGCTTTTGGGGACTTAGCCATAAGTTCTTTGCCAAGGCTGATGTTGAGTAGGTGAAATCTGCATTATTAACAGTTCCCTAAATTACTCTTATGTGTACAAAGCAGCCTAGACCCTGAGAGATGATTAAATGATCTTCAGAAATTCCATTCTCCTCAGAATAACATTCTGTTCTTTTCTGGAAGACAATAAAAAAGTGGAGAAGCTCAGCCTTACCTACTTCTCTCCCTGAGAACTACTAGGGGAGACCTGGGCACGTATCTTCGAAATGCACGGGCCCCCCTTGCTCTTTGATATCTGATGTTCTGGGAGAACACGTATAGGTTCTGACAATGTTTAAAACCTCCTAGTAGGGGCACAACAGTCTCTGATAACACACACATGCACACACACACACACACACACACACACATGGATTCTAAACATGCAAAAAATTCCTGTAAGGCCTGGTAGATATGATGTCAGAAAGAAAAACAATTGCAATATCTTTTGTGTACTATGTCACAGAACTGCAGCCAGGGAAGGGGTTAACATGTTATTCTCTGCAGGTAAGTTTCCTCTCTCTCTCTCTCTTTCTCAATCCATTCTTTAAAGGGCTGGGTAAATCATTGGTGGAGCTGGGCGGGATAGCAGGCAGAGGGAGGGTGTTCAGGCTGCATTTTAGGGGAAGCTGCAAGGACAATTGGGGCAGGAGGGTCCACAGAGTTACCCAAGGGGAAGAAGGACATTGATCCAGCTGCCTCTGTCTGTGGGGTAGCTTCTCACCATGTTCCCTTCTCTATCAGCTTTTGTCTTCTCTGGACACTAAAAAAACAAACCCAAATATGGTCAAATAGAAGAAAAGGAAGGCAAAGAAAAGGAGGAGGAGGAAAAGGAAAATGAAAGAGAAAAGAAAGAAGAAATTCTTTTAAAAGAAAAAGAAGCTAGAAAGTTACAAGGTGAATAAAATTAAAACACTGCCAGAAAAAAAATGTAAGAAAAACAAAGTATTAGTTGAAAATAAAATTTAAAATGTTTGTAAGATAAGGTACATGTGATAAAATGAATGATATTTAAAATAAAAGATAAGAGGCTTGAAGTTAATAAGATAAAAGTTTAAAAGCATAAGCATAGAGGAGGTAAAATATTAAGATAAAATGCTCATAGATGAAAAGCTGAAAATGTAAATCTACAGTTACACGCCATATTACGATGTTTTATTAAACCACAGGACCACATAGATGATGGTGGGCCCATAAGATTATAATACAGTATTTTTACTCTATCTTTTCTGTGTTTAGATATCTTATACACAAATACTGCTGTGTTACAGTTGCCTACGGTATTCAGTACAGGACCATGCTGTACAGGTCTGTAGTCTAGGAGCACTAGGCCATACCACATAGCCTCGGTGTGTAGGAGGCCCTACCATCTAGGTTGTGTAATGCACTCTGTGATGGTCACAACAACGAAATCACCTAAGGACACATATCTCCAAATATATCCCCATCATTAAGCAATGCGTGACTGTAGATGGGATTAGCAATTAAGTTCAGGAATTCAGGACTAAAAATACTAGGATAAAGATATTAAAACTCTAAGATTTCAAGTGTCATTTAGAGTTGGGTGCTTCAGGAAAATAACAGGTTTCCTGCTGACTCCTGTAGATTTTCTGGTGGCTTCTGTGAAGGCTGAATCCTGGAACCACCCCACTGCCCTACAGCCATGGTGGCAATAGACGCTTTCCTGCTTGCAAGTCTTCCTTCCTTCCTTCCTTCCCTCCCTCCCTTCCTCCTTCCCTCTTTCTTTCTTTTCTTTCTTTCTTTTCTTTTCCTTCCTTCCTTCCTTCCTTCCTTCCTTCCTTCCTTCCTTCCTTCCTTTCTTTCTTTCTCTTTCTTTCTTTCTTTCTTTCTTTCTTTCTTTCTTTCTTTCTTTCTTTCTTTCTTTCTTTCTTTTCTTCTTTCTTCTTTCTTTTTTTTTTTTTCTAGTTAAAGTCTTGCTCTGTTGCCCAGGCTAGAGTCCAGTGGCTCAATCTCGGCTAACTGCAACCTCCACCTGCCGGGTTCAAGCAATGCTCCTGCCTCAGCCTCCCTAGTAGCTGGGATTACAGGCATGTGCCACCACGCCCAGCTAATTTTTGTTTTTTTTTTTTTTTTTTAGTAGAGATGGGGTTTCACCGTGTTGGCCAGGCTGGTCTCGAACTCCTAATCTCCAGTGATCTACCTGCCTTGGCCTCCCAAAGTGCTGGGATTCCAGGTGTAAGCCACTGTGCCTGACCAAGTTTCTTTCTTACCCGTGCCTCCATCACTGGTGTTTGGTTTGGATTAAGAATGTAAGGTTGAGACCCAGAAAAATGACTGAATAAAGCCTATCTCTTTAGCCTATTATCTGCCCCCGTGTGCCTGGGAGTTGAGCCACATCAAGCCACCTGTCAGGACACAGACCTCCCTCCTGCCTCTTTGCCCACTGGGTTCCAATCCGTTTGCTTGGAATGCCATTCCTCCCTTCTTTTGCCTGGCTGGGTTTTACCTACCTGATAAACCTTAGCTCGAGAATCATTTCCCTGGGAAGCCTTTTCTGAGTCTCACCACTGTGCTTTCCCACCCCTAGTTTAGTTTATTTTTCAGCCACATTGCAGAATAATTGTTGATTTGCTTGTCTGCCTTCTCCACAGTACCAAAGATCGGGGACCACTGTATACTAATGGAAAAACAGCAACAGCAATAAAGCACGATCTATCCATTTTCTCATCACATCTTCAATAACCCCACAAAGCAGGCTCTGATAGCCACATTTTATAGATGAAGAAACAAAAACTTATTTATTTATTTCCTTGACAAATCTCCACTGACTTTCCACTATGTGCCTGGCATACAGGGGTTAACTAATCTGCCCAAGGCTGCCCATTTAGAAAACTGCAAAGCCAATCATTGAGCCCAGGCCTATCAGATTCTAAGCCTGTGCTCTCGCCAGGATGCCTTTTCTCCTCAGCACATAGTAGGCACTCAGTAAATATTTGTCAAAGAAGTAAATGGCTACATATGAGAGTAAAGGCCCTGGAAACCCAGCCCTCTTTCTCTGAGATCCTCCTCTAGCAATGGGCTGACAGTGCTACTTGGAGGCACTGCAGTTGCGTCTTTTGATCTTCCATGCATCCTTCTAAAGGAGGTACTGTGTTTTAGGAAGATCCCAAAGGTAAACATACAGGTTGCAATAAAGCTTTCCTGAGAATCTTCTTTTGAAAAAGCAAACAGGACACAGACTCCAGAGTTTTCAAATTATTGTGATTTCTAGGATTCGTTTTTATGGTTTGGGAGTGGAATGTATGGCTTAAGCAAACACAATTAAATCCAAATTACCCGTGGCCACGCAGCCACTGGCTGTCTTTCCGTGTGGGAAAAGGCAGGGCTTTGTAGGGCTAGAAAATATCTGAAAAAAATATGAAGTGACTCTGTCTTTTTTTCTTTCCCTTTTTGTAAATGTTCTTTTAAAACACACCAAATTCCTGAGGAATTTGCTGTTTTATCTGTTTATTTTTTTGATTTGTTAGTGTCCTAGAGCATGAAATCTTATTTAAAAGGCACTGTTCTTTCTTGATATGGATGCCCATGATTTTCATTCTTACTTTCTAAGTCCAAAAATGAAATGCAGTTCTGCCTCATTGGGAGCATTTCTGTATTCTTAAAATGTGCTGGTGTTTTTCCGGCTAAAGATGTTTCAGAAGCAGTGGGTAGGCAATTTGTTGTGATTCATAGTGAATTTATTTATATGGAGAATTTTCTCCAAATTTTAAACACAGTGTACCCTTTGGTACTTCGCGTATGTGCCAAAGTGTCATCTCCATATGACTGGTGCAGGCCATTTGAATAAAGTTCCAGATGGGAATCATTGTTCAAATTATTCCTTTCCCATCATCTAAATACAAATAGCAAAATGGAAAGCCGTTTTCCATTGCTTCCCAAACAATAATAATAATAATAATAGTATGAAAAAATCCTGACAGATACCTTCAGATAGTATGATATTATAATGACCGTAACTGCTATAATGGGACTCTTTTACAGATGGCAGCCGAGCCTGATCAAACCATTCATTAGTCCTTCTAAAAACTGTCATATACATTCTCTTCTTTATGGTTCAAAACACAAAAGCCCCTTTGTGCCTTTAGAGACGTAGCTGCAATTTCAAATAAAAAGAGCAGCACATTAGCTGCCATTATGCCTGAGCCATATCATCAGCATAAAAATGAATTTGTAATATTTTGCCACATGTGATGTATTATTGCCGGGCTATGTAAACAATACTGGGTCTGAAATTGAGCCTTGGGGACTCCCTTTACAACTGACAAATTGAGAAACAAGGCCATCAACTCTCACACATTGCATCCGGTGAGTTAAATAACTCAGCCAAGATCCATTTCCAGCCCAGTCTGAGATAATCTCTGTCCTGTAATAATAAATCATAGTCAAGGGCGTCGGATGCCCCAGGCAGATCTATAAACCCGTAAACAAGGCTATGCTCCACAATTTTGATCACTCTTAAAAGCTCAAGCCAAATCATTCATGGGTTTAATCTCAGCATTGGTCACAATTACATTCACAGCTCCCGTCTGCCCATGAAAAACAGCAGAGTTGCTGTTTAGAAATAGATCAAGGTAGTAGCTTTCTCTCTTTGTTGATTTTTTGGCTTTCCCTTCTGTACTCATGAAATCAGTGAAAGCTGGCGTCTGCACTGGGGATCAGCCACAGAGAGCATGGGACAAGTTCTATTTATTCCAAAGGAAGGAAGCAGAGGAAGATTGCATGGTAAAGCCGGGTTGCTGGGCAAATGATTCCATTGTCGTAGAACGTGGAACCAGAGTTTTGGGCAGAAATGGCCTGGGGAATGGTGAATTTGCTCAGTTGTGCCTCCTAACTGAGTTTTTTCACTTTGCGTTGGTGGCTTATGTTCATGGTTTCATAGGTTTAACTGTCTGATTGGTGGCCACTTTGAGCACAATGGGATTGTTAACACTTGTTGGTTGTATAGGGTCAAAGCTTATACACGGATGAGAATTGACTGCTCAGACCAAGTGTTTGGCAATTCTCAGTCTGTATTTTGTTCTTTAACTTGCTCTAAAATTCACAATAGAGTTAATCTATTCCTCTTCTCGAGCTTTACTTATTTTCGGAATTAATTATAGTTGGCCCTCATTATCCACAGTTTAGCTTTCCCAAGTTTCTGTTACCTCAACTGTGGTCCAAAAATAGGTTAAGTACAGTACATTAAGATATTTTGAGAAACAGAGAGAGACAGAGACCATATTAATATAAATTTTATTACAGTATTTATTATAGTGTCTAATTTCACTATGGTTAATTTTTTCCTGTGCCTAATTTATAAATTTATCATAGGCATATATGTATAGGCAAAAACAGTGTCTATAGGGTTCAGTACTATCCAAGGTTTCAGGCATCCGCTGGGGGTCTTGGAATGTACTCTCCACGAATAAAGGGAGACTGCTGTTCACACAAGAGCTGAACAGCCAAAACTGGGGAGATTGATAGGGGGTACCAAAGAGAGAATTTGGAGTTCAAAGTAAGATGCGTAACTCCTTTTATGATTAATATTGGCAGGAGAGGGAATTAGCATTTGCTAAACACATACTCAGTTCAAGGCACTATGCTGCCTGACTTGGAAATGTTATCTCACTTAATCCTGACAGTAATCCTGTTGGGTGATATAATCATTATTTAAGAAAGAGGAGGCTGGGCGTGGTGGCTCAAGCCTGTAATTTGTTTTACACTTTGGGAGGCCGAGGTGGGCGGATCACAAGGTCAGGAGTTTGAGAAGAGCCTGGCCAATATGGTGAAACCCTGTCTCTATTAAAAATACAAAAATTAGCCGGGCGTGGTGGCGCACACCTGTAGTCCCAGTTACTTGGGAGGCTGAGGCAGAAGAATCGCTTGAACCCGGGAGGTGGAGGTTGCAGTGAGCTGAGATCGTGCCACTGTACTCCAGCCTGGGCGACAGAGAGAGACTCTATCTCAAAAAAAATAAAGAAAAAAAGAAAGAGGAAAATCAAGACTCAGAGGGGCGAGGTCACTTGCTCAAGCACACATAGCTATGTGACTGACAGAGCTGAGAGATGAAACTAGGTTAGGGTGACTGTCAACACACAGTGTTTCTCCTGTGCCTCACTGCCTCCCAAGAGTGAGATCTCAAATTTATGTGACATCTCTGACTTAAGGCTGGGTAGGCAAATAGGATTTTATGTCAAAGTTGCTGTATTAGTAGTAGTGCCTGGAATGCCGTGTGGAGAAAGATTGTCGTTGGGTGAAATTCTCCAGTTGATGAATGGTGTTGGCCACGTGTTTGGCTGGGGAGGCCAGCAGGCAGCAGGCCGGCTGAGCGTATGCTGGGTTCGCCTCAGGTTACTAGGAGGCATAGTCTATTGTCAAGCAGAATTGTGCCTGTGTGTTGGGTAACAATGTATACCCACAATGGTTATACGTTGGTGCAATGTATTATTCATAACCTGTTAGGAAGAAAATTCTGTTGAAAAAAGCCTCCTAATTGCCACTCTGGAAAGTATCAAGTTGTGGTCCATCAGCATTTCAGGGGCTTATATTTTTGTAAGTAAAACACACTTGAAGGCACCCTGGCAATACCTAGGGTATCCTGCCCTTAAAGCATCCTATTTAGAGAGTAATTATTTTCTATCTTTGTTGCAGTAACAATAGGGGAATGAAACCTAAATGAATGATCAAAACAAAAACTCCTCCAACCACGAGGTGGCGCTATAATCTATTACTCAATTTATAAATGCTTCGTGGATTGCTTGCTGACTATTCTCTTTTTGTTCCTGTTTTACTTGCTTACTTTTTAAAAATTTATTTTTTTAATTGAAAAATAAAAATTGCATCTATTTATTGCATACAACATGTTACTTTGAAATATGCATACTCTGTGGAATGCCTAAATTGAGCTAATTAACGTATGCATTACCTCACACACTTTTTATCTTTTGTGTGGTGAGAACATTTAAAATCTACTCTCTAGGCAAATTTGCAAAAATACAATACAATACAATACATTGTTATTAACTGTAGTCATAATATTGTGCAATGGATCTGTAGAACTAATTCCTGCCATCTAACTGAAATTTTGTACTCTATTTTTCTTTTCACACTCATTTTAGTTCTTTCCTTCATTTCTCCAACCCTTCTCAAAACAAACTAACGAGCCAATGGTCCAACAAGCAAATATCTCCTCCAAGTACCTTTTTTATTATTATTCTTTCCTCATAGTCCCCGTATTTTAAATGACTTAATGTAGCAAACAAACCTTAATTAGTAATAAAAATTCATTTGGGGGTTTTCATTAATCAAAGACTATCAGAGCTTCTGCTCAGAATATGTGTTATCAAGTAAGTTATGTTTCTCCAGCTAAAAATTAAAGACATTTAGTATTTTAGATAGCATGCCTATGTAATGTTATCAAGGTTTTTTTTTTCAAGTAATGGAAATTGTTCACCAATACTCATTACTGCCTTTAAAGACTTCTGGGAGGGGTGTCTTTAAACTCTTTTTGAGAATCAAATTCATTCCTGGGTCCCTGGGTAGAAATTTTGTAAATATCAGGATGCTGAGGCTGCCTCTCCAAAAGCAATACCTACTGGTTCTCTTTCTTGGTCGTTTGCTCACAAATTCAAGCTCCTTGCCCAGGATTTAATTCTCCATTTCGGAGAATTTAATCCTGAATAACACTTACACCTGAATAACGTCTTTAATTCTAGGTTCTTATCATTCACCAAGAAAACTAGGCCATTTTGGTTTAAATTAAATCACCGAAGTTCTTGTATGATTTGTTGGTAATAGTAAAAGAGACTAGACTCATGAAATTAGGGATCGCTCACAGTTGTAACAATTAGACCACACTTCCTCCCAGACACAAGTTTTAAGACTATCAATTAAATATAAACAGGTTTTCTGGCTGTAAGATTTTAGCTTTTGTTTCCTTTCCAGTTAGCCTAGAACCCAGCAGTCCACATGTGCCTGAGAGAGGAAGAGATGGTAAGACCAAATGTTGCTCAAAACCTTGGAGACAAGTTTGGTTCTAGCATGAGCTGAAGTTTTACTAGATTAGGAATTTATATAGGCTATGTCCTTCAATTCGTCTACATAATTTCCCATTGTCTAGTGAGCACTATAGCTCAAGGACCAATGGCACCCAACACCTTAGAAATAAAATTCGTGAGTCCAAAGACAAAGCATGCTATTGTTTGGCTCCTTCCACTGCCACAGGAAGACTTTTGTTATTGGACTAAACTTAGAAGAAGTGAAAGTTTTATGATAAAAGCAATTCTAAGCCAGTCTTTGCATAATGAGCCAATCCCAACAGTCACCTAATAATATTTTCCTCCCTGAACTCTACCTTTGAATAAACATCTTCCTAATCATGTGCCCCAAACTGTTTCTAGCGAATTCAGGAAGAGAGCAAAGTCCAACTATATCTGATGTATCACCCAAGTGGTCCAGAGGTAGATGGCTCGATTGATACAAACCCAACGTAAATTCACAGATTTCAGACGTGTTATATTTATGATCAACTGTGACCCACAAAGTGAAAAGTGTGTGGATCAGTGAAGTTTGGTGGTCTTTAAAAAGGAAGGGAGGCCCTCATCTCCCCCAGAATGGTGCTGAATGTGGCTGGAATGTAGCTAGGTGTCTGCCAGCTGCCATCCAGGCATAATCCAGGTGGGAGCCCCATCTTGGTACAGAACGTAGGAACCCATCTACAGTTCTGTGGCTTTCCTTCCCCAGAGCTGTGTCTGGCCTGAATGTAAAGATGTTTGGAGAAGATGACAAATCCAGTCCATGACCCTGGCTTTAGTCCAGTTCCTCTGACCCCCCTAAATCAGGTCTCAGAGCAACTTGGAGCTTAATGCAGAGGAAGATAATTCTTCTGACTGTGGAAAATATTAGCTAAATAGATGACAAAGATCGGTTGTAAAATCTCTCTAAGAAATGAATTAGATCAGTCTGTCTGCCTAAGGTGGTATGGATGTAATTACCCCTAAAAGCGTGTTTCTTTACATGTAAAACGGGGATTATAGTGGTACCTATATAATGTTCACAATGGTGGTTGTGCAGATGAAGTGAGTAGTGCAGGTAGTGCACTGTGCTACGTTGTTGTAAGTGGTCAGTAACTGATAATATAAAGGGGGACTCCCTTTCTATCCTAGAGGTGACACATTCTCGCCAACTGTTACTGAGTTCAAGAAGAGTCTCTTTCTCTTGTTCTCTCTCTCTCTGTACACACACACACACACACACACCCTGGGGGGTATTAAACAAAGTGTTCCTTTAAAGCTGTATTGTGGTTAATCTCTTATGGCTTGATGAAAGAGCCTCTCTGTATGGACAACCCCTAAGTTCATAATGGCCGTAAAGGACTGAAGGATGGAGAGTGAAATGTGGAACCAGTTTCTCATTGTACTGAAATGTATCATTTTTGGGATTCTTGTTAAGAGACAGTGTCTTCAGTTTCATCATGCACAATTTGTTGTGAGCCCAGCCAAATATGGCCACGTAGTACATCAAGGTGATAATTTTCTAGCACTATGCTAAGTGTTACACACACGTGATATCATGTAACTTTTCACTGAGACCCTAAGAAGTAGCTACTATTTGTCTACCCATTTTACCAATAGGAAAATTGAGACTCAGAAAGCTTAAATTATTTGGCCAAGCTCACAAAAGCAACATGTACAGAGCTAGGATTTGAATTCAGATCTGTGAGAACCCCAAGCTCTTACCACTCCCTTTTCTTCCCTGCCTCCCATCTGCCTCACTCATGTGAATGGCATAAAGATACTCCAATATTGACTTGGCTTGGAGCTTCAGAATGGGGGCCTGCGGAAATGTCTGGAGACATTTTCAGTTGCCACAGGTTGAGAACCCCGCCCTGATAGTATACAGGGGAAGCTCTGTGGTGTAGTGTAGTAAACAACAGGCTTATAAATGTTAGATCATCGAAAGAGTGTGTATCTCATCCCCCAACTCTGCAGGGGAGGTCTGATTACCACCTTTAACACATAGGAAACTGAAGCTCAGAAAAGATAAGTCACTTCCTCAAGATCACATGGTTAGCAATCATTGGAGCTGGAAATGATACTAAGGACTCCTGATCCCAAAGTAGAGATTTTCTCCTTTATCACAATGATCCCTGGGCCATTGTTTTTCTCATCAAATTTAGACTTTTAGTTTACCTAAACATTATTTAGCTTGCTTGGTGGTTCTCAAGTGATAACATGCATCGGATTTGCAGGAGGGCTTGTGGAAGCAGATTGCTAGGCTTCACCATAGAATATCTGATGGGGCCCTGGTGGGGCCTGTGAATTTGCTTTTCTATCAAGCTCCTGGGGGATGCTGATGCTGCTGGACCAGGGCCACACTGAGAACCACTGAATTAGGTCTCAAATGTGTTTTCTTTCTTCTTCTCTTCTGAGTCTTCTTCTGCCTCCTTTTTGCCTCTCCTCCCCCAACTGTCTGGGGACACGAAGAGTGCTGAATTTGCAGCCTGGCTTCTATGGACAGGCTAAGGCTGACAGGCTGGTGAAATATTAGTGCAACATGTGAAACTTACAGCCTTCCGAAGGCTCACTGCAGAGCGCAACCGATTACATGCGTCACTGGTCCAAGTGTTCCTTACAGTCTCCTGGGAGTGAATTAAAATCCTTTGCTGGTGACATAGAGGGGTGGACTGGTTCTGGGTCTGGTCTAATCTGGGTCAGAGAGCATGGGCTGATCTGTCATCTGAAACACTGAAACTTCTCCCAGGCGTCTCCTGGGGGATGATGGCTGCCCGCTGTGCTGGAGGCAAATGGGAGGAGGTACAGATGGAGGCCTGTCCCTTGTCCCTTTGTCTGGCAGCTGCTCTCCTCACAGGGTGGTTGCTGCAGGCAGCAGTAGGTGGTCTGCATAAGGGGCTGGGAAACCAGGCTTCCCACAGCCTTGGGGGTTCCCTCCAATTTGTTACCTCTGAATGCTTGGAACATCTGATGTGCCAGAGGTCCAGGAATTTGTGATGAATGTACAATGAAGACATATGCTGTACTCAAACTAGCAAAAGAGGCCAAGGAGGGGAATCTGGAAACTAGTATTTATTGAGACTGATCATGTGCCAGGCATTGTGTTCGATACTTTACATTCATCTCATTTAATCCTCATAACAGTCTTGCAAGTTAGATGTTCTTACTCATGTGAAGAAAATGGGGTTTCAAGAAGCTAAATAACTTGCCTAAGCCCATCAACCTTGAAAATGGAGAAGCCAGGATTTCAGCCCAAGGTAATCTGACCCTAGCAGCTGTTATCTTTCCATTTAATGAGAGAGAGAGAGAGAGAGAGAGAACTTGAAGGCTTGAGGTTCAGAGGAGGTGAGGATGCCTTATGACTTGTGATTTACTGGGCAATTACTAGGCCAGTTTTCACTTTAGCCAACCTTCGTCAAGTAATTTTGAAAGAGCATGTCTTCCTTCTTTTGCTTGGTTCAGAGAAATTTAATAGGCCAGTTTTGACTTTAGCCAACCTTCGTCCAGTAATTTTGAAAGAGCATGTCTTCCTTCTTTTGCTTGGTGCAGAGAAATTTAGAACAAGGGGAAATAATGCATTAATACATGCTGTAAGAAGTTTGCTTCCATCGTTAGGCAAGTGACTTGTGGAGTGAATATTCCCCTTAGAGCTGTAGGGGGCACAGTAAATCCCAAAACAATTGAAGGAATTATAGAAGCAGGATAGTACAGGACATTAGGACGTTGTGCCTGATCAGGGGAACGAAGCAATTTGTTCTCCTCTCAACCAAAGTTTATCATTTCTTCTTAGTAGATGAAAATGGAATGTCACTGCTTTTTTTCTTTTTATAAGTAAGAAAAACAAATCAACATGCTCCCTATTGTTTCCCTGACTTGTGAAAATAAAATCCAAACATATATTTGTGATTTCATACAGCCCGGAAGACCATGAAAGAAACATGAGCCCGAGGAATTTGTCAACCCACTCTCTCTCTGTGGTCTGCAATGCCTGGGTTTTAATTACTAGTAGGAAGGGCGCTTGAATTGGCAAGACTCTTTTAGTATTCATTCATCTTGAGCAAATTGTGACATCCATGGGGTGGGGAGAACCAAGCATTTAAACTACTTTTTGGCATAATTGGCCTTGACCTTCATAATTTCATAATATGCTTAGTGGTATATGCAACAGGCCTGACTTCCAGAGCTTGTCATTTGAAATCAGATGCAATCCACAACATCAGTAATGATACCTTTCTTTATTCAATGCCTGTAAGGCATTTTCAGTGGCATTGTCTCATAGAATCCTTAGAACAACTCTATTAAGGAGATATTTTCATCTTCAGTTTATAGACTAAGGACACCAAACCTTGAAAAGATCACACAGTTTGTCAGGAGCAAAGTCTCAACTCAGACCCAAGCTGCTAAGTCCTATTTGAGTGCTTGTTTACTACATTCTTATTTACCTCTTTGTTCTGTAAATTTGACGTTGGTCTTTCAACTTAGTGATTAGATTTTTTTTTAAAATAGCTTTTCTCTGATATAAAATGAACATGTATTCTTAATAAAAATACAGAAAAATCAGTAAGCGAAATAGAAAGAACTCTGTCCCTTTAAGACAATCACTATCAACATTGTGCTGCGCTTTTCCCCAAGCGTGTTGAATCAGCAACTTTTCATTTTGATCAAGTATAAGTTGTGTGTGTATCTTTCAGTTTTGTTTCCCCAGGAGCATGCAGCACAGTATCTGGAGTCTTAAAGTTGCTCCGAGGAGGTCTGCGGAATGGATGGAGGGAGAGAAGGATGAACACATGCGTCCATAGGCTTGTATGGGGGCACCAAAGAGTTAGAAGAAATTGTCCCTGTCCCTGAAATGCTTGCCATCTAAACATGGGAAGACCAGGCACTTATTTCTGTGGCAAGTTTTTGGAACAACTAACAAAAATATAAGGGAATACTTACACTCGAAGTTAATAATGTGGTGTGTGTCATATGCCAGTGCTGGGATTGAACAGCATAAATCAAGACTAGTCAGGCGAGAGCTCCTGGAAGACACAGTATTTAGTTAAATGTTGAGAGAAACGATGTATGTGGTTGACAGAGAAGTGTATGGCTGTCTCTGGTCTTTTCCAAAATGATAGACTACAGAAAAGTATCTGTGTCATTATTACTTGAAAACTGGAAATTACTTATATTCCAGCAATTTTCCTTTGGTGTTTGCATTTCTGGAGTGAGAGCACAGTTCACCTAGTAGGCCAAGGAAATCTATTCTTTTAGTCTATTTATCGAAAATATAAAAGTGGGGCCAGGCACAGTGGCTCAAGTCTGTAATCTCAGCAGTTTTGGAGGCTGAGGCAGGTGGATCACCTGAGGTCAGGAGTTCGAGACCAGCCTGGCCAACATGGTGAAACCCCATCTCTACTAAAAATACAAAAATTAGCTTGGCGTGGTGGCAGGGGCCTGTAATTCCAACTACTCAGGAGGCTGAGGCAGGAGAATCACTTGAACCTGGGAGGCGGAGGATGCAGTGAGCCAAGATCATGCCATTGCACTCCAGCCTCGGTGACGAGTGAGACTCCATCTCAAAAAAAAAAGAAAACATAAAAGTGGCTTATGTTTCTGAAGAGTGCTACTTTCTAATCACTTGGAGAAATATAAAAGGAAATGAAAGTGGCTGCTTTACTATTGGCTTTGGGAAAAAGAAATACTGCAAGCTAAATAATTTACAGATTAAATATCTGAGTGTTAAGGAAGAGGTCAGCTTTGTTGCTTTTAGAAGAATGATTTACGGTTCTACTTAGCTTTTAAAGTCCTGCTGTGACATTTGGGAACATGCTTTTCCATTGATAAGTAATACCGTAGTGTGATAGATGAGGGAACAATAGCATGAGTTTGGCCAAATCGCTATTCGTAATGTTTGTTTAACAGATGAAGAAGTCAGGTGACATTTTCCATTGGTGTGTTGTGCAATGCTGCAAAACTAACAGCTCCAAGATTTAGCATAGAAAATGAGAAATTCCCAGGGAAACTCTGGGTTGGCAGTTTGGAAAGACCGTCCACCATCAGTTGGATTCCTTCAATTCCTCTTCCTCTGGTTTTCATGATTCAGAGGAAAGAGCATGGACTTTGAAGTCAGATCTGTGTTTAAATCTTAGCTCTATCATTTTCTAGAGGTGGGGCTTTGGAGATGTTACTTAACCTCCACAAGCCTGTTTTCTTATCTTCTAAGTGAAGTTACTAATAGCCATGTCAGAGGATTGTTGAGAGAATGAAAACAGTTACTTGTGTAGAGTGACTAACACAAAACTCGTTGCCTAGTAGTCACTAATATACCCATTCATTCAACAACCATTTGGCATTGTGCTAGAGGCTGGGGAATATGAGAACGATTAAAGCAGTCTGTGTCCTTGTAGATTTAACAGTTTAGTAAGAAAGGGAGATGAAAAATAAAATATATAAAAATATATTTAAAAATATATATTAAAAAATATATAAAAAACAAATATATATAATCATGATAAATGTAGCCAAATGTCATAAAGGGAGTAAAGGCTGAGGTGAAGAATATTTGGGGTAAATGTGAAATGACTTCACATAGGGTAAGACAGGGAATGCCTTTCTGGGCAGATGACTTTAAGCAGAGACCTAAAGCATGAGAAAGAGCCAGCTGTGAAAAAATTTGGGGGTAAAGCATTCTAAGCAAAAGGGATTCATGTGCAGCAGCCTTGAGGCAGGAAATGGCTTGGAATGTTCCAGGAATTGAGCAGATGAATGGTTGCAAAAGGTGAACCACTAGGGATGAACCTGGAGAGCAAAGAAGCGAAGATCTAGAGATGAGGTGGGAGAAATCAGCAGGATGGATCTCGCGTGACCTTGGTAGAGAGTTTGAATTTTATTCTAAGTACCATTTCATCATTGGTTTTCTTCCCTCTCCATCATAATTTCAACAAGTATCTAGCATCAAGAACCTGCTGGCTGTCATCCAGTTTTGCAGAAATTCTAAGGAATACACTCCAAGGATTAGGGAATAAATACCAAGGTGGCAGAAAAGCACATCCTGCTCTGAGGGTAAGGCCCTGGAGCCTGCAGTGAGGGTCTACTTCTTAAGCATTTGTGGCACTAACTCACAACGGGTCCGAGCTGCAGGGGCCTGGAACTCCCCTAGTCTTACCCCCCTGATTTGATAGACAGGGCAAGGGATCTGTATAAAGCATGGTGTTAAGGGAACTAGGAGAAAGATTTAAGTGCTTACTTATTGATAATCTTCTGTTTTCTAGAAAGGTTTCTGGATACTTTCCTGTTAAACTTCTTTAATCTTCATAACTGTCTGTAAGTTAGTCATTGTAGCCAGGCTTTGTGTGTGAGAAAACTGAATAAACTGGCAAAGAAAGTGACCTATTCATGCAAGTGCTTTGAAAAATTATGGTTTTATTCTGTTACATTGAATTTTCGCATGCCCTTACAACCCCAAATTTCCAATTCTTGGTATATTTCCAAAGGAAATTTTTATAAAGGAGTACTAGGAAATACACATATAAGGATGTTCAAGATAGTATTGTTCTTAATAAAGAACTGGAAATAATCCAAATAGCTATCCTCAGGAAAATGGGTGGAGAGCTTATGGTAAAATCACATGACAGAATATTACACAACTGTGAAGTGGAGTGACCTACAGCTACCCACAACAATATGAGTGTCATTCAATAAGATATTAAATGAAAACAAGTCCCACAAGACTTAGAACATTTCACTCTTGTGGGGTTCACAAAAACCCCACAAAACTATAATTTAGGCATACATATACATGTAATCCAACTGTTTAAAGCAAAGGAGTGATAATCATAAACTTCTGGATACTGATTGCTGCTGTGTGGGGAGGTAGGAGGTAGGATAATAGAGGAACATATAGGTAAATAGCAGTTCAAGTTCTTGAGTAGAGCGGTGGGTGTATGGACATTGATGGCACTGTAACTGAATGAATAAATGAATGAGTAATGAATGAATGAAATAAGAATTCAACCTATCTGGACCAATGATGACAATGTATTATGAACTGAAAATAATGAATGATTCAACTCTGCAATTGAAGCCCGTTAAAAGAAAAAAAGAAAAAAATGACTTTTATAGTCTTTGCATTATGCTCTGATGCTTAAGCAGTAAAAATAACTATCTGATAATGTATTAACACAGCTCTGAGCTATTCACTTGGTAGCTTCATTATGTGACAATGGCCACTACTACTCATATACCCATAACCCTACCACAATATTTTGGATTTATATTGTCTATTGTATAAATTTGTGCTCTTCAAATTTTTCTAATCATGCACCCAATCAGAGAAAAAATTTAGGGCATCCACTCCTAATATCTGTGAATTTGTGTACATCTACCCTTATCAATATATCTATATATTTTTCTTTGTTTTAAGGTAAAATGAAATATAAATAGAAGTTTGAATAATTTCTTCTTATACTTCAGTGGATTATCTTATGCATTCCCCTTTGGGGATATCTATAGATAACTAAATCATATTATGCAAATAATTTACTTTTCTATTTCAAAGTCTCTCCCCAACCCCTGGCATTTATTTTCTGGAGTGAAGTGGTGTGATCTTGGCTCACTGCAACCTCCGCCCCCACGGGGTTCAAGCAATTCTCCTGCCTCAGCCTCCCAATAGCTGGGATTACAGGCATCTGCCACCATGCCCAGCTAATGTTTGTATTTTTAGTAGAGACAGGGATTTCACCTGTTGGTCAGGCTGGTCTCGAACTCCTGACCTCAGGTGATCTGCCCACCTCGGCCTCCCAAAGTGCTAAGATTACAGGCATGAGCCACCACGTCTGACCTCTTTTCTTATTTGACGTTCATGATATTCCTGAGAGGCAAGAAGGCAGGCAGTGTTATTCTCATTGCACCAATGGGAAAAGAGAAGCCCAGATAATTCTTGGCTCTTCCACAACATTAGCAAGAGAGTGGCAAAGCTTGTAATAGGAACAGAACTCTCTGCCCCTCCCTAGGGCTCTTCCCACTGTATCTGGCAGCTTCTAGTCTAACATCTTAACAGAGTTATATGATTCTTAAGGTCAGACCAACCTGGCTTCAAATTCCAGCTCTGTTATGTGCCTTCAGATGAGTTATTAAATCTCTCTGAATCTTCATTTTCCCACCTGTAAAATGGATATAATAATATTGGCCTCACATGGTGGTTGTAAGAACTTAAAATAGGATCAAATATATTACAATCTAATAGAGAGGACAAGATCGTCAATAAGTGTGTTTTCCTTTCCTTCTTATTTTTGCTTCCCTCTTCCATTATATTGGCATTACTGACTTAGCAACATTTGAAAGGTAGAGAGAGGAAGTGGTCATTGTAAACAACCATGAAATATATTTTTGTGCATTTAATTTTCAATGCAGAAAGTCCTAGTAACAGTATTAATCTTGTCTCTAAATCTCTCTCATATTTAGATACTAAATTGGCTCTACATGGGCTGCTTTGCAAAGCAAAAGAGGTCAAGGATGCTTTAAAGCAGTGTGGTCCACACAGACCTTGTGTCTCTTTGGCTTTTTGGTATTAAATATGATGCCACATGTCATGAGTGCATCCATTCTTCAACTAAGCTCTAACTCTTTACATCATAATATGATGTTTTTCCTCCTTATCTCTATCTGAAGGAGTTGAAAATAATTTTTGCATCTGAGCAACTGTATGGACCAGGATCTGGGGGACCAGCTAACCTGTGCACCAGAGAATCATGAAATTCATATGTTGGCCTTGTCTGTGAATACAGTTCCTATACACAAAATATAATAACACATCTTTACTGAGCTGACCTACTGAATGCCTGCACGTGTTTCTAATTTGTGTGGGATTGTTCTCTCAGTAGATTCCATTCTCCCTTAAAAAACACACATGTACAAACACAAAACTTGGTTTAAATGAAACAGACACCTTAAGAATCTTAACAAGTAGAGTTGACCTTTGAACATAATTCTACAAAACTGCAATGTGCTACCCAAGTGTTGCCAGGAGGCCTCGGACAGATCGATGGATGACAACCTCCTTTCCTGCACTTCTGTAGGCACAGATATTAGATCCAGAGGGGAACAAATTCCATGAGACCCAGGGCAAGGGTGACGTGGCCAAAATCAAGTGGCGCTGCCTTTCCCACTGTGC
This sequence comes from Homo sapiens, assembly GCF_000001405.40. Taxonomy (NCBI): domain Eukaryota; kingdom Metazoa; phylum Chordata; class Mammalia; order Primates; family Hominidae; genus Homo; species Homo sapiens. Next base: position 33,769,218 of record NC_000007.14, read on the forward strand.
CAAGCTGTCATCAAGAGCCCTTCTTTCTCCCTGGAAACTTGCACCATGCACTTCCTCTCATTTGACAGTAGCAAGGCCTTTCAGGGCAGAGACCATGGAGTGTGGCCCTTCTGTGAAAACAGAACATCTATGTACAGTAACATATGCATTCGTACACAGGTGCATACTTAGCCACATGTAGCCATCCATGCATGCATGTTCTCATTGATTAAGAATCCAGGTTTATTGCAATGCCACAGATAGATTTTAGGGAATAAGATAATAGAACAAAACAAAACATACTAACTCTACCATGAGGGCAATTTAACATTTTGCTGAAGAGACATTGGTATCTTAAAATAGCTTGGGTCATCTTTTGGCCATCCTTTCTCATGGTATTGTCCAAGGGCAAAAGTACTCCTTAAGGGAATCCACTTGTCCAGGATTGGCAGATCCGTAGACAGAGGTGGAGTAGTGGCTTCCGGGGGCTGGGGGCAGCAGAGAATGTGGAGGGACTACTTAATGGGTATAGGATTGCTTTTTAGGGTGATGAAAATGTTCTGCAATTAGATTGTGGTGATGGTTGCAAAACATTGTGAATGTACTAAAAGCCCCTGAATGGTACGCTTCAAAATGGTTAAAATGGCAAGTTTCATGTTTTGTAACTTTTACCTCAATCCAAGAAAAAAGAGGTAAGGTGAACTAAGAGCACTGAACCATGGACAAACGTCAGCTCTCCCAAGTGCTAGGGAATGGCTAGGGATGGGGTTGGGGGGATGCTGCCTGCATCCTGGAGATTGCTAAGAGGAGCTCCTGAGGCCTGGGGCAGGGGTAGGGCCAGAGAGGAGTGTGGTTTGATTCCAGTGTTGGAGAGAGGGAGGTGAATAATGTCAGGGTCAGGTCTGGTGGGAATGCGCTCATGCAGTGTACACACAGGTGTGTTCTGGAAAGCACCCACTTACCTTTCCTTGACCACTGCCTCCTGCTCACCTGCCCCAGTTTGGCTGGCTTTTCTGACTCTGAGTTAGGTTCTGGAGACTAATAGCAGTGACTGCTCTCTCAAATGCTTAGGTCAGATGTCTCAAAGCACATCCTCTGTTTCTCTTTGCCTGGTAGAGAATACAGGCTAGAGGGGTCCTAGCTGTGACCCAAGTGGTGTTGCTCGTGTGTCTATGAAAAAGCCATGGGATCAACCTGATAGCCTGTGCCTTGTGAAGCTTGAGGGGACAACCTTCCCAATTTCTTGTGCCCAGAGCCTTACACCACACAAGCTGATTCAGTATGCACTTCGCCTTGACAAATGAGCTCAATGTGACTTCTGAGTTCAGTTCAAGAGGAAACTGGTTTATTCTTAAAGTTAATCAAGTTGCTTTTTTTACTTGGGGAACTTGAAAGTTGGGGATGAGTAACTCACGTAGATTTTTAAAAATCAAGCTCTCTTACAAAACGTTAATGTTAGACCTGAATTCGGAAGTGCCATGTAAAAGGTTTTTTAGTTTGCTCATATAACAGGACTGAAATGGTCTCCTGTGGCATAAACTCTTTTGTCTTAGAAAACACTCAGTCATGAATGCTATGAATTTCTGTATCGGAAAATCTGAATCATCCTGAGACCCACATGAGTTCCTTGATGAAAATGTGAAATTAATTTTGTACTAAATAAAACTTGAAAATGGTTTCAATTACAAGAAGAAAAAAAATGTGAAACAAAGTAATTCCACTGTATCAGATTCTTGTTTCATTAATTCTGAATTTTGAAAAAAATCACCATTTTCTAGATATTGCTTTAAAGATGTTGAGACTGTGAACATCAGGGGTCACGGTGATACTTAATACAAGCCTCCTGCCACCTTGTAAAGAGTCTGTGAATGCTTTGGACTTTGGGGAAAGCGGAGGAAGAAACAAACATTTATGGTGCATTTGTCGCATGTCATGATGTGGGCTAGGAAGTTTCACATCTGTTGTTCTCTCATTTAATTCTCATGACTGTCTGAGATAGGTATTGTTATCTCCTTTTGTTTTAAGTGCAAAATGGAGGCTCAAAGAGACCACAGAAGATGTCAAAAGTGACACAATTTGTAAGTGGCTGAGTGGGGATCCAAGCCCAGGTCTTCAATGCTCTAAAGCCCATTTTTCTTTGAAACCACGCAACCAATCATTGAGGAAACCCAGGAGATGCACTTCCCACCCCACAATGAAGGCCTTTCTCTGGAACCCCTCTGTCTTCTGCCTGGGACCACTCACCTTAAATTTGGCCTGAGTTTCTAATCTTATGTATCATAGTTGTGTCTACACTTAGCTGGACCTTCTGGAAAGAATCACCATGATGCATGAGGAAGTGTGACCTGGGTACAAAAGTAAGCAAAACACAGTTCCACTTGCCAAGAGTTAAGCAAGAACTTTGCAATACTTGGCCTCATTGTCTTCACCTTAAAATGGCAATAATGATACTTGAGCTTAAGGGCTATTGCATAGGTTCAAGTCGGGTTAAGTGTCTAGCGCTGAGCCCAGCTTAAAGGAGAAAATAAAAATATACTCATTCTCTCCCCACTGCTACCTCCAGTTTTTGGCAGGAGGCAGACGGCAAACCTTCCTAGAGTCTTTGAAAGGTGAGATGGAATTAGAGGGCAGACAGCAATTGGAGTTTTCTTCTACCAGATGCTACCAAAATCTTCGTGTACTCACATAAGTGTGTGTATGTGCATACATGCATATATTTGAATTTTAAAATCAAAAACAGAATGCATTATAGCTTCTAACTATTGGATTAATTTGAAAACAGCTTTGTGGTGGAATTTTACAGTGGGCAGCATGAGGCCTGAGTGGAAATGGCTTCTTTTGTCCCACGTTAAATGTGATGCCACTTGAGGTCCTGGTCACAAATGGATCCAAATCGGAGGAGGAAATGGGAAACATTTTCCTTGCTCTAACATTCAACTCCACTGTTGGTCAAAGGAAACCCTTTCTGAGGAGCCAACTTTTCCAGAATAAAATGGAAGTCTGTATTGTTAGAGTGAGAACAAAGACACATCATTGCAGGTGTGGAAGGTCCGTCACTCAGGACTGACAATTGAGAAAGAGCTAGTGAATGCTGGTGTGTCTGCAGACGAGGAGACACAAATAGGCTGAGCTCAGAGGGCTCCAGTGTAGAGCTTTACCCATGGTCTTGAACCTGAGAGTTCTAAGCACTTGCTTGCTTTTAGTTTTCTAAATCATTCAGAGCATTTTTACCCATGGCCTCTAATATGGTGTGGATCTGTGTCCTCACCCAAATCTCGTGTCAAATTGTAATCCCCAATGTTGGAGGTGGAGGCTGGTGGGAGGTGATTGGATCATGGGGGCAGTTTCTCATGAATGATTTAGCACCATCTCCCTTGGTCAAGACAGTGAGTGAGTGAGTTATCATGAAATCTGTCTGTTTAAAAGTATGTAGTGCCTCCCTCCACCCTTCCTCCTCCTCTGGCCATGTAAGATGTGCTGGCTTCCCCTTCGTTTTCCACCATGACTGTAAGTTTCTTGAAGCCTCCCCAGAAGCTGAGCATGTGCCAGTATCATGCTTCCTGTACAGCCTGAAGAACTGTGTGCCAATTAAACCTCTTTCCTTTATAAATTATCTCGTCTCAGGTATTTCTTTATAGCAGTGCAAGAATGGACTCACACAGCCTCTCATGTTTCCCTGGAAGGCATGTGGAAGGACAGAGGAGAAAATAAAATCTTAAATTGAATTTTCAGGATGTACTGGACACTATGCTTTCACTTGACCTTATTTCACTTGGTTCCCAGGACTACTCCAGAAAATACAGTGTGTTATTCTTCCCATTTTGCTGGTAAGGAAACTGAGTTTCTGTTGGCTCTGTGCTTTTTCTCTTGTTAGGTGTGTCTGTTTCTGAATGACTATAGTATGTTGAGGAGAGTTAGAATAAAAGAGATCTGAGAAAATGATTCATTTGGAGCCATACATAGATACAGGAGAAAAGCAAAACAAAACATTAAACACATAAAGGAAACATAATTTGTCATTGGGAGTGAGGGAGTATCTATTGTTTATGACTAAGCATGACACCACAGAGGTTGTGTCCCCTAATCCAGTCCCTAATTCTGAATCACTGTGTGATTTGGTCATTTGCCTATATAGCAAGCTCATTATTTTTCAACTTAGAAAATGTTAGGGAGCCATGGTAATGATCCAAATCCATTTAGGTTTGGCAAGCCTGTAAACTTTCAAGCTCATTGAAAACAAACCCAAACAACAAAAGATAACAAGGGTTGACAAGGATATGGAGAAAAGGGAACCTTGTACACGGTTGGTAGGAATGTAAATTGATACAGCCATTATGGAATACAGTAGGTTCCTCAAAAAATTAAAACTAGAACTACCATATGATCTGGAAATTCCTCTGCTGGGTATATATTCAAAGAAAATGAAATCAGTTTCTCAAAAATACATCTGCATTCCTATGTTGATAGCAGCACTATTCACAGTAGCCAAGATATGGAATCAACCTAAGTGTCCATCAACAGATGATTGGATAAAGAAAATGTGGTGTGTATACACAATGGAGTAATGGAGTACTATTCAGCTTTTAAAAAGAAGGAAAAAAGAAGGAAATCCTGTCAAGTGCAACAACACACATGAATCTGGAGGACATTATGCTAAGTGAAATAAACCACACATGGTAAGACAAATATTATATGATTTCACTTATCGGTGGCATCTAAAACAGTCAAACTCATAGAAGCAGACAGTAGAATAGTAGTTTCTGGGAGATGCTGATCAAAGAGCAGAAAGTTTCTGTGAAGTTCTGGAGAACTAATGTACAGTATGGTGGCTATAGTAAATGGTACTGTATTATATACTTGAAATTTGCTAAGAGAGGAGATGTTCTCACTATACACATGCACACAAAGCTAACTCCATGAGGTGGTAGATATACCAATTAGCTTGATTGTGATCCTAATTTCACAACATCTACATATATCAAAGCATCATGTTGAACACTGTAAGTACAGAATATTTTTTGTATATCTCAATACAGCTGAGGGAATAAAGACAGAAAACAAAATGCAAGAGGCTTGAAAATGGTCAGTGTAATTTGGAAATGAAGGGAAGGTTTTGAAACAGACTCTTTTCATCAAGAGTCCCCAGTGTCCTAGTGATATGGTTTGGCTGTGTGACCATCTTGAACTGTAGTTCCCATAATCCCCACATGTCATGAGAGGGACCTAATGGGAAGTAATTGAATCATGGGGGTGGTTACCTCCATGCTGTTCTTGTCACAGTGGATGAGTTCTCACAAGATCAGATGGTTTTATAAGGGATTTTTCCGCTTTTGCTCAGCACTTCTTGTTCTTCTCTTTCTTGCCTCCATGTGAAGAAGGATGTGTTTCTTCCCCTTCCGCCATGATTGTAAGTTTCCGGAGGCCTACCCAGCCATGCAGAACTTTGAGTCAATTAACCCTCTTTCCTTTATAAATTACTCAGTCTTGGGTATTTCTTCATAGCAGCATGAGAATGGACTAATACACCTAGATTCAATGTGGTTTTAGCTTGCTTATCTTGAAGATGATGATGAAACATCTTCTTGCCACTCTAGGCCTATGGCAAAGTGGTTTTCAGGCTGTATTCCCGGGAATCCTATGGTTCCTTGGAGGATTCCCCATGGAGATCCTTTTGGAGGAAGGGTATGGTTAACCTGGAGAGGCTCTCAACAGTCTTTCCCTCATACTCTTCACCCTTGCAGGCCTCCACTTTAATCAGAACACCTCCACTTTTATTGCTTTTATGTATTGACTTTCTCTATTTGCTTTAGCTTGAAGCAGTTACATTGCAACTAACACCAATTTTTAAATCTAGGCTATGGGAATGGTAGCTCTTGGAATCCAATACAAAAAGCCCTCCCACAACGAGAATGGCCTTAAGGTTAATGACTTGGAGAGTTTCACCTGAGGGGGTATGAGCAAAGATTTAGGGAAGCATGTTTCACTTTCCAAAATCATGTCAGCTTTCATGACTAAAAAAGAACAAAACCATTGTGAACACAGAGCACATTAGAAAAAGAACAAAGTGTGGCAACACCACCAGTGAGATCAGACTGCGTTTAGCCACAGACTCACTGATTGGAGTTTTCTGATGAGGCAGACAGAGTTGTGGAAGGCTGCCAGGAAATTCTGGACATCAAATTGCTTTTGCTAAGCCAGCCCAGCGGTGTAGTAAAGAGCTGAGGAGTCCCAGGAGAGGGTTGGGAAAGGATCAGTCTCTGTTTCTTTACCCCTGATGTGGGCCTTTTTCGATTAGGAAGTTGAGTGTAAAGGAAGTTATCGGGGGTGAAATCAACTCAGCAAGAAACCTTTTTAGACCAAAGCCCAAGGAAAACTAATAAAACCAGTTGGGCTGCTTCATGCTTATCATACGTTGTGCATGTATGTAGATCAACTGGCTTTACGGCAAGCACAAACACCCCAAAACAAAATCTCAGTTGTGCAAAAGGATTTCTAAGTCCCCAAAGAATGATGGCTGGGTTCTTTCAAGGAACAATGGCTACATGAAACTCTAGTACATCAAATATCTGACACACTATTTCTAAATTAATGATTGAAATGAAAAGTTGCTTAAGGTATGAATTGGGGATTATATTCGGCTGGGAGAAACCGAGGCCCCCAAGGCAGAGCCCTACACAGATGACTGGTTCAATTTTTCTTAGGTAAGAAGCAGTCTGTAGCATGCAGCTGTGATCATGGAGTTGTCCTCAGGGACATTGAGATCCAGGTTCTTGGAGTTCTCTTGGCTTTGTTTACCACTGACCAAGATTATTCCCACTTCTCCTCTGGCATCTTCCCCATGTTCTAGGCAAGCAAAGGGGGCAGATGAAGCATGAAACAGCTGGAGACAGCTGAGTCTGTGCTCCGTCTTCTTCCTCTGCTCCTGTCCCCACATTTTAAGGAGATTTTCTGAAAACTTCATCCAATGACTTCAGCTTATATAACTTCGCTAGAACTATATCACATGCTATTCCATCTGCACAGGAGGAATGTACGTATTGCCTTCTAGCTGGGTATGGTGTTGTCCGCAACAAAGGTGGGACCCATTTCTAAGGAAGAAGGGGAGACAGCATAACAGTTTGACAACCAGCAGTGCCTGCCAGACCTATCAGAAGATTCTCTCCTTCTGGCTCCTGGGGATACATCCATACTACCTCCTGGCCTGCTCTATTCCACTCTTTAAATTACTGTACTCAGCTCTTGCTGTGGTTTTCTTTTGCTTTTTTTTTGTAACAGATTCTGCTTTCTATCTATCTTTTTTTTTTTTTTTTAAATTGAGATGGAGTCTCGCTCTGTCACCTAGGCTGGAGTGCAGTGGTGCAATCTCAGCTCACTGCAACCTCCACCTCCTGGGTTCAAGCAATTCTCCTGCCTCGGCCTCCTGAGTAGCTGGGATTACAGGCACATGCCACCACGCTTGGCTCATTTTTTTGTAGTTTTAGTAGAGACGGGGTTTCACCATGTTGGTCAGGCTGGTCTCGAGCTCCTGACCTCATGATCTGCCCTCCTCAGCCTCCCAAAGTGCTGGGATTACAGGTGTGAGCTACTGTGCCCAGCCAACAGGTTCTGCTTTCTTTCATGACCTCAGGTTCCTCATTGGAATACCACCCCATGCAAATTTAGGTAACAGGCACATCTCTTCTCTGGCTAACAGTGCTTACAAGTGCAGCTCAGGCTGAGTCACATTGTTGAATTCAGGCCTTTGCAGATGAAGCAGATGGTGCCAGGCTTGGGAGAACTGATTGGTGACTACTGGGCTTCCTTGAAGGTTTTGCTGTCATAAGGTCAAAGGTGCACCAGTGCTGAGGTCACAGTTTGTTCACGTGTAGCCATTGTTCTACTGACACAGCTAAGAAGTGACGCACTTCTCACCTCGGTTGTGCTAGAAACTGCTCTTATTAATTTCTTATGAGTTCTCTGGCTAAATCCCTACAGCAGATGTTTAAAACTTACTCTACCTTCCAGAACTCTGACTGTATTCTTGCCCCCTTCTCAGTCATAGGTGACCTCAAATCTTACTTTACAAAAAAATTTAAAAAGATGAGGTCATTTGACTTGAGCTATGTCCTTTGCACCCCAGAAATCACTGTATTTTCACCCTTTCTCTTGTTTCATTTTGATTTTGAGAAATCTAGTCCCTTCTTTGTTCCATTGCTGGGCTCTTCCCATAGCTCTTGACACCATCCCTGATGCCATCCCTCTTACTTCCTTAGTGCCTTGTGTCACCATCTAGCCCTTTCTTTCTTGCATGTTCAGTCCCTTCATTTCAACGGGTGCCTTCTTATTTGCTTACAGACCATGGCTACTGTGGTCTAGAGGAAGCTTCTCTCTGTCCTGCTGTCCCGTAAGTTCCTGCTTATTCTCTCCCTCACTCTTTTTTCCAGCAGGTGGCTGCATCCCGGCACCCAAGGGCCATCTCCTGATCTCCTGTGGGATGGCCCTCTCCACACAGCATACACGAGCACTCTCTCTCTCTCCCTCTCTCTCTCCCTCTTTAGGTTCTAGTACCCACTCCCTCCCTTTCACACTTAGGAGTGGTAAGTGCCTAGGAAACAAACACACACACACAAACACACACGAAGGAAATCTAAAAGTTAGCAGCTGCTTGCTCTGACTTTAGAGATTATGAATGATTTTAAAAAGTATGTTTCTTTATCTTGTATATACTTTTTGATTTTTTTACGCCAACCATGGGTTGTTTCATAATCAGAAAAAGAACATAAACTTGGATAAATGTCCATCTACTTGGAAAAGCCAAAGAGAGAGAACAGAAGCCAGGAGAAGAGGGCTCAGACTTTGTTCTTTTATAACTCACTAAATAACATTAGACTGGGCTACTTCATTCATAAAAATCTATAAAATGGGAAACAGACCACTTACTTTCCATACATCCCAGGGCTTTTATGAAGATTTAATAAATTAATCTATGTTAGAGCAATTCTTAAATTATCTGTGGGAAGGACTAGTTTGTTTCTTTCCTTTTTTAAAAAATAAATTAAAGTCTGTAGTTATTTCTGTTTCCTTAGGTTTTTACCAAATGTCCTTTGTCTGTTCCAGGATTCCCTCCAGGACACCACATTGCATTTTCTCATCATGTATCTGTAGCTCCTCTTGGCTGTGACTGTTTCTCAGACTTGCCTCTTTTTTGATGACCTTGACGGTTTTGAAGAGTACTGGTCAAGTATTTTGTAGAATGCTCCATTGTTGGAGTTTGTGTGATTTTTTTTTTTTTTTTTTTTTGGTCATACGAATGGAATTGGCTGGGTGCAGGCATAATGGCTCACACCTGTAAATCCAGTGCTCTGGGAGGCTGAGGCAGGAGGGATGCTTGAGGCCAAGAGTTCAAGAAAAGCCTGGGCAACATAGCAAGGGCCTGTCTCAACAAAAATAAATTTTAAAAATTAGCCAGGCTTGCTGGTGTGCACCTGTATTCCCAGTTACTTAGGAGACTGAGGATGGAGGATTGCTTGAGCCCAGGAGCTTGAGGTTGCAGTGAGCTATGATTGTGCCACTGTACTCCAGCCTGGGCAACAGAGCAAGACCCTGTCTCTAACATTAAAAAAACTGGAATTAAGGGTTATTAGCAGGAACACTACAGAGGTAAAGTGACATTTTTATTACATCATATTTAACGGCACAAACTATCAGCATGACTGTTGATGTTGACCTTGATCACCTAGCTGCAGTATTTGTTTCTTTTTTATTTCCATTTTACATAAGGTCCAATTGTGTACAACATAGTTGATGCGACAAACAACTCACCATGCAAGCTCAAACAAACGAGGTCCCTAGTCACTTGCTTGGAGGTTTTGGCCATGTCAAATTGCCATAGAGTTTCTAAATGCTTACTTTCAACTTTCCTAGTTACCTTAACACAGACCGGGAACAATGCACAGACAGGCCTGGGGCTGTGGCCACACTCTGAGTGGCATTGCACTAATGCACACATCACAGAAGGTTTCCATAAATAATTTTAAATCAAACGAGATGATTCAGAAACAAAAGGTAAATTTGGTTGGAATCTTGAAATTATAGCAGTCAGGGTGCGAAGAGGTATTGGTGAGAATCCTTGGAATCCCTTGTCCTGCAGATGCGGAAGCTGAGTCTTGGGACATGTGAGACTTGGGTGCCACATGGGAACTCAGCAGCAAGCTGACACTAAGCCCAGGTCTCCTGTCCCCACCAGGGGTCTTCCCACCATCTGCTGCTAATCAGAATCATTTCAGGTCCCCCACGAGGAAGAGCAGGGAAGAGCTCAGTGTAGGGGGAAGGGGGAGGGGGCTTAAATCTACAGCAAAGCTCAATTTCTCCCCGACTTTCTAACCTCTCACTACCCCATTAAAACTTAAATGAACAGCTGAGAAATCCAAAATGTTTGAGGAGAGGCAGAGGGGCTTACTTGGATGTAACTGGGATTCTGATAATTGGGGGTAATTTACGCTTTCGGGATAAATAAGTTAGTCTCCCTTTGGCACAATTCCATCTGTTCTGTCCCACTCAGAGAGAATGAAATCCAGGGCTGAGGATGGAAAACGAATTAGTAAGTGACAGGATCCTCCTTCTCTCCTCCCCATCCACTTCTACTTCCCCAGGAGAAAAAAAAGAGAGAGAGAGAGAGAGACAGAATGGAGATATGGGTGAAGGCCTAGAGAAACAAGAAATCAGGAAACATAGAAGAGGTTTACTCATTTGACTCCTTTTTGTATGGAAATGTATTTAGGATTAAATTAGACATGACATTTAGTAGACTCCCAGTGGAAAAATATTTTCTTATGATAGCTGAAGGGGCTCTGGGAAAATGGATGGTGAGAGTCCTTGATGGAACAGCCTGGCAACCGGGCATGGCCTGGCCAGGCTACGGTGGGAAGATCACGTCACACAAAGCAGTGGCCAAGGGAATTCTGGGCCACCTGCTTCTTGGTCACCCTGTGCTTACTTTTCTGTAATTGTGAAGGTTTCAGGTTGAGAAGGGAAAGGTGGCATAAGAAGGTGATGTTATCTGACTGAGGATCACCCCTAGTTCACAACCCTCTCTGGTTGCTCACTGATCCTCCCTGTGGCACACAGGGTGCCCCCAACCTGGACCCAGCTGCCCTGGTGCCTCACTGCTCTCCCCTCACCTCCCTTCACACCTCTTTCAACCTCCTCTCTTTTGCACATGCTCTTTCTCTATCCTGGAGAGCCTCCCTCATCATTAGCTGCTGAAATCCTTTTTTTTTTTTTTTTTTTTTTTTTTTAAGGCAGGGTCTTGCTCTGTTACCCAGGCTGGAGTGCAGTGGTGCAATCACAGCTCATTGCAGCCTCAATGCCCTGGGCTCAAGTGATCCTCCTGCCTTGGACCCCCAAAGTGCTGGGACTATAGGCATGAGCCACTGTGCCCAGCCCCCATTCATTGTTGAAGTTCCAGCTGAAACATTACTTACTGTGAGAAGCCTAAGCCAAAACAGGCTAAATTAATAGCCCCATCCCACCCCTGGTGCCTACTGAACTGAATGTGTCTTTAGTCCAGCACTTCTAATACTGCTTTTAACATTCATTACATACATACAAGTATCTGTGGAGCACTACTGTGTGTGCCAGGCACAGTGGTAAGGGCTTTACATAACTTTTTAGGATAATTCTCACCAGGATCTGTCAACAGCCACCATCACCCCCCTTCTACAGGCAGGAAGTAGGGTCCCTGAGAGACCCAGCAGTTTGCTTAGAGTGATAGGATCTGTAGAGGAGGGATTTCAACCCAGGGTGCTTTACTGTTGAGCCTTCTCCCTTCTCCCAGCTAAACTGCCTTAACCACCTCCAGCTCTGTGGATTATCCGCCTATCTAACTCCATCTGCAGCCCCCACCCTCAGCTGCAGCCTCTTGGGAGTAGAATACCCCCAAGGTTGACCTCTGGGTCCCCCTTGGCCTCACCCCATAGAGGGAGCTGGGGATGATCTGTTAACTAATGTCAAATCGATGCTTGAGCTTTCTTATGAAATTGCATGGCAGTAAAACCTTTGGCTCCAAAGACTGTAGCCAATACTACATGCATAAAAATAGTCTAGCCGTCAGGAAAATCCACAGTTGAGTGTTAGTGGCTAGCACATGATTTCCTTGACACTCAGGGCTTTTGTGGTTGAAAACAGGGGCTTTTGAGTGCCAGCGGAGCCTTTTTCTTAAAGACTAAACCTAAATAACATCAGTGCTATTCAACACAAGGCTTGAAACTTCTGACATCACTTGTTCACCCCTGGTCTGGGCAGCTCTGTGTTAGGTCAAAATCACAACCAAGCAGCTGACACAGCTTCTGCATATCCAGGGGTGCATTTGGGAGCCACTGGTTGCCTCTTTCTGTTCCCTCTTGCCCAGGGACAAGCCACAGCTCCCAGACTTTTGAAGTAACTTAAAGAATGGAAATGTGTGCCTAAAAAAAGAAATTCAAACAAATGTTTTTTAAAAAAGATTTTTATTTGTGTATGTGTGTGTGTGTGTGTGTGACTATGTGTTTATCTCATCAGCTTTTATTGAGTCTCTTTATGCAGGCTTCCTTGGCAAAGAAGTGAAGGTCTTTGAGGCAAGGATTCATGGGGTCCTGGGGCCAGAAGGACCCTCGCCATCAGAAGCAGATTCAAAGATTCAAAGACCTTACCTCTGAAAGGTATTTCTTGACTATTCTCACACATTTCACTTTCCTCATGATGTTACCGAGCTTTCTCCACCCCAAAATCCCACTGGGATTTTAAGTGGAGTTATGTTACATTCATAATTTAATTTGGAGAACTGGCCTCTTGTCAACACTGTGTCTTCCCACTTAAGAACATTGCGTGCCTTTCCATTTATTCATGTTCCTAAGTCAGATTTTATGTTTGTCTTCATGCAGGACTTTATTTCTTTAACTATTTTTCTCAAGGTTTTGTATTATTGTGGCTGTAGTTGGGATTAATGTTGAATTTATACATGTACACCCCAACTGCTTTTAAAAAGGGGATTCCCGAAATTAGGAGGATAGACTAAATTCTTGCTTCAGGGTTTCAGTCTTCATGGCTGTGTGCTTATGGGCAATAGGGGCCTGGTACCTTGCAGGAATTGGGGATCATGAGAGGGATCAGTAATTAGAGGGTCCTTAATCATCAAAGTCAAGGTAAGTCTGTATCAGGTACTTCCCAAAACTCAGTGCCTTCAACAGTCATTTATTGTTGAGCATACATCTGCAGCTTGGCCTCAGTTCAGCTCATCTAGTCTGGGCTTGGCTGGCGTCTTCTGCTTTAGGCTGTGGCCGCTGGGGTTGCAATGGGCTTGCTGTGCTTCTCACTTCAGTTCTATGCAAGATGGTACAAGTGGTCAGGTGGCACTTAGAGTCTCTTAAGTTCTGAACATAGATTTGGTACACGATCACCTCTGCAAGTCACATGGCTGAACTCAAAGCCATGGGGAAGTGTGGTGGCTTTAGCTAAGCTGAAACTGTGTTTCCAAGAATGTCCCTCTCTTTATGGGTGTGAAGTAGGGTTGGCTGAAAGAGAAATTTGCAAAAGATCTGGAAAGCAGAAGTCAAGCTATGGTCATATCTATGCAGTTGCGATCACCGGCGAGGACCTGCTGGCTCGCCTTGTTGGCACAGGGGCAGCAGTCAGCTCACAACCTCCTTTAGCTCCCACCTGGTCTCCTTCAGCTTCCTCAAATTGTGGGTGGTGTTCAAGGGCCACTCCATGGAGAAATGAACGAGCTTTTCTGTCATTCTGTGTGAATGTTGGAGGCTTGGAGGCAGTGAGACAACCATGTGGCATCTAGCTCATCCTGTGGCCTCTGGTTTACCACTGCTCTTCCTCGCTTCACATCCAGCTTTCCTTCCTGTCTGCCAGTGCTCGGGTCTAGCACCAGACGCAAGGACAACATCCTGAAATGGGCTGCTTACCCCACTCCCAAGATTACATAAGGTCTGATCTCTGTAAGAAATCCAGTATGCCCCTCACCATGATTCTGCTTCTTTGATTGAACCCTACCAATGCAGGCAGGGAGGTGCACCCAGCCACAGTGAGGCTAGAGCAAGGGAGCAGTGAATGATGGGAACCAGTACTTCTCTCTACTGTGATTATGACATTGTCCTTACAATGACAGGCATGCATATACAAACCCTTGCTGAATATTTTTTGTAAGGTTTAAGGCAAATGGGTTTCCAATTCACTTTCAGAACACAGCAGGTCTAATAATCAATAACTCCCACATTGGTTAACTACAGATTTACCTCTGCTGCACTGCCCTTTTTTTTTTTTTTTTTTTTTTTTGAGATGGAGTCTTGCTCTATCACCCAGGCTGGAGTGCAGTGGCGCAATCTTGGCTCACTGAAAACTCTGTCTCCGGGTTCATGCCATTCTCCTGTCTCAGCCCCCTGAGTAGCTGGGACTATAGGCGCCCGCCACCGTGCCTGGCTAATTTTTTGTGTTTTTAGTAGAGATGGGGTTTCACTGTGTTAATCAGGATGGTCTCGATCTCCTGACCTGGTGATCCGCCTGCCTCGGCCTCCCAGAGTGCTGGGATTACAGGCGTGAGCCACCGTGCCTGGCCTGCACTACCCATTTTAAGTGATCTGAGTGACCCCTCAAGAGAAGTTGCCAATACTGTATTTCATTATAAAGGGATTTTTAAAAAGTAGGCTGTCTTTTCCATCAAAGCATTCTAACAAATGCTCTTCCAACAAAATTATGTATAGTAATTAAATTTCTAAGGTCTAAATCCTGACCCAGTTACTTCAAGGAATATTTGATAGAGTAATAGGGTAGAATAATTAAACAACTCTGGTCTCTTTAGAGTTCTTTTTAACAGGATTTGAGCTTTAGTATAAATAATTTCTTCTTTCATTTGCCTACCACCATCCTGGATTTCCCATTTCTGACAGGTCCAAGCTGTGAGCTTAAGTAACACTTTAAATTTGAATTTCCTAAGAAGTCTTTTGTGCCTTTATTTTTTCTTAAAACAATTTTGGCTTGCTTGGCCTGGGACACTGGCTTTGGGGCTTTGGGAGAGATAAGACACTTCAGTGTTTTCCTGACAGCTGAACTAAAGAAAACCTCTTACACACACGTCATCTGATTTGTTTCATGTCATTTTGATCACTCCTTCTGACAGTTCCGATCTAATTTTTCTTTCAAAAAAGGGTATCAATTTCAAGGTTTAGAGTTCTTAGGATTTAGAATCCGTGATTGAAAGAGTGAAATTTAATCTTGAATCAAGGTTAGGGAATATGAGCAAGGTTCGCAGGTTTCTTCTCGATAGAAGACTCTTGTGACCACTATTTATTATGGTAATGCTTTGTTATTATAAACCTCCCATGAATAATATTTTGGGGAACTACCACACAACAAGGCACACATTATAACCCCTGGTTTGGGGGTTGGGTGATATCAACGAACTGAGAAGCACAATTATCTCATGGTTATGCATGTCTATGAAGTGTGTTAATACTTTTGTTTTTTACAACTTGTAGAATATTTTCATTGTAGGTGAAGCATCAGACACATTTTTATTCAAAGGAAGAGAAATAAAATGAAAGTTGTGTCTGCTGTGTGTTCTGAATGATACCCTGGTGGCCCCAATCCTCTAAGCTGGGGGCTAATTCCCCACTGCGCGTCTCATGGGCGCCAGGACAGGATACTTTCATGTTTGTGTCGTGGTACATGACATCCATGATATCCATGGCACAAAAGGAGTCCTTATTTGGAAATAGTGATCAGCCAGTTTGAAAAGGAGGGTTTGATGGTGTGCCTGTAGTAGATATTGTTTCAGGTCAATTTAGTCAAACATTTCAGTAAAGTGTAATGTTTGTTTGGTGCCCTAGAAAGTGAGTTGTCGTGCCGCTGGCATTTGCTTCTTTGCCAGAGGTGTTAAGGCCATGTAGACATGGCTCTAGCGTAGACATCTAGGATGACACTGGGGAAAGCAAGCAAAACTAGCAATGATTAAGTACTTAATAAGTGCCAGGTGGTTTACTTAAGGTATCTCTTTTAATTTTCACGACAGCCTATCAGGCTGATATTACTGTCCGTGTTTTGCAGAGGTGAGGGAACTTCAGTTCAGATAATTTAAATGAATTGCCTTCATTGTTAGAGATGGCGAAGCAGATATTGAAAGCAGGGTCTGCTTGATTCTGTGGCTTACACACATTTCCATTAAGCCAGCATTTACCCACGTGTGCTTAGAATGAAGTCCTCTGGATGATGTGTAGAAAAGGGAAGGGGAAGGAGGGACTGTGATCAAATGCATGCCAAAAATGTTAGATTAAAGACCTACTCAGGAGGCTGAGGTGGAAGGATCACTTGAAGACAGGAGTTCGAGACCAGCCTGGTGTTATAACAAGACCCTATCTGTAAAATATATCCATATATACTTTTAACTTACTGCAGGACCTCTCAGAGCTTTCAATATAACACTATGCAGTATTTCCTAAATCTGTTTGACCTGCAAATCCCTTTATTCCCAAAAGGAGATAATAATAGTAGGCTCCTCACAAAGCTATTTGCCCCTCAAATGCCAGCCTGATGTTCTTCCACATCTGCCTGAAACATCCTCAGTAGATGTGTCTGAATTGAACCCGGAAGGAAGCTTTCTTCTTTTTCTTTCTGCCACTTCGGTATGGTTGTGTGGCCATTTTGCTGTGGAAAGAGAGAGAGTAAGCAAACCTGAATTTGTATCCAAAGCGGGTGGGCATGCAAATCCACTATTTTGCTTGTGTTTTCATTGTGAGTGTGAGTACTCGTCTGGCCATTTGTGCATGGACAGCATGCCTACTCTCAGTCTTCTGTCCCAAGTTGGTGTGGAAGGTAGGTGCCCACATGGATAATGATGCTACAATATGATGTCAGTGGTGGCAGAGAGATGCATGCCAGGATGCAGTGGCACCACAGAGGAATGAGGGACTGTATTGGAGAGGGGAAGGAGGAGCAGGAGAAGAGAGGAGGAGGGAGTGTCTGGGCCTTAGAAATGGGGTAGGATTAAGTCACATGTAGGAGAAAAAGCAGGCACTTTTTGTGAAGGGGACGGCATGAGACAAGGTCTGGAAAGTGAGGCAGCATGATCTATCTAAGGAAGCAGAAGCAGTTCCAGCAGTGGCTGGAACATGAAGTAAGGGGCAGAGAGTGGTGAGAGCTCAGGCTGCTGAGATGGATGGAGGTCAGGCCAGCCTTGTAAAACCTTGTATGCTATTGAAGAAATGAGATTTATCCTGTAGTATAATGGATGACTTGGTGGGGTTTGAAAGAAACACATGTTGGGGCCAGATCTGGGTTTTGACAAGTTCACTCTGAAAAAGACACAGCCCATCTCTAGGCACAACCCCAGATACAAGGACGCCAGTTCTGAAGCAGGCAAGGTAAGAGAAGCTGTCACCCGCACTAAGGTGGTGCCAGTGGTGATGGAGGGAAGAAACAAATTTGTTTCATATCTCTAAGAACAAATCATGATGGGGGATTGAGTGGATTTGAGGAATGGAGAAGAGAGAGAACAATTACTTCAGCTAGAGCTAGACTGGAAATGAGGGGCACGCCTGTCCATGTTGATCTTTTGTATTAAAAGGTCTGAGATGATTCCAAATATGAAGTGCCTTTGCTCATATTCTTAGAGTCTTGATCATTTGCTTCCTGCTGAGGCCTGGAGAAAGTTGCCTGGGCAGCCTGGGACGAGGTCTGAAGTTGGACCTGCATGCTAAATAGTCAACAACTCAACTTGGGATGCAGAAAAGCCACTGAGTATGATGTAAGACCTGGTCCCAATTTCCACTTGAACCATGTCCTGGCATTGCTACCTTAAACTAGCTTTGCAAGTTTTAATGTCCTCATCTGCCGAACTGGAGCTAGCCTCTGCTCTGAAGCACACGTGTGAGGGTCATCTGCATTCAGAATTTCTCTCTCCGTGTTGACCAGGATTGATGCAGCTGATCTGTTTACCGCCACGTGACTCTCCTCTGTGGACCAGAGCTCCCAGTTCCTGCTTGTCTGAGAGGGAGATGGGATAGGAGCCAAACTCAGGGCAGCACCCAGAAGAGTCACATTTGGGTTTCCTAAGCTTGGCAGACTATTGGTTCACAATCAATCCAGACTTTCTTGAAAACAAAGGCCCCTTTGCCCCCAACCAGAAGTAAATAACAGGTTGTGGCAGAAATTCTCTCTCCTTGGCTGATGGTTCTATCATCTCAAATTTGTATCCATTATCTCCTAGGAGAGCTTGCTAAAGGCTGAGCCATATGGGGCCTACGATGTCCTCGGTAAGATTTCTAAATGAATCTTTAATGCCAGGAGAACCTGGAGTGACCTGTTGTTTCTACAACATGTAAGCACTCCTCTCTAATGAAGTTGAACATTTCCCTTTCGGGCTTGCTAAATTGTGGAAAATAAATATGAAAGAGCTTTTAAGATGCCTCCTAATCCTAGGGTGCACAACCGCCCTTTTGTTTACCTTAATGTAATAGGATCATTATCTAGGTGCCCCATTTGGATGAAGCCTTGAAAAACATACTAACCTGTTGACTTTGTTAATAGTAATTTAGGAAAACCTCTTGGGCTCCAAACCCAGCTTTTTACAGCCAAGTGTACCCTTGTTTTCTATGTTGACTGTCATTGCAGATTTGTGTAAACATAGCTGAATGGTGACTATGCTGCTTTTTGGGGCCAGCAGTGTTTGTTGGTGGAGATTGTTTTTTATCTGCAGGGTCTGTAAAAGGTGGAGTTTTGGGTGTCTGTTGACCTTGATTTGCAAAAGGGAAGGACTTACCTCTATATTTTATGGTCCAATAACAGACTGCAGTGCTCAATTACATGGGGGGATTAATAGCGGGTTAATTGATATCCCTTTCCAAGTGTGTGTTGCTGGTGAAACAGAATAATCAGTGGCTCTCCACCCCAACTCTGACAGTCTCACTCCCCAGAGCCCCCACAACCGCCAAAAGGGAGTTCTGTGCCTCTTTTCTCACTGACCTGCGGCCTGCCTACATCTGCCCAATTAGAGCCATGAAGGCTGTGACCCACCCACCACTTTCCTGGTTCCATTCAGCAGACCCACCCTCTTTGCCTTCGGAAGGCATGATGGATTGGTTTGAAACAAAACCATCTCGTTCCCAAACTGAAAGGTTCCTTTTTACGTTTGGGAACAACTCGAAACCGCTGGAGAAAATCATGTGCCAATTATGTCTAAACTCCTTTACCACAAGGTATAAAGGAAGCCATAATTCGGGGGCTTATGTTTGATTGAATTCATCTGTTTCCATTTTGTAACTGGAGAGGAGGGAGAATCCACAGCGGTGGACAGTTGATAGAAGGCAGCTTCTATTCCCGGCAAAAGAAGGGGTGGCCCTGTCGCTTCACTCCCTCAGAGCAGGCTTTGTGGGTGCAAAGAATCCCAAGAAACTCCTGGACTGGGAGGGAGGTCAGCCTTGTGCACGGCAGTGCCAGACTCTTCCAGAACCATAGACGTAAAAGAGGAGGAACCATGTCAATGTTTTGTCAATTATTCAGCCAAGAACAACACCCTTCAACTGGGAAATACCCCACTCCCCCACCCAGGAGGGGATTTACACTGATGGGTCTGTGTTCGCCAGCAGCTGACAGGTCAGACTTCACCCTTCACATCCCTAAGCGTGTTGGTGCTCATTAGGTGAAAAATGAGATGCATTGTTAACACTGGCTTTCCTTTCCTGCTTGGCAGTGTGACATTAGGGGACACTGAAACCTCAAATTGCCTCCAAGAAATGTGCTCGAGGATAACCGTGCATTATTGTGGAGAGGGAAGATTCAGTCAGGGAAAGAATAAAGGTCCCTTCACTGTCACTCCCATCTGTCATTAATGAAAGACGGGCTTGTTGAGGAGCATAGTAGATTAACTGATATTCCCCACCAAATGTGTGCTGCTAGTGGCCACAGATGCTTGGATGCTTTGGTTGGAAGTGAGACAAGCTTGGGTTGCAATCTCAGCTTTTCCACTCAGCTGGTAGCATGACTTTTGGCTCCTCTTGGAGACTCACTCTCCTCATCCGTAAAATGGTGAAACCTATGTTATTGGGCTGCTATAATATGAACAATATTTGAGAATCTCGCAGCATAGTAACATAATAAACGGGAATCATGGGCCATCCCTTTCTCTTCTGGGACTCTTGTTTCCTGAGAACATCTCCATGGTCCCCGTATCCTCAATTTTAAACTCTCTGTAATGGACCAGGAGGATTCCTTGGCATATAGTAGGGAACAGCCACACTCAGAGGCTGCCATCAAGCCTTTTCTAGATATTTTTGTATTCTCCTGAGACCCACTTGGGTCATGCGCTTCTATTTTGGCAACTGTGATAACTGGCTCTCTTCATCCCTCCCTCATTCACTATTTTCTTTTAATTTTTAAAATATGAAAATATGTTTCCCCAGCTGAAAATGCATTGCTTAGGTCCTCTCTCGATTACCCATGGACTAGGACTGAAGGCTTATGTTTTATGTGTGACACAGACCCTTGTGCCTTCCTTGCCTTCTACTCATCTCTAGTCTGTTATTAATCCAATTCTGCAAATATTTAATGATAGCTAAGCAGTTTATATGGATGAGCTAATTTAATTTTCTTGACTACTTTATTGTTATTCCTTTGTTACTGAGAAGGACAGAGGACACAGAGTTATTAAGTAACTTTTCTGAGCTAATCCAGTTCATAAGTGGTGGAGGTAGGATTTGAACCCAGGCAGTTGGATTCCAGAGCATTAAGAACTGAGCCTTTATGTACCAGGTGTTCCTTTACCCCATTAGGAGAGATTGCACAAATAAGGGCCAAAATCGTGAGGCTCACATCAGACAAACCAAATGACTTAGTCATAAATGGTGAGAGCGGAACAGGAAATGCAACGTGCTGTTCAGACGCAACTGGGGGACTTCCTGCTGCAATTAATCCAGGCCTGTTCCCTGCTTCGTTCTCATGGTCATTGAGACTGGAGTGCACTCTACTCTCAGAAGGAATCGACTCCCAGTTTCTCCTGTGTAAATTTTACTTTGTTTCAAATAAACAACAACAAAAAATTTAAAACCACCATAGCTCCTCAGGACAAGTCACTCCTGACATTCTAAAATAAACTCGGTTACAAACTGCCTGCCTCTCCATGGTGAAAATTGTATTCAATAGTTATCAAGATTTGTGCTCGAGCAATCGCTCCTCCTGCTTCTGTGGAGTCTTATAATTGTGTTTTTGTTCATGATTTATGCCATGACCACACATCTGACATAGTTTTCCTGTTATTTGTTTCAGGCACCAGAATCTCTCAAGCTTTCCCTCGGCTTGAGACATAATGGCTCTATTTTGCTTTTAGGATTTTCACCTCTTGGGGCATTCAGACTTTCCTGGGCTTGCTTGATGATTTCAATGCCATTTTTCTCTTGAGGCGAACTCTTGGACTTTCTGCATAGCCCTTCACCTCCACCTGTGTTGTGAGCAGAAGTAGCCCTTTCTCCATGGAGCAGATGGAGCCTTTTTAGAGGCTCACTCCTTTCAGCATTTCCAGGGTAATTTGTCTTTGCGGGATGGGTAATGAAGGGGTCTTAGAGACTGAACAGCACGGTAATTTGGTCCTTTCCAGACAAGGATGATCTTATCAGGGGTTGACTATCCATGCTGCTGAGACTGAGACGGTGGGGCTCTGACAATATTTGGTTTTGAAATGCTTGGAAGTCAGCAAACCCCAGCACTCTGGCTCCCTTCAATGCAGCTGACCTAATCTTACCCTGATGTGAGCCATTTTAATTCATCGAGGTTCCGCTAATGATCCTGGCGATTTACATTGTTGTCATTCTTGAGCATTATTATGCTTTCAGAGAAAGGGATCAGGCTTGTGGAGACATTTTCCTCTAAATGCTTCCTTTAAGGACACTGCTCACCCTAGAAGGGAGAGAGATGAAACAAAAGAGGGTCTTCTGTAAGACAGCCAAGGTATCTCCTAGGAACTCCGGGAAGAATGGTGTCTATTGTACTCACGTGGCATTTTGATATCTGTCTTTCCATATCTCTGGTACTGAACCGTAAGAGCAATGACTGGGTCTGTGGGAATTTTTAGGGTACCCTCATGATCGAACCTGGCTTGAACTGGTATGATTCTCCAAAGCAGGATCCCCTTAATTGATTTCCAACCACCCCAGAGATGGGGCAGACACTCTGCAAAGCGCTTAGATCCAGAGAGGGTACTATGAAGGGAAACTCGACAGGCCTGGTGGTTATTTGAAGACTTAGAGGAAAATGAGCACAATAAATGGGAAGATAGAGACTCTGACAGCTGCCGAAGAAGGGAGAAGGTTTGCTCTGGCCAGGTGGTTAAAAAATATCACGAATGGCTGGTATAATTTAACACTGATTGTACATCTACTATATAGCAGGCTCTGCTAAAATAAAGGCAGTGACAATTTTTTTTAGGGGCTTGAGTCAATAAGCCCCCATCAACTTTCACTTGAATTTTGCAATAATCCCCTAACTGGTCTCCTTGCTTCCATTCTCCCCCTCCCAATCCCAATCTGTTATCAACAGAACAGCTAGAGTGATCCCATGAAAATGCACATTCGGATCATATCACACCTCTGCCCCACACCCTCCAAGGGCTCTCCACGTCTCTCGGAGTAAAAGTCTCTACAGTGGTCTATAAGGCTGCACAAGATTGCTCCCCTGATACCCCCCACCCCCCAGCCCAACACAAATTCTCATTTGCCTACTGAGACCCAGATCCCATACATCTCCTCCTGGAAGAGGACCCTGGATCTCTGTGCACCCCTTAACTCTTTGTGTCTCAGTTTTAGCACTTAACATACTATAATTTGATTTTTGTCCTTCTGTGTTCCCCACTGGTTATTGAATTTCTTGCTAAAGGAACCATGTTTTACTTAGCGCAAAATCATCCCTGAGACCAAGTGCTCAGTAAGTCATTGTTGAATGAATGAACAAATAAATAAGCATGTGAGTGACTGAGTGCCTCCTCTACATTGGCATGCCTGTGGCCTTGGTTGTGTTATGTGGAAACCAGCAGATAGAAGCCACTGTTAATGGTTCACGCTGCATCTTGCATTCCATGGATGCCCAATAGCTGCATCCAGTAGCTATTCATTTTCCTGCATTAAGAGTGACCTAGGTTCTGATGGTAGTTCCATTCCTGGCCCCTGGAGAAGTGACATGGGGCCAGATGATCCTTCCTGGCTTCCTCAGTCCCCAGGGCAGGCCCCTGAGAGGATAGGAGGGCAGAGGAAAACACCTCTGGAGTCGGTGCTGGGCCCAGACCCTCCCTCCTGCTCTGGTGGAGCCCAGTTTCCGCTTTGTAGCCTGGCCCCCACTCCTGCTGCAACATCAGTGTAAATATTGTTCTTTCAAACAGTACACTGTGGTGGGACAGGGAAGGAAAAACCATCACCAGGGGATATGTGTGTCTGCTTTGCCTTTTGCAGAAGATAAAATTTAGTCTGGGCAGAGCCAGCTTTGCAGTCTGTTGTACCCTGCTCCAGGGCAGAGTGCTGTGCTGGAGGCTCTTGGGGTGGCCCCTACACCTCCTCACCCCTCTTGCCATATGCACTGGTGGCACCTACTGTGGGTCAGGTCTTCCTTGGGGGCAGGTATATGGTGGGTTCCTGCCACTGAAGAGTTTCAAAAAATTATAGGGGGAAAAGCCATTTGCTCATGGCACACTGCCCAGGTGGGTTAATCCGATCCCTCAGAAAGCGCTCTTCCTGTACAACTTGTAATTAATACAGAGTGCTCACAGCCCCAGGAGGCTATGAGGCCAAACTACTCAGTAGGTTTCAAAAAGCAAGCTGTTGTCCATGCCTAAGAGTAGCAACTTTCTTTAGACAAGTTGGGAGTAAGGCTGCAGGGGCCATCGGTCTATTTGGGGCAGTGAGGACGTGCAAGGGCCTGGAGTAAAATGAAGGCAGTGGCGATGCTAAGTGAGCCATTGTTAGGTGCCTGACCTCCCATGCAAAGCATTTTATTTGCATCTACTTGTGCAGTTCTCATAAGCAGTGGATCCTGTGGTCATTCCCATTTAACAGAGGACTAGAAAGGAGCCCAGAGATATTAAATAACTTGCCCATGGTCACACAGCTAGGATGTGCTGAGCTAAGGTCTACACCAAGGCACAGGGTCTCCAGATCAGCCCTTAATCCCTGGATCTCAGTTCTGGTGCTACCATGGGTTGAATAGTTTTGGCCAGGGGGCACATGTCTTCTCGTCATGACTTTGTACCATGTGTTAGAGAGTCCTGGGCTTGGAAACTACATTTAGTCATTAGTGGTATGACCCTATAGCAAGTAATTTACTCTTTGAGTTAGTGTCCTCATCTGATAAGGCAGATATTAGAATATCTCTCTTGCCTATTTTGGGTAGTTAAATGTAAGCGTGTATTAAAATGCACCATACACGTGAAAGTGGTCTTCAACTGGCAGGTTTTGTTATGAAACCATGATCATCAATAAAATGAGAGCAGGAGAACTACACTGTTCAACCTGGCAGCCACTGGCCACACATGGCTATTAAAGCCCTTGACATATGATTAGTGAGATTGAGGAACTACATTCTGACTTTTATTTCATTAATTTAGATTTAATCAGCCATGTGTGGTTATTTGCTATAATAGTGGACAGTACAGGAGATGGTTTCAGCTGGAGGGGATCTCGGAGACCACTTAGTCCAGTCCCTTGATTTCACAGATAAGACTGAAGTTCTTAGTGGGGCAGCAACTTGCCTAAAGTCGTATGGTAAGTTAGCAGAGAGCAGGTTCAGAACTAGGTCTTCTAACACCCTGATAGTCTCCACTTCAAAAAAATCTGAATATCCCTAATTTCAACCAGGAGATTAGGAAAGAAGATTGATCATCATCAACCTGCAGTTCATTGAAATAAACAGCGAGGGTGGGTGAGGTGGCACAGGCCTGTAGTCCCAGCTACTTGGGAGCCCTGGGGCAGGATAATGGCTTGAGCCCAGGAATACAAGTCCAACCTGGGCAACATAGCAAGTCCCTGTCTCTTAAAATATCAAAAAAAGAAAGAAGCAGCTAGTGAAATACCAAGATGGCCCTGATTTTGAGAGCTTCTTGAAGGCTAGAGAAGGTGCTAAGATGATCAGGCCCACACCTATTCATGGGAAGCTGTGTGTGACTGTCTCTACTGCAAGCCATGCTCAGTTCTTCCTTGATCAAGTCGAGGTCTTCTTAGGGTCAACACGAAGGAAACCCTTTGTCCACTTGCAGCGCATCCTGACAGTGACAGAGACATCTCTGGATAGGTCCCTGTCTCCGAGGAAGGCCTTGCGGGTGGCGGAGGGCTCAGGACTTCAGTGTGCTGTAACAGTAAATCTGTGGAAAGAAAGTAAAGGCCTGTGGTGAGGCTGCAACCTCGGTGCCAAATCACAATGTATAATTGGCCCTGATTTTTTCCATATGTATCAACAAAAACAGCCTTGCTTTCATGGGAGATGAAAGCAACCTCTTTCTTTGGTCCTGTTTCCTTTTTGGGTATAGTTCCCAGGTCTCCACTGGGTTCATCATACTCTCTTTAAAACAAACCGAAAAACAAAAAAATCATAAATTAGGGATACAAAAGGACTTATGGAGAAAATCTCTTTATGTTTTCTATGGCAAACAGATATACTGTTTTGATGTTTTCTTCCTTTTCTTAACAAACATTAAATTAAACTAATTTGTCAGAGTTTTCATAAAATCATACTCTTGGGATAGTGAGAAATAAGTGCTTAATAGCAGCAGATTAATGTATACACGTGAACTCTCTTTCTTAAAGGACTTTCATTCATTCAGCACTCTTGTTGGATTAGTCTGCCTGGATTGCCATAAGAAAATACCACAGGCTGGGTGGCTTAAACAACAGGAATTTATTTTCTCACAGTTCTGGAGGCCGAAAGTTCAAGATCAAGGTGCCAGCAAGTTGGGTTTCTTCTGAGGCCTCTCTCTGGCTCGAGGACAGCCACCTTCTTGCCCCGTCCTCCCATGGACTCCCCTCTGTGTGTGCACATCCCTGGTGTCTCTCCTCTTCCTATAAGGACATCGGTCATATGATACTAGGCCCCACTATTTTGACTTCATTTAACTTAATTACCTCTTTAAAGGCCCTATCTATCTCCAAATATGGTCACATCGAGGGTGAGGGCTTCAACACATGAATTTTGGGGTTGGGGACACAATTCCATCCTTAACACCTTTATGGAGTACTTTTCATGTGATGGTCACTGTAGATACAGAAGAAAATGACAGTAACCTCGCCTTTGGGAAATTGGGAGTCTTACAGACATGAAAAAAATGCCATATGATATGCAATTTATACACATGAGGGCACTGAGGGAGAGAATTGACTTGGTTTTGGGGAATGTGGGAGAAGAATTAAAAGAAGGCTTCAAAGACAAGGAGCTGGGTGAGTTAAGTTTTGAAAGAAAGCCTGGCATAAGTGTGATAGCAGGAAAAAGAATAAAGGAGACATCCTCATCATACACATGAAATAAGCTGAGTCTCTCTCCTGAGTTTTGAAAGATTCTATCTAAAAATACTGACCGACCCTAACTTCAAAAGCCTACAATTAGAGATAATTTTTTTTTACAATTAGAGATGAGTTTTTACCCTTAAGCTATTGTTTCCTTAAAAAATAATAAAGATTTAAAATATTGTATTGTTTGAATTGGTCTTAGTTATAAACATCAGAAACCATGACACAAGCTGGTTTGAACAATGGGAGCTTCAGTTATTTTTGTCCGAGCAGGCGATCGGGGTGGGGTGGGTTCCAGGCAGTTTGATCGCAACTGAGTGATGGCTCAAAGATTCAGGCTCTTTGTGTCTCTCCATTTGCCTTCCTTTCCGCTGGCCTTAGCCAAAGGCAGGATCCTCTCCTGGTTATAATAGCTGCCAGTGGAAATCGGGCTTTATTTGCACCCTGCAGGAGAGAAAGAGAAAACTCTCTGTCTTAATCACTGGTGTACTAGAATTGGCTTGTATGGACTGATGAGATCTGACTGTTAAATTTTCAGGAATTTTGCAAGCTGATTGTTAAACACAGCTGTTATTAAACATTAAATTATATAACTTAACAATGAAATGAGTTACATTAAAATAAAGATAATACTTAATATGTATCATTTGTTAATTATTTTCCTATTATTATGCCTTTGACATGACATGAATATAAAGTCTATCATATTTTTAGGATGGTGACAGTATACAATGGTATGCTGCTGTACGTCTCCCCCAGCTCCACACTCAGTGATATCACATTAGTGGCTTGAAATCAGCCATGATAGTAGTAGTGTTTCTAGCATAGAAATAGGCAACTGCTATAAATCAGATTTTGATTTTATTTTATCATCTGAACTTAAGAAAATGATGGAGAAATGTAAATAATGCAGGTTAAACTTTCAAAGGTTTGGCTCTAAACTGTTACATTGTGAATGGCCCAAAAATTAGAGGAAATAGTCTCCTAGTATTATTTGATTCAGCAAAGTCACTCACATCATTGACAGATGAGTGGAGTTCTGACATATGTCTTCACACACAAACAAAAACAGCCCACATTTGTGTCAGTATTATACTCATTTGTCAGTTGCAGCAATAGGTTGGCTGTAGATACATGAATGCAAAAGTCAATGAAAGTATTCTGTGAAAAATTGATTGGCAGTGTGGTACGATAAAGAGCATTGTATGTTTTATTTTATTTGTATATTGGGTTCTACACATCCACTATGTCAGTAAAAATTTATAATAAATGTATGTATGTATGTATGTAAATATATGGATATAATTTTTTCCTGGACAACCTTTTGTTAAACATTTATTAGCACCACTCCTTCAATCTTTTTGTTTCACTGGGCCAACCTAGTTTATATGTCTATTCCTGTGTCTGGAATTTATTCCTTCCGGTGGGTTCTTGGTCTCGCTGACTTCAAGAATGAAGCAGCAGACCCTTGCGGTGAGTGTTACAGCTCTTAAAGGTGGTGTGTCCAGAGTTTGTTCCTTCAGATGTTCAGATGTGTCTGGAGTTTATTCCTTCTGGTGTGTTCGTGGTGGTGCTGACTTCAGGAGTGAAGCCTCAGACCTTTGCAGTGAGTGTTACAGCTCTTAAAGGTGGCACTTCTGGAGTTGTTTGTTCTTCCTGGTGGGTTCGTGGTCTTGCTGACTGCAGGACTGAAGCCGCAGACTCTCGTGGTGAGTGTTACAGCTCTTAAAGGTGGTGTGGACCCAAAGACTGAGCAGCAGCAAGATTTATTGTGAAGAGCAAAAAAACAAAGCTTCCGCAGTGTGGAAGCAGACCTCAGCGGGTTGCTGCTGCTGGCTCAGGTGGCTAGCTTTTATTCCCTTATTTGTCCCCGCCCACATCCTGCTGATTGGTCCATTTTACAGAGCGCTGAATGGTCCATTTTACAGAGTGCTGATTGGTGCATTTACAATCCTTTAGCTAGACACAGAGTGCTGATTGTTGCATTTTTACAGAGTGCTGATTGGTGCATTTACAATCCTTTAGCTAGACACAGAGTGCTGATTGTTGCGTTTTTACAGAGTGCTGATTGGTGTGTTTACAATCCTTTAGCTAGACACAGAGCACTGATTGTTGCATTTTTACAGAGTGCTGACTGGTGCGTTTACAATCCTTTAGCTAGACAGAGAATGCTGATTGGCGCGTTTATAATCCTCTAGCTAGACAGAAAAGTTCTCCAAGTCCCCACCTGACCCAGAAGCCCAGCTGGCTTCACCTCTCACCCCTAAGCCCGCAGTGCTGTGCACTAGTTATCCTTTGTGGCTGTCAATGGGTGATTTCCTTAACTATAAAGAGGGTTTGTTAGGAAAGAGGAAATAGGAAATTCATTTGAGGTAGGAGACCAAAAGTGTCTGCAACTGCAAAGATTACCCCCGACCCCGCAGCCCAAAAAACACATTAATACAATATCAATCTTTAATATTTTAGTGGAAATTAATGTATGACACCTTTTCCAATAGGATAGGTGGCTCAGAGCAGATTGGATGGAGCTACTGACATTTTAGGCTGAATAATTCTTTGTTGTGGAATTGTTGTCCTGTGTATTGTAGGATGTTTTGCTGTACCTCTACACACATTTGTTGACAACCAAAAATGTCTCCAGACAGTGCCAAATGTCCCCTGGGATGTAAACCACTGGTTTACATCTAGGACTTGGCTCCAAACCTGGAAGTTTTAAATTTCTGTTCCTCTGCCTCTAAAGTAACGCCATCTGCAATTGAATGTTAAATTGGGAAGTCAAAGGCAGCACGGAGGAAGAGGCACATTCTTGAGGGCTGGAACCCTAAGCACCAAAAAGTTGAGTCTGGACAGAAACCTCCTGGGCTTAGGAGGAGGGGATTTGCTGCTTGGGGAGGCCACAGACTCCAGATACTAACCTCTCCTCCAACGTTCAGATTTTATCAGCACGTTTTCCGCCTTTGGAACTCAAAGGATATGAAGCTCTTTTATAAACTTTTATCTTAAGAAGGAATTGGTCCCTTTTAGAAAACTTAAGAAGTTTTTTACACGGAGTTAGAAGGAGCATATCAGTTGGTTTGTCCCTGGGCTCTGGAAGCATCAACCTTTCAGATGATCACGCTGATATATGCGTTAAAAGAGCAAACAAAGGCATCTGAGCAATTTGTAAACCAGGCAGAGTCTGGGAAACGTCCTCATGTCAGAGTCTACTGACAGTTGTGTGAAATCAGCTTTGGCAAAGCTCCCTTCTCTTCAAGAAAGCCCCCTTAGACCTGCTTCCCCTTCTAGCTCCCTGCTGGCCTTATCTTTCTTCAATAGCAAAAGACCTCAAAGGATTCATCTTTATTTGCTGTTATGAC
The DNA here is from genome assembly GCF_000001405.40 of Homo sapiens. Taxonomy (NCBI): domain Eukaryota; kingdom Metazoa; phylum Chordata; class Mammalia; order Primates; family Hominidae; genus Homo; species Homo sapiens. The sequence continues at coordinate 33,799,042 of NC_000007.14, forward strand.
TTGCTCTCCTTCTGTTCATTCCTTGGATTCTGTCCCTACATGCCTGCAGTGATGCTCTAATGTGTTGAGTCAACTCATCTCAGTCTTCCTCATTCTTAGGACAGCTTTCCATGCTGGTGGCCATCCTCTTTCTCTTATGTTTGCTGCTTCCTGTTACTTCCATGATGCCGTAGTCTTGTTCCTGCCTGTCTGTTGAGTTCTTCACTGGTTCCCTTTTCTCTGTCAGCTGCTTATGGAGATGTTTCCTCCAGGTTTCTGGCCTGTTCCTGTTTCTCCTCTCCTCTCTCATCATCTCTCAACTCTGGGCATACAGCCCCAAGCCTGCATCTTCGGTTGGGCCCTCTCTTGTTTGCTGTAGTGTTGGACACATTTATCTTCATGTTGGTGTACCACAGGGGCCTAACACAACACTTCTAACATGTAACCTTTTACCTGTTTTCCTAGCCTGTCTTCTCCTTGTTCCCATTTCAGTTAACAGAATTGTTTTCCAGGCTAGAGACCCTAGAGATATCTTGATGTCAACCTTCCTTATAAACCAATCCTATGATGTCATCTGCCTCTGAATCATGTGGGTTTCACTGCCACTGTTTCCCTGATATGTATTCCACCCTTTCTACTCCCATTGCTCCAGTTGAGACTAGAGGTCAGCAAACATTCCTTTTCTTTTTAAAAATTTTTACTTAAAAAAATTTCTTTTTAGAGACAGGGTCTTGCTGTGTTGCCCAGTCTGATCTCAAACTCCTAGCCTCAAGCAATCCTCCTGCCTTGGGCTTCCAAAGAGCTGGGATTACTGATGTGAGCCCACTCTACCCAGCCAACAAACTTTTTCTTGAAAGGGCCAGGGCCAGATAGTAAATATTTTAGGCTTTGTGAGTCACACTCCCTTTGTTGCATCTATTCAACTCCGTCCATAAAGCATGAAAGAAGCCATAGGCAATAGGTAAGTGCATAGGCATGTCTGTGTTCCAATAAACCTTTATTTATAAAAACACTCTTCCAGTCTGATTCAGGGCCATAGTTTGCCACCTCCTCTTTTAGATCATTGTTATCTCTCACCTGGATTTTATCAATCCGGAAGCTGATCTCCCTGCTCTAAACTGTTTTGTTGATCTTACCATCCAAAGTAAATATTTGTTGAGGAATATATCTTCCTAAAATCCAGGCCCAATTAGACACAAGGGACATTGAGACCCTAGAAACTTAGCCTTATTTGAATATGCCACACATTCATGTGCTATAAATCTCCCTTAACTATAGTTTCCAGCCTGTAATGCTCTTCCTAGCCCTTAAATATTTATACATGCTAATCTATAAGACCTAGCCTCTTCTACGAAGCCCTCTATACTCACATTCACAACTCAGAGCTCTTCTTCTCTGAAACTGTCTTGAATAAGAGTATACCTCTCTGACAGTTTTATCTCATAGCAAGTCTGCCTCACAGTGAAGTTACTTCTACCTGTATTTGTCTACCTCTGTCAATCCAAAGCTCTCTAGAGGGTGAAGGTATCTTTCTTAACAATTTTTCTTCTTCTTCAACTATTAATTCCTCAGCTTATTAGTCTGTTCAAGTAGAGAAGCTCCTCTATTAGGTATTCTCTAATTTCAGATATAAAATATACACATTTCCAGCATATAAGATGCAAACAAGCTACAGTCCAGAGCTAAAGTTTTAATAAGTCCTCTTCATTCACCACTGACAAATGGCGTTTGGGATTGATTACTTCAGTCTCAACCATCTCTTGTTTACAAGTAGTCTATAGCATGCTTATTGAGTCTGTAATTCACTTTTAGCCTTTTTTTTTAAATTAAGAAAAAAGCATCAAATCGTCAAAAAAAAAGTAGAAATTGAGAGGATATTGAAAGGCCTGGGAAGATGAAGTCATGATGAAAATAAAACAAAGAAAAACTCATTTAAAAAATGAAAAGAGCAGGAAAATGGAGAGTGTTGTAGATTGAATCTTTGCTGCTAGACATGATTTTAAAGGATGAACTACATCAAGTGTGCCATGTCAATGTGATGCCAGTATAATTAATCACAAGTAATAAAAGGGAGGTATATACTGAGGAAATGAGAAAATATTTTAAGGATTTGTTTAGAAGCAGCACTGTTCAATATAAGAACTACTAACAACATGTAGTTATTTAAATTTAAGTAATGGAAATTAAATAAAATTTAAATTCAATTCCTCAGTCCCACTAGTCACATTTCAAGTGCTCATTAGCTACTTGTAGCTAGTGGCCACCATATTGGATAGTGCAGATATCAAACATTTCCATCATCATGAAAAATTATATTTATTGCAGCACTATTCATAATAGCAAAGAGATGGAATCAACTTAAATGCTCTTCAAAGGTAGACCGGATAAAGAAAATGTGGTACATATACACCATGGAATACTATGTAGCCATAAAGAAGAATGAGAGCATATCCTTTGCAGCAAAATGAATGGAGCTGGAGGCCATTATCCTAAGTAAGCTAACATAGGAACAGAAAATCAAATATGACATGCTCTCATGTAAAAGCGAGAGCTAAACATTTAGTACATACAGACACAAAGAAGGGAACAACAGATGTAAGGGCCTACTTGAGGTCGGAGGGAGGGAGAAGGGTGAGGATCGAAAAAGTATCAGGTATTATGCTTATTAAGAGTTCTATTATTGGCTGGGCCTGGTGGCTCACGCCTGTAATCCCAGCACTTTGGGAGGCAGAGGCGGGCGGATCATGAGGTCAGGATATTGAAACCATCCTGGCTAACACAGTGAAACCCCATCTCTACTAAAAATACAAAAAATTAGCCCAGTGTGGTGGCACGTGCCTGTAATCCCAGCTACTGGGGAGGCTGAAGCAAGAGAATTGCTTGAACCCGGGAGGCGGAGGTTTTGGTGACCCAAGATCGCACCATTGCACTCCAGCTTGGGCAACAGAACGAGACTGTGTCTCAAAAAAAAAAAAAGTTCTATTAAGAGTTCTATTGGATAGAGTGCTGGTCTAGAATTAGCAAAGCCAAGTGCCTTGTAGCCTCAAGTCACCAGAGGCGGTTTGTTAGAGAATGTAGAGGCCAAATATGGCAAATAAGCTGGTGATAAAATTTTGGTCAAAAGCAACAGAGGGCTCCACGGAGTTGAGGCACATCAGAATCTACTCAACATCAGTGGGAGGGAGGAAAAAGTCAGTTCTGAATTGATGACCCAGAGTCAATAGTATGGAGCACATCAAGAGCATCAAGCATTACCACTGTTATTTGCTTTTTTCAATCTAGGTTTTTTTTGAGACGGAGTCTCGCTCTGTTGCCCAGACTGGACTGCAGTGGTACGATCTTGGTTCACTGCAATCTCCGCCTCCCAGGTTCAAGTGATCCTTCTGCCTCAGCCCCACTAGTAGCTGGGATTATAGGCATGAGCCACCATGCCCGACTGATTTTTGTATTTTTAGTAGAGACGGGGTTTGGCCATGTTGGGCAGGCTGGTCTTGAACTCCCGACCTGAGGTGATCCACCCACCTTGGCATCCTAAAGTGCTGGGATTACAGGCATGAGCCACCGTGCCCAGCCCAATGTAGGTTTAAATGTATGTTTTGGGAAGAGATACTAGATCACAGTATTTATCAAACTGTGGGGCAAAATCAATTAGGGGGTCATGAATCATTTAGGACCCAGCAGACATTTTAAAATGAAATAGAACAGACTAGAACATATCAGGCCACGTTTCATGCTGCAAAATCAAATATTGTTGCAGAAACTTCTGCGTCAATGAAATATGTATGTATTTCTTAATGTGGGTCAGTTGCCAAAAGTTTGAAAGCCACTGCTTTTCAGAACATAGATTAGCGAAGAAGAGAAAAGTATGTCTAGTTTTTAAAATGCAAAAAGACAGACTCACCTTGCATCTGGAGAATACAAGCTTGAACCCTTCTCAGTGCCTCAGGCTTAGGAAAAAAAAAACCATCAAACTTAGAAACAGCTTCTCAGAATCTAACCTGTTTGTTCTTTGCTCTTACTTCCTAGAAAGGTCAGTGGATTATCACTGATTCCTGGATTGTCTGCATCCCAGAAGAAACTTTTTTTTTTCTCTGCCATGGGGGATATCTTGCAACTAGAAACTGTCTGTGTTTGCCTGGCAGAAGTGGACTGACCCGGGGAGTCAGGGTTAGCAACTTATAAAGTGGGTGCATGTGAGAGGCAAGACCAGAAAGCCTGTGACGTATTCCCCAGCTGCACAGCCCAAGAGTCACCTTCCTACTTGGCAGAAACAAAAGCTCTATTAAATTTTGAGAGAGAATAATGCTTGTCTTATTCACATATTAATATGATTTATTTAAAAAACCCTGATCCCGTTGCCTCAGAACGACTTATAATGCTCTGTTTATCTCTTGGATCGCTGACAATGAGAGTTCAGATTTCTCCCTCCAGCCTTCTGAATGATCTTTTTTGGAGCTGGTGGGAGCCTCTTGTACTTGCTACCCTATACATTACATAGTAACATGGAAACGTTGATTGCTGACTTAGGCCAACTTAATTAAAAATTAAAAGAACAAACTCTAGCTTAATGAAAATTCCTATGGATGGCCACCCAAATTTGCTGAAACCCTGAAAACTTGATTAGTCCCTTAAAAATAGCATTGATTACTTATAATTGTCATTAGAAGTTCAGTTTCAAAATTCTTTCCTCAGGTTAAAGAAGAAATCAGTTCTGACTGAAATTTATACATCTACTTCTAATTATCAACGTTTCCACAACGTTGCCTGTGGAAATGTTGATAATTTAGAAGAAGCAGATGTATAAATTTTTGCTCTGATGGGGGTAGATGTTAATGGAAATTTTAGAAGTAATTTTCTCAGGGCATTTGAACGGATGAGATATTCCCAAATTATTTGGCCTGAACTTCTTATACTTAGTTTTACAAAGGTAGTGACTAACCAAGTTACACTTCAGAATGTTTCCATGTGTTTTCTCCAAGAGGTACTGTCATTATGACTAGGGCTCAACTGCCAACTACATGCATTAATCCCAAATTACATCAATCTCCAAATTATATTGCCTTAGGAACTTAGACTCCTGGGTCCTGCATTCCCAGGGACAGCTCCACCTGAATCTCCAGGGGCACCTCAAATTCAACCTGTACAAACCTAAGTTCATCATCTTCCTGCCTCAAACCTCTGCATTCTCTAGCGGAATCCCTGCCTGGGGGATGGTGTTCAGCATTTACCTCATTTCTTAAGCTAGCAGCCTTGCGGTGGTCTTGAAGGTTTCCCTTGTCACCAGCTTCCACATTAGAGTTTTATCAGTTCTTCCTCAGATATGCCGCTTACATCTCAGACCCCCTGGCAGTGTCTGGCTCCGGCTTCACTATCTTTACCTCCATGACAGCCGTGGCTTCTTAATGGCCTTTCTCTCTCTTCTAGTTCCTCATCCATGTGTCTTCTGTGTTATCTTCCTGAAAAACAAATAAACATATTCCTGGTGCACCTCTGTGTGACTGTCCCTTGTAGGATAATTTCTGTTATCTCTCTGTTGTCTGTAGGATGAACTGGAACTCCTTGAGAAGACAAATGCCTTTCACAACGGGCCCCTCTTTTCTCTGCTTCTCTCACCTTCGTTGCTTTGGCCACCCTGGGTTTCCTTCCACTGCCTTCAGATAAAAGGTGTTTTTTTCATGTTCCCTGTCTTTGCAGCACTCTTTCTCTTAGAATGCCCATATGCATTTTCAGAAAAACACCTTTTTATCATCTAAGAGTAAACTCAATGCCACTGCCTCTGGGTACCTTTTGTAATGACTCCGTGAAGTTTGTTAGTTTATTGCTCCCTCTTTTTTCCATGTTTCTATTAGAGCACTTTTCACATGGTATCATGATTACCAACTAATGTGTGTGTGGTACTCATTAGGGCTGCTCTTCAAATGTTGATGCATCTTCCCATCTAATTGTAAGGTAGAATTGCTCTTTCTGGGCTTCTTGTGGTTGGATGGGGGCCAATAACCAGTACTGGGCAACAAATTGAGAGCAGAAGAGATGAGTCTCATTTCTAGGATGGCACATTTAATTGCCCGTACAAGAGCCTTGAGAGATCTTTTTTCTTCTAGCATGGTGACTAGCAATGTTAAAGATGGCCCCTGCTCCATCAGCCTAGGCACCTCCCAATCCACAGTGCGTGCATAACATGAGCAAGAACCTTTGCTAATTTAGGCCGAGGAGAAGTTGGTATTGTTTGTTACTGTAGCACACTCTAGCCAGTCTTTCCTGATATATTGTGTGTCACTCCCATGGGATGGGACAGTGGACTCCTCAATGGGCTCAGTGTATTATCTTAGTGTCTGTATTGTCTTGCAAGTGCATGGTAAGGGTTCAGTGACATACTTGTTGAATGAATGCATACAGAAATACGGTATTTATTATTAGAGAGATAAGGAGAAAGCCATTAATGAAATTATTGTGTTTCTATGTCTGTTAAAAATAATGGTCACTTGAGAAACATACTTAAAGAATTCAAAACTGCTGTCTTCGATAACAGTTTTCATTCAGTTTTATGTGCAGTTTTGTATTCTGGTTCTGGACCTTGCATTGCAAGGTGTGGAATATTTGCTAAAGAAATGGCACAAGATTAACATGTTTCATTTGCAAATCTTGGTACGGTTGGCCGACTTTTCCTAATGGACCCTCAGTTCTTTTTAGGTAACAGCTGCGTGCATTGCCTTGATGGGGCAAGCCCCTGGACGAGCCAGAGGTCTGCGGAGACCCAGTACACTGGCTTCAGATGTCTGCCCAGTTATCCCCACAGAAGTTAAGGAACTAGCTGTTTTGAAGCAACTTTAACACAGACTTTTTTTTTCCATCGTGATGGAAAATGACATGGAGCTGTCCTTGGGCCAATTGTGTGTAGCCTTTGTAAGTGACCAACACTTTGCCAAAGTCCCACACACAAACTAGTTATTTGCGTTTGGAGCTGCCTCCTCTGTCTTCCTGGCAGAAGCTCAACATTAGGAAATTGTGACTAATAGCAAGGAGAGAGAACCCTTGAGGCTTATCTAGCCAGGGAGAGTTTCAAGGAGCCAGGAAAAAGTAAAATCTGGCTCAATTAACCAAGATAAGATAGGAACAAGCAAACTGGACAATCCTTTCAAAAGGGACAAACACAGACACAGGGATTTCTGAAAGGAATCATGGGAATTATTAGTGTCTGGTTATTATTTTATTGCATGGAAGCACATGCAACTTGTGCTTCTCCAAACCTGTGATGCAGGCAAGAGATTCTAAAGCCTTTGCAAGCTGTAAACACAACATTTTTTTTTTTTTTGTAAGAAAAGGCAAGAGAAGGAGTGCACTTAACAGAAGAGGACCAGCCTGGTAGCACTTCCCAGAGCTACCACCTGTCTGCTGTGCTTAGGCAAGGCACCTCACCACACTGCATCTTGGTTTCCTCATCTGCAAAATGCTGTGTTATTACAGCAGTGTGTTGTAAAGATTCAATGAGGGAATGCATGTGAAGCTCTTACTGTTCTTATTAAGCACACACTGAACTCTCCAGTAAGTGTTAGCAGTTACACAGTTCTGAGATATGCATTAGGAAGTCCATTATGTAAAAACCCTGCTCTGCTCTTTAAAATGAACAAGAGTGGAGGGGTTTATGGTTTAGGGGTGAGGGGCAGAGACGTGAGGCATAGGAGATGACTGAGCATTTCTTGTGGCAACTTGTGCTTCTGGTTCCTTACAAGTAAACTGTCTTATAAGAGATACTTTTTGGTCCTGTTGTCTCTGCAGAAGGCAGCAGCAGCTCAGAATGGCAAGCTTTCTGCTGATGGTAACAACCTGGTAATCGAACAAAGCCCACAGTCTTTGCTTTGAAAAACCAGAGGCCCAGGAGTAGCTGTTTTCTTTCAGACTGCATTTGAGCTTTGTCAGCTGGCTGGGCTGAAGTTTATCCTGTGTCCACTTCCCTTATCAGCCGCCCATGGCAGGCACACGCTTCTTTGCTCAGTGAATGGCAGGACTTCAGGACTCCCCGTTGACAGAGCTAATCCATCTTTCTGCTGCTTCCATCTTGAAATAACTTTTGGAGCAGCTTGTCAGGAACATGGAAGCAGCCATGACAGCTGGGAAATTTTCTCAGGCAGGGAGTAGCCATTTTCTGTATGGAAACTCCAACGAAGCTATGTCAAGGAGATGGCCCGAAACATCTGGGCTCATTTATGGGGGGAATGGGAGGCATTCTCACAGGACAGCCCGATGTACCCCACTGATAAACCCTCTAACACATTTTCGGGAAAGGAGGCTTCATGGATAGGAGAGCCCCTGACAAAGTCAAGATATCCCTCATCCCTCCCAGCCTACTGGAGCCAGCTATTGTCCACATCACCCACTGTCACCAGAGCAGGGATGCAACTAATTCCTGTTCCTGGAATGGGCTTCTGGCACTGCCCCCACTTCAGGGTCCCCATGGCTCCAACATCTGCAGATGCACTGGCATAGGGTCATTTCCATGTGATCGGTCTTAGGTTTTGGGGACCTGTTGTTTGACAATAGAAAGCAAGAGGGTGGAGACCTGCTTCTCACCATTCGTTCTTCTCCCTCTAGAGCTGGATTTTCCTCCATATTAAAGATCCCAGGTTCATGAGAAACCAAGTCATCTTAAAAGCTGGTTAGAGTGAAATCAACCTTCCTGCTTTTCTCTTCTTCCCTACAAAGTCAGAAGTCAGGTTAGAAACTCCCTTGCAGAAAAGAGTCCATGTAGTTTGGCCAGATGGAATGTTGCGATATGGAAGCTTAGCCTGCTCAAAGTGGGTGTTTAGGAGGTTTTCAAGCTGGGCCCAAAGTCCAACTTGGGTAAGACCACCTGATTACACAACTCCAGTGGGGCGGGGGGTGGGGTTCCTTCCCCATCGTAGACTGTGCGAGTGGCGCCCTCTGGAGTCATGCGGTGCACAACCTGCCCGGCAGGAGGCAGCAGCCTGAACTTGAGGCTCAGTTCCCACAAGACCAGTGATTTTCAGCCTCCTGTGATGCTCCACACACTGGCATGTCAAGACAATAGGAGGTGGTTGCAGGTCACTGGTTACTAGTAATAAATAAAGTACAAACATGTTCAAACACATTCCTTCTTTATTACAAGTTAAGGGAAGCTAAGATCATTGCTAGATCACTCTCACTGTGAGGGAGATATGCTGGCTTTGTTTTTCATATTTAAACATTAGATAACTGAGAAAGAGAGCAAGAGAACAAAGACAAGAGAGAGAGCTAGAGCGAGCGAGAGAGAAGGTGGTGGAGATACAGCTCCAGAATGCGAATTAGGTGTAACTGAGCACTTTATCCTACTGTGCCAGGGATATGAAAGTCATTAGTCAAGTGTGTTGCCATGGAAACAGAGTCAAAGATCACCAGACAAAACTATGAGCTCTTAGGGCAAGAATTATATCTTAGTCATCTTCCTAAAGTTTTTCATGCTGCCTGGCACAGATAAAATGGTCAATCTACATTGAATTTCAATTGTCACTATCAATACTCCTGGCACCACTCTGCCTATGGGGATCTAGTGAGACTTTAGCTTCCATACTTCAAAGGTGGGAAGTCACAGCTTGTGAGGCTGTGAGACATGGGGCTACCCTTGAGCTGACTGTGTGTTGCCTTTGTGAGAACCCATTTCTCACCCCTTGACTCAGATGACATTTCTCTGCTTAGTACATAGTGACCAGCCTTTTAAAAATAATCCTTTAAAAGAAACGTGAAACCCCAGCTGGGCACGGTGGCTCATGCCTGTAATCCCAGCACTTTGGGAGGCCAAAGTGGGTGGATCACCTGAGGTCAGGAGTTCGAGACCAGCTTAGCCAACATGGTGAAACCCTGTCTCTATTAAAGAGACAAAAATTTGCTGGGTGTGGTGGTGCATACCTGTAATCTCAGCTACTCAGGAGGCTGAGGCAGGAGGATTGCTTGAACCCGGGAGGCAGAGGTTGCAGTGAGCCAAGATTGCACCATTGCACTCCAGCCTGGGAGACAAGAGTGAAACTCCATCTCAAAAAAAAAAAAAAAAAAAAAAGAGTGAAACCCTTATTAAATTTGGCAACATTGTTTACCCCCTGCTTTTTCTCATGGCATTATTATTTATCTTTATTTTAAAATGTATTATAAATGTATTTGTCAGCAACATGGTATGTATTTTAAGAGAAGTAAGTGGTATGCTTGGTACAGATCCATTTTTTGAAATGAGAAAATCAAGGCAGTAAATTCATAGTTACATGGAAGGAGGATCTATAAAGGCAGGTTTCTCCTCCTATGCTGTGTTGTGAAACACATCTTGGCTTAAAAATCACAATAAGCTTTGGCAGTTCTAGAGTTCACGAGGTCCTCAGAGATCACCTAAAGCGGCCTTCTCTTCACAGAGGAGGTCATTGGAGGGCAAGTGAACTTGATCCTTGAGGAAAAACATGATCTGCCTTCTGCAGTGTGGGGCATTAGAAACGTGTCTGGATGTGGGGGTTGAGCAGCTTGGCACTCATGCTCACATCTTGGCTCTTCTACTTGCTGTAAGATCCCTGGCAAGTTCCTTAACCCAGTCTCTTCATATCTAAAGTAAGGGTACAGTCTTACTCTGCCTGTGGGGTTGTAATGTGAATTAGCAGAGAGAGCATCTTTTGCTGCACTGGCCATGTAGTAGAGTCACAATTGTCATCATTAAAAAGTGCTTTCTGCTAACTGTCTTCAAGGCTATTCCCTGTCCCTGATTAAATAAATAATCAAATTCTCTGTAAAGACCATCTTTTCTTTTCTTTTCTTTTCTTTTTTTTTTTTTTTTTTTTGAGATGGAGTTTCGCTCTTGTTGCCCAGGCTGGATTGCAGTGGCACAATCTCAGCTCATCACAATCTCCTCCTCCCGGGTTCAAGCGATTCTACTGCCTCAGCCTCCCGAGTAGCTGGGATTACAGGCAGGCGCCACCACACCCAGCTAATTTTGTATTTTTAGTAGAGACAGGGTTTCTCCATGTTGGTCAGGCTGGTCTCGAACTCCCGACCTCAGGTGATCCACCTTCCTCGGCCTCCCAAAGTGCTGGGAGTGCAGAAGTGAGCCACTGCGCCTGGCCAAGACCATCTTTTCTATACAGGCAGCCAATAATTGGCAAAAACTCTTTCCCTACCACTGCTACCTCTGTACTTGGAGACAAGATTTCTGGGCTTAAGGACTGGGTGCATGGCCTTTGTCTCAGTGTTTCTTCAGAACATATCTTGGGGAGTTTTCAGGTCATTTGTAAATGAGGGCAAGGCTCTCTCTCAAATGGGACTTCAGCGTCTGCATAACTCTCTACAGTGCTGTTTGAAGTTGTTGATATTTTGCAAAATGGTGCAGTATATTCTTATTCTTTTTAATACACCTGAACCAAGGCAGATAACTGTAGATTCACATTCTAGTGACGCTCCGCATCTTACCCGAGATCACTCATTGAGTTTGCTGCAAAGCCAGAAACCTATGATGCAAAACACAAGACCACATTCCCTCCCTTCCTACCACATAAACTAAGAAAAGCTCATGAAGCAGATGGCTAAAGACAAATAAATGATTCTCATGCAATTTGAGGCTATGCCACGCAAACAACATGCTCAAGTATGGAAGGCTGTCCTCTTTGGGGCTCTCACTGTATTCTCTTCTCTACAATATCTTAGGCCTAGACTTGAAGTTAGGATTTCAATTTTAAGGTTTATAGTGAAGCATTGATTTGTGTGGTTGCTTAATTGGCCAATGAGTATATAGAAAACTAAGGGATTTAGAACAGCCTTCAAGTTCTTCTCTCTAGCCACCTCTCTTGTTCTGCCTTGTATTACGGCTTATTAGGGGCATGACTGCTGCATTAAAGCTGACCAGGAATAATGCCTTATTCTTCTTTGCAAACTTTTCTCTCTGACTTAGTGCTGAAATCTGAGCATAAACAGTACTCTACTGTTAACTAACGGCATAGCTTTGGAACTCTGATTTTATCCCTGAAAACACATCTCCTGCAGTCTTTCTTGTCTCAAGAAATGGCATCACTATCTACCCAGTTGCCAAAGCCAATGCCTATGTTATACATTAGTCCTCTCTTTTTTGCCCACCACCTCGCCACATCTAATCCATCAGCAAATTGTGTTAGGTCCCCTCAGAGCTGGCATTGGCTGATGTGGTCACACAGATTGTCAACATGGGAAAATTCTCCCAGACAATTTTGTAAGTCATCTCTTCCATGGACCTCCTGAGGGTCTTCATCCTCTCATCTCAGCACCCCAGTCCCTTCCACCAAGCCCCCATCTTCTATCCTCCCTCATGGTCTAACAACCAAATGGTCAATTCCTAGCCCAGGAAGAATCTAACCTTTCTGAGCTCCATTGTTCTCATTCATTGTAGATGGGGACAATAATATCACAGTTAGCTTTACTATGAGGATTAAATAAGAGAATGTATTCAAGGTTGTAAACTCATAAGGCCTGGCCTGCCCAACGTGGACACTCATAAGTAAGCTTACTTCCCTTCTGCTTTGATTAATATGGTGGGAGAAGCATGGCTTTTGGGGAAAGATAGACATGAGTACAAATCCGGGCCTCACCTCCTGACCTGTGTGACCGGGGAAATGAACCAACATATTTGAATCTCTGTTTTCTTGTCTGTAAAATAGGAATAAGGAATATCTAGTGCTGTTCCTGGGCTTAGAGGGTATCTATCTTCATTAAATATTAACTTCCTTTGGCTAACTGAGTTTGCATTAGTGGATGGCTTTGTAATTAAGAAATGTAATGAATGCTTAAAAAGTCTCCAGACTCTCTACTAAAAATACAAAAAAAATTAGCTGGGCGTGGTGACGGGTGCCTGTAGTCCCAGCTACTCGGGAGGCTGAGGCAGGAGAATGGCATGAACCCAGGAGGCGGAGCTTGCAGTGAGCCGAGATCGTGCCACTGCACTCCAGCCTGGGTGACAGAGCAAGACTGCATCTCAAAAAAAAAAAAAAAAAAAAAAAAAAAGTCTCCAGACAACAATGAGATACTACTGTGCACTTTTAAGGATGGCAAAAATACCAAATGCTTGAAACACCAAATGCTGGCAAGGATGTGGAGCAACAGGAAGTCTCATTCACTGCTGGTGGGAATGCAAAATGGTACAGCCACTATGTTAAAAATTTGGCAGTTTCTTGCAAAACTGAACATACTCTTACCATATGATCCTTGGTGTTAACCCAAATGAATTAAAAACTTATGTTGACACAAAAACTTGCACATGGTTTTCTATAGCAGCTTTATTCGTAATTGCTAAAACTTGGAAACAACAAAGATATCCTTTACTAGGTGATATGGTTAGGCTTTGTGTTCCCACCCAAATCTCATCCTGAATTGTAGTCCCCATAATCCCTACATGTCTAGGGGGATACCTGGTGGCAGGTGATTGGATCATGGGGGTGGTTTCCCCCATGATGTTCTCATGAGAGTGAGTTCTCACTAGATATGATGGTTTTATAAGGGGCTTTTCCCCCTTTGCTACTCACTTGTCTCTCTCCTGCTGCCTTGTGAAGAAGGATATGTGTGCTTCCCCTTCCATCATGATTTTAATTTCCTGAGGCCTCCCTAGCCATGTGGAACTGTGAGTCAGTTAAACCTCTTTCCATTATAAATTACCCAGTCTTGGGTATTTCTTTATAGTAGTGGGAAGACAGACTAATACAGTAGATGAATGGATAACTAAACTGTGATACATCTAGACAATGGAATATTATTCAGCTCTAAAATGAACTATCAAGCCAGGAAAACATATGGGGAAACTTAAATGCATATTATTAAGTGAGAGAAGCTATTCTAAAAAGGCCGTATGGTTCCAACTATATGATATTTTGAAAAAGGCAAAACTGTAGAGATAATGAAAAGATCAGTAGTTGCCAGGGGTCAGGGGGAGAAAGGAATGAATAGTCAGAGCACAGAAGATTTTTAGAACAGTGAAACTTTCGGTATGATACTACAATGATAGATATATGTCATTACACATTTGTCAAAACCCATAACACATACAGCACTAAGAGTGAACCATAATGTAAACTATGGACTTTCAGTGATGGTGTGTCAATGTAGGTTCATCATTTTTAACAGATGTACCATTTTGGGGGGGCTGTGCATCTGTGGGGGAAAGGGGTATATAGAAACTTTCTGTAAATTCTGATCAATTTTGCTATAAATCTAAAACTGCTCTAAAAATAGCCTATTTTTAAAGAGTCTAAAATTCAGACTTTTTCTAAGAATTGCCCTCTATCCTAAGAATTATTTTAGACACTTGTAGCTTTTTGGTAGGAAATTGGTAGACATCGTATGTCCCTTGATAGTAATTCTCTCCTCCCATGCCCAGTGTACCATAGGTCATTTTCCTTTGGTAAAACTTGAATGTACTTGGCCTTGCAGATATTTTGCTGCCTGTGGTTAAGTCAGACATCACAGTGAATGAAAAGGAGCACTGGTCTGTGGTAGATACAGTTTGTTCTAGGATAGGAATGCCAAAACAGAATACTTTTAACCACCGGAGCATTTTCCACCCTGGGACGTGTAGCTAGTGGAGCTTGTTGGCATACTGGCGGTGATTGCTTTCCTGATTTTGTCCTTTGTTTTTGGCAACCTCTAGTTTGAGTCAAGATAATAACCCTCTGGAAGAGTTTCATTGAGCCTTTGAGAATGAACAGTTGTTCCACCTCAAATCCTTTGTAGAATGAGGTGGACTATAAATGTATCCTATGTGAACAAGTAGGTAAACAACACACATTTCTGTTGATTATCTTGTATCACTCATTTGATTAGAAGAATCTCATCACTAGATAGAAGAGTTGAGGTGCCATGAGTTTACTAAAGGCTGGGGCACCAGGAATTTGCATGTGACCCTATAAGACTAACTCCTCTGTTACTCACACCTGCCTCTTTCCTGAGCACCAGGATGGTTGAGGAAAGGGAGGGTTAGTTAGGAGAGGGTGTGCCTCTGTCCCCTCCCACCGTGTATGTCCAGGCCACTCAGTTCCTGGGGTGTTCCTTATCAAGGGATGAAACCATGAGCAATCAGGAAGGAAAGACAGTGCCGATACCACCATGGGTTCCGCTTAGTTCTTATGCGTGTTCCCAGTGTTCTCATGGAGAGCAGTTCATGGGCTCATTGAGTAAATCCAGGAAGAACATTCTTACATCTATGTGATTAATCAGTCGGCATTCTTATGTTCTCAGGGCCTACCTGCCAGGATTTGGGTTCTCAGTCGGAGAAGTATCAGCGAGTAAAGTGTAAGAATCCCTTTTTCTACTTTCCTTGCATTCCCTGAGTACCCCAATAAATGTGGGAACATCAATCAGGCCCAATGCTTCCCTACACGGAGTTTTAGAAGGGTATCATACATATCCTGTACCCCAAATACCCAATGCCCAGTTCTCTCTGTGTCACTGGACTCTAAGGGAATGAGGTTTTCCAGAGAGATTTATTCAGGCTTCATTTTGAATGCACTAAGAAAATGAGACCTGTATGAAAGTGAAACTAGCCTCGTTTTCCACAGGAAATCAGATCTAAAATGTGAGCGTTTTCGTTTGTGTTGGCTTTGAGTTTGGGGTGAAGGTTCGTTTAGGTTCTTGTTTTCCTTAAAATGTTCCTATCCATAGATATCCTGGCTAATGAGGCCGAGTCATGTGATCTAAATTGGCAGATGTTTCACTGAAGTCACTAAGAGTTTGGCGTAAATAAGGATTGAACAAGAATTTAGGATTAATTTCCTTGGTCCCAAAAGGTGGACTAAGTTTTTGGGACCCTTGTTTAAAGGACTTGCATCCAGATTGCCATCCACCATCTGGGTACTTGACAAAAAGAATTTGGGTTTTTAAAAAAAGTCTCCCCTTAGTCCACTTCTAAACCCACGTAAAAGCAGTTTGGAACTGGTCAGAGCCCCACAGAAAGAAATAGGAGACTGAGATTTTTGGATAAAAGTTTTTCTTTTTTATGGAGATAATTGGCAATAATACTGACTTTCAGCCTAGACTCCATATCCTTTATCTCGATCAGAAAACATTTTGGATAGAAAGGTGGGGTGGGAGTGAGCTCATTGCCTGCAGTGACTCCCGCACAGGGACCCTGAATAAGACATTCATTGGCAGAAAAGCAGTGGTTACTGAAAATGGCTGGGGGAAGCGTGGAGAGGAGGGGGAGTGGAGCGGGGCTTGGGTTCCTTCCTCCTCAGGGGAGCTATTTTTTGCTTTACATGCAAAGAATTGCTTTGTACAGCCAAGTTGGTCTTGATCTTGTTTACATAAAAAAATCGAACATTTATTTTGCGCTGGGTTATTTTTTTTCTTCCTTGGCCAGTCAGAGGGTCCTAGGCAAATCAATAAACAAAGACCCTGCTCTGTTTTCACTTTGTGGTGGGGGATTGGACTGGGTAACCCTTCAGTGACTGGATTAGCTTTTCCTATGGGGACTGACATTTGCTGCTTTGGTCAGATGAGTTGTCAGTGACATGCTGGTTGTGCTGGAGACCTAGAGCCTCACGGGACAGTGGAAGGACATGCAGGATCTCTGTCCAGAAGGTTACGTGGCAGATGGTGAAAGCAGGAGAGAACGAAAACTCTCCTCTCTGGCCTCTGTGGAAGTCAGCTGAAGCCCTGAGGCATGGGATTTGGTTACTCTAATCTTAGCCCAGTCAACAGCTAGCATTATTGTTGATCATTAAATTAACCAAAATGCCTTTAAAAACTGCAGCCCTGATATTTGATCTGCAGTGTTTCGTGATATGAAATTCTATAGTGGGGCTCCATGCTGGGGGCAAAACAATTTTCTTTTTCTAAATTTACCTGCCGTGAACTTGGACTGACCCTTTGTTCTTTTGTTTTGGAACAACATGAAAAATAAGGGGAAAACATAATCATTGTAAAAGCCTTCTCTTAACCAATGTTGAGCTAGTGACTCTCCAGCTGTTAAAGTTCACAACAGTGGCTTTCATAGTGTTTCATCATGTATACATCCGACCATTTTAATTATTCTTTAATTCCCATTAACTTTGATTGGAGCCGCATGGTTGAGGTGGGGGAGAACAAGGGTTTTGGTGTTAGGCAGACCTGGGTTTGGGTACTTATTCCATTCCTTAGACAAGTTATGTAACCTCTCTAAGCCCTGTTTTCTCATCTATATAATGGAAATACTGAGACTTATTTTAGAGATAATATCTGCAAAGAGTTTATCATAGTATAGCATACCACCCACAGGCTCCCAATACATGGTCCTCATTACTGGTTTCAGTTTTCAAACTCAGAAGTGTGTGGTGACAGGGTTTCTCAAAGCAAGAGGGCCTGTGTCACCACTGGTCTGGTTTCAGTGACTTTTCACTCTTCCAAAGGGTTCTAGAACAATTGTTAGTGGTATGATCAATGGCATGTGTCATACATAATATATTTATTTGTGTGCATGTAAATACATCAAACATGCCCTACCAAACACCCCCCAAAATTGAAAGTAAATTAATTTGGATTAAGCACATTTTTTTGGTCAAACTATATTGTTGCCCAAATTGGACATAGCTCATTACTTTGAGTATACACACGATTGAACAAGTATAAAGTAGTAGAAAAAATATTGAACTCATCAAGATATTTATGAGTCTAGGTTCACCCACTTACCAGCTGTATATATTTGGATAAATTATTTAACTACTTTGTTAGCTGGAATAGTATATGGATACTAATTAATGTAGGTTGATACAAAAGTAATTGCAGTTTTTTGCTATTACTTTAAATGGCCAAACCTGCAACTATTTTTGCACGAACCTAATAGCTAATATTTAATGAGCATTTACAAGTGGCCAGGCACAGTTCTAAACTCTTCACATATATCAAACTCATTTAACAATTACTTAAGTACAATCCCATGGGATAGGAACTATGCTTAGCCCCATTTTGCAGATGGGACTGCTGAAGTTCATGGGATTAAGTGTCTTGCCCAAGTCACACAGATGGAAGGTGGTAGAGATAAAATCTGAACACAGAGAGTTTGACTGGAGTCCATTCTTTTAGCCACTTTACTAGTCTCCCTTTAGTAGCGTTACAAAGGACTGGGGGCCACAGGTCTGAGTGTGAGCCCAGTAGCATCCTTTGTAGCTATGCCATCCATATGAGATTTCTACCTAGACATTTTCACCTAGATTTCTACCTAGAGAATTTATTGGCTTTGGCTCAGATAAGGGGCTTGCAGCAACTTGAGTGTAATAACATGACATGATAAAAACCATGTGAAAAGACCAAGTTAGCATGAAGTCATACCTCATGAAAG
Organism: Homo sapiens; assembly: GCF_000001405.40. NCBI lineage: Eukaryota > Metazoa > Chordata > Mammalia > Primates > Hominidae > Homo > Homo sapiens. The sequence goes on from NC_000007.14 coordinate 33,817,313, forward strand.
GATTACAGTCTAGAAGTCACTGCGGGAGGGGGGTGGTGGTGAAAATGATGTAGAACCAAAATTACCTTTGAAAATCCCTTAAATTGCTCATCACATTCTGCATATCTAATTCCGTGCACACAGCCTGTTACAACATTGATAAACCACAAGGCCATGGGCTCGCTACAAACTCGGGTGGGCACTCCACATGTTCCAGTGACCAGCCTTTCCCTCCCTGTGACAACACTATTTAAATTCATGTTCTTTCTTGCTGACTGTATAAAAATTCAAGTCATACCTTCATTTTTTATTTGTTTCTTTCTCTGACTCTAGTTTTCTTTCTGTCCTGTAAATGTAGTATTCAACAAGGTTTAAAGCATACTTCTTGAATCTTTGTTCTTCCACAACACGGTTTTCAGCTCTGACACCCATTGAACCTACCACTTAGTCCAACGCCACAAACAGTTAATTGAGGGTCCCCTGTGTACCAAATTCTGTGTTTGCTGTACTCCTACCTCTCAGAAAGCTCCAAACCTACAACCTCCTGAACATTTCCACTTAGAAGTCATGCCATGTCTTCATCTTAGCCTGTTTAAACCTGAGCCGGTTGTCTCTCTTGACTTTTGGGAGTTACTTCCTGACTTCCTTCTCTCTGTTGCTGGCAGCAGCTTCTGCCTGTCTGTTGATCCTGACACCACAGCAACATCATAAGAACCTCCTCTGTCTTGTCCCCCATGCCTGAAAAGGCACCAGGTCCTGACTTCTGTAATCTTTTATTTCTTTTGCCTCCAAACTATTCCAGGAGCCCCCATCAGTATCTGGCCTCCTGTACCTCTCCAGTTTCATTAGGACATGCATGTTTGTGAGACTAATTTTCCTTAAAAATTCTTTGTACTGCTTCCAAGATAATCTAAATGCAGTTTGGCTACAACCTAGTGATCCAGGGTTATCTGTGTCTCTGCTTCTACAGAATTCTACAGGAATACTTTTCTTTAGTCACACAGTTGTGTTTCTTACTGTTTCTCCATTTCTCTGCCTGAATACCCTATACTTACTGTAAAGATGGCAATTCTCGAAATTAATCTACACATTTAATGGATTTGCAAATTGAGGTGCAAATGGTTTTATTTTTGTAACTTCTAAAATTTATCTTTAGGAATAGATGCACATGAATAGCAAAAAATATTTAAAAAGAAGGAATTGAAGGGAAATGTACACTAACTAAATATTAAATTGTGAAGTTACATTCAAATAAATATGCAGAAATTTTATCAGAATAGATAGAACAATGAAATAAGACAACCCTAAATGCAAGGATATATCTCTTTTTAGTAGTGAAAAAGTATTTTTTAATGTGAAATGATGGTTTATCCACTAAATGAAGCTAATGTAATTTTGATTTAAAAAATCAAGAATCTTTTACCTCTTACCAATAAAACAAATCCTGGGAAGATAAAAAATTGAAAAGATAAAATACGCCACAAAAGCTCTGGAAGAAATAAATCTTAGTTAACTATTTATAAAATCTGGGAATGTGGGAGGTCTTTTTAGCCATAAACTGAAGGCAAAAACCATGAAAAACACATTTGGATATGTAACTACATAAATATGAAATTATGCATCAAAGGTATCATAAACAGAATTGAAAAGCAAATGGCAGAACTGAGAAAAGTATTTGTAACATATGAAACAAACAAGAGATTAATATATTCAATATGTAAAGAATCACTATGCGCCTATACGAAAAAAATAAATGCTACAATTGAAACAAAGGGGCAAAGGCTAAAAATAGGCAATTCATAGAGAAGAAATATAAATGGTCAGTAAAATATAAAAACATGTTTTTATGTTTTTAACCTTGCTTCTAATCAAATAAATGCAAATTTAAACAAATTACTGCTGATAAGTAAGACTTTTTATTTATTAACTTCTGTACTTCTTGACAACTTTAAAAAGGAACATGCAAATAAAATAAAAAGAATAAAATGTGCTACTGTGAAACTTGTGTAAACCTGTAAAGCACTTACTGTTTTCTAGATCTTAAGAATACTCTTATAGGAGCATACTTATTAGAAAGCTATCTGTTAACAAATACATTGTTAAGAGAAAAAAGTAGCCTATAAATCAGAATGCATAATAAGATCCCATTTTGGTGAAAATACCTGTAGAAATATTAAAAGATGGAAGAAAATCTAGATGCATATATAATAAAATTTTAACAGGGGTTGTTTCTGAATATTGCAAATATGGATAATTTTTTTATTTTCTTGTTCTTGCATATATATTTTCTAGTTTTTCAACCATGAGCTTTATTGCTTGAAAAAAACTTTTATGTATAACATACATATAGAAAATTATGTAACTTGTAAGTGCCAGCTTGATGTATAACCACAAAGTGAGCAAAACCACTGTATTAGTTTCCTAATTTTAGCATCTTTTGCAATCTGGATAGGCCAAGAATCTCTAAAATTATCAAGTGCTAGTTATTTGTTGATTAGCAGTTCTTTCCTCAGTTTATCTCTTTCCTCTAGTGTTTTACTACAAGCAGCAGCAAGCAAAAGCCAGGCTGCACCTTCCACACTTTGCTTGGAAATCTCCTCAGCTAAATATTTAAGTTCATGGCTTAGACATTCTTCCTTACACTCAATGTTAGAACTAAATTTAGCCAGGGTTTTCCCACTTTATAACAGGCAGAGCTTTTCCACCAGTTTTCAAAAACATATTCCACATTTCCTTCTGAGACCTCACCAGAAGTGCCCTTACCATTTGTATTTCTTTTAAGATTCTATTTTTGATGAAATATGTATTCTCTAAGATGATAGAACCATTCTCTTTCCTGCCCTTCTCTTCTTTCTAACTCCTCACCAGAATGCCCTTTAAAGTCTATATCTCTGTCAACCATCTCTGCAGGTTAAACTACGTCTTTCCTATCAGGTGCCTCAAAATTCTTCTAGCTTCTGCCATTTAGCCAATTCCAAGGCCACTTCCACATTTTTTTAGGTTTTTGTTACATCAATACCCCACTTTCTGGGACCAAAACCCATATTGGTTTCCTAGAGCTGCTGTAACAAATTACCTCAAACAGGGAGTGGCTTAAAACAACAGAAATTTATTATCTCACATTCTGGAAACCAGAAGTCCAAAATCTCTAGATCTTGGCTGGGCTAGCCTACGTCTGAAGGCCTAAGAGAAAAACCCTTTCTTGCCACTTCCAGCTTCTCTGGTGGCTTCTGGTGTTCCTTGGCTTGTGGAAACATAACTTTAGTCTCTCTGCTTCAGTTTTCACTTGAGTTTTCACATGAACTTCTCCTTTCTATATATCCCTGTACCTTTTTCTTTTCTGTCTCTTATTAAGACATTCATCATTGGATTTAGGGCTTGTCCTAATCCAGGATGACCTCATCTTGATTACATTTGCAAAGACTTTTCTTCCAAATAAGCCCACATTCCAAGATTCTGGGTAGACACTATTCAGTGCACTATAATTACACAGCTACCATCTAGGTCATGAAATAGAATGTCCTTATGCCCTTCTAACAATCCTTATCCATCTCTCATCTCCGTAAGTTACTACTATCCCTCCTAACACAAGAAATTGTCTTACCTGTTTTTAAGCTTTATATAAATAGAATAATATACAATGCAGCCTTTTACATCTAATTCATTTGGCTCAATATTGTATTTTTGAAATGTCCGTATGTTTTTGCATATAGTAGTGGTTTCTTAATGTTATTTATACATAGCATAATACATGGTATATCACATACTTTATTCATCTATTCTACCTTTTTTTTCAAACTTTTACTTTAGATTCAGAGGGTACATGTGCAGGTTTGTTACCTGGGTATATTGTATGATACTGAGGTTGGGGTACGAATGATTCCCATCACCAGGTACTGAGCATAGTATCCAATACCACTCTACTTTGATAGGTATTTAGGCTTTTCCTAAATGGGAAAAACCTAAGTTTGGGGTTATTATGAGTAATGCTCTTTTGAAAATTCTTGCACATGTTATTTGGTACACACATGTAAGTGTTTTAGTGAGATGTATACTTAAAAGTAGAATTGCTAAATTATAGGGTATTTGTATGTTTGGATTTAAGAGTTACTTCAAACAGTTGTCTAAAGTGGCTGTGTAAATTTGCACCCCCACAGCGATCTGTTTGAAAATTCCAGTTGCTTCACATCCTCGTCTTCATTTGGTATTGTCAACCTTTTCCTATTTTGTCCAGTCTGGTGGGTGTGTAGCAGTATCTCATTGGGGTCTTAATTTACATTTTCTTGATGACTAATGACAGAGCGTACTTTTTCATATGTTTATGCATTGCTTTTTGTATATAAATACAAGAGTGTAAGGTTTTGTTGAAAAGGTGCTCTCCTGTCACAAACATTTCTATGGAGCCATCCAGGAGAGCTTACATTCAGAGAATCCCTCAAAAATAAGCTGGTGAGAGAAAGCTCACTTTAGTCTAGAGATAAATCCCCTTTTCTTCCCTGCTTGTTTTCCAGTCTTCTCCTTTGTTCCAGTCAGAAAAAGATTATCTAGGTGATGTTTGGCAAGCTTTTTTAAAAAAAATCTATTAATGGCAAAATTCTCTTGAATTACTCTTAAACTTTCAAAAGTTCACTCCTTTCCCTATACACACATCCCACTCCTATAAGAAATGGTCTCCAATACCATGGAAGCCTAAGTGGGGCATAGTTACCTAATTTAGGCTTTGCCTATTTGGGGTTACGTAGTTGTTTTTCATCACTCATCACTCCCAGCAGAATTAGAGATCTAACCCTTTTTCTGCATTAGGCTGTGATGAATCATGTCAATTGCAAAGAATTTGTCTTGTTAAAGAGGACAGATGTGGCTATGAATGACTCAAATATGTGAGAGATCATTAGTGTGTTGGATGACAGGTTTGGGACTAACAGTGGCAACTGCTGACATTTGCTGCATGGTTGCTTTGAGCCAGGCCCTGTGCTAAGCCCTTCATTGACATGACTGAAGTATTCTTCACAATAGCCCCATTAAAGGCAGTGAAGGGAAATTAGAAAGCAATGGACTGTCAGCCGACTTTGCAGGAGCAGCTTATGTGAGTTCTGGGCATTTGACCTGGCTTCTTTCACTACCATGATCTCTATAAGAAGAGCAAGCCCCAGGTAGTTGTAGCCTTTTACCCTTGGTATCAGCATGGATCTTCAGGTAGAGCAGACCTGAATGCACCTGGAAGCCTGAGTTCAGCCTAGAACACCAGAATCCCATCCCAATCTGCAGACCTATGAGTGTAAAATAAATATGTGCTGCTTAAACCTTAAAGCTTTATGCAACAATCCCTTGTGTTAGCTTTAAGCTGTTGAAATTTTGAGAGAACGTTTGTTATTATTCGACAGAAACCGAATAATAGAGCAGTACTCTTTTTACATCAATTTCCTCAATGAGTAAATTTAGGCTTGGAGAAATTAAACAATATCCACAGATCACAACCTAATAAGAGAGGGAGCCAGGCTTCAAGCCAGGACTGCCTTATTTCTGAGGAGTCCATGCTCTTAACCACTACACTGTATCTCCTTCCAAATTTGCAACAGGCTAGGGCGATGGGTCAAAAACAATAAGATGGAGTTTCACTGGAAGGAACGCATGGCTCAATGTGTCAGTTAAAACAACAGCAACAAACATAATAGTAACTAGGATACAAGCAGAGCATGAGCAAGGTGCTCCCTGACCACAGGCCTAGTGGTGAGAATCGAAGACTCAAAGCTCAGCTGTTATGGAAAAGTGGCTCGGTACCAGGCCATGTTAGTGGAAGTGTGCTGTCTGGAAAAAAGAAAATGGCAATTGTTTCTTTTCTAGCTGATCAAAGGACACCTGGAATATTACATTTAGTTCCAGGCAACAGATTTCAAGAGGAATATTGACAAGCTAAACTACGTCCAGATGAGAGCAAACAAGATGCTGAGAAAACTCATAGCAGTTGTAAAGTGAAGGAGCATAAGTATTTAACCCAAAGAAGAGAAGCCTCTAGAAGGAGTGATGGCTGTCTTAGGACACCTAAAGTGCTAAAAGGGGCAACAGGGAGGCCAAGTTGTAATCCCCTCTCTCCTGGATGACCACGACTGCCCACAGCAGCCATTGCATTCACCATGTGCATGGTGACCTTTACCAAACACAAATGTGACTTTATTATTGTGGTTCCCCATGCTTCTTCCCTTAGCAAACACTCTCAGTGCAAACACATCCACATACACAGCCACAGATACACATACACACACACACACACACACACACACACCCCTACATATATGGTCTTCTACGTACAGTTACACTTACATACACACCCACTACATATATGGTCTTCTACATACAGTTTCTTCAGAACATAAGGGCAAAGCTCAAAAGATAATGCTTTGTTAGAGGTCTGGGGACAAAGAGCCAGGTAGAAGAGAATTAAGTTATGGGACAAAGGGAAAAAATATGAAGTGATGGTGTGATTATGATGCCAGATACAGCTCCACAAAGAGACACACATGGTTGGTGGCTTGGTCAATAGGATATTACCAGACAGGCCGTAAGGAACCACTAAGCCTCTCCTATTCCACTAAAGGGAGGAAGAACCGGATGGAAGAACCTATTTGTTGAGTCTTTCCCATTTCCTATGGATGCATTCCTATGGAAGTCAGATCCCAACCCCTCTGACAGCTGATAGGACGAAACTCCAGTGGCAGGAAGAGGCACAGCCTCCATGGGATGGCAAGGTTGGGTCTGGGCACCCAGGGCCGTGCTGGAGCCCACATTGGTGGCCCGTGTGCATGCAGGTGGGACTAGGGTGAGGCGGCAGCTCCTGAGGCTGCATCATCCAGGGCGCTCCAGGAGTAGGCAGCCAAGGGTTTGGGAGAGGGTTGAGGAGCATAGAATCTGAAGGTACATATATAGGGTCCAACACACACACACACATATACACTTCTTTAGTTGTTCCCACTACTTTTAGAATAAGGAAAAAATCCTTTGCATGGCTCTTGCCCACTCACTTTAGGTTGGAGTCACTCTGGGTTTCTTTCGGGTCCTCGCATCCATCGGGATCCCTCTTGCCTTGAGCTTGTTCTCTCTGGAACATCATTGGCCCCTAACGCCATCCAAGAGTTAATTCCTATTCATCCTTCAGCTCTCAGCTTGTTATGACTTCTTCAGAGGAGCATTTCCAACAAACCACTTCCCTGCCACCTACCCTGCAGCCTAGGTGGAGCTATGTCATCCAACTATCTTTTCTCTTTCCTTCACAGTACTTAGCCCATACCCATCAGTCATGTTTGATTAATGTCTGTCTCCCAAACTACACAATAAGCTCCATGAGTGCAAGAAATGTGTCTCTTGTTCCCCAGTTTTCCAATGCACCCCCAGTTTCTGCCCAGTGCCTGACACCAGAGCAAGTGCTCATTAAACACATAAAGAGCTTCAAAATAAGAGAGGAATTATATAGACGTTGCATGACAAATGAAGACCAGTTTATACATTATAGTTATCCCCGAAAGAGTATGGGCTGCCTCGGGTGGATTTCATTTCTCTGTTAGTGAATTCTAAATTGATTCATACATCAGATAAGGGTTGGCTGAGATAACTTCTAAAAGTTAGTTCTGAGAATCTGTGCTCTGAATACTCCATGCATTCAAATAATGCCCTGGCATTAAATTATTGTGAGACTCTCTTCCATTCTTTCTACTGGCACTATCCCTTTCCTTTTTGATTTCCCAACCCATGGAGCATTTCGGAAGCATTTGACACTCCCAGCTTGAGACTCAGGAGTCTTGACCCTGCGGGTCATTCTTGTTGTCCTTTCTGCTTCTTGTGGTTTGAGTCTGTGATCCAAAGAATGGGGCTAAATTTGTAATCAGCTCTGTTTATTCTGCCCATTCCAACACCCGAATTTGGAGAGGATGTGTTGGTGGGGAAGCTCACAGAGTGTCAGATTCAGTCGGGGTAGGATGCTGAGTAGAGATTGGGAGGAGGTGAGCAGGAGCAGAGAGAGACAGCACAAGGCAGCCTGTCACTAGCTAACATGATCTGAGCAGGTCTCTGCAACTTCTCAAAGGTTGGATCTTAGGGCATCCCAAGGATGAACACATAGTGTTGCTTAGCATGCTTCTACTATAACATGTTGTTGGCTCTGGCCAGCTTAGCATGTGCAAAAAGCAAGGATCCCTGAAGGAGGGCCTGTGTAGCAGTTTATCTCTTTAAGAGTTTGTTATTTTTTGCAACGTTCTAATGTTCATGGCCTATAGTTTGCCCTGGTGAATGCTTGTTAATGCAGTTTCATTGTTGCCTAGGGAAAAAGAACCCCAGTGACCCACTACAATAACCACTTTAATGTGGGGCCTTTGCTTTGGGCCTGTGTAGGATCCTTTAACAAATGAGCAAAAGTGGCCAAAGTTATATGAGGCAGCATTGCCAGAGGTTTGTGATAAAATCTCTAGTCACTGCCAGGTACAGTGTGAACGCTGTCAGTCTGAGGATTAACTTTTCTGTAGTAACAGCTAAGACTTTTTCTTTTTAAGGTTTCACTGCATGCCAGGCACTGTGCTGGGTGGTAGGGATGAGGATAGGGAAATGCTTTCATTTGCATGATTTCAATTAGTCATCATCATAACTCTCTAAGGTGGATATTATTATTCCTGCTTTACCAGTGAGAAAATGAAGACTTAAATGGTTCAGGTGACACATCCAGGGCCACAAGGTCACAGAGGTAGCAAATATTGGGACTGAGATTCTGCTCCAGACCCATTGCCTGTCCCACACCAGGCTGCCTCAAAAATAACCTGAGCCATTTGGCCTAAGGCTGGGTATTTGGCCCCCATTAGTAACAGGAGTGAGGCTGTTTCTCCACCTCACCTGAGACCTTTCAAAGAGTGAATTGGGGATTGCATCTATGAGCCTTTCAGCTGGGCATTCTCCATCTTCCCTAGGAAACATATAGAAGGTGTTGACAAATGTCAGAATAAATCAGAAAACTTTTGACCAATCATTGCTGTTTGTTCAGCTACTCGTCTTAAATTTCCATTCCGATGATGAACTAAACATTTTCCTTTGTCTCTCAGCAACAGGTACTTTAAATTCTCAAAATAACACCCACTTCACTGGGTTGTTGTAAGGAGAAATGGAAACTTATAATGAAATGCACATATGATCATATTCTCACTATCACCTCATTACATTACATAAAAATTAAGATCTGTAACATGCAGAAAGTTGAAATATACATATACAGACAAAAGAGTCTGACACAATTTTTGTTGTTGTTGTTAATTTCTTTTTTTATTATTATTATACTTTAAGTTTTAGGGTACATGTGCACAATGTGCAGATTTGTTGCATATGTATACATGTGACATGTTGGTGTGCTGCACCCATTAACTCGTCATTTAGCATTAGGTATATATCTCCTAATGCTATCCCTCCCCCCTCCCCCCACTCCACAACAGTCCCCAGTGTGTGATGTTCCCCTTCCTGTGTCCATGTGTTCTCAGTGTTCAATTCCCACCTATGAGTGAGAACATGCGGTGTTTGGTTTCTTGTCCTTGCGATAGTTTGCTGAGAATGATAGTTTCCAGCTTCATCCATGTCCCTACAAAGGACATGAACGCATCATTTTTTATGGCTGCATAGTATTCCATGGTGTATATGTGCCACATTTTCTTAATCCAGTCTATCACTGTTGGACATTTGGGTTGGTTCCAAGTCTTTGCTATTGTGAATAGTGCTGCAATAAACATATGTCTGCATGTGTCTTTATAGCAGCATGATTTATAATCCTTTGGGTATATACCCAGTAATGGGATGGCTGGGTCAAATGGTATTTCTAGTTCTAGATCCCTGAGGAATCGCCACACTGACTTCCACAATGGTTGAACTAGTTTACAGTCCCACCAACAGTGTAAGAGTATTCCTATTTCTCCACATCCTCTCTAGCACCTGTTGTTTCCTGACTTTTTAATGATCGCCATTCTAACTGGTGTGAGATGGTATCTCATTGTGGTTTTGATTTGCATTTCTCTGATGGCCAGCGATTATGAGCATTTTTTCATGTGTTTTTTGGCTGCATAAATGTCTTCTTTTGAGAAGTGTCTGTTCATATCCTTCACCCACTTTTTGATGGGGTTGTTTTTTTCTTGTAAATTTGTTTGAGTTCATTGTAGATTCTGGATATTAGCCCTTTGTCAGATGAGTAAGTTGCAAAAATTTTCTCCCATTCTGTAGGTTGCCTGTTCACTCTGATGGTGGTTTCTTTTGCTGTGCAGAAGCTCTTTAGTTTAATTAGATCCCATTTGTCAATTTTGGCTTTTGTTGCCATTGCTTTTGGTGTTTTAGACATGAAGTCCTTGCCCATGCCTATGTCCTGAATGGTATTGCCTAGGTTTTTTTCTAGGGTTTTTATGGTTTTAGGTCTAACATGTAAGTCTTTAATCCATCTTGAATTAATTTTTGTATAAGGTGTAAGGAAGGGATCCAGTTTCAGCTTTCTACATATGGCTAGCCAGTTTTCCCAGCACCATTTATTAAATAGGGAATCCTTTCCCCATTGCTTGTTTTTCTCAGGTTTGTCAAAGATCAGATAGTTGTAGATATGTGGCATCATTTCTGAGGGCTCTGTTCTGTTCCATTGGTCTAAGTCTGACACAATTTTTAATGTTGAGCAAGAAATTTGGCTCTGAGCTTCCATCTGGTTTAAGTAAAAATGGAAACAAGCTCAGGTATACAGAACCAATTTTCGTACAGAAAAAAGCTATAGAAAATGTCGTTTCTCAAGGGACATGGAAATATTCCTGTCACTTAGATCTGAAATAAATTTCTTTAGAAGATTGAAAAGGACAATAAATTATGTAGTGACTATTGTCCTCATCATCCCTCCTCCCCCATTTAATTCAATAGTACTCTTATGGTGTCTTCATATTATATAAAGGCAAAATACCAAAGTGCAGTCGTTTTAAAGGAATTCTGAAAAAGGACTACAAGATTATGGTTCATTGGTACATATTTCTAGAGCTTCAGTGAATCCAGGATTAAAATCTAAAATAAAAAATAGATGAGATGCATATATTTTTATCTTCTATAAATGACATTTTAATCAATAGAACTTGAAACGAAAGTTGAACAAAAGTGAGTTTGAGGCTGTATAAGGACAAATGTGGCCTTCATGACAGTAGGCTTAAGAGAGGAAGCTTTGTGGCAAGTATGGGTGCTGTGTGGGTGACCAGTGTTTTCCAGTTTGCCCAGAACTTTCCCAGTTTTGAGGCTAAAAATTCTGCATCCTCACAGCTTGTTACCCTGCCCATCTTAGTCCCAGGGAAACTGGGACAGTGGGTGATATGGTTTGTATTTCTGTTCCCACCCAAATCTCATGTCAAATTGTAATCCCCAGTGTTGGAAGAGGGGCTTGGTGGGAGGTGATTGGATCATAGGGGGAAGACTTCCCCCTTGCTGTTCTTGTGATAGTGAGTGAGTTCTCATGAGATCTGGTTGTTTAAAAGTGTGTAGCACTTCTCCCTTCACTCTCTTCCCCTTCTCCAGCTATGTAAGACGTGCCTGCTTCCTCTTCACCTTCTGCCATGATTGTAAGTTTCATGAGGCCTCCCCAGCCCTGCTTCCTGTACAGCCTGCAGAACCATCAGCCAATTAAGCCTCTTTTCTTTATAAATTACCCAGTCTCAGGTAATTCTTTATAGCAGTGCAAGAAAGGACTAACACAGTTGGTCACCCTAGTGCTAGGATAGGTGTTTCAAAGCCACATTTGCATAGCAAGCACACTGTTTTCACTTGGATTGCATGTTTATATAGGGGTGGCTTTGGGGGAAACTGATGGCTTTCCCCGTCAGAGCCAATGCAGGCGCTCTGTTGTCAAATCTGAATGCTTTATCAGTGTGATGATTGGTGGAGTCCTATCTTTATGTAAACCTGAGGAACCTAAACAAGACACGTTGCTGACTATACATCCATCCCCCTTCGCCCTTCAGTGGGTAGAAAAATCCTAGGTCAAAACAAGCATGGGGGAGTTTTCTTCACTGAATTTCTTTTGAAAATTAAAGAGAACAGCCTAATGTAGTGGAAAATACCCAAGCTTTGGAGTTGGCTTACCAAAGTGAGCCTTCTGGCTTTGCCACTGATTAGCTGTGGGATTTGGAGCCTTTCACTTAACCCCATTGAGACTTAGTTTTCTCATCTGTAAAGTGGCCACAGGGATGTCATGAAAATTAACTGAGATACTTGAAAGCCCTTGGCATAGTGCCTAGTTCAACAAATACCTGTTTCCTTCTCCTTTTTCCTTCTCCATCTAGGATGAATGAAGTTTGCCTGCAGGTGGGAGATTTGAACCAAAACAATAATTGCTCTTTAGATAAACCTCAGCAGCTGGAATATTCCCACTGCACCACAATGATGAATGGAGAACTGAACGTCTCGGGCCCGTTCCTAAGTTTGTTTTGTCTGCTTGCAAAAGATGCGATTTTGCAAAGTACTTTATAGATACTAAATATTAGTTTGGCTGTATCTAAAACATGTTTGGACTATAGAATCTCTTCTTTAGCCAGTAAAAGTGTGTGTACTCTCTTTCTCTTTCCTTTTTTGGCTAGAATCATTTTTTCTCCACTTTTGCCTTCTATGTTGTTAGACTTACTAGTTGTGGGCTCTTGGGCAAGTTATTTCCCTTTAGTAGACTTAAACTCCTTAAAACAAAAGGGTGAAACTAGATAGTTTATAAGGGCCCTTAAGCTCCAGCATAATGTTATGTGGGGAATAATGTTCTTTTATTAATTTAGCAGATATTTATTGAACACTACTTAGTCTTGATAGTACTTGGTACTACTTAGTCTTAATAGTACTTGATACTACTAAGTACCAAGCACATATGCACTAACTAAGGATATAGCAGAAACTAAACAAGCAATATTTCTGCTCTCATGGAACTTACATACCAGTGAGGGAGGCAGAAAACAAAGTATAAATGAGTATATACATTTAAGGGGTGGCAAGTGTTGCAAAGGAGAGCGAAGCAGGGAGAAGGGAGAATGAGTGACAGTAATGGTGAGGTAGGGAGGCTGAATCTGATGGTGCTTTTGAGATGTGGTGGGTAGGAAAGTTCTCTCCAGTAGCTGCACAAATGTGCAGAGACCTGAATGAAGTATAGAACAAGCCATGCAGACACAAGGGAAGGGGTGTTCTGAGCAGAGGATACAGTACGTGCAAAGGCCCTGAGGTCGGAGCATGCGTGCAGTTACAGGGGATATCAGGGAGGCCAGTATGACTCTGAGTTCTGTGAGCCTGGGGACAGTAGTTAGGGATGAAGCCAGGGAGGGGGTTCGGTGTCTGATGACATAGGGTGATAAGAATAGGTCACCATCGGCTCAGAATCTGTACCCAGCACACGTTCTCCTGCTGATCCTAGCATAGGATCAAAGCCCATCTTCTTCTCCTCTCTAATTTCTAGGTGCTGGCTTCCCACAATCACTCTTTCCATGACACTGTGTTTTTCAACCTCATCGGATGCATGAGGAGGTGTCTTTAAAGATCATCAGTCCCACTAGGGCACGAGAGGGCTCAGAAGTTCGACTATCTGGCCTGCTATTCCCCATTTTTATAGGGATGAGGGCTGACCCTAGGTGCCTTCTTTCCTCATCTCCCCACCTGGACTGGCCCTCGGAGGTGTGGAACACATGTAGTGTGTTTAGTAAGAAAATTAACACGTACTATTTCCTATCACATTAAATATGAAACTGTGGTGGAAAGCAAACTTTGGGGAAAGGTAAACTCCTGTTTTGTTAATGCTTTGGCAAGATTTCCCCCAATGGCTCTGTGCTTGCTCTAAGCTGGATTTACACCAAGCTCACCCTTCTCAGCACCTGTTTTTCTCTTATGTAAGGGAAAAAAATGTCTTGAAAATCTGCACTGGGCATTTGCCATGCTAGACTGAGAAACACCAAAGTTTAACCTTTGTTTTTTCAATTTTCTGGCTAGTCACTAAGGACTGGCCTCCTACGTCCAGCTGAAGCTACGCTATATCTTTAAGGGGGATGTGGAAAATCCTCCTCTTTATCAGAGTACTCAGTGAAGATATTGATAGAATATTTCTTTCCATGGGATTGACTGCCTCTTTCTTATACTCCAAGGAACTGGCAGAGTCCAGGACAAGCCACTCAAGCCTTAATGCATTTGAAACCATCCCTAACCATTTCATGTTCTGGGAATTCTCTGTGTTCAATAAAGGGATGTTAATAACATATTTTTGAGTGGCTGCAAAGTTCTAGGGACAATGCCAGATACTTTTTACATAAATCATCTCCTTTAGTCTTGGCACAAGACTAGGATGGTGGATTTGATGATCCCCACTTTTCAAGTGAGGCTCAGGTGAAGCACCTAAAGTCTCATCGCTGGTGGGTAGGAGAGCCAGGATTTTTTTTCTTTCTCTGCCTCCCTTTGAAGGGTCACTCTCCTGTTATTCTTTCTAGACATTATTAGCCTTCACACTAATGAAGACTGGCTACTTGACCCAATCCATTCTCTCTTCGAATGCCAGCTGGATTGGAATTGAGGTTTTCGGGAAGACGTGGCACAGCAGAACTTGTGTTTCAGACAATGGTCTTTAAATAAAGATGAGCTGGGCTTGGCGCCACACCTACGCCCGGCCTTCCCCAGCCAAAGCAGAAAGAGGGTTGCGCAACTCTTCAAGCAGTGCAGGGCTTCAGAACAGCTGGTTCTGCTTCCTCACCTTGCAAACAATCACCAAGAGTTACAGGAATCTCACCAGGGGCGTTCGCTTCTCTTGCCTCTTCAGCCTCACTATATCCCTGAGCAGTTGGTTGTGCTTCCAATTGCCCTTCTTCATGCAGAGCTGCGGGAAGCCTGGACAAGTGACGTGACTGTCCGGGCTCCAACAGTCTTGGAAATGGTCTTTGAGTTTTGGTTTCCAAGCACCCAGGTGTTTTAACATCTAACGCTTTCTCCTGTGGGATTTCAGCCGGGATGGAACTTCTCTGGCTAAGTATGAGTTAAGTGAACCCAGCTGTTTTGGAGATTGGGTCACTGAATTGTTCTTTCTGGCCCCTTCTGCCTATTACTTTGCTTTGGAACAGAAATTCCACTGCATCTGCCTGTGGAGAACTCAGCTGGTGTCAGCAGCATCTTCTTGGATCCATCAGCACTCGCTGACAAACAAGGAAACTGGATCCATGTTGGACACACACTCTTCTCAGTTATGTACTTTGTCTCTCTGTAATCCCTCTGGTATTGACAAATAGAGCTCCAGGACGCGGTGGCTGTGACAGCACCCGCAGACAGCATGTATTAGCATCCGCATTATCGTCTTGGCCCTGACAGCCTGGGCACTGGAGAGAGGATTAAGTGATTAGTAGTGTGTATGTTACAACCATCTTTTTATTCCTTGGGACTTTTCAGTTTTGCTCACTTCATAAAGACGTAAAAGAGGGCTCTGAGTAAAAACAGATGCACTTATACATTTCTTTGGGTCTGATGGGCAGCATATGTCGCAGACATTTGGGTGATGTTGAGACATTATCAAATTTCTTCATGAACACAGCAAATCATCTTGCCTTTGTGAAAACTATTGTTTTAAGGGCTGGCTTCAAGGTATATTAATTAAAAAAAAAAAGATCTGTTTTCATCTCCAGTGTATTATATTTGATGAACTGGCCTATGAAGGTGTGTAGGTTAGATAATCATCTAGTAAACTTTGTTCCCTAGAAATTTACTAAAGGGGAGATTGATGTCAGGGCGCTTTGACCCTGAGATGGGTTTAACGTGATTGTTAAATATTATCATTTTAAATGGAATTTCTTTTTCCTGATTTGATCAAATTCTCTAAAATATTCATCCACAAGAAGTGGTCCAAAAAATGTCAGTCATCTCTCACACTGTCATTTTTATGAGTCATATTATCTTACACATTTTTAGAGTGGAAAAGCCTATCACAGTCATTATAAATTAGAACCTTTAGTCTTTATCATAGAGTTTGATTTTTATATTGTAAAATGTTGACCTCATATTTTACGTTTTAATTCTTCTTACTTCACCCATTCAACAAGCTTTTTTTTGTTTTGTTTTGTTTTGTTTTGTTTTTTAGATGGAGTCTTGCTCTGTTGCCCAGGCTGGAGTGCAGTGGCACAATCTCAGCTCACTGCAAGCTCCGCCTCCTGGGTTCACGCCATTCTCCTGCCTCAGCCTCCCGAGTAGCTGGGACTACAGGCACCCACCACCACACCCGGCTAATTTTTTTGTATTTTTAGTAGAGACGAGGTTTCGCCATGATAGCCAGGATGGTCTTGATCTCCTGACCTCGTGATCCACCCACCTCAGCCTCCCAAAGTGCTGGGATTACAGGCGTAAGCCACTGCGCCCGGCCTCAACAAGCTTTTTATTGAGCATCTACTATGTGGAAGTGGCAGAAATCCAGAAAAATTTTAAAAGTATTCTTTGCTCCCCAAAAGTCCACATTCTAGTTGGGAGAAAATACTATTATATTGGTTGTAGAGATGTTATAAGCGAGTTCGTAACTGAGTGCCAAGTGGGATACAGCAACAGTCTGTTGAGTGGATTCAGTGCAGGGATGAATCTGTCATGGTGGAGAAGGTAGACAGGGCTCTATAGAAGAGGGGAGATTAAGATGGCCCTTGAAGGAGAGTCATGCCGGAGGGGTAGGGGAAGCAATTAGTAGTTCACATATGGGGTTCAAAGTTACATTGGAAAGTGAGATCAGAGCAGGCCGACCTTGAATCATCCCATTTGGGGAGTTTTTGCTCAGAGCCCTCTTTTACACCTTTATGAAGTGAGCAAAACTGAAAAGTTTCAAGGAATAAAAAGATAGTTGTAACATACACACTACTAATAACTTAATTTTTTCCTGTAGGAATAGGGAGCCTCTAAAACTTCTGGAGAAGAGATGTGAATGAGAATACAGTTTAGAAAGAGAATGCTAGTTTGATCAGAGTTCACAGGATACACCAGCAGGTAGGATGAGGCAGGTGGCATGGAGAGCAGGCAGGCGACCCCTGCAGTGATCCAGGGGTGAGGTTAGGAGGGCCTGAACTCTAGTTAACATGGGAGAGGAGGGTGAGGTTTTACAGAGGAGGAAGTTAACTAAGCTGAGTCGTTAAGAGTAGGAGTAACTGACATTTTTGGTCCCCTTCCTCTCTGCCTGAAAAACTGTTAAGCACTTTACATGTTTTTAACCTTTATAGAAACTCTGTGAAGTGAGAACTCTCATTAGTCCCACTTTCAGATGAGGAAACTGAGGCTTGCAGGAGTCAAGTAACTTGACCAGTGTCACATTGTGGAAGTGGGAGAGCTGGGATTTGAACTTACACTTCAAACTCTTAACCCCCAAGTGTGCCTTGCTATCTGATTATTGAGGGGATGGGGTGGTGGGGAGTGGGGAGGAGAAGTAACTTTTTAAAAAATACTGGAAATGTAACCTTTCAAAATAAATTTTTTATTATTATTTTCTTGGCCTGAGTTAAATAACTAGTTTGAAATAGAGATGAATAAATTATATTTTCAAAAAGAAAAAAGAATAACTCTATGGGTTAAAAGTGAAGTTCATTCAAAATGTCCTATCTTAAAATAGATGCGAATTTCAGAAATGCAACATGATGTTGATCTTAATCCTCTTATTTACATGTTCTCATACACAGAGTACTGTATAACGTGAGTCTGCCTGTGTGTACATGCATGTAACTGTCACCCAGGGACTCAAACAAATGTAACCTTGATTCAAGCTTGAGGGAAAGAATGGCTGTCATTTCGACTTTTTAAAAATTATCTGTTTATTTCCCTTTCTCTGTCGATAACTCCTAGTTGTAATGCTGAAATCTTATAAATACGGCACAGTTAACTTGCAAAAGGAGCTTAGTGTTCTCGGGGCAGTCCAAGTTGAACAACACATAATTTGGCACAATTTGGCGGGCCTGAGTTGAAGACCAATACAAGACTGAGAAAGCATAGAGGCTTTATTATTTCTAAGTGAGTTCACGTAGTGTACACGGGTTGAGCTGATCAGAACTCCCACCCAACCCTCCCTCTGCCCCATCCAAGGCGTTTATTCCTTATGCTTTCATAAGTGTCGCATTCACAGCACAACGTTTCTCTTTCCCAAATAGGCATGTTGTTGTTTCAAATTAACATCTGTGCTTACTGCAGAATAGTGAATGCCATCTTCTTTTGCCCCGCTGACCCTGATGGTGTCACTGAGGCTTTCAAAGCAGAGTGACCAGGCACAGCTATAGTTTTCTGCAGTATCAGGAAAGGGGTGGAGGAGGGGAGGGCTTCACTATCTAGTCCTAGTGCTCAAGATGACACTGACACACAGAAGAAAAGGATATATATGTAGAATTGCTTGAATTCTGGAGAAAAAGACAAAAGAAAACTGAGATGTGTCAAGTATCTATGTACCAGTCACTATATTGTATAACTTGGTGGCCATATACTCAGTTCCAGATTTTGCCTAGCATAATTATAATATAATTCCCTTTCATTTTCAGAAATATCCTGGTTTGGATAATAAATTATATTGTCACCCTATGTACACTCTGAACAAGGACTCTTTAGGCAAAATCTTATTATTTCCATTATTTCTGGAAGCTGGGTCTCTGAGAGGTTAACTACCTCAAAGCCACACAACAAGAATCTGGCAACAAAGATTTTTCTTTTGCTTCATCATGGTACTTCCCAAAGAGTGTTTAATCTATACCAAAAGAATAGTACTCATCTAATAATAGGACAAAGTAATTTATTTTCAAAGCTATTTGCAAGGAAAGCATGTTCCTTCAGTGTTTCCCAACAGGGGGGAGCTGGATTTGTCCTGCGTTTCCAGACACTGTCTCTCACTTTGTCCCCTTGTGAGACTAGGGGTGAAATACGGAGAAACAGATGAAGAACTGGTGGTCACAATGGAGGCTGTGATATGAGCTCATGGATTTCAAGAAAAGTAACAGAGCTATAATAGAATCAGACACAGAACTCCTCCTGGATATTATAATTATAAAGTTGGTGACTGAGCCAACCTACATGCCAGAGCCAAGGATGCTAGTAGCATTTATAGTGTCATGCTTTTGCA
The DNA here is from genome assembly GCF_000001405.40 of Homo sapiens. Classification (NCBI taxonomy): domain Eukaryota; kingdom Metazoa; phylum Chordata; class Mammalia; order Primates; family Hominidae; genus Homo; species Homo sapiens. The sequence goes on from NC_000007.14 coordinate 33,836,391, forward strand.
CTACGTTCTGTCAGAAAGTAATAAAGTGCTTTATCCAGTGCGTGTTTGATATTAGCCAATCACAGATGACTAAGATTCTTTCAGGCATTTTGAGTAAACTTACACTACGGGAAATACGATGGATAATAAATAGCCTGATACAGTGGGTCTGAAAACCTTGATTCCACCTCTGCATTTCACATTTACTAGACATGTAACGTTGCTCAAAGAATAGACCTTTCTCGGATTCTGTTTCCTCATCTTAAAAAAAGAAAAAAATCTGACATTAGATTATAAGGGGTCCCTACTAGTTTTTGTGAATAAAGGTTTACTAGAACACAGCCATCCCATTTGTTTACATATTGTCTGTGCCAGTTTTTGAGCTACAATATGAGCTGAGTAGTTGCAACAGAGACTTCATAACCCACCAAGCATGAAACATTTACATAAGGCCTTTTACAGAACAATTCAGCTGACCACTGGATTAAGTGATCACTGAGGACACCGTCACACTTTGTATGTGTCTAACTCCAGGAAAGGAGAGTGAGAAAGGGAAGAAGGTGTGGTCAGAGTTATAAATCTGAATAAAATACCCAGAGCCCACCTTGCAAGCAATCCGCAAGTCGATCGTCCTAACAGTGAAAGATGCAGCACCCTCTACTGGCCAGGAGGACTTTTTGCATGTAATATGGGCTGCAGGATACAGAGAAAGGTAAAAGCTTTGTGCAGGTGTGTCAGATCGTTAAGACTCGTGTTCAATATGATGGCCACTGCAAAGCAGCAGGGAAGTTTCTGTTTGCCCCTGATGACTTTGAATTCATAAAGCACATGCTTTAAGTAGAGAAACGTGGGGAACTTGGGTCCTCCAGCTAGAGTGTAAAGCTTCTTGGGAGAGAAGTAAGACTGAGAGGACAGGGAAAGCATGCTGAAAAGGACTTAATCATGGCGAGTGAAGCCAAAGCTAATAAACAGTGCTGGATGGGTTCTCATGGCCTCAGACAGTGGGTGAGGATGGTTATTGTTGCAATTGCAGTAAATCATACTAATCCCAATGCCAAAAGCCACTTTGAATGATGAAGTGAAGCAGCCTGCGATGGCGACCAGGAGGCTCTGTGTTGCTGCCCCAGCCGGGTGGGGCTGCTGTCAGCCCTCGCAGGCGAGCTCTGGATCCTGTCTTAGGGGCCCAACTCTGCCTTCAGAGGAGACTTGCAGAACTGGCAGATTTCAGTTTGGTTTGGAGTTTTGTTGTGTGTGTCTTGGCAGGAGGCGACCCTCCTCCATCCACAGAGCGCCCCGGATTAATGGCTAAAGTAACACCTACTGGCGGGACCAACCCAGGCTCAGAGCAGGCTTTCCGCTGTTGATTCACGACTCCTCTTGACTCACAGCCTCATTCCGTTTTGTTGGCTGTTTGAGGCTCCTGCCCTAACGTCCAAACTTCGTGATATGAAAAACACCCTGAAGAGTAGGTGTGCTTTCCTTCCCAGCATGGAGCACGTGCTCTGTGGTGGGGAAACCTTGTGGGGAAACAAGAGGACAAGTTGTTTTGCACAGTAGTGAATCTCAGGGCAAAAAATAAAATTAGCTTTAACTCACGAAGTTTTGACCTGGGTGCTTTCTTTCTTAAGTTGCCTTGAACATCTGCTCACAATATTGGGGAATGGTTGAAATGAGGTCCTAGGCACCCAAATCCAAATGAAGACTTGGGTTTGTTCCTTTCAGCGCCAATGAATTGAAGTGAGAGTTGCCACAACCTCGATGTGTTTGCTTCTCCTCCATGATAAATCTTTTTGGGAATAAAGTTGGATATGGAAACCTATGACTATATGTTTGTTTACTTATATATATTTTGCCCTTTCTCTGAACCCAAATTGTGCCAAAATATTCTATTTTCTTCTACTTGGTAGAAGGGTGGAGATATTTATTTCATCCCAATCTCCCTTGGGAATCTAAAGAAAATAAAAATGTTTCCTGAACATTTTTAAAATGGGTTAATTTACCTTGGAATGTGGCAATTACACTCTGCTACATATAAAGCATTTATTTATACCATTGGCGGACATTGAATAATGTGAATTTTCTTCATTTTTGAAAGCTATAATCCCCAAACCAAAGGAATGGTGTGCAGCATCTGTTGAATTTTCTTAGTCCTTCCATTACAATGACGCTAAAAAACAGAAGAAATAGGAATGAAAAATGAACTGAATTTCAGGTAAAGTAAACAATAAGTTCCCACTATGCAAAAGGCATGCAAAATGGAACTGCCAGGCACATGACTCTGCCTGTGTGTGTGTGTGTGTGTGTGTGTGTGTGTGTGTGTGTGAGAAGTATGGGGAACCTGAGTAAGGAACCAGGCCTGGAGTGCAGATGCAGGAGAGAGGGTTCTGGAGTTCACGACTTTTGGAATGGGAATGATTCTATGTCTGCTAGAGCTCTTTTGTGGCTTGTGCTTGCTTGCCTATGTAAGGGCAATAGCCATCACCTATGAGTTTTTAGGCAGAAAATCTGACCTGGTCCTCCTTTGTCCGTGTTAGAGCTGTAGGAAAAACTGAATGTTGGCACATATGAATGGGGAAAAAATGGACTTGCATGCTGGGTCCCTGAGAAGACAAAGGCAATGAGATCCACTTAGGCCAACCCTTCCCCACCACCTCTTACCTGTCTTGGCCAAGGGCACTAGGCACTGAAAGGTACTCCATGTTCCCAAATGAATAGTTGCCTGATAAGTTGCTTGATTATCCTGTAGTCTGGGCAACATTTTTTATTCCTGCAGTAACTTAATTCAACTGATATTTCCCCTTCGTGGGTCACCTTAAAGCAAAGATCTCAAAGACGTTAAAATCACCAACTAAAGTTCATTATTTTCCAAGTGACCAGACCTCAAAGAAAGAGACTTGTTTTCATCTCGCCTTCTCACCCTCCATGAGTAGTAGCTGTATATGGATTATGGGAATTCCCATGGAATCACCGTTCTGAAAGGAGAATCTAGCTGGAGCTGTGACCTTGGCATTGGAATTCATTTCAAAATTGACACTCCAGGGAAACTTTCCATATGCCGCACCTCCAAGGCACAGTGCACACTTCTAAAAGTCTCAAAGACATTATTTATAACAGTGTCTGACAAATGGTGGCACTGCACCAAAACGTGTAGTGTGGATTTTCCTCTTGTTGGCTATATTTGCAATTTTGAGCCTCCCAGGCACATGGCAAAGTCTTACTTTCTATGTGAGCCAAGAAATTTCATCAAGCTGATACTGCCTGAAGGGATGGAGAATTGAGGACCTTGTTTGCACTAGTAGGTGGTCGATACATAGTTATTCAATAAAATATTTTTGCTTTTAAATAGAAGTTGAGTTTATAGTGAGGTGTTGTTTTAAGAGAAGCAAAGTGACTTGCAGAGAGATCCACTGTCTTTAGTTAGCTCTTTAAAATTAAGCAGTACTTTATCAAGTTGACATTAAAAAAAATAGTATCTGATATTGGCGAGGGGTTGGGAATGGACATACTGCTTCTACATTGCCAGTATGAGTGCAAATTGTTAAGGGCTTTTGAGTAAAAGTATTTGTGTACTGTAATAAAGTAATACCTCTTTTAATAATTTATCCTAAGGATGTAATCAGTGATACAAATATAATTACATATATAAGGATTTTCATAACATCATTCTAAAAATGAAAAAAATGGAAATAATAAAATGTCCAATAGAAGGGGTAGTTAAGTAAATTATCACATAGATATTCTGCAAACATAAAAACAATTTTTGAAGACTACTGAGTGTCAAAAAGGATTGTTACCCCAATATAATGTTAAGTGAAATAAAAAGCAGGGAATGAAACTAGAATTAATGAAATAATTTTAGTAAATAATATCTGTAGGAAAAGGATTAAAAGGACATAATTACCAATATATGTTGGTTTATATCTGGCTGGTAAGATCACAGAAATTTTTCTTTACTCATCGTGTTTTCAACAACAAACATAGCATTTTAAATTAACACTTATAATTAACTCATAATTCAAAAATTCCTAAATGTACTTTTTGTTTGAAGAACTAAGAAATTTATTAAAGGATATAAACAAAAGTAACTTTATTTATTTGACCAGGCCCTGTTTTATCCATGAAAGCTGAGGCCTCTTATAAGAAATACATATGGTAAAATGATGAAACATAATTTAAAAAATCAGGATTGAAGAAAACATAAATTTGAATGCAATACCAAGACTAAAAGGTAAAAATAGAACCCAGACCTATAGTCCATAAAGGCATACCTAATTGCATTAATTGGTCCATAAATTGGATGATGGTTCCTAGTGGCTGAAGCAAAGAGGGAAAGCCACTGAGCAGTGGGTATGATTTTTGCTGTGCCTGAGTAGTAAAAATTTCCTTAGAGGAAGCAAAGTTTTTCAGCCCCCAGCTTGAGAGGCATTAATGTGGGACTTTATCTGTGAAATGAGGTGAACAGATTCCTTGGCAATTTCCCTATTGCAGAAGTTTTGATAAGACTGTTTTTGTAGCACCCATCAATGAAAGTCAATGGTGGGTCTTAAAACATGATTTAGTGAGTAATTGTATGGGGCCTGTCCTACTTTGGGTTCTTCCTAAAACAGAGCCCAAGACGAGGACTTATGTAATCACTTCCCCTTGAGAGTAGGGTGGCTTAGTGACTTGCTTTTTAAGAAACAGAATATGGCACAGATGATGGGATAGCAATTCCATGACTATAGTCCAAGAAATTGCTGACTTTTGTCTTGTTGGCAAACTCTGTCCCTTGCTGGTTTTGATGAAATAAGTTGCCATGTTAGGAATGCCCACATGGCAAGGAACTGAGGGCAGACTCCAATCCAAAACCAGCTAGAAACTGAGGCCCTCAGTCCAGCAGCTCAAAGGAACTGAATCTTGCTAACAACTGTGTAAGTAAGCTTGGAAGCAGATCCTTCTCCAGATGAGCATTCAGATAAGACCCAGCCCTACGTGATAAGTTGAGTGTACCTGATAAGTTGATTGTAGCTTCATGAGAAACCATAAACCAGAGGACCTGGCTAAGCCAGGACTGAAATTCTGATCCACAGAAGCTATGAGATAATAAACATGTGTTGTTTTAAATCACCAATGTTGTGGTAATTTGTTATGCAGAAATAGATAATTAAATACAGTCATATTCCTAAGATCCTGGGACTTGCTGACTAAATCCACAACCCACACTATCAGTTACTTCCCTGCTAGCTCTGAATTTACCTCCTTTAGGAAGTTTTTCTTAACTACCCTAGATATAATGAACTCGGTTTGTGACCTTTATCACTGTTAATGTCTTATTTAAGCACTTTCCATATTGAATCGTAATTTTCTGCTTACTTATCTATCTCCTATTAGACAGTGAACACTTCAGGGACAGGGACTGATTCATCTCTGTAATGCTGGCACCTAGCCCAGACCTGACACTCGGGTTCTTTGGAAATATTTATTGAGTAATGAATAATTAATTGTTTTGTGAGACAATGTAAACATACCAACAACTCAATTCTAAAGATGTTTATTGATGTATGCAATGTGGCAGCTGTTGGGCCAGGTGCCAGGGACTCAAACTTAAGCAAATCACTATTTCCTACCTTAAAGTTGCCAGAGCCTAGAAGAGGAGTCAGGCACGCAAAAAACTGACAACACAGAACAGTAAGCAATATCAGAGAGGTGTGGAGTTGAACCATATAAATTGGCTATTAGTGTAGGTCAGAAACCATTGAATAAGGGCAATGTCCTATGATTCAGCCTATTAAAGATTCTGCTGCCAGGACACAAGGTAGAATGATTAGTGAATCTGATACGGTCTTGATCTGTAAGGGTTTTAATTCTAAGGCTTGGAAAAATGACAAAGACATTGAAATCCTTAGCAGACGGTAGAGGATACCTTGGACAGATAAGCCAGAGCAGATAATCCAGGCACAGCTTGGCTGGGTCATTTCCCACAGGCTGCAAGCACAGTGCCAGCTGGGGCTGCAGTCCTCCTGAGGTAAGACTGGGGCAGGATGCACTTCCAAGCTCACACACATGGCTGTTGGCAGGATTCATTTTCTCACAGACTGTTGGACTTAGGGCCTTGGTTCCTTGATGGCTTTTGGATGAAGACCACCCCCATCTTTGCCATGTGGGTCTCTCCATTGGGCGGCCTGCTTCATGGCAGCTGAATTCCATCAGAGCAACAAGTGAGAAAGCAGGAGGGAAGTCACAGCCCTTTATGACCTAATTTTGGCAATAACATCTTGTCACCTTTGCAATGTTCTATTTGGTAAGTTTTGAAGCAAGTCAAGTCACATTGAATGTAGGTCCAGCCACAATCAAGGGTGGGGGGCATTATTGGAAGCCATCTCAGAAGTTCCCTGCCACAGCAAGCAATTTCCAGACTCTACCAGGGACTTCTATCTTTGTGGTGAGAATCTCCTGTTCCCTGAGTTTTGCTAATCTTCTGCTAGACCATAACGAAATGTTCTGGTAAGCAGGGAAGGGGACAAAAGGATTACAGTCAGAAGAATAATCACTGATTAATACCCAGTCGTGTGCTCAGAGTTATATCATGACAGAAGGGAAAGAAACTCCAAAGAGCATGAAGTCAGTACCCCTTCTACCTTCCCAGCCCATTTACAGATGAGGGAAGGAAAAGCCCTGGCTGTTCCAATGAAGTCAGCACTTTCATAATCATAAGACAGCAGTGAATTAGGATGCAGTTCACGTTGTGTGAACTGAGTCGTGGTGCCCACCATTGAGTTATGCTACTCAAGGGGCTCAGGAGTAGCTTATGCTACTCCTGGGAGCACATGCTCAGCTCTGGGCCACCAGTTTTAAAAGACACTCGGGATTACCTGAAGAGGACCAGCCAGGATTTAGAGAAGCCTGGACTCCACATGAGAAGAGAAGCAGTAGGAAGGATTGGGGTCTCTTGCATGTGGAAGAGGAGACTAGAAGAGAACATGAAAACCATTTTAATCAGTCTAGGAACAAGTGGACTTCCTCTGTCTAGCTTTGGGAGACAAGAACTAGGGAGAGAGAAGAAGCTGTCAGGGCAGTGGTGGCTGATTTCAAGGCCCCTCTCTCACTAGAGGTGTGTGAGCTGAGTGAGGCTGGGTTATGTGGAATGATGTTCGTGCTTTCTTGGTTAAGTAAGAGCACCCTAACTCTAGCAAGCTTGAGCCCAAGTGGCTCCCACAACTGAGCACGGGGAGAACAGAGACACTGGGAATGGCCTCAGTGTTCTCCACTCACCTGTCTTCTCTGACCCTGTATGCAAACAAACTTTTCCATGAGGTGGGATTCAGGAATGTCGACAGATATGGGCTCACATCTTAACAGCCTTATAGTCAGGTAGGAAGGCTGTTTCTAAGTTCCTGTCCAAAAATCCAAAAATTAACTAAATGTCTGCCATACACTGGACACAGGCCAAGACACAGGATGCATCAGTGAGCAAAACAAACATCCATGTCCACGTGGAAGTGACATTCTCGAGGAACTGGCCTAGGGAGATTTAGATACCCATCCCACCTTCAAGTACCTCTCTGGTCCATCCTTTGCACCCTGGGAACCTCTGACCATGTGCCTGCCTGTCCTTGCTCAAAAGCTTGCTTGGTTGTACTTTCTTAGAGTATCTCATTCAAAATCCCCAATATGGTAGTCAGGGCCCTCTACAATTGGGCTCCAATTTCTCTACTTTCTCCATCATGCACTCAGCTAAAAATAGAAAGGAAAAGAGGCCTTTGTGGTTCCCCAGGCATGTTCTTCACTTTTGTACCTCTATCCTTTATCAGATTCTTCTTTTAGCTTGGACTCTCCCACTACCATCTCTCCTGGAAAGTTTAACTTTCTCTTAAGCTCTATCTCAAATACTTATCTCTTCTACGAAGCCTTTCCCAATTTCTCTGCATCTTCTGTCATCCTTTTCCTCCCCTTCCCTGTCTGTACATAGTTTATTTCCCCTGCCAAGGTCTAACTCATTTTGTGTGCTCTGTAATACATAGTAGGGCTAGGCTCATCGTGTCCCTACCATTGCTCATGCTGTTCCCTTAGAAGCATCAACCCTTCCCTTCCATTCCTACTTGCAGAAAGACAATTCCTTCTTCACCTTCCATTTACTCCCTGCTCCTCCTCACCATGCAGCATTCAATCCCCTACAGATGGAATTATATATCTTAGTACATCTCCCTTTGTCATTGAATGTTCTGAGTACGACTAATCTTCCTGTTTGATTATAAGCTATTTGAGGGCAGGAGCCTCCTCTTTTCAGTAAAAAAAAAAAAAAAAAAAAAAAAAAAAAGTCTCCAAAGTGTGAAGCCCAGTCCTTTGCACATGGCGCTCAGTTAACAAAATGTGTATTGGCTTGATTGCAATTAGGTTGAATGTAAAACCCTTAAGACCTGTGCTTTCTGTGGGTCATGGGTCCAATGTGAATACTTAGAGAATGTTGAATCACACTAACATAATACAGATAATTTTGTTTGTTATAAAAATATATATTCTTTCTTTTTTTTTTTTTTTGAGATGGAGTCTCACTCTGTTGCCCAGGCTGGAGTGCACTGGCACAATCTCAGCTCACTGCAACCTCCACCTCCCGGGTTCAAGTGATTCTCATGCCTCAGCCTCCCAAGTAGCTGGGACTACAGGTGTGTGTCATCAGGCTTGGATAATTTTTGTATTTTTAGTAGAGACAAGGTTTTACCATGTTGGCCAGGCTGGTCTCAAACTCCTGGTGTCAAGTGATCTGCCTGCCTCAGCCTCCCAAAGTGTTGGAATTACAGGTGTGAGCCACTGTGCCCGGCCTGGAAATGTATTTTCATGTGTAAAGAGTTCATATGCATCAAGGATCGTTTGTCTTGTGCTGTTGTTGCTGGAAGTCTAGCTTGCTCATGCAACAGGAAGGTGAGGGCATAGCACCGGTGTTGGCTTTTTGAGAGATAACTGAGGGGCTGAGGAAAGAATGAAACTGAGGCTATGCCGAGATGTCCTTGATCCTGTGACAGAGTTCTGTCCCTTTTCTGCAACTCTTTCGGCCAAGCAATATGGTCTATAAAAGGCTTTTAGATTGGCCAAGCTTTTTGGGTGGCCCTGAGCTAAAGCAATGAGTGAGCCTCTCATTCATTCACCCCACAAATAGTTATTGAACCCTTACTCAGCATCAACCACTGTGCGAGATCCTGGGGGTGCAGTGGTGTTATGGGTTGAATTGTGTCTCCCTTAAAAATATATGTTGGAGTTTTAGGCCCCAGTACCTCAGAATGTGACTGTATTTGGAGATGGGCTTCCCTACAGAGGTAATTTAAACAACCAAAAAAGTCTATTCCAGGCAGTCTTACACTGGCAGACAAATGTGTAGTAGGTTTAATCTGGGTCTTTTTTATTTGTTTCTCTTGCAATTCCCTACCTAGTTCTTAAGTAATTACCTGACAGGCAAAGGGGCTGTAATGCCTCCTTTATGTAGGCCTGAACTTTCTTTAAAAAACTGATTATGGAAGGCTAATAAATTAAGATCTTTAACATAAAGTGAGGTGACATTTAAAGCAAAATAAAAGTTATTTAGGATTTTCACATTTGGAAGGAGGAATAACTGCGTTAAGAAGATGAACCTGGAGGTGAATTCAGCAACTGGCAACATGAGAGACTATTCTCTTCCCCCATGACAGTACTTGGCAGCCCAATCGTTGCAGAGCAGAAGCCGTTCTTTTAGAAGGTTTCAGAAGCCATCTTGGTTATCTAGTTGAAAAATCACAGTGTTGATAGTTGATTCAGTTGGCATATGAGTCCTCTTATATTAGGCCTTTTAAAACTCAACACCCAAAATCTTGGATGCTCAAATTTCAGCTGGATTGACCTTCAAAATCTGGGAAATGTGTCAAATGGTGTTAGCAAGCCAAAAGTCTCACTTTTGTTTTGGTTTCCTACGTGCTCCTCTGAATGGACACAGCTTAGAGGCACGGAGGGCCTTTGCCGTGTGGGCCTGGGTCATTGAGATCTGATCTGTCCGTTACACTGGGTTGTCTAGACGTAGGTGTCGTTCTGGATTGCCTCCAAGGTCATGCAGAGCAAGGGCGGCCAAGTAGGAACAAACCGAACACGCCCTCATTCTGAAGCTGGGAGAGCTCAGCCTGACCTGTGAAGCAGGCAAGGAAGCCCCAACTCCAAGTCTTTTGCTTTTCTACACCTAGCACCTTCTGCTCTGCCAAATTTGTCTGAGTTTGGTGCCTTATTTCTGTCCACTGCAGTGGTAGCCATACTTTCCTCTCATAACCTTCTGTTTGTGGGCTCTCTTCAACCTTGAAGGCCTGGAACCTTATTTATATTTGAACTCATTTTTACGCACTCTCGTTCAGATTATCTGGGTGATTCCCTGATGCCTGCTGCTGTAAAACTTATATCTCATGCCCAGAATAAAAGCATATCACATTGGGAAACATTTCTATTTTGAGGGGGCCAAATGAGGTACCTAGTCATTGATTCTCGCCAACCCTGTCCTGTATCCCCAGTGTCTGTGTGACCTCTGATGATTAAGGGTTGTAAAAGAGTCTCCAGTCTGGGAAGGGAAGCTCAGGTCCTTCCCGGGATCCAGGCAGCACAGGTTTGAGAATAGCTTGGTGGGTGGGTGAAGGAAGGCCATGGAGTCTTGTACATTGTTGGTGTGCTTAAATATGAAGGTGTCAGACTTCTGGTGTTTAAAATAAGGTCTTGAGCCTTATAGATGCATCTTGAACAGCAACAAAGGACAGCATGAAACCTGAAGTTAAAAGTGTTGGCCCGGCCAAGTGGGGTGTCTCACGCCTATAATCCTAGCGCTTTGGGAGGCCGAGGTGGGTGGATCATCTGAGGTCAGGAGTTCGAGACCAGCCTGGACAACATGGTGAAACCCCGTCTCTACTAAAAATACAAAACTTAGCTGGGCGTGGTGGCACACACCTGTAATCCCAGCTACTCGGGAGGCTGAGGAAGGAGAATTGCTTGAACCCGGGAGGTGGAGATTGAAGTGAGCAGAGATCGCACCACTGCACTCCAGCCTGCGCGAAGGGAGTGAGACTTCATCTTAAAAAAAAAAAAAAAAAAAAGTGTTGGCCGGGCATGGTGGCTCACACCTGTAATCCCAGCACTTTGGGAGGCCGAGGTAGATGGCTCACCTGAGGTCAGCCTGGTCAACATGGTGAAACCCTGTCTCTACTAAAAATACAAAAAATTAGCTGGGCATGGTGGCGGGAACGTGTGATCCCAGCTCCTTGGGAGGCTGAGGCAGGAGAATAGCTTGAACCTGGGAGGCAGAGGTTGCAGTGAGCTAAGATCATGCCATTGTACTCCAGCCTGGGCAAGAAGAGTGAAACTCCATCTCAAAAGAAAAAATAAGTATTGCTTGGCAAGGAATGACGTTACATGCTGAGGGGTCTGTTTTGTAGTCTCTTTACTGTAAAGCTCTACTTGAATTGATGTGCTTGTTCTCATTCTTTCTGTCTTCCTGTCTTCAGTCTTACACACACTCACACTTACACACACACACACGGCCAGGATTAAGGTAAGTTGAGTAAAACACTTGCCCTGGGCACAAAACTTAAGGAGATGCCAAAAAAAAAACCCCACAGTAATCAAGATAAATAATATTTTAATGCAATCTTTTTTAAAAATCAGAATTAATGTTAAAAACCCACGATGCACAGAATATCAAAACTTTAAACAGAGGCAGGATCAGTATTATTGATTTTTCCTTTGCCTCAGGCTCCAATACAGTTTGTCATGGCATGGTACTGTAACTGATCCTGCGTTTATTTAAAGTGTTGATGTTTTGTTTATTATGGATTTTCATGTTAATTATGATTTTGAAGATATCACATTAAAATGATGAAGACAAAAATGATTTATCTTGATTACTGTGGTTTCTGGAGCCCCGTTCAATTCTGAGTGCCTCACTGGCCACCCCCAGTCCTGGCCCTGAAGACACAGGAGTCAGACAGACACATACAGACAGACAAGCACAGGTAGACACACACAAATGCCCTCTCTACAGTTCACAGGAATGTCGTTTTCTTAATGTAAACCATTATGCTGGCCATTATTTTATCTTTTTATCATGCTTTGATGAGTGCAGCTTTATATAGTAGTTCTCTCATGAGAGTCACCTTGACAGGGAATATACATTCTATTATTTTCTTTATCTTGATAGCATCTTATCAGCTTATATATAAATTGTGCTTTGGCCCTCAGGAAGGGATCTCTGTTAATGCAAACATTTTTCAAGCCCTTCAATCCCAAACTCACCTTGTAGATGTTTCCACAGTAGAGGTCCCCTGGGGCCTCAGACCTAACAGGCCCCCAAACAAATTCAACATCCCCGCTGTCCCAAGCCTCCAGCATATTTACATCTTTCACCATTCACACAGTTAACCAAATCAGAAACTTGGGACCCTGATCAGCCCTTCCTGCTCCCCTTCCTTCATTAAGCCCTTTCCAATCTGCTTTTGCAGGAGCTTTTGATTTCCCCATCCACCGTCACTGCTGGTTCAGGCATTTTCTCTCTGCTCTCCTCCAAATGGACTAGAGCCTCTTTACCCCACCCCTCTAGACCTCCCATTGCATTGCAGCTGAGGGACAACTTGAAAAGCCAGGCTGGAAGTGCCTGCTGGGTGAGTTGACTCCCTTTGCATGGTTGTTGAAGGGGTGCTGGGGTTTGTGCTTGGATTGAATGTCTTCATGTATCTGGCACTGGTTTAGAGTGGGGGAACACACAGATGGCTCAGCTGACCTCGTCCCTCACCGCCCTCCTCTATGCCACCTGCTGCAGCTGCATGACACTCACCAGATGCAGCATTATCCTTTCTAGTCAGTGTGGAGATGACACATCACTCTGTGATTCTCTTGGCTTTAGTTAGCCACTCTCCATGTGGTACTTCATGGTTGGAAGTGTGTTTAGCTTCACTGTTGCTGAAGCTGGTCCATTTCCACCTGAACCTGTTTTGTTTGGTGCAATTACAGGTTAGCTTAGATTTGGGGGACTAGGAAGAAGACCTAGTAGGAAGAGAGGAGAAATGGAGGGTATTAGAAACGTTCCATCCAGAGGAATTTGTCAAGGCTAGGAGTAGATCTGGAGTTTTCTCAGAGGCCACAGGAGACACCCATTCCAGAAGTCCCTAGAACTGAGAACACAGTTGGCATGGGTGGAAGTTGAAGTCTAAATCTGCACATCAGGAAGCTGGAGAGTTGCTAACCAAAAGGTGTCACATGTAGGGATAAAAGCCAGAGTATAGGATCAGAAATCCCGAAACTAAGGGATAAAAGCAACTGGTAGGAGACCAAGAGTGGCCTGAAAAGGGCATTGTGTGATTGCCCAGGTGGGATATGGGGAGGTGGTGTCAGCCACTGGCTTGTGCCTGTCTGGGAGAGGGTGCAGGTCAGCTATGATCAAGGTCTGGGGATAGGATATCTCAGACACGTTAGGTCTGACCCCAAGGTCCTAAGGGTCCACTGGGTGAGGGCTGGAAGAGGGGATATTCAGTTGGGTCAGACTGCTAATCTACTACCTGTATCCTTAGAAAATAAGTTTTCTGAGAATCTTCCCTGAACCCTTCTTAAATCCACTGTTAATAAAATATGATTGCCTGCTACAAGGGCTCAGTAGCTTCTCTTGGGAAAAAAGAGAGAATCTGAATGACTATGGTATTTAGCTCGTGCGAATTCCCTAGAGTTGAATGAAAGAGAAACCTGGAACTGCAGTAATGCTGCTTTTCAGCACATTTTGTTATTCTGTAGACCAAGAACTAGATCTTATCTCCCCAACCATAACCATCTATCATATGCATTTCTACATTTTGGATTAGCCATGATAGATGGAGAAGGAGGTAGTGTTGATTCTAAGCACCACATTTAAACACCAGAGTTGTTTCCTTTCCTTCTATCATTTTCACAACTCTGCTAATTGCATGGTAAATGACTCACTGACATCAGAATGAGCAAGGGTTTCATAGCTGGACAAGATAGACTGGGCACAGTGTGGGTGTGGACCTGAACTTCACCCTCCTTGGAGGTAGGGGAAGGAGCCTGGGGAGCCCTCATCCCACTGCACTGAGAAGCCTTAACCATTCAAATGGACATGTCCAGCCATTTTGCCCCGGAGGAAATTGGGCCTCCATTTTTCTTGCATGGTTGGGAAGCTTCCTCAGGGGCTTTCAGGGACTTATTTGGCAGGGGGTGGGGCCCTAGCGAGGGATAAGGGAAATGGCATGACCTGCAGCCATACACTTATGCTCTGGGAGAGGAGAGACTGTCCGTCTAGCTCAAAGTTGCATCCTAGGGCCTAGCACAGCACTTGGCACATAGTAGGTGCTCAGCTAATACTTGTTGAATAAATGAGTGGGAACCCTGTATCAGTTTTGTGAACCCAGGCATGTTTAATTATGTAAGACTCAGTCTAATCACAAACAAAGTAGGGACATTAACACCTGCCCTAACTTTATTACAGATTGTTGTCAGAAATTGCTTTTTAACCATGTACAAATGTAAGTCATTATAATTAGACTTCCTCTGTAAAAGAAGCACACTGCTTTATGAATACCATAAAAATGCAGCAGATGTCAGAAGAGAAAAATTATCCAATACGGGATGATAAATCCTTGATGAGCCAGAGTGCTCAGAGAACAAGGTGTTCTAGCTAACTGAATTTCTGTTTAAGTAGGAAGTAAACAGAAAGTCATTTGTTTCAATCCACAGTGATATTCCAATTCCTTGTGCTAGGAAGAACAAACTGATCATAGTACCCCATGAACAATGAAGGCTACTGCTGCATCTTTTGGCCATTGTTCTTAACATCATTTCTTCTATGCTATAAAAATCGCTGAATGAGGACAAAGTGGAGACATGTTTCTGCCATCCTGTGGACAGGCTTAGGTATAATGTTTTTGAGTATTAAAAACACAAAGTGTTGAGGAGGGTGGGACTAGGCAGGGCAGAATCATCTGATTGTAAGGTGGCTCTTATATGATATTAGGACAGTCCAATACTCAAACTCCAAAGAGCATCATTGCTGTTCTGTTTTGTTTTTCAGTCAGCAAACATTTATTATGTACCCACTATATGTGAGGCAATGGGCTAGGTTCTGGGTTTACAACTATGAAATTGGCCCGGGCGCAGTGGCTCACACCTGTCATCCCAGCACTCTGGGAGGCCGAGGCAGGTGGATTCCCTGAGGTCAGGAGTTAGAGACCAGCCTGGCCAACATGATAAAACCCCATCTCTACTAAAAATACAAAAATTAGCTGGGGGTGGTGGCACGTGCCTGTAATCCCAGCTACTCAAGAGGCTGAGGCAGGAGAATTGCTTGAACCCAGGAGGCAGATGTTGCAGTGAGCTGAGTTCATGCCACTCACTCCAGTCTGGGTGACAGAGCAAGACTCTGTCTCAAAACGACAACAACAACAAAACAAAAAACAAAATAAAACTATGAAAATGACATGGTCCCTACACTCTACAAATCAACACAATGCCAAGGGAAATTTTTGTTGTCTTATTGCTCTAAGATCTAAGAGAGGTTTTTTCGTCATCTTATTGTGCTGTGGTTAGTGAGATGGTAGGGCTGATCACAGGATGCCAGATAAGCATGGAAATATGTTCAGCTGGCCTCCTGGCAGGGAAGAGGGGACACACCTGTCAGGTGTGGCCCACCTCTCAGGAGATGATGATACTCAGGTGGGCCAGGGTGTGGTGCTGGGTGACTGGCTGGGTTTAGAGCCAGTTGCTCTGGGTTTTGGAGGACTCTAAGCCCAAGAGGTAGTAGAGTCACGGGCAGGGAAGCCAAGGCGCACACAGCAATCTCTAGATTAGGCTGGGGGCATGGAGATCAGATCTGGCCAGACACATGATGCCTGGGCCATCAGATACCAGGACCCCTCAACTCCACTTAACATCATGTTTATTCATTCAAGCATTCCTTCAGCAACTTAAAGCTTTGAATGTCTGTTCCCTCATCTGCGATTTGGGGAAAATAATGTAATAAACATACACTGTGCCTGGCACATAGTTGGTACCCAATGAGTGGTAGCTGGATACCTAACCTCTTTTAATTTTAAACTATTTTCCTTTTTCTCTTCTTGCAGCTGTCATTCTTCACCTTCTCATGCTCCAAGGGGGATGTTTTGTTGTCTTATAGCCAGAATCTTTTTCCTTTTGCAGCATCACTGTATGGTACATTTTCTCTTTCTCATGTGTAAGAAACCAGAGGGGAAGGAAGAGGCTGTGAGAGAACAATTGTGAGATTCGCCTGGTGACATGCTTTTGATAAGAATATGGAAGATGAACTTAATTTCCATCTTAGAAAGGATGTAAATGCCTGAATCTAATATGTTCTTAATGAATTTCCTTCATTAGGAAAAGTATTTCGAAAGGGATTCCCCAAACTGAAAAGAAGAAAAGTTTAAAAATATATTTTTAAAAATTATATTGATACCATGCCAGCTTCTGAGTGAAGAGGGACACTTCCATTCTCATGGAAGAGTCTAGTGGACATTTTTTGTTTCTTGGCTTTAATATCGAAACCCCCAAACTTCCTGCTGACACTTCAATCTTCCTTTGTGGAAATGCCCTTTTGTGTGTGAGTTGACATGAGAGCAATTCCCAGAATATGCCTCACATTGTGGGACCTGGGTGTCCAGATTCTTCCTCCCTACTGCTCGTTGTCATGTTCAATGGCCAAGCGTGTGACCTAAAGGCCAAGAGTGTGATCTTAGAGCCAGGCTCATGACTAAGCCCCACCAATCAAAAACCATTTCTGGGACTTTGACTCTTCAACAAGTAAGACAATGGAGAGGAAGCATTTCAGAGCCAGGTTCATTGCTGGTTGCCTGGAGTGCCAGGTCCATGGGGGTCCCAGCCACAGGACTCTCACTTCTGGCCCTCAGTGCTCCTTTGGTTCCTGCCATTGCCCAAACCTAGTCCTTCAGCATCCCTTTGATCCTGTGAGTTGTGCTGATTTCTTTCTAATTTTTTTTCTTTTCTGCTCAAGTTAGTAAGAATTAAACTACTATAGGATCGTGTTTAAGTGCTACATTGGTGATAAGGAAAAATCAAGTGGAGAGGTTAATCCTTTATTTTTTTTTTCAAATATCTCTTAAAACAACTGTTCTTAAGACCTCCTGGATTGCATCAATTCAGTGATTTGGCTGGAGAAGGTGAAGAGTTTGATCCTGTTTTAGGGTGTTAGTCAGTGAAATGTTGGTTAGGGAGATCCCAGAGCCTTCTGTATCTTATCTCTTTCCTGAAATTCTCCACCTCTAAAAAGATAAAGGTTTCAAGCCATTAGTGTGGATCTTTGCATTAACTTATTGACCTTTTAATTATTTCTTTATCTTTGGCTGAATAAGCTCTAAATGGAGCTTATTTAAGTAAATACTTTAAAATAAGTGTAAAGTGCCAAGACACTGAGGTTTACAAAATGACCACCGCTCATGTGATCCAAGCTGGTCTACAGATGGAGGTTATTATGAACATGCATATGTGTTGAATGAATCAGCCCACTGCAGAAGAGAGAGTAGGAGGAGGTCTCGGCAGAGGCGGAAATATTGGTCAGCGTTTGCTCTTTTAATGGTACTTGGCTGCCTCCTACTCCAGACCCTGTCACCCTTGGATGATGTTTCTGAGAATAAAATATAGCAAGGTGTAAGTAAGATGGTGATGGGTTGGGTCTCAAATACAATTTTTCTGAGGTCTCTTTAGGTGAACTAAAGTTCAAGAATCAGAAGGAAAAATTAATAATCAAGGTAAAGACTTCAATATAAATAAATTCAACAGAAAATTATTGATGCCCTATTCTGGGCCAGACACTTTGCCAAGCCCAGAGGGTATGGAGATGAAGAATGACCAGTTCGTGTCCTCAAGGAGCTTAGAATCTGCTGTAACTTGCAAGTGTGGGTGAAGTTGATTTGTGCTACATAATCACTTCAGACCAGAGGAGATGCAGGGCTGGAGGTGACTCACATAGAAGTACTAATAGTTATGCCACCCCAGACCTGGCATGCCTTCAGTTCTGACCACAATTGATTGTCCACCAACCATGGATCCTGTAGGGTCAGTCAACAGATTTGTGAGTAAAAGAGACAAGAAGACAGGAGGAAGACAAAGTGAGAAAATAACTGCAGAGCAGTAAAAGCCAGCTCTGAAATGGGGAAGAATGAAAAGCAGAATCAAATGTCAAAGATTCCAAAATGTCTAATCTCTGGACTGGTGCCATCTTGATTTTTTTTTATCATCTATCACAAAATGAGAAGAATAAAGACAATGTAGTATTTTACATCATAAAACACCTTTGGTGACCTTAGACCCGTGTATCAGTCTAAGGTCACCAAAGGTCTCATGTGGGAAAGACTGTCAATTTAGTTTAGGAATATCTTCTTCCTAATTTGAAACACCAGCTATTTCAAGATAGCAAGCCATGCAACTGGTGAAATTACAAAGTTGACAGCTCCATGAGAATCCCCACAATGCATTATCCAAGTCTGCCAAATCTACAAGTCGGGAACCATTGATTGAATGAGAAGTTAGGGCACAGTTCCTACTACCTGAGGTACTTCTGCTCTTCTGAAGACGGAGGCATTTCTCAGGGTGGAAGAAACAGCCCTGGATTCTTCAAGTAGAAAATAAAGAGGAACTGGCAGATGAGATTCTGAAACCAACTTCCTTCACAGCCTGCAAGTGTGATATGTTCAACCCATTAGAGATTCTAATTTCAGGGGAAGCCAGCCTGTGGGCAAAGGGTCAGACCACTGTTTATGCCCCAGAGTGGAAGAGCGGAGGAAAGGAATGGGTGAGTCAAGATACCTCATTCCCTCCCACAGGAGTTAGAAGGAATTCCTATCTTCCTCAGCAACCTCACCCACCAACCAGCTACAGGAAAGACTAGAAAACCACTCCAATAACTGGTGGGGAAAGTTGCCTTAACTTTCTAAGATAGAGTTAATATTAATTCTTCGTCTCAAGTAAGGAACTCTAAATCAGTGAGCTTTCACCTCAAGACTTCTTCCTGGAGGCTGCAGAAGTGAACAGCGCTTTCCTTGGGTCACTGACAGGGGCCCTGAAGAAATGCTGTTGGTCTGAGGGAGCAGATCCATGAGGCTTCTCACATTGCACTGGAGAAGACTCATGCTGCCCTCTTCTTTTTCCATGATACGTCCAACTTAACCGTAGGTTAAAAGCATCATACTGCCTTTTTCTGCAGGAGAAGACTATTGTATTAGTGTTGCCTTATTAATATTAATCAGTGCTGTGGACTGAATCATGTCTCTCTGCCCTCCCTTCCAATTCATACACTGAGGTCCTTACCTCTGGTGTGACTTAATTTGGAGATAGGGCCTTTAAGGAGGTAAGTAAATGAAGTCAAAAGGGTAGAGCCATAGATGGCCCTACTAATCCTATGGAAATCTCTGCTTCCCTGTCTCTACCATGTGAGGATACAGTGAGAAGGCTGCCATCTACAAGCCAGGGAGAGAGCCCTACCCAGAAATGGTATCAGCTGGCACCTTGATCCTGGTCTTCCCAGCTTCCAGATATGTGAGAAACCGATTTCTGTTGTTTCAGCCACCCAGGCTGTGGTATTTTGTGATAGCAGCCCAAGCAGACCAATACAATCGATAATTATCACACAAATTGACATTTATTCTTTAGGAATAAAAATTTACCCCGAGGAAGTGGTTGAAGTCTCTGTGGCTACCACATTGCTATTCAGAAGGAGAAGGGTACTAATACCATTCATATTTTTACCTACTTGCTAAGTATGATGCTAATAATTTTATATGCACTAGAGATAGGAAGCAGTGGGTCAGAGGGATTATGGAACTTGCCCAAGGTCACAGAGCCAATAAGTAGAAGGTTCTGACCTGCTAGGTTTGCTGGGCTCAGAAGCCAGGCTGTCCCTGTTTGCCTTGCCTCTTGTACCATCTGAGCCTGCATCCGACTGAGCTCTTTTCACCTTCCTCATCTAAGCTCCTGCTTTTACTGTAGCAATTAATATCACCTAATAAACTTGTGAAGGTTCTTTTGAAGATTCACTAAGATCCATTGTTTATGTGATCCCAATTTTGCAAGAGCAAAGAAAAACCAAATGAAAATATGTATTAAATAAAGCTTATGTTGCATTAAAAAATATCATCATCAAATGGTAATTGTGGTTATTTCTGAATAGTAGGATAATAACTGATTTTATTTTATTTTTTACCTTTTTTGACACTTTTATTTTACACTCTTTTGTAATTATAAAAAAATTTTGTAATTATAAAAAAAATCTTCATAATGAAAAGCAAGATGCACTGTCCCCATCCCATGGCATTTGTGTGCCATGCCACAGCACAGGAGGATTGGATGGCTCCTCATCTGAAAGCCTGAGCAGCAAGGTCAGGGTGCCAGAGACCCACAGAAGAAAATGGCAGGAGCTGGCCCCAGAAAGTCCCATGATAGAGGGGTTGGGGCGGGGAGGAGACGATGACACTGATTCAGTTCCAAACCTGACTGGGAAAACATGAAAATTATGACCATCTGGAGCCTCAGTGACTGGAGGTCAGGTGCGAGGTGATCTTTGGCCAGGGCTTCCATGGCTGTGACTCCAGCTCAGACACCACCTCCTTGGGTGCCCCCATCTTTTCTCTGTGCTGAGACATGGGAGAAAGAACCACACCTTCTCGTGACCTTTAGATGACCCAGTGACTTAAGTGGGATGGCCACTGTCAAAGTGACAATGCCAAATAACAGAGAGTTCCACAGAAGCCAGCCCATATCTGTGCAGATCTGACTTTATTAAAGAGTAAAGGCGTGAAAGGCAAATTCCCTGTTTGTGCTCCAGAGAGTGTGTGGCCAAGAAGGGTGAAATTCTCCATGATTTTCTTGGCAACAATCAGCTGTTTTTCCCCTCTTAGATCTTCTGAAGTGCCATTTTTGGCAAAGGTGCATGAGAGAAATATTATATGTTGAGGAAAAGGAAACAGGAGGGTTCCTACTGCCCCCAGTTTCATAATGAAAAGCTGTGAACAGTCGGGGGCTACGGTTTCTTTAGAGAAAACTTGGTGAATGAAAGCTTCTTTGAAGTGCTAGAATATTCTGGACAGGATCTTGCTAATTAGGAAGTAAAAGCCCTATTGTGTTTTTTCCAGGGAAATTTTGGAGGCAGGCTGTGACCTGAAAAGAGTAGTGCTTCTAGAAGCAGTCACAGCTTTTACCAAGTCCAGGCACTCTCCTGAGCTATTTGTTGATGTTGGAGGAATGTTGTGAGGGAATTACATATTTTGTGAATAGTAGGATAGTCTCCATAAATTTGTCTACTTTTTTTTTTTTTTTTAACATGGAGTCTCACTCCGTCACCCAGGCTAAAGTGCAGTGGCACAATCTCAGCTCACTGTAACCTCCACCTCCCGGGTTCAAGCAATTCTCCTACCTCAGCCTCCTGAGTAGCTGGGACTACAAGTGTGTGCCACCACGCCCGGCTAATTTTGTATTTTTAGTAGAGACAGGGTTTCACCATGTTGGCCAGGCTGGTCTTGAACTCCTGGTCTTGTGATGCACCCACCTCAGGCCTCCCAAAGTGCTGGGAATACTGGCGTGAGCCACTGTGCTCAACTAAAATTTGTCCACTTTTGACATTAGTTTTTTTCTGATTCTTAGAAGGCAGGGACCCTGTTCTGTTTGTCTATTTGCTCCTTCAACAACAATTATTACACATTCATGATGTGAACCACTCTGTGCTACACACTGAGAATACACACACACATGCACGCACACACACACACACATACATACTGCCTCATATATATGTATGGCTATATTAAACATATTTTCTGTATGTATGCTATAGATATGTATATAGTAGTGGGCTGAGTGGTGGCCTCCCAAAAGATATATCCATGTCCTAATCCCGAGAACCTCTGAATGTGACCTTAATTGGAAAAAGATTCTTGGCTTATGTAATTAAGTTAGGGATATTGAGGTGAAATCATCCTTGATTAAATTCAGTGCAATTGTCCTTATAGGAGGCATGCAGAGAAGACAGACACAGAAAAGAAGACAGTGTGACCACAGAGGCAGAGATTGGGGTGATGCAGCCACAAGGCAAGGGATGCTTGACTTGTGAGCTACCAGAAGCTGGAAGGGGCAAGGAATGGGTTCCCCCCTAGAGCCTCCGGAGGGGATGTGGCCCTGCAAACACTGATTTTAGACTTCTAGTCTCCAGAAGAGTGAGGAAATAATTTTTTGTTGTTTTAAACCAGCCAGTTTGCAGTACACTAATTGGTTGCAGCAGCCACAGGAGATGAATGCACACAAATACACACACACACACACACACACACACACACACACACACACATGCATACATATGTTATATATATGAGAGCACAAGGCAGACAAAAAGGTTCCTGCTCTCATTGGACAATGAAACATCGTAGTTCACAGGCATCAAACACGTAATTGAAATAAAGAGCAGTGAGGGTTATGACAGAGGAAGAATAGGGATCTTGTGGGAACATATGAGAAAACCTTACTCTTAGGTCAGGCAAGGCTTCCGCAAAGAGAGGGCATTTAAATTGAAACTAGAAGGTCAATAAGAGAATCTGCCACTTATTGAGCATGTGCTGTGCACCACATGATGTGTTCAGTGCTTTGCATAAGTGATCTCATTTAAATCTCTTACGGTAGACACAACTATTTTATCCATGTTACAGACAGAGAAATGAAGACTTGGAGACATGGAGAATGAATTATTCAAAATTGCACACCTAGGAAGGGTTAGGGCTGGGATCCAATCCCAGGTGCTCTGACTCTGGAGCCTTGACTTTTCATCATTATTCCCCACTTCTCTTTAGTCTATGGGAAGATGAAGAATAGGATTGAGCCTGGCTTTCTTTTTTTTTTTTTTTTTTTTTTTTTTTTTTTTTTTGAGACGGAGTCTCGCTCTGTCGCCCAGGCTGGAGTGCAGTGGCGGGATCTCGGCTCACTGCAAGCTCCGCCTCCCGGGTTCACGCCATTCTCCTGCCTCAGCCTCCCAAGTAGCTGGGACTACAGGCGCCCGCCACTACGCCCGGCTAATTTTTTTGTATTTTTAGTAGAGACGGGGTTTCACCGTTTTAGCCGGGATGGTCTCGATCTCTTGACCTCGTGATCCGCCCGCCTCGGCCTCCCAAAGTGCTGGGATTACAGGCGTGAGCCACCGCGCCCGGCCTGAGCCTGGCTTTCTAAGCAAAAGCAGTGAGCAGGGGCCTTGGCACATGTGATATGTATAGTAACTACTTTTCACATGAGTGACTCCATCGAAGTTCACCTCTTATTTTGGAAAAGGAGAGCTTGTAGCAAAAGGACTGATCTCTTTCACAAATGATGTCTTGGTCTGTGTCCCACCAGAAGCAGATACTAAGATAAGGACATTAATGGAGGTGATCCCAGGAAACACTGGTAGGAGAGTGGGAAAGTGAGGCAGGGAGGAAGGGCAGCGAAGATAAGGGTTCATCATCAAGCAAGTTACTACTGGGAATCTAAAGCTTAGTCCTGCTGTGGATCTTTGGGAGCCAGCATAGAGCACACCCTGGGGTAGAAAGTACCAATATCCATTCATTTTTTTTGTTGAGGGCTATTCATGGGGAGCATAATTCCCTTGTACTTTTGGCCTACAAAGTAGCAGCAAAGGCCTTCTGTCAGAGAAACACAGGTGCATTTCTCTGGGAGCTTGTAATTTGGGCTAGGGACCCTGAGATAAGGAGGAAATGGGGCCATGGGAGAGTACTAAGAACATCAACTAAGGTGGTTGGAAGGATTCACTTTCTACCTTCCTGGTTCTAAGGTTGCACATGGAGAAAGAGGTTGGGAATTCTTTCCCAGATATGCCAAGCATCTAAACTAGGCATTTTGTCTCTGGGGAGCCTGAGTCTCCCAGCTCACACCCAAATTCAGTCAAAAGCCCTGCAACAACGAGCAGCTAGATCAATTCTATGTTTTCTTCTTTCTTCTCTCCTATATTATTGAGTTATGTTTATTGTGGCTTGAACATTGCCTCCATTTCAGGTGAAATATTACAGAGAAATAGGCAACTGTGTTAGGGGTTTATATGGTTTGGGTGTGTCCCCACCCAAATTTCATCTTGAATTCCCACATAGTGTGGGAGGGACCCAGTGGGAGGTAATTGAATCATGGGGGCAGGTCTTTCCTGTGTTGTTCTAGTGATAGTGAATAAGTCTCACAAGATCTTATGGTTATTATCAGGTGGAGTTTTCCTGCACAAGCTCTCTTTGCTTGCTGCCATCCATGTAAGATGTGACTTGCTCCTCCTTGCCTTCCACCATGATTGTGAGGCTACCCCAGCCACATGGAACTGTAAGTCCAATTAAACCTCTTTCTTTTCTAAATTGCCCAGTCTTGAGTATGTCTTTATCAGCAGCACGAAAACAGGGGTGGGAGTGGATGGGCCGTAAGCTAGGGAAACATAGATTAGCGGAGGAACCCTACACATGGAAGTCACCTTAGACTCCCAAATCCTGTGATACAAGTTTAGCATTGGAAAAAAAAAGTCTTTCCTTGTTTCTTTTCTTTGGAGGATAGGGGCTGAAGGGGAGCTGAAGCCAAGCATCTCCTTGCATATCTCAGGTTCAGTGACAGAAGAGCTTTTGGACCCTGCATACCTTTTAAAAGCAGTTACCTTGGCTTTCATAAAATTGAATGTGAACGTAGGTCCTCTTTGTGTAGAGAATTGTTACCAAATCCTCCCAGAGGAGAATAAGCACATGATGAGAGCTTAAATAGAGGGAAATGGATCTCTCCGCTCTCTCACACTGGTGGCAGAGGTCTCTTTCTCAAAGGAAATAAGGCCCCAGAGAAATTAACTGTTTGGGGAAGGAAGGAGAGAAATATTTTCTTTACCAATCCAAGAACCCTCAATATCCATAGAAAGGGGATCATTTTCAGAGGCTTCCAAGGAATTTCCGGATGGGGAGGTGTAACAACATCTCTGTAATCCCCCCTAAGGATAAAATGAAATAAACCCAAATCTTTGGCAGAAGTAATTGCAGTGAGCAGCTTCAGGGTTGTTTCTCAAATTGGGGGCCAGGGATACCTGGGAGGTGTTGAGGTTGAAGCTGTCAGAATGTCAATGTATTGCCTAATGGCAGTAGCAAGTCTGACACAAACCATCCTGGTCAGGAGTAGGGGCATAGGGAAAAAAGCTTATGGGGAAACAGGATGACAGGTGCTCACTGGAAGAACTGGGGAATAAAAGAACTAGAGATGTGCTGCTCTCACCTGGTGAGCAAATGAGGTGTCCAGCACTATAAAGTCTATGCTTTATAACTATGTTTTAAAATAGTTATAAATTTCTATAAAGTTAATAGAAAATTTGAGGTATGGTAACACCAGCACAGCAGGAGGTGACTACTATTGAAAAGAAAGTGTGTTACTCACAGATCCCAAGAGAAGGGGTATGCCATGTCATGGGGGGTGCACAGGTCAGTTAAGGGGTCAGTCAGGAGGCAGAGGTGGGACAGCACTGGGGGCAGAGGCCTTCACTGTGTTTTTGTGAAAAGGAACAGGCAAGGCAGGGTAAGCAGGCTGAGGATTGGCTGATTGGAACAATTTCAGCAGGATCTGGGGCACAGGGACTGTCCCTAGTTGTCTGGTACCTGGCCCTGGGGTGATTAGGGCAGGTGGATGGTAGCCTGGAGTGTGAGAGGCCTATAAAGGAGATGGCTGGCCCTCTGGAGTGGTTGGTTTGTGTTTAAAAGTGCTCTGTGCTGAGTCATTTACTATCTCTAGGAATTGGCTAACCCTGAGAGGGGTCATCTCTTTAGGGTGAGCAAAGCCCCAGAGGTCAAAGCATCAGAATACAGAAAACAAAAGACATTGTTAATACAGCAAAACAGCTGGAAGGTGGTCAGCACTATTTCTTTTTTCTTTTTCTTTTTGATCCTTTGGTAAAAGGTTAAAATACTTTGTATTTTCAGTCATGGCTTCTGTTGGCCACACAGACCAGCCCTAGTGTATCTACTCATGATGGGAAGTGGTGATGTTTGCCCTGAGCCTCACTGGGAACAGAATTTGAAATCTTTTTCAGGAGAAGGCCTCATATGCATACGTACAAAATCTTATTCATTAATAATAAGCTCCAATGGAGACTTTTAATCATGTTTGTAAGGGCTGCCATTTCAAAGCAACCCATTAGAACCAAAGCCTTCATTATTTGAGAGATGTTTTTATGGGAAGTCTGTTGATATCACACTTTGAAAGTGAATTAATGATGAGCTTGGGTAAATTGAATATTCAAAAAGAAGTCAAGGAAGGCCCCCATGGGAAATATGGCATATAGTGTGGTAGTAAATGGGGTTCCTGTCTCATCCTCGTAGGTTGCAGCTCTGAACTCTGGTTCCCCTCTCTCTCTTGGGTTGCTCTGCCAAGAAGAGACCAGTTGAAGAATAACACTGTATTTCACTATATGGCATTGTTATTACTTCTATTTGCATATTAATGTTCTAGAATCAGATGGCAGTGCAACTACATACATGACACCAGGGAGTATAGGAAGAAGGAGCGGGTGGTTTACTACAGGACACAGATTCCTGTGTTTGATCTAAAAAATAAAAAGGCAGTAAATACAAAATGTTTTTAAACAAGAGAAGCTTTAAACCTCAATGGGCTTTGGTTCTTGGGCTTGTTAGAACAGTTTGGTCTTTGAAACACTGAGTGAGCTCTCAGGGAGAGCTGAGCACTTGGAAGCAGAAGCACATGCATTGCAAAGCCAGTGCTGGCTCTGAGCGCTGAGGGTATCCTGGTGCAGTGCAGCCTCCAGAAAATGGAGCCAGCAGTTCACTTGTGTCCAAAAGTCTGATGCTCACATTGCAAAAGTTCTCTCGGGTCGTCTCATGCAAAGCAACCCTCTTCAACTCTGGGTCCTTGGACTGGGCTAATCCTACCCGTTTTAGCCTCTGAGGGCTGCTGATAGGGAGACTCTACCTTCTCCCTCTTAAATACCGCTGCCTGGGCAGACTTCATGAGGATAGCTGGAGCTGAATCCTTCATGATGGCTTTTTGCCACCACTGCCGGTCTTGTCACAGGCTCCCACTCCTTCTTGTCAGCACTACTCCTCTAAGTGCAGAGTGAATGCTGATGTGATATGGTAAGAGGGAGAACTTTCATAATTTGCAAGAGAAAACATTCTCACTCTTACTTGTTCAAAAGCAGACATTGTGGGGTGAGGAGAGGGAGAACAGTAAGAAGGGCTGGTCCACTCTGCTCGGAGTTTTCAGCAGCACAAAGCCACCCAACTACCCACGGCCCATCTACATAAACCCTCATCACCTGCGGGTGTTCACAGTGTCATTCTTTAACAACGCAGAAAATGGGCAGAAGAGAACATGGAACTGCTAAAGTTTTCATTTTGTCATATGAAAATTAAAAAAAAATTTTTCTACTCTTCCCATCATTTCACATAAAAATGGGCATTGTAATACCAAAAACGTTAATTCATTGTCTTACATTTTCTCATTTACTCACTGTCTGGTGAAAATGTTGGCACAACAAATGTTGACAGTGTTGCTAGGCTAGACAGAAATAATGATGACGTCTCTTTATTGAGCGCTTACTGGATACTAGGTGCTGTCTAAGCACTTACACATGCTATCTCATTTTTCCCTTTTAAAGTTATTTAGTGGCTCCCTTTGGTCTCTTGCAGTGATGGCAAATTCTCATTTCTGTCAACTTGGATCCACTGATAGTGCCCTGTCTGTGGCACTGTGTTAGTAAGGATCATGAGGATGAACAGAGGCTCAGCTGGAAAGAGCCTGGATTGATGAACAGTACCTGACAGGAGGTTGGGGAGAGAGGGGACAAGATGCAGGGAGGGAAGGGGACGCAGGGGAGGGTAGGAAGTGTGGATATTTGCCACCCCATAGCCCTCTAAAAAAAGTTTAAGATCAGCGGGCTTGGTGGCTCACACCTGTAATCCCAGCACTTGGGAAGCTGAGGCGGTCTGATCATGAGGTCAGGAGATTGAGACCATCCTGACCAACATGGTGAAACTCCGTCTCTACTAAAAATACAAAAAATTAGCCTGGCGTGGTGGCACGTGCCTGTAGTCCCAGTTACTTGGGAGGCTGAGGCAGGAGAATTGCTTGAACTCGGGAGGTGGAGGTTGTGGTGAGCAGAGATTGCGCCACTGCTCTGCAGCCTGGGCGACAGAGCGAGACTCCGTCTCAAATAAAAAAAAAAAAAGTTCAAGATCCTTAGTAGGTAAGTCAGGCCCTTTACTATCTGACTTTTCTTGCCCTTCCAGACTTGCTTCCATCCCCCTGTCTTTAAATATGGTGCCAGCACTTCTCCAACTGTAAGGTGCCCAGAAATATCCAGGGGATCTCTTAACATGCACATTCTTATTCATAGGTCTGAGGTGGGGTCTGAGAATCTGCATTTCTATCAAGCCTCCGGATGCTGCTGGTCCATTTTCAGTAGCCAGGCTCTATGCCACCTCAAACCCCTTACCATTCATTCCCTGAACCTGCTGTGTGCTTTCACCCATCAGTTAACAAGGGTTAATTACCATTCATAATTTACTAGGTGCCAGGTCCTGTGCTAAACATTTTACATAACTCATCTTATTTGCTCCTGACAACACATCTCTTAGATAGATAATATTATTACCATTTCATTTTACAAATGAAAAAAACCAGATTCAGAGGTTAAGTAACTTTTTCAAGATTAGACAGCCAGCAAGGGGCTAGAACCCAGGCCTGCTGAACCACAAAGCAACACACTCTAGCTTCTTGCTATTCAGCCTGTGGATTGGTAGTATCGATATCACCTGGTGAGTTGTTGGAAATGCCGAGTCTCAGGCCCTACCCAGACTCACTGAATCGGGATTTGCATTTTATCAAGAGCCCACATTATTCATGTGCACATTAAAATCTAAGAAGTGCCACTGTAAACATCCATGACTCTTCATGTTTTCTCATTCCATTCTTTCAAAATAAGAAGTCTAGAATCACAATTCACAAAATCAGACTATTTTGATAAGGATTTAAAAATATATATACTCTGAAGTTTTGACACTGCAAATTTAACCCAAAGGGCTTTTTTACTGAGTAGCTTGAGAAAATTTTGGCTTTTCAGAAATTATCAACACAAAATAAAATTGACAATGGCTACAATCTGCATATAAATGAATATAATCTGTTATACATACATACAATCTGTTATAAATTATACATACATACAATGCAACATGCATACATACAATGTATGCATACATTGTATGCAGCATACAATGTATGCATACATTGTATGCAGCATACAATGTATGTTATACATACATACAATCGGTTATAAATGAATACAATCTGTTATAAATGAAAATCATCTAAAAGATCATATCATGTTGGTCATATTGGATACAGCAAAAATTGGCTCAGGAAAAAAATAGACTTGTTAGAAATAATCAACATGAAAAAAAACTGTCCACAACTAAGATACAGACGAATAAACAAAAAAACTGATAGAAGAATCAAGTCTTCTTAACCAAAACTAAATCAGTAAAATTGGAGCAAAAACATTGAACTTGTTAGAAATAGTGGCCTCAAGAGGAAAATCCACATAGGAAGAGATTATTATGCTAAAATTATTTCTAGACAACAACAAAGCCCTGATTCATGATTCAATATTAAATTGCATGAGTGCAGGAATCTGTATCTGTCTTACTTATTCCTATATCCCAGTATCTAGAACACTGCCCAGCATAAAAAAGTAGCTCAATTAAAAATGTATGGTTTGGCTCTGTGTCCCCACCCAAATCTCACCTTGAATTATAATCTCCATAATCCTTAAGTGTCCAAGGGTGGGACTAGGCGGTGGTAATTGAGTCATGGGGGCTGTTTCCCTCATGCTATTCTCTTGATAATGAGTGAGTCTCACGAGACCTGACGGTTTTATAAGCATCTGGCATTTCCTCTGCTGGCTCTCATTCTCTCTCCTGATGCCCTGTGAAGAGGTGCCTTCCACCATGATTGTAAGTTTCTTGAGGCCTCCCCAATCATGCGGAACTGTGAGTCAATTAAACCTTTTTTCTTTATGAATAATAAAAAAGTGTTGCATAACATCTTAAAATTTACAAGGAAAATAATCTGATAAAACTTCAGAACAAAAATGAAAATGGAAAAACTATTTTAAAAAGTTTAAATGTGTGGTATATAATTTAAAAGAAGTAAAATGATTTAATAGCATTTGATTCAGAAAATACATTTCATCCAAGAAAGATTTTAGGAGAAGATGATTTGTCAGTGTTGGCAAAATTTGGATGAAAAATATATAAACATGAGTCAAAATGGGCTAGAAGGGTGGGATCCGACTACCACCTGGTCAAATGGTGGAGTCAAAGTTATGGAGAAAAGTAGCTGCATGAAAACCATCTGTACGCCTTTCTTCTGGCAGCAAATCTTAATTATTCTTCCATGCCTAACTGAAATTTAACATCTTGCATTGAGCCTTTTCTAATCCAAAGCAGAACATTTTGACCCCAATGTTTGCACTCGTACCATTTTTACCCAAGGATGTGTTGACTTTACCATAGCACCTTTCAGAATTCATAAAAGTTGAAAGAAGATTTTGAGAGTGATAGGATACTTTCATAAAAGAACAACCTTCCAGTATCTGAGAGGAATCACAATTTTGTGACAGTTTAATAAAATAAAAACTGTTATTCAATTCATACTATATATTACTAAAGATTCAGTGTTATATGATTAACTGCCTAAAAAGTCACTTCTTGTTTGTAAGATTAAAAATGACAAAAATTCACCAAAATTGAATAACTTAGGTAAGAAATACTCAAAATAAAATAAAATTGCTCATAGTTAAACTACACATGGTAACATTCGTTTTGACTAAAATCGATGGAAGAATAAAAACAAACATCTTTTAAAAGGTAAATCTGAATAATTGATCTCAGGAAATTGAACTTGATGGAAATAAATAATCACAGAATAAAATCTGTAGTAGACAATGGCTTTAATTTGCAATGCTTAATACAGAGAAAAAATCTTTAATGATTAATCAAAAATTGGTCATGCAATTTAAGGTCAAAGAATTGACTTTGATGAAGACAATATTGGTAAAAATAAAAATAATAAGAAAAAGTTTGGAATTTAAAAAATTGCCTTGTATAGAAATTGATCAAAAAACTCAATAAAAATTCATCGGTGTTGTTTCATTTATTCAACAAATAGTTATTGAGCATCAGTTATGCACGAGGCTGTAGCGATTAAAAAGTGAATAAGATAAGGGCTTCACATTCTCAAAGGAGAATGTAAATTCCTGCCTAAAACGTTGGTATTCTTCTACATGAAGTTAAAATATCCATTGCATGAAAATGATGTGTTCTCCTTCACTGTTAATTCTTTTAGGAAGAAATTTAGAACTATGTATTAAAAGACTTAAAAGGGTCCATAAATTTTGATTCAGCACTTATGTTTTTAAATATGTTCCACAAATACATTAACTAAATATAAAAGAGTTATATCCTAAAATGTTGATTGGGCATTGTGGCAGGTGCCTGTAATCCCAGCCACTTGGGAGGCTGAGGCAGGAGAATCGCTTGAACCCGGGAGGCGGGGGTTGCAGTGAGTCGAGATCACGCCACTGCACTCGCCTGGGCCGTGAGCCTCCGTCCAAAAAAAAAAGAGTTACTTATAAGAGAGAGAAATTAGCACATACCCTAAATATGGAGTATTTGGAGGAATATTAAGGAAACTATGCCACATTCCCTTGATGGTTGATGGTTATTTTCCAGAGCAGCAGCTCCACGCTTATATCTGATCATTTATGTTTGTGTGGAAATGAAAATAATATCCTCAGGCTCCTTAACAATTTCGCAAGCTGGCCTGTTGTGGGTGGCTGTGTGATGTCGCTGAGTGACACAGCCTTGGAAACGCAAAGGCTGCTGCTGTTTCACCTCCAGGATACCAAACACCCAGGGCTTCAGAGGGCTGGAGTTGGGGCAGTGTCACAAGATCAGAATGTGATCTCCGTGACTGCTTAGCCTGCTGAGACCCAGAGGCTCAGAGGCTGGAGGATGGAGGGATGCGACAAAGAAATGTAAAACATGCTCCATAACCTCAACTAAAAACCCAGCATTCCTTCTTTCTCGTACTCATTTATTCATTCACTCAACAAAGATTTACGGAGTGGCTGATATTCCCCAGACATTGCTTCAGATGCTGGAGTTTCGGTTGTAAGCAAGAGAGATGAAAATTCCTGCCCTTTTGGAGACTGCATTCTGGTAGAAGCAGACAGTAATGAAACAAAATAAATAACTAAATTAAATAGTATGTTAGATGTTGAGAAGGAGGATAGAAAAAAATGCAGCAGAAAGAAGGAGCACAGGGGAATGGGTCTGTAATTCTAGACTGGGCAATCAGAGAAGGACCCGATGAAGAGATGATGTTTGAGGAGATTTGAGGGAGGAAAGAGAGTCGGCCATGCAGGCACCTGGGAGAGGGCGCACCTGACATGGGGAAGAACTCCCTCTGATATTTTCTAGCCTTGGACTTCATCTCTGCCTTGGTCTGTCTATGGTGGTAATAACCTAACCTGAAAAACTGACTCTAGGTTAATGGATTATTGGAAATTTGCAGAAGGGACCCCAAGGGAACAGAAATATCTTAACACTTGTTAGAAATTATTTTTAAGTCTGTGGCTTTCCAACCTGTCCAGGAGCTTCTGAGGCCTCACAGACCCTCTCTCTGCCATTAGAGTTTATACTAATGTTTCCAAACTGTGGTCTTCAGGGGCTTATCCTGAGAGATATTGGCTCAGCAAAAAAAGGCCTTGTTTGTAAATAAACTGGGGAGATACAGTGTGCTGTCTTCCCAAAGTGAAGATTACCTTTAAGAATCCCTACAATAAAGAAGCCTGTTGAATTTTCTTTAACCCTGAGTGTCCCTAACTTATTCTCATGCCATGACTATTACGATGCCATGGAACAGATGTTCATCAGAAGACATTGACTCACACAATAGTGTTCCATGCTGGTTATAGACTGTCTGGTTCATTGTTTCTTCACTCGTCCTTGATGTCAGTTTCGTTGTATTGTCAGGCAGGGCTTAGGGATAAAATTCTCCAGTACAACCACTGGGTCCTGGACACAGAGGACAAATACACGAAATCATTATGGACCGAATGTAGATGGTTGTAAATGTGGTCCTACAGAAAAGGTCGCTCAGGGCTTCTTCAAAGTGAGTAGAAAAATATCTGGATAAGAGAAGGCCTTCTTTCCAGTGTAGACAAATGCAGAGACACAATTTCATTGCACAAATAAACATTAATTTGGGGCCAGGAGGTGGGGTGGGACTGTGAGGAATTTAGCGGGTAGACAAATTCTACATGGAAAATATCTCAAAGTATTCTCTTTGCCGTCCATCTGCTGTGCTCACATCCACCTCTCCTTACTGTCTCTGCCCCTTTCTTATTCTGTCTGTGGCTGCTGAGCGAGGGCTGGGCTCTGGTTATTCTTTTCTTCCTCAACTTTTCTGCCATCCTTTAGTCTTGTTGCCTCCTATTTTCTTCTTTTCTTCTGGCTGGACTTGTGCTTCCCATTCCTTATTTTCTGTTTCCTTTCAAACCTCCTTCTATTCCCTTCCCCCACAAATGGTTCCACACCCCGTGTATGACCCACCCACTCTGCTGCCCACTTCACAGGGTCTGTCTTTTGTCCCTGCTTCCATTTGGCCTTTTTATTCTGGGCCCTTGCCCCAGAGGAAGACAGACCTTTATTTCTTTGGTGTGTGTTTTTGCATCACCCGTGTGACATCTATGTTTGTAAGGCAACTTCAGCTCGGCTTACATTTTCAGTCATGCATAGGATTTACATGATAACAAAATCTCCTGTCTGGGAATGTGAGACAGATTCCTGTAGTCAGTGCATTCATCACTCCCAGGGATTTATTCAATCATTCCCTCACTGAGTAATGTTTATGTGTGAGGTACTAAGGACAAGGAGATAGAAGACATAATTCTGCTTGGAAGGAGCTCATGGTCTAGTGAGAGACACAGTGACCAAAGCAGATAATCTCAATAGAATGTGGCAAGTGTTGCGCCAGAGGCCAGGAAGGGATACTGTTCCAGGAGGGTCCCTGACCCAGCCTGGGAGGGCCAGGGATGGCTTCTCAGTCTCAACGGTAATTAGAACAGTGCAAATCTGAGCTTTCAACTGAAAATTGAATTTGGAAAACTTTTATCTTTTACTCTGAGCCTGAAAGTTTCTCAATATTTAAAGAGTTTTCTGATAGGATCAGTGGCATTATTTATAAATGGTATTTTAAAATACTGTAAATGAAACGTGTCAACATTGGGAAGATTTGCATAATTCAGTGTAATATTTTCCAATATATTAGGTTATAAATCATGTGTGGATAAAATAATACACTCAACATGAAAGATAGGCAATGGATTTAATGTAATTGAGTATAAAATGTTCAATTACCTGGTTTCAAATTCTATTCTGCAACTCACCTTTATTAAAACTAACATGTGTAGAGTTTTGGAGTATAGTGAAAGAAAAATACCTAAAATTATTTGAGAAAATTGGAACATATTCCTGCTTTTCCAACTATATAACTATGTGAAGCTGGATTTTCTTTCTATACTTCAACCAAAACAACATATTGCAAAGTAAGCAACACAGAAGCAGAGAGGAGAATCCTGCTATCTTTACGGAACCAGATATTAAAGAAATTTGAAAACATGTAAAACAATGCCACTATTCTCTCATTTTTTTCTGTTTTGGAAAATATAGCTATTTTTCATAAAATGTGTAATTTACTTTAACATGTAATTATTACTTTACAGTTAAGTAATTAATATTTAAAATTTTTCTCAGTTTCAGTTTCTAATATGGAAAATATTGATAGCTATACCCCACATAAACTAAGCTCTTTGGAGTCCTTAGCAATTTTTTTTTTTTTTTTTTGAGACGGAGTCTCACTCTGTCACCCAGGCTGGAGTGCAGTGGCATGATCTCGGCTCACTGCAACCTCTGCCTCCCGGGTTCAAGCGATTCTCCCGCCTCAGCCTCCTGAGTAGCTGGGACTACAGGGGCGTGCCACCACATGTGGCTAATTTTTGTATTTTTAGTAGAGACGGGGTTTCACTGTGATGGCCAGGCTGGTCTCGAACTCCTGACCTGAGGTGATCCACCCGCCTCAGCCTCCCAAAGTGCTGGGATTACAGACATGGCCACCATGCCCGACCCTGTCCCCATTTTCTATAGAAGGAAACTTAGACCCAGAGAAATTAGGAAGTGTGTCCATACTCACTACAGTGAACACCCTTGGCACCCCTGTCAAGTGCCCATGTGGTCATGATCACCAGTGCTCTGCACCCATTCCCCAGTTCCGTGTGCCTTGCTGCCAAGGGCTTATGGCTGGAAAATTCTTCAAAGGCTTGCCTGTGGGCTGCCATAGCCGCCTCACCTGTAGCCAAGCATCCAGGAGTTGATTACTGAACCTCCACCTACTAGCTGATGACCAATTGGTGAACCAAAGATCAGCTTCTTTGCCTCTGGATGAATTCTGGGGTGCAATTTACACTCCTGAGCTCCCTGAGAATCAGGTTGTGACTGGCCTTCAACCAAAATCACACCTCTTTACTTCTCCTTCTGTAGTGGGCTTCTCATTTACCACTTTCCCTGGGGAGTTCTTTGTTGATGGATCACTTGAATCTTTGCCTTGGGGTCTGCTTCTTAGAGACTCTGAAGACTGTCACTCACCTAAGTGGCAGAAGTCAGGATTTGAACCCAAGGCAGCCTGACTTCAGCACAGGTGCTTTTAGCTAGCACACTGGACTGTGTGCTCTCAGATTACTGGTGTAGGCCTGTTAACAGGTTAGTCCATCCAGTTGCAGGGTCTACAAAACTATGCTTCTTATTTTACCACACATTAAAGTGTCCCTTTCTACCGTGTGTATGGCAGATGCACCTGACAGCAATAACTTAAGCAAACCCAGAGAATGGCCGTATGATCTAGGAAGAATTTTGTTTCAGTTTCAAGCTAAGGAATACGGGAGTGGCCAACCTGGAGATTCACTCCTTCTTTACGAAGAATATCTGAACTCCTGGCCCGTTCCTTGAAATACAGGCCATCCGGGGAGGGGAAGGCCCTTCGTTTTGGGTTAAATGGAGGTTGCTAGGTGGAGGTTGCTAAGCCAAAATGCTATATACACTGCATACTTTTTACAAACGATAGTGGGTCTTCCTGCCTAATCCGCTGTCCCTGGACCACCCGATAGGTAAGTCTTCAATAAAGCCTGTATTTCGTTCGCTGGCTGTAGGTCTTTTCTTTGGCCTCTCAGACACAGTGCCATCCCTACAGAAGTCAATAGGGGTCCAGCAGATACCTTGAGAATGTATGTTCTTCACCCCTTTGGAAAAAATCCTTTGCATAAGGGAAAGTAACACTCCGCTAGGTCTTCACGCTTATTTAAATCCTGTCAATCTAATATAACTGTGTATTATAGGCACATGCCAGCTTCCCTCCACCTCTCACACCAAGTAAAAACAAATGCAATATTGATAAACTTTTCTTTCCCATGACCCATGGTGGGTATAGATAAGTTAATGGAGAAATAGTGGTTGGCAATAACATTCCATGGACTCCTTCCGCTGAATCAGCAGTAGCAGCTAGAATTTCATAAGCTGTCACCACTTCAAGAGAGGAGAAGCGGTAGCCTGGTGTGCATGTGTTGGTCACACCCACACTGTGCTGAGCTCTGACTTCTGGGCAGTGTTGAATGCATAGGCTGTTATTCCCCAAACCCCTCACCATTCCTGGATTTAACCTGAGTCAGGGTAAGTGTAACCACCCGTCAATCGCCTTTATAGAAAACACTTTGGGTCCTGACTATTGGTTGCCCCTTTGTTTTTTGAGGTCCTTGAGTTTGTCTTGTGCTATACTTCATGGAAGGCACAGGAAATGTATCCCTAAAGCAGCCTTAGCATCAAAGACATTTCTGTGAAAACACCCCTCTCCACTACCACAGAACTGTTTATTTTTTCAATTAACAAAGGATAAGGTGGTCCACTGGGGAATTTTGGCTTAGAGCCCCAGAATTTAAATATGTATGCAAAGTAGGGGGTTAAAAAGACCTTAGATTAATCCAGTTTTTACAACACCTGGGGCTGTGGTGGAGATGGGGGCAGTTAATTTAAGCACTAACTTTTGAAGGAGCAATTTTCTCCCACTTTGGCTGCCTGGGCTCAGGCCACAGAGGCAGGCTTTAAGTATTTCACCTAACTACACTCAGGCAACAAGCATGGGAAACTCTTTGGCATGCCTTGGTATCTACTCACATTCTTCTGTTTTGCTTTGTCTTTCTCCCTGGACAAATGGCACCTTATTATCTAACTTGAGCCTTCGCATTCAGACTTCAAGACACAGCCCATGTTTTGAATTAAGGAAGAATGAGCCTCAGCATGAGCCCTGGGGAATCTGGGTTAGGTGATCCAAGTCCCCCTTGGGTTAGACTGAATGCAATACTTTTCTTCTTTACCCTGCTAGCAGGTCTATTGAGTTTCAAAAGAGATCAAGCATATATGTAGAAATTCTCCAAATTCTATAGCTCTGCTATGCTAAATTTTCTATCGAAGAAATTCTCGAAAAGAAAGGGAAGGGGCGTCTCACCAGGATCTACTGAGATTGTTCAAGAGGGTAGAGTAAGAGGCCACACATTGAAAACATTCCTTTTTGTTTCCTTCCTTACCTTATTTCCTCCAGTCTGAAAGTACAGATGTTTGAAACTCTTCTAGGAGTGGAGATGACCAATGACCAGTCTGACTCTGGGAGAGGCTGGACTTCTACTATCTTTAGCAGAGAGCCCCAATATGATTTTTAAAATTTACTCTCAAACCCATGGAACTGGGAAATATTTACAACACTTAGCCATTTGTTGACTTGAATATGTGAAGTCTTGCAGAGGAGCTATTTCTTTTCATTGTGACATCAATATAATTTATAGTGGATGGCATTCTGTCCCTGATTTTGTCTCCCTCTCTCCCTTCCTCCACCCCATTTACATTCACTTGAAAGAAAAGTCTCTTAAAAAGCATGTGAGTCATGACCTGAGCATCTATGAACAAACAGTGACTCTTCTTAGGACACAGAACACCTCTTTCCTGGGCATTGTGCATTCATATTTATGTAATAAAACTTAAAAATATGCAGGATGCAAAAGTCTTCTGGAGTAAAGTTGTTTAGAGTTTGCACAACCCATATAATAGCAACCGCCTCCAGAAGGTGGATTTCTATCTCAGCTCAGAGAATCCACTAACATGTGGGCCAGCCTTGGGCAAAATTGAGAAATGGGAGAAGACTTGGTTTGCTTCCTTCAGCCCCTCCACTTCTCAGCGAGTGTCTTGCTCTCTTCTATTCTCCCTGCATCTCTTGCTGTGCACTCAAACCCACCCATCCTGGTGTTAGGTAAGGCTGGGTTTAGTTTAACATGTTAACGGCCCTCTACATTTAAATCTTATATTTAATTATAAAAGGAAAGGGTCTGTCCTTTTAAAGACATTGTGGGGGACCTAAGCGGGGACGGAGGACACAGAAAAGAAACTTCTCGAGGAACTTTGACCAAGAGAAACACCATCTGAAAATGCCTAAGCTAACAAAACTGAGTTTAGGACATCTGCCTTTGGCCCATTCACGTTAACCACCACGTCCCTGGAGACTGGTTTTCCTCCTAATATGGTGAAATATGCCAAAAGCAAGTAAATTCTCCTGTGGGATTTAAAGGATTTAACTGAATCACATGGAAAGTTACCAGATTTTCTGAGTGATTTATGTGGTAGAAGCATGGTTCTATTTGGATGAACTTTTTGCTGTCTCACAGAAAAAAGAAAGTAAAATATTCGATATAGACTCACCAAGTGGTTCCAAGAACCTTGCCTTGAAAAAAAGAAAAAAGACACAGCCTTTTTCAAAGGTTAGTTTAGAAGTATTAAAAAATCATATTTTTATAGTAATAGTTATCACATTGCCAATATTTTTCCATCAACACTGTAAATAAAGTAACTTTCTTCTTGTTAGTACACCATTTAATTGCTCTTAAGTAAGAAAAGGGTGTGTAAGTGTGGTCTTAATCTAAGTGTTAACACACTGGTTAGAAATGTGAAGTCCCTTAAATTTATACAAAAAACCTTAAACACATGAGATAAATTTTAGAAGCTGTTAACCACATGGAGATGCTGGGTTCCAGACACAAGCTCTTGCTCCCTCAGAAATCTATAGCATCCCTTCAAAGTTGAAGTTCAGTTCCACTTAGAAAGGCATTATTTCCATTCTCAACCCTATTTTAAAATGAAACAGCAGAAGTGAATTCTACTGGGTTCTGTTCACATCGCAGTGACCCTAAAAAAGTCCACAGAAAGTACACTTCTCAATCAAATGTTTAGTTACCATTGACTGCGAAGACCCCAGAGAGAGCATGACATTTTTCAATGATTGCATCAAAATATATTGCTAGGGAATCCAGAAAAAATATACAACTAAAGTCTTGCTTTTCAAAAGCATCTTCAACCAGAGAGGCAAGAAATATTAAAGAATGCTTCATTATAATAAAGAAAAGGATGACCCGTTTTTAAAAAGAATGGAATTATGGGGATCCAAATGGAATTCAAATAATCCTGGTTGCGTCCTGCACTCCAGTATTTTGGATGCATTTGGGAATGCTGTTGGATCACTCTGGATTTGCCTTTTCTCTATATTCTACCCGACAAGTTTATATTCAGCAGTATCCCTCACACTGTGTGAAAATTAGCAGTGGTTCAAGGAGGAAATTTGGGGGTTTATATAAAGTAAGTGATGAATCTTCTTGGCTTAGAAATGTGGTTCTTAAAATATAAGGCTTATAGATCATTTTGAGAAACTTATTAAAGTCAAGTAAAAGAAAACATGCATACCACATACACATTGCATTTTGCATTCAGTTCCAGGTCTAGAAAAATAAGAAGCTTCAGGTCTAGAATGTCATTATGGGAAGATTTCCATTTAGGTCTGTTTTAAAAATATCCATAATAGGTGAGAGGAAAGAAATAGGATTCTCACCTTGGGCAGCGATATAATTCCTTTTACTAGTGACCAATTAATCCAACCCATCAGAGTAACATTTAATCTTTCTTTTAAGTGGTTTCTAAAAAGGAACAACAGAAATGGCACTGCTAAGAACTTTACAGAACTGGAAGTAGTATCAAAGTGGCTCAAAACCAAATAAATATAATGTAATATACACCAAATTCAAGTTTTAAAGCTACTCAAGCCAGGGAAGCAAAGGAGGAAATGCTGATTATTTGGGGGAGAAATGGTAGAAGCGGGGGTAGAAAGGGAAGACCAGATGTTCGGTTTTCAACATCAATGTTTCTGAAGCCAAGAATATATTGCTGACTGAGGCATGATAAAATGTGCAGGGATTTCCAGCAATCCACAGTCAGCTGATCTGCTAAGGAGAAAAACAACAATTTTAAAATAATAAAGTTAGGCTGTAAATATAATTTTCTTATCTGGGGTTCTGGTTATTTATACCTCAAAGTGAATAGCTGCATAAAGATCTTATTGTTTCTCACTGGAACAAGCTTGAAGCCCAGGGAATGCCTTGACTTCATGAGATTATGAAAAAAAAATGTTGTATTTTTATGTGACAGGTTGACATGGATTTTATTCAACAGACAAGCTGACATTTATCAAGATGCTTTCAATTACACCAAAAGAAATAGAAGTCTTCGTCTTATTGCTGTTTATGTGGCAGTATTGTTCTCCTACAATAAGTTGATGGAAATGAGTTGTTTTGTTTTTCATTTTAGCCATTTTACAAGTAAGTTTGCTATTGTTGTTGCTGTTTTTAGAATAAAATGATTTTACCAATAACATTGAGTGGCTATACCTTTCCTTAATAATGGGAAATTTTATAAATTTGGCTGCTTAATGACATGATTTAGAAGTTTGCACTCTGCTCACTTTTGATTTGACCTTGCAATTACCAAGTTAAATAAAAATGACTTTTATAAGGACATGAATCCAATTGAAACTTCGCAAGATTGGAATCTTTTAATTTTTGAAAGTTGTGTTCCATCAAAAAGCCTTCTGTGGTTTGTGTACCCAAAGAATAATTTTCTATCCAAGTCATACGTCCTGTGTTTCCAAGAAACCCAATCTTGTGCAGGGGTGAGAGTCCATTATCTTCTTCTCTGCCACCCTTTACAATGCAGGCTCATAGGAGATTTGTTTGAGAGCTCATGTACACAAAGATGATTTTATTGCATTACCCAGGTCACACGGCAGAAATTGTCAATTTTATGTCAGGTTTTAAAGATTACATCCTGAATAAGTATATTTTATTTCTTGTCAAAATATACTGTTTATGGTTTCCAATACCAAAGAGGGAGTAGATTATTTTCAGTATAAGTAATCCTGTTGTTCTTTTTTTCCTCCTCTACTCAAGATAGACAAAAATTTGAGAGCTATTTTCTTAG
This sequence comes from Homo sapiens, assembly GCF_000001405.40. Lineage (NCBI taxonomy): Eukaryota > Metazoa > Chordata > Mammalia > Primates > Hominidae > Homo > Homo sapiens. The sequence goes on from NC_000007.14 coordinate 33,877,880, forward strand.
AAAAAATGACCTCAATGTCAACTGTCTTCTCCAGCTACAATTTTGGCAATCTCACTAACTACCTGGTGACTTTGTATTGTCTCTTATTGTGGATTTAAACATTCTGTAATCAGAAAAAACTCAACTTTTCAAGTCTTGGGCCTATTTATTTATTTTTTTTAGCTTAACCTGTTCTGCCTCTCTATAAGCCATACATGGAAATAAGGCCTGTAAAACTGGCAAGATAAATGTAAAGATCAGGGATCAAAGGAAACTCTACTGAGAAATAAAATTATTTTTAATAGAAATTTTTAAAAATATAGTTTGGTGTCTTGGGCAAATAGAGTAGCAGTACTATTATTCTGTCTGTAATTGACTTTAAAATATTTCAACATAGACTTCAAGGTGATAAATACTTGTATTAATTTGTTTCTGTACCTAAAGTAGAGGGTTGTTGGTTAACATTTGAAAGACTCTAATCAAGAGTCCACGGGAAATTATTATAAGGTATGGTAGGCAGTCTCCCAGCGTTTCCACCCTTGTGCAGTAATCCTCTCCACTTGAGTATAGGCTGGACCAAGCAATTTGATTGAACAAATAGAATATAGCAAAAGTGTTGAGATGTTCTGAAAGATCAGGTTATAAAAGATTGTGACTTCCATCTTGCTAGCACTCTCTCTCTCTCTTGCCTTCCTTGGAAGCTGATCCTTTTGCGTCGAGCCGTGAGATGACAGTGAACCCAGCTGACACCTTGATTGCACCTTGTGAGATACCCCAAAGCAGAGGACCCTGATAAATTGTATTTGGATTTCTGACCCACAGAAACTGAGATAACAAATGTTGTTTTAAGCCATTAGATTTAGAGGTAATTTTTTATGTGACAACAATAGATAACTAATACACAAGAGCTACAGGGATCACGTTTTGATCTGTACTAGTTGATCTAACAGTAAGTGAATTATATGGCATGTGAATTATACCTCAATAAAGCTGTTTAAAGATTTATATCAGGGCATTTGTTAAATAGCATAAATAATATTAGAAATGCATACATCTGTGAAAGGAGTGGTGTATAAAATATGTGAGTTGACTAGAAATAATGGACAGCAGAGTACCTCTGTTTTTGCACGAGAGGCATAAGAATGTGGAAAGCCCAGAGCCTTGTACTCTCCCAAGTGGTACCCTAGGCCCAGGACTCTCATTCAGTCTTAGATTTGGCCATAACATGGAGGGATCATGTGGCTTGAATGGACTCAGGTTAGCTAAGATCTACTGTTAGAGCACAGTGGCCTTTGCCCCAAGTAAAACCCTCAAGCAAGCTACTTTTCAGGGAGTCTGAAGAATGCAGTGATGCCTCCCTGAACTTACATGAGCAGACTCTGTGATATTTTTGTGCCTATATGTTAATAATTGCTTGTTCATGAGGCAGAATTTGGTCAGAGATTTGATTTCACTGTAACATATGATCTGCTGTTGAGGGTATGAGAGACTTGCAGCTCTCAATAGAGGCTAAAGAAATCAACCAAAAAGAAGTGGACAATTGTGAATGACCAAGTTGACTCAGGCCATTCTGCAACAGAACTGATGAGACAAGAAGTCGATGCATAAGACAACTGACTGCATCCCTTGCAAGGTAAAGTAGCCCCTGTGTGTCCCCTAGTGTTTGTCTTTGTTGTGGCAAAATGATTAAACTGGCCCCTCATCCCAGCCACCAGTTAATTTAAGCAATGTTAGAGGCACAACAGTACCAGTCATTCTCTCACTCAAAGACCTTTCGTGGTATCCTATTTCCCAAGAACTAAGTCCAAGTCCTTTGTCTTGAATACAAGGCTCTTACAACTTTTGTTTTCTACTATCCATCATACACTAAATTGAACAGCTTCGGGAAATTGAACAGTTCTTGTATTTTCTTGCTTCCTTATCTTTGCTCATTTAATTCCATCCAGCTGAATGATCTTTCCATCCATTAGCTTTGGACAAATAGTGTTTAATGTATTTCAGGCCCTTGAGTACAAAGATAAATAAGGCACAGTCTCGTCCCATAAGAATCTTATTTAGTGTGTGAGTGTGTGAGTTGGCCATATCAACAAGCAATTCCAGTAAAATTTGGTGAGTGATTTGATAAGTTTCTATGGGTAGATTAACTATGGTCACCAATTCTTTGTGGCTCCTCTTATGAAAAAGAGGATTCTCTCTCACCTCCCTGGGCCTGGGCTGTCCCTGTGTCTTGCTTTGACCTATAGAATTCAGTGGAAGTGACACTGTTGTCATTTCTGAGCCTTGGCCTCTAGAGGTCTTGCCAGCTTCTGCCCTCCCTCTTGGATCTCAGCTGCCATAACAGGACACCCAGTGAAGTGGACTGGATAATGAGAGGCCACTCAGAAGAGAATGGAGGTGGCTCAGCTGATGGCAGCACTGTGTTAATCATGTTTTGTATTTTCTGTATTGTTAAGATGTTTGGACATCTTGCAGGTCTTTCAGACCTGGGGAGACACTGACCCTTGCAGAGCTAGCTTACTCCTGGGGGTGTTGGCCTTTCATGTATAGACTGTTCAGCCCAGTGCTGTCCCCCAACCCCCTTCAGCTAACTCCCACACACCAAGCCAATATCTCCCCTGTCCTAAATCAATCCAGGGCCAGGTATCAGACAACCAGGGACAGTCTTTATGTCTCCGAGCCCCCCAGAGTTATTCAAATGAGATGATTCTAAACTTTGACTCTGTCTTGCCTTTCCTTTTTGCAAAAATCTCAATAAAGTCTCAGGTCTAGGCTTCCCCCTTACTCTTGTTTCTGCCTCTAAATCAAAACCTAGTTCTTTGCCATGTGGTCCTGAGTGATTTGGAATGCCCCCTTCTCTGGGGAAATGTAAGTAACAAAAATCTTCTCTCAAGGTCATTAACCTCTCCATGTTGTCACTCAGTCTCTTCTATCAATTAAAACCCTGTGGGTACAAATTTTAGAACCAGCACTAATTAGTAGGGAGGGCTATCCAGCCTTAGTCAAACCTTCAGATGATCAAAGCCATGGGAATGATCTCAGGTGAAACTAGCAGAGCTTCCCAGCTGAATCCAGCCCAAATTGTAAAGTCATGAGAAAGTGAATGTTTGTGGTATAGGGAAGAAATTCAATGGAAAACTATGCATTGTCTACAGCACACCCTTCTGGGTTATCAGATTCTAATTCTATGGGAGCTATTTCACAGCTCTGTGATATTATAAACAACTGATCTCAACCACAAATAATTCTTTTCTATACACATTTAAATGAATTCTGTCCAGTGGAGGAACAGCACTCTCTTTTCCTGCAAAAGTCAGGTTTATCCCATTTTTGCTTGCATTTCAATTTCCCTTTGCTCCGTATAAATTTATGCTTCTTTGACTTCTTTGAATTACTTGTAACATCTATCTGTTTCCTTCATTTTATTTAACATGTGCTCATCCTATACCTACATGAGATTATGGTTTTACCTTATTTTGAAAATTATCCTTTAACATAGCTATCTTAAACCATTAAGTTTTGTAGTGTAGCAGCAGATGCAGGAAGGCAATAACGGAGAGCAGAATCAATTGCTTACATCCCATTGGCTCATACTTCTTTGCTATTTATATTACTAACAGAAAAACGTCACTTCTTTGTGGCATAGACAATAAACATGTATAAAGAAAAATATTGGAAGCACAGCCTGGAACGCTGACTAAAAGGAAGCGGCAGAATGATGAGGTTAAAGGTATGAGCTTTCCTCATTCAATATGCCTGGGTTCAAGCCCAGACTCCACCATATACCAGCTATGTAAACTTGGGCACATTTGTTGATATCTGTAAGTTTCAATTTCTTCATGAACCAAAATCATACACACTGCATAGTAAGCACTAAATAAGACCATGTGGCAGACACCTTTGATTGCCCACCGGACGTTCACTTCCTGATTTCTGAACAGAGCCCCAGGTTCATCCAGGTGTCCACATTGTCTCCAGCTCCAAAGAGGTGTTCTGAGCAATGTAAACCAAGAAGCCTATGGTCCTTCCCTAACATCTGCAGTTATTTAGGAGAGGGCACATGATTGAACTGACTCAACTATGCAAGCAGGAATTGTTTGCATCCCATGTTGGGAGAAAAGTGTTCTTTTCTTGTTTTTGTCCTGTTGGGTGGAATCAGTACACAAATGAATGCTGATTGCTGCAGGCAGCCATCTTATAACCAAGAGGCAAAACAGCCTTGGGACAGAGGCTCTGTTGAGAGTCAGAAGAGAAGGACCAAAGCTGTGAGCCCAGAGCTTGGCCTATAGTCAGCGTTCAGTCCACGTAATCTAAGCAGCAGCCTGGGTTCTGTTGATTTGGAGAGGAACCTTCCTTTGGATTTGTACCAAAAGGATTCTGGCATGTTGGCCAGTGAGAATTGGAAGGGCTACTCTATTTCCCGTAGATTGTGTAAGAAAAGAGGATTTTTATCACGTGACCAGCCCTAAATGATTGTTCCCCTTAAAACCAAAACTCAAATACAATCGAGACATTGGCCTTTGTATTCAATGCCTGTAGCCATAATTCATTTTCTGTCAAAATACAGGGTTTTTTTCCTGCCAAACCGTTGAAATCACAATTTTCAAAAGTTTGGCAAGGACCATTTTCCCATCAGAGATAGCATATTTTTATGGTGATTTTTGCCCATTACATTGTAAAACAATAATAGCCAAAGTCTTGCTTCTGGTCATTGCGTACTCTGAGTATTTGCTAGCACCACCACAAAGTGACACTTCTATTTCAAGCCCTGTTTTGAGGATGTGATAACAAAGTGGAAAAATGTTGCTACTGGCTATAATTTGGCAGATTAGACTTAAGCTTCCAAGGATTCTTCTCAATACAGTTTTGCCAAAATTCAGACACACACACATGCACACACACATACACACACACACACACACAGAGCTTGTTTTTTTTTTTAAGAAAATAAAACAAACAAAAAACTGCATGAAGAAGAAAGAAGAAAACCCTTCTACAAAGTGCTGAAGTCTTGCTTTCTTCTAGTCTCTCATAAGCAATAACCTGGCTTTAAGATATGAGACAAGACAGGGAGTTCATCCAAAGTGATGCCCTCCCCCTGCCTTTTTTGATGGAGTTTTGAAATAAGGAGACTAATTGGCAAATATTTAAAGTTGAGGAAAATGGCAAAATTTGTATGCTTTTGAAATAGAGTCATAGGATTCATCATTGTGTGATCTTTATGGTGATTTGTTTTATCTCCCAATGAGAAGAGAACCCATGCTTATTCAGGCTTGCCCATTTGGGCAGGTCTTTGCATGTCCTGGTAGTATCCAGGTGAATCTCCATGGTCCAATGTCAGCTTGGTTTCTGCACTAGCATCTAGTCCCTCTATGATCATCAGTGTCTGAGAAGTCTGAGTCCCAGTTAAGGTTAACTGTAAAATCCTGTCTGTTGGTACAATTCATTAAAAGACAATTTACCTATAATAGCTACTTAATGTGTCTGCAGTATATTTTCACCATAGACAGAATCAATAGAGATGATCAATAAAAAGAATTATCACAAATTTCCTGACAACTCCATGGTGGCAGCAGCTGGGAAGCCACAGCAAAGGGGTGGGCCTGTTGGTCGGGCTGCACGGGGTGAGAGTTTGTCTCTCAGCCCTTGGAAGACAGTCTAGACTGGTTATCTTGTAGTGCCAGCCTTGTGGCTCTCTAAGAGAGCTGCCCACAGTTCCTTTTCTGGTTTATCCACAAGACCCATTACCTTGATCTCCTCCTACTTCCTCCCCTGGCTCTCAGCCCTTCCCTGAGTAGAGACGGGATGGGGTGAGGCTTTGAGCCTGGTCTGTTTTGATTTTCATTCTTGTTAACCCCAACCAGGAAACTCTTCACAACAAGGGCAGCCAGCTGCCCATTCACACACAGTGAGGTTGCCCTGTGGAGTTATAGCAGAACAAACATATGCTTTCATTCCTGAGTTCCTCATATTGTTTATTTACTTGTGTTTACCTACGTTATCCATGCACAAAAGATTTGAGCCATCTTACTATCATGACAACACATCCTACACTGTACAAATGGAATCAGAATTCAAGGTCCTGGACCAGAACACATGGGACTGTTTAGTGGCTACAACAGAGTTGCACAAAAGGAGATAATGATTGCAGACAGACTCCCGAAGCCTTTGAATGCTGAGTCTACCTACCATGAGACTACTTTCTTGGGACTTATGGTTATGTGAGTGAATGAATGCTTATATTATTTTTAAATATTGGAAATTATGTTTATTGCAGCCAACCATGTTCTACTGGTACAGATAGTCCCACTGGCACAGATTATCTCTATTGTATGGGTGAAGGCAATTGAGGTTTGACAAGTTGACTCAGCAAATGAGTGGCAGTATCTGGGCTTTTTCCTCCTGTCTGACCCAGAGTAATTTTTTAACTTTCCCTGGAGTCCTGATAAAAAACGCAGATTCCTCTACTTCACTCCCAAAGATTCCATTTAGGAACTGAGGTGGAGTCCCAGGAATCTCCATTCTAAGCAAGCAACACAGATCGTTCTGATGTGAGGGCTTCTTGAACCCCATTTGAAGACTCATGGTCCCATGTCATCCAACCCCTCAATCAAGCTCATTTCTTTCCAAAGCCTATTCTTTCTCCCACCATTTTGGGCTGACATCACCATAGCATCCACACATCCACTCCTATCCCTCATCCCAGACACAGGTGTGCCTCAATATAAAAGCAGAAGGTCCTGGTTCTCTGGGATCTGCGGTTCAAAAGTACGATCACTCAGGAAGGTCGGAGGGTGGGGGCACTGTCTCCTCTTCCCTCCTCTTGGGAAGTATTTGTCAAAATGGTCATCCTGGGTGGTCACAGATTGACACAATCAGCTTTACTTATTCAACCAACCAGCCCACTCATTACTTGGGTGTCAACTCCCTGGAAAACAGTGAAGTGAAATGTTCATGAGTCTTTGTTTGTGGGAAAGGGGAGGGGAGGAATGGGGGAAAATTGTGCACACGTTCATTTTTATTTCAAAAGAAACCCACATGGTTTGTTGTCATTCAGCTCTTTGGCTTTGCCTGAGAGACACAGAATCCAAATGTAATATTGTAGAAAGCTGTGAAACCAAAGTTTTGAATTTTTCTCAAGAATTTCATTTTTAATAATAAAAAATCACCAAGCCCATGTGTCCCATAAAAATAAATGAACGTTTTCACTCATGAACCAATAAAGCAGATGAAAGTTGGAAGCCACATAATACTTTCTGTGTAGCTCATCCAGGCCATGCAAGGCCTTGGAGAAGAATTATTTTATGTTTTGCAGATGGGGGAAACTGAGGAAGCACCAGGTCCATGTGCCTGGGAAAGTAACCTGCCAGCTGCTCTAATTTGGAAGAGCAGCTCTTTGGAGGGTTGGAGAAAAGCCCGGACCCTGTAGCATGGCATGTTCCAGCCAAGCCAGGATGTCCAGCTGCATTTCTGGAGGGGACCTTCTTGCCCCTGAGGACCTGTGGTTCTTCAGAGGGTCATGTTGCTTCATGCCTTGTCCCTGCTGCCCTTTCTTATGGAAATATTCTCCTGCTGTTTTCCAGATAGCACATACCCACTTGTCCCTCACTCATCACCAGAAGCTGTGGGTCCTCCCACGTGGCTGCATTCTCTGGCCCTGCCACAGCACTTTAACACCCACTGACATTTACGGCCACCCCACCATCCCCCCACCAAACACACACAGAGTCTGTTGAAGGATCCTGCTTAATTTATCTTTAGGTTCCCAGGACCGGTCACATGGTCAGGCACATAATACATGCTCATTAAGTGCTTGTTGAAAGGATAGGTGAATAAACCCATGCAGGCATGGGGTAATGTAAGAAAAAAGATGACACCTTCAACCTCTTGTTGTTCTCTAAAAGAAGCTGGAGGAAGAAATAGGAGGGAGGAAGCCCATTCAAGTTTCTGGCCAGCCTTTTCCCAGGGGCTGTGTCTCCTCACTTGGTTTCAGGAATGTAAACACTGAAAGTATAGTTCAGATTCCTTTCACTGGTAAATAACTTCTTCCACTCAAAAAAAAAAAAAAAAAAAAAAAGAAGATGGAAAACTGACAGTCATTGGAGGGGAGTGATTTTTGCTGGGCTGCCAGGGAACATGTTTGTGGCTGTGATGAGTATTTGGGCAAAGACCCTACACAGAGGGCTGGGATCACTTAAGGCCTACCCTATTTAGGGGGAGAATTTTTGAAAGCTTTTTTTTTTCCTTGCAAGAAAGACTTACACCCCAGCAGCTGCTGTCATGCTACCGCCAGTTTAGTCCTGAGTAAGAAACCCCCAGGCTTTGACACAATTACCTCTCTTGCTCCTTCTCCACAAAGGCTGGAAATTGAGTCCCAGTCCCACAGTAAGGGGGATGTTCCTTCTAGCACGCAAGTGTCAGCTTCCCCACCAGGGGGCTGGAGCCAGCCTGGGGCTGACATATTTACCCAGGCCTCCAGGCAAGGCAGCCGAATGTGACGCGGAGCTGCCCCCTGCCTAACCTAAGCTGTCCTGCTGGCTTTCTTCTCAAGGATCAGGTAGGCCACGCTATCTCCAAGCAACCTCCCCTCACAAAAGACTGAGATAGTTGAATTTTCATGGTGGGAGACTGGGAAATTGGGAATGGTTATTGATGGGAGAGGTGTATGAGATGGAGCTGGGGAGAAAGTTCTGAATCTTTAGTAGAATGAACTTTGCTCATTTCAGGGAAGCCCATGATGTATGAAGGGGAATTAGGGGGTGGAACAGGACAAGGAAGGGAATTAGCCTTCACAAGAACCTGGTGTGGTAGTGCTGCTTTATATGTATAATCTCACTTAATCTACCCCAGTTCCCAAAAGACTTGCATTACTATCTGCGGTACACATATGACAAAACTGAGGCTAAGAGGGGCCAAGAAACAGCCTCAGGCGCCACAGTTATTAGGTTGGTGCAAAAGTAATTGCTGTTTTTGCCCTTAAAAGTGATGACACAATCCCAATTACTTTTGCATCAACCTAGTAGGCGTGGGGGCCAGGGTGTGAATGTGATCTGTTTGCACCAAGACTATGAACAAAGTATAAGGAGTAGGAAGATAGTTTAAAAATGAAATAAAATAGAATGGTGCTGGAACAGTTGCAAATCAGGTCAGCTTACGTTTCCTAAGTGGCTTTTCTCTGCCGGGCATCATCCCATTTAATCCCAATAAAACTATCATAGGAAATTTCAATGGAGAACCGAGATTCAAAGAGATCACTCTACTTGTCCACAGTCAGAGGGCTCAGCATTCGCGGAGTCAAGACTTAAACTTGGCGGCAGAAATTCTAACCACTGTGGTCAGGCAGGGAGGAACGCATGTCTGCTGTGACATACAGGAACAAGAGAAAAGGAGAATGGGACTGCAGACTCTGATGAACCATTAGGAAAATAATGCCCTCTCAAAGGCGTCAAGTTAGGTGGGGCAGAATCCACAGGGTTTCAGAAAATAAATGAGGGGAAGAGAGGAGGAGAGGAAAAGGAGCCTGGATGCCTGCTACAGTTCCTAGCACCTTCCCACTCTCCTCCCAGATCCCAGGGTAAGTGCAAGCTTCCCAAATGCCAGGATATTTTAAGCTCTGCTGTGGCGGTTTTAAACATGAACACACATTATTTGACACTTGTCTCAGTGAGAGGGGGTTTTATGTCCCTGCCCATTGAGTCGAAGTGAGCTTGCAACTTGCTTATTTATAACCAAGAAAATGCAGCAGAAGTGACAGCAAGATTTCTCAGGCTCGGTCAGAAGAGTCAATGCAGCTTCCACCTTCAGAGGCCTAAGCTTCTGTGTGAGAAATCTGACTACCACAGGGCTGCCATGCCTTGAGGAAGCCCAAGTCACATGGAGAGGACATGCATTGGCTAACAGCCCCAAGTGAGGTCCCAACCAACAGCAACCATAAACCACCAGACATAAGTGAAGGATTTTCCAGATGATTCCAGTCCACAGCTGTCAGGCCACATCACCACCCTCTCAGCACTGTCTTTGTATCTTCTCAGTTCAGGCCCCAGACATCTTGGAGCAGAGACAAGCTATACTACTGTGCCCTATCAGGATTCCCAGCACACAGAACCCACGAACATAACAGATTGGTAGTTCGATGCCACTAAGTTTTGGGGTGGCAGCAATCGTCACCAGAACATCACCTCACTTCATTTATTTTTTGGGAGGAGCTATATTCCCTCCCTTGTCCCCCAAGGTGGGAAAGACAAGCTTTTACTTTTCAATAAACTGTGGAGGATACACATGGTGACAGTCCTCCACAGTCTATGTGGGCTGATTGCAGTGGCATTCTTTCATGAGGATGCTTTCAGCCTGGCTAAAATGCTTTACAGCTGCTTTACAACTGTCTCTCCTATCTGGGTTACCAGGTCCTACTCCCAGCCTCTTGCCCATCCTTCACTTCCAGCTGACGGCTCCTCACCCCTCCCCTGCCTTTCCCATTGGGATGGCAGATGCCTTTCTTAAGTATTCAGCCCCCAGGGCAAAAGCTTCCAGTCAACTCTAGAGCCATTTACGTAGTTCATGGTAGTTCACGCCTCCATTCACCACAACCCCTGAAGCAGCTACTGGCTCCTGGAGTCTGGCCTTTTGTGAAAGTGGCTGAGCATGAAACCACTGCAGTGAGTATCTATCTGGCTCAGGTTCTATCCTACTGGCGCAATTCCATGGTTGTTAAAATTCTTCAAAGAGCTAGGTGAGCTCATTTCTCCTAAATTAGTGCCTGGTAGGAAATCTTTCATTTTCCCAGCACAAAGTTCATTATGGTGCCCCAGCGCTCACTCATTATTAGCATCCCTTTTAGCTACTAAACAGAGAAGAAAGTTTGGAGTCCAAATCAGGCTTTTCTTACTCTCTTTTATCTTCTTTTTTCTGAGTTGACGCTGAAAACTAGCATCTTCCCTGCATGATGTGCCAGTAAGATTTTGGATCTACATAGATGAACATCTTTCTACTAATAGTTAGTGCCCTCACCACGTTACATTAACTGCCTGAGCCCCACTTTCCTTATCTGAAATATGCAGATGATAATTCTTACGCAGGGTTACTGTGAAGATGGACTGAGATAACACTGATAGCCAAGCCTGCCAGAGGTTACGCTAGTTGAAGGACATGGTCAAAGATCTTATTATTTTTCTTGTGGTTGCTATTGTTTGTGGTTATCTTTCAGCAAATTCGATTGGCTCTACCTTCCAAATAAACCCCAAATCTAGCCATTTCTTACCACCTCCCCTGCCAATCACCTGGTACTCTCCTGTCTGGTCCCCTGATTTCATCCTAGCTGTCTTGTACCTCTGCACACAGGAGCCAGAATAATCTTGTTAAATCTTGCCATGTCATCAATCCCAGACTCCAAACCCTTCAATCACTTCCCTTCTAACAGTTTTTATAAACTCTCGTTACAAAACTTGGCCTACAAGTTTTTAACTGTGGCCTACGAGTCTGTGCAAGATGGGACTCTTAGTACATGCATACCTTCATCTTTTTTTCCTCTTTCTTCTTCTCTTTCCCTTTTTGCTATTCCTCAAATAGCACACACCTGCCTTAGAACCTTTACACTTTCTGTTTCTCAGCCAGAGAATGTACAGCTTGTGCCTTTACTTCCCTCCAGGCTTGCCTCAAATGCCATCCCCTCAATGAGTTCTTCCCTGACCACCCTATTTAAAATAGTTTCCACTGCCTCTTTTCTGCTTTAATTTTCGGCAGTTGGTCACTTTTTTTTAATTTATAAGGCTTAATTTATCGTGTATTTCTCCCAACTAGAATATAAGCCCCATTAGAGCAAGGATTGTTATCTCTTTTGCTCATTGTTGTGTTTCCAGTACCTAAAACAGTACCTAGCATATAATAGAGCCGCAAGTTTAAGGTGGAATTGACCACAGAACATAGAAATAACTCACTTAGCTGTTTGCTAATATTTTATCTTTTTTTATCTTTTTTTTGGTGGGGGGAGACAGTGTCTCACTTCCATTGCCCAGGCTGGAGTGCAGTGGCACGATCACAGCTCATTGCAACCTTGACTTCCCGGGCTCAGGTGATTCTCCTGCCTCAGCCTCCTGAGTAGCTGGGACTACAGGCATGTACAACCACACCTGGCTATTTTTTTGTATTTTTAATAGAGACAGGTTTTAGCCATGTAGCCCAGGCTGATCTCAAACTCCTAACCTCAAGCAGTCTGCCCGCCTTGGCCTCTTGAAGTGCTGGGATTACAGGCATGAGCCAGGGCACCTGGCCCTGCTAATATTTTATCTTAATGCAAATAACTCCTGTACAATCACTGCATCATCAACGGTTTTGTTTGACAACATTGCCACTGTGCTGCCCTTTTCTAGCTTGAGAACATGCTAGTAATAAATGCCGTGAGTAAAAATCCAGCTGAAGTCAAAGGATGCAGGAATAATAAGGCCTGGGTCTTCTACTTGTTGGTTTAGAAGGCCCCCAAGAACCAAGGGGAGACTCTCATTTTCAGGACTGGCTATATAATTTGCAGGACCTGGTGCAAAAAGAAAATGTGGGGATGGCCTCTTGTTCAAAGTTATCAAGAATATCAACACAGCAGCGGTAAAGCAGTAAACCAAGATGAGGGCCCTGTGACTGCACAGATCACAACACCAAAACGCTGGTCCTGCTCATTTTCTACAACTGTGTACACACACACACTCACTTGCATCCAATAAAAACAATCGTAGCAGATTTGCTTATTTAATGAACTTTATCCACATTATCTCTTCAAATTGCCAGGAGGCTGGAAAAATTAAGGGTATTCACCATGCCCAAAGTCCACCGGTATTCAGGCTTCAAAATTTTTTTTCTTTTTTTTTTTTTCATTTTTGTTTTCAATGGGATTGTGAGACAACTGCAGTTTTAGTGCAGGAAGATTAAAAGTTATCTGAATTATTGTCCCTACCCCTTGGGACAATACATCACAATCTTACTGTGCAGACAGTGCTAAGTGCTGAGGCCAGAAGTGTTCAAGGAGAGGAGCAGAGGGAAGCAGGAGTTCCTGCTTCATTTCTGGTCCACTGACTATTACCCGTGGTCTCACCATCAGCAGCATCAGCAGCAATCTTTGGCTTACTGGTTTGCAAATATAGACGAGCCTAAGAGAGTGAGGAGGAGGCTGAGGCATGGCCCAGGGTGGAGGCAGAGCCTGGGGACCAGAAGCCATCAGGTAATTTAGTTAATGATGGTGATACCTGCTAGACTATGCTAAGGAATTACTGGGGAAGTCAGCTCCCTTCCTTGGAATTCATTTTCTTCATCTTTCAGAGAAAGACCATACTGTTCAGAGTTTATTTTTGAATATTAACCAGACTTCAAACATTCTCTTGCATTTTGATTTTTTTGGAGTTAAGGATTATAAAAAACATAAGCCACTGGGCCCCTTTATTTACATTTTCCTGAAAAACAATGAGAACCCTTTTGCGTATTTTCATAACAGGTCTGTCTCAACATCTTAAATTAAAAAATAACCTGTTCTTTGGCTCTGAATATGGTTGGGTGATTAAGTCTGCTTCTAGGCTCTCCCACGAATATTTTTAAAAATGTAATTGCAAAAATCACAGTTGAGTGTAAGAAATATGTAACAGAAACACATTATTTAAACCCTAAGGTTTCTAGATTTTTAGAAAATTCCGAAGATGAGATGATTTGGCTACTAAGGTTTTAAAAGTATTAAACAAAAATATTGAAACATTAGTTCAACATTTCAATGCCAATTTATCACAAAGCAAACGGATTTGAGCCTATGGAGATCTTTCTTGCAAGACTTCAATGTCTTTCTGTAAAGATAACTAAAATAAATCCATACACTATTTAAAAAATTCTACCTACACTTAAATCTTAAGGTGAGTTGCTTTTTGTAGGTCAGAAGTAACCCATTTGTATGAGAAGATATATGACCATGTATATTTACAAGAGTAAACTTTTCTTCGCTTTCATTTTTGTCTTTGATATGGGCTGTTAACAACATTTCAAGGTAGCTTGGCTTGTAGTGATGCTTAAATGTGTTCATTAAACTGCGGGCATCAGTTTAATATGAAGAAAAATGTCACAGGGTACTAGATCCTGGTATTGACATAAGAATTCTGTACTCAACTAAACATGTTTGGTTTCTCTGGCTCTACACCGGGTTCTCACAAAAGTAGAACCAACTTTCATTTTGACCTTTCTGATTGTACCATTGTCGGAGGAGGAAGAAAACTTGCTCCAGGAGTGGGAAACTGGGGCAGGAATTGCCTTGTTCTGTACAACCTTAACAAAATTGCTGCACTTTTTAGGGAAGGCTAGCCGAGCACAGGAATTCCTTCCCCTGAAGAAAAATCTGTAAGAGAAGCTGAGTTATCTGTGATTAAGGAATCAGGCTGAGTTGGGTTACCTGAATGGCCCCCTAGCCTGGTTCATCTATCTCTGCCAGGCGAGCTCTCCCTGCATCCCAGAGCACAAGACCAGCTTCTGTCCTGGCTCAGGCTGTGATTCTCCTTTTTCAAGATTCTAGGATCTACCAAGACCCTCCTCTTCTTCTGATCTTCATATTCTTTCTTTAAATGTGTTAATGTTCTCTCCTCAGGTCTCCACCTCTCAGTCTCCTTGAGGGGATTTAGATCTCTGCTTAGATTATGTATGGCTCCTATAGAGTTTTGAAGGCTCAGAGGGTCACCTGGTCACCCTGCTTCCAAGTTCAGATGAGGGTTCCAGGCAGAAGGTCCCACTTCTGTACCTGAGACATACCTGACAGGGGTTTTAAAGACTTCATTCTTGGATTGTGTTAAATTCGGGTCTAGATCCCAAAATAATCATTGTTTTCATAATAAAACCTATTGGGTTGAATCATTGGATATTGCCAATATTCTACTTTCTTTCTTTCTTTTTTTTACAAATATGGTCGATTCATATGGCTCTGCCTAATATACCTAATACTGCAAAATGTTTTGAGACATCAATGTAGAAATATTGAAGACTTTTGTTTAATCTTTTTATTGTATGTTTCATGTCCCCTAATGCTTTTCCCTGTACCCTGCATACCTGTACTAAGACTACACGTCCTCACACATAAACAAGCACACACATGACTTATTCTTCTGAGACCTTATAGAGTTAAGAAGTCGGATGACAATGAGGTAACACATTTGCATGAATGAAAGGCTCAGGAAGTTCTACTCACAACGCTCTTGTCCTTTGTTCAGGATATCCACCCCTCCTCAGCTCCACACCCCCACTTCCAAGCTCTGCCAGAAATCATGTTATTAGCTTCAAAGTGATGAAGACAACGTCATCCAACAGGCTTGGTGGCAGGCTGCCTGTGTATGGAACAAGCCCCAACTTTGAGTCACAGAGATCTGGCTTCTGCATTTGATTTGATTATTTCTTGGTGGGTGATCTTGGGCAAGTTACTTCGCCACAGTGTGTTTCAGTTTTCTTATATGTAAGATAGGGATAATAATATCTACTTTATAGAGTTGAGGGGGCCAAATGAGATAATGTATGTAAAGTGCCTGAAATGGTGCCTAAGACATACATAATAGGTGTTCCAAACTAATGTGAGAGCAAAGCAAGAAAATGGAATTTCCTACTTCCTGGACCTTCTAGCCTCCATACCTACCCATATCGCACGTGGCTCAGAAATCAAAGAGGTGCTTAACTTGGAGAGACACGTGGCCTGGGACAGCAGGTGCCTTAGTGGTAGGCAGTTAGCTGAGTGAGTCATGACTGGCAGCTGCTTTGGGAACGGAAACTTGTAGCTCAAGAGGCACAGAAGTAGTGTTGTTGCATTAGTGACATTTGGACTGTTCCCTCAGGGTAGTTAGGATTTAGACATCCCCCAGAGGCCAGTACAGTCTCACTAAATTTTCTGCCATGATGGAAATGTGCAAAAATCTGCACTATCCAAAATGTGGCCACTGAGCACTTAAAGTGTGGCTAGTGTGGTGGAGGAGAGAAGTTAAAATTTAATTTTAATGCATAAAGTCACGTGTGGCTGTTTGTTACAGTATTGGCCATCTCAAAACTAGGCAGAGGAAACCGCAAAAGTGAATCCTAAGAGCAGAAAGTCCTGGAGCAGACATGGGGCAGCCGCAGGTGATATAGCTTGGCTGAAGCATAGGCTGTGGGAAGGCAATGGGAGACAGATGTGAGGCCAATTCTGCCAGCTTAAAGGGTTTAAATGTTCTTTTCTAGGCAGTAGGAGCTACAGAGGGTTTGTGAGCAAGGGAGTTACACCATGTGGCTCTACTTCAGCGTGGTTAGTCTAACAGGAGGTAGGGGAGTGGAGTCTCTCTGATGAGACCAGATAGAGGCTGGAAAGGGAAACACTTAGAAGTCTTACTACAAAAACCCCGGTGGAGCTCTCACAGCGTGCTGGGCATCGTGCAAACAGCTCTAGCTTGTTTATTGCTGGTTAAGTTGCATGCCTTCAAGTAAGCACAAAAATAAAAATCGGAATCAAGGTGTTTGTTTTTTAATGGGCAAAGCCCATTAAAAATGTATTTGCCTTCACTATACCACTGTTTTAAGTCTCCTGGAGGGAAGAAAGGAAAGCCAGCTTCCTTTGGCAGCGTAATGAGATAGATGACAGAACTGACACCTAGATTAGGCCTTGATGTTAATCTGGCTGGATGTGGCTTTTCTCATGACTTGATAGGACTCTTTTTTCTTTCCACATGCATTTCTGCATGAGACCCCCCCTACTTTGTTTCCAGACCCAAAGCCTTCTACCGTCTTACTGCCTTGATGAAAGCCCAAATGATGCCATTGCAGAGCCCAGTAGTTTGATTATTTGTGGACCAGTAGAGTTACTGTCTGCATTTAAGGAACTCTCCAGAAAGGTAGAGATATATTTTCTCCTTGAGATCTCTTCAATTTGCAGGCAATTACATGATGGCTTCCTCTCCCCGACCCCTTTGATAACCTTCCCTTGAGGGGCACTTCAGGAATCAGGCTGCCTGGTTTGGAACCCTGGCTTACTGTTTGAGTTTGTGCAAGTTACTGACATACCACCTGCCTCACGGTCTGGTTTTAAAGACTTAGTGAGCTAAGGTACCCAAAGTGCTTAGAACTGTGCAAGACACTTACTGCATATAGGTTTATAATTATTATTACTAACCAACAATTATTTGTACACCTGCCTTGACCTACCAGTTTACAGTGGGGTACGGGCAGGAGTACTCTAAGGTGGGAAGAAGCAGCAACTATCAAAAGACCATTTACAATATTTGGGAGTGAATCTAAAGGAATTGATAGCCCAGTACTGCGGCTCAAGCCTGTAATCCCAGTGCTTTGGGAGGTCGAGGTGGGAGGATTACTGGAGCCCAGGAGTTCCAGGCTGCAGTGAGCTATGATTGCAGCACTGCACTCCAGTTTGGGTGACAGCTGGGAAAGAAGCCATAGAAATGCTAAAAAATGCAGAGGAGTTAAGCTGGAAGGGAAGGGGAGAGGATAGCTTTCCAGGAACTGGAAAGCACAGTTTTTATATGCGTGGGAGCAAAATTTGCACTTTCAGGCAGATGACCCCGGCTTAACCACTGTCAGGGGCACAGCAGGCTCTTCTTGAGTTGCTGCAACCGGGGCTGTGCTTCTCTGGCGGTCCCAGTGCTGCCACCTACAGGGTCTGCGAGGCAGAGCGCGCCGCCCTCGTGTCTCTCGGGAGTCTGGGTGCTGGGCAGGAAGAGCAGGACCAATACGTTCCTCACCAGCCATGCCATTAGCTCCTTTCTCTCACAGGCTTTGAATGCACCTGCCCCTAGACACAACAGTTCTGGGACACATTTCTAAACATTATTTCTAAAAGAGGGGGATAAAGAAAGAAAATAAGACCAAGTTCCACACCCAGAAGAGAAAGTGCACATCGACATGTCACCACGTGCTGGGTGATGAGTTAGTGGTTTGGCATACGTTATTGCATTTAGTCCACAAAATAGATATCATCAATATTGTCATCCACGCTACAAGGGAGGTTAAAGAATCCAATACACAATTGTTTAGAGCCTGGGCCACTCCAATTCTGAGGTCTGTATATGTCAGAACACACTACCTGACTTAAATTATTTTTCTATCTTTCCTAAGTATAAAAGCACACATAATTAAGTTGACCAAACACGATCTTTGCACATGGTAAATGCCTCTTACCTTGACCTCTTGCTTTAAAAGCTGAGACATTTCTAATGAAGATGTTTTAGCAGATATAGTCACTTACATAAGTGAGTCAGCTTCTTCTATGCCAGGGCCTAAATCTTTGTCAATTAGTACATTACTTTTTATTTATTCAAGCCAACTTGAATGGATTGGTGTTGGAGATAAAAATACCAAACAAGGTGCCCTTTCTGGCTCTTACTAACTCAAACTCTCTATTAATTAATTGACATCTGGGCACACTTGTACTACAAATTGACCATCCTACGGTAGTAGCAGTGCTTCTCAAGCTTTAAAGTACATACCAACAACCCAGGAATCTTGTTAAAATGCCGATTTGGATTCAACCAGTCTGGAATGGGGTCTGAGATTCTGCAGTCTCCCCAGTGATGTAGATGCTCCTGGTTCAGGAAATACATTTTGAGTTTCAAGGAGCTAGAAGATCTTGAAGTTCTTTTGAATCATCAAAATAAATTTTAATTGGTTTGCATATTAATTAACTGTGCAAGCAATTAAATTATGCTTTATTATTAATTATATTTTATTGTTTTCTAATGCTTTGAAAGTCAGTAAACTATATATTCCGCTTGCATATGTCATGATAGCAAAGACATGGAATCAACCTAAATGCCCATCAATGATAAACTAGATAAAGAAAATGTGGCACATATACACCATGGAATACTATGCAGCCATAAACAAGAATGAGATCATGTCCTTTGCAGGGACCTGGATGGAGCTGGAGGCCATTATCCTTAGCAAAGTAACAGAGGAACAAAAAAGCAAATACCACATATTCTCCCTTGTAAGTGGGAGCTAAATGATGAGAACACATGGATGCATACATGGGGACAACATACAATGGGGCCTATCGGAGGTTGGAGGGTGGGAGGAGGGAGAGGATCAGGAAAAATAACTAATGAGTACTAGGCGTAATACCTGGATGATGAAATAATCTGTACAACAAACCCCCATGACATAAGTTTACCTATGTAACAAACTTGCACGTGTACCCCTGAACTTAATATAAAACAACCTTTTTTTAACCCATTAGGACATTGAAGTCACCAGAACATTCTATTCTTTCATCTAGGCTGGATTACCACGTGTTATCTTTAAGAACTCTGTGGCTTGAAGGAATTTCGCCTTCAATCAAAGAGTAATTTAGGCACCATGAGAATTACTTTCCAAACTATAAGGGAAAGTAATGACTATACTAACAACAAGTTGTCAAAATTAAACTTCCAATTTTTCAGGTTTTTCAAGCCCACTCTTTTGCCCCTGAGGGAATTAACTGCACAGAAGACTAGATGAGGAGACCCTGTGGCCCACTTTAAAACCAAGACGGCAATCCCATATCACCTAGATTTTGGGGGTTCATTAATGCTTACACTTATCAGTCTCCAGATGTTCACGGGCAAAAAGTAACACATTCACAGATGGTACAGAGCAAACACTTATTATGATGCCCAAAGAACAAAAGCTATTGGTAGCAGTGAAGAATAAAGTGACCCACAAATAGGCTGCTATTTACTTGTTTGTTTTGTCTGGGGCCCATTTAATTGCGTCTGTTCGCACTACAATAGCTAATGCCCAGCCATTATTTCCATCATAAACCTCACTGGGGATGAGAAATGCAACAGAACGAGATCCTTCTCATGAAATTGATTTTTTCCCTCCATCAGTTAAAATATTCAGCAAAGGTGTTGGGTTCTCCCCAACTCCTTTCCATTTACACAAATAAAAAATATATGTACATTTAAATGGTTAAAGGCTATTTTAAAAACATAAATGGCTGCCTTCTATGTTTTAGAGAATATAACGTCTCAAATTAGAGAAGTGGAAACTGTGGGACTTTAATGTGAACAAAATGAATGTATGGCAAATTTAATGGGAATAAAGTACCTGCAGGCACGCAGTAGTTTTCAATAAGTGTGTATGTATTGAACTGAAGGGCCTTAGGACTGATTGCTAGGTTTGCCTAGCAAAGGCTGACACAGACTGTGAAGATAAGGGCAGGCTCCAGCATGGAGAAAGAGGCTGCTGACATCCATGCCCTGTGATCTCAGGGATCCAGCAAGGCCAGCCTTTCCTGTTCTCTTTCTTCCTCTGCAGTTCTCGTTCTAGTGCCTAAAAAATGTCTACATATAGCCTTAGTCCTTTAGGTGGAGGCATTGCTTATAACAGATGCTATAGTACCTAGATGTTGGCTGTATTGATTTTGCAATATTATTATTATTGTCAATAATATCTATGCTGACCAACATTTACTCAGGGTCACCCATGTGGCAGACTTCAGGAAGAGAGGAAAACTCCTCAACTCAAGTTTTAAAAATCCAGGGGAAGAGCTGAGGTCACATTCCAAATCCTGGAACAATAAATGTGGTCAGAGAGATGAGAGGCTGTGATTGGCCCAGCATGGACCTTACGACTTCTGTGTTTGCTGGAAGTGTGTTTGGGAATGGGGAGTATAATGATTGGCAGAGTTCACTAAGACCACATATTTTGAGGAATGTTTCCTAAAGAAGGTGCATGCTCTCCTGGAAAAAAATTCATACACACCACAGCTTTGGGCAAGTTCTTACTTTATTTGAATTTCAGTAGGATTATCTGTAAATGGAGAAGTTGGATTAGATGCTTTTTGAGGGTTCTTTAATATCTAGAAGTCTCTAGTTTTGTTACCTTCTAAAATACAACATTATATAAAATAATTTCATATTCATCCCTGACAAGCAAGCAGAGGTGATACTATCTCATCTTATTGGGTGGGAAAATTGAGGCTCACAAAGTTAATTAACTGGCCTCAAATCATTAGAATGTCACCCGGCCCATCTTAACTGTTTTTAAGCATACAATTAGTACTGTTTAATACTTTCACATGATTTTGCAATCAATCTCCAGAACTCTTTTCATCTTGCAAAACTAAAACTCTGCCCATTAGACAATTCCCCATTCCTCCCTCCCTGCAGTTCCTGGCAACGACCTTTCTTCTTTTTGCCTCTGAATTTGCTACTGTAGGTGCCTCATATAAGTAGAATCACACAGTATTTGTCTTTTGGTGATTGGCTTATTTCACTTAGCATAATGTCCTTAAGTTTCATCAATGTTGTAGTATGTATCAGGATTTCCTTCCTTTTTAAGGCTGAATAATATTTCATAGTATATCCTCACCACATGTTGTTACTCATTTATCCCTTGAGGGGGACACTTGGGTTGCTTCCACATTTTGGCTACCACGAATAATGCTGCTATGAACATGGTTGTACAGATATCTGAAAGTTGTTTTTTTTTTTTAAATAAAGAACATTGGAAGTCCCCCTAAATTTTATAAGATAGATGTAAATTACATAAGATACTTATATCTTATAAGATATTTTTCTTGGCTCTGAAAGTGCTTGAAACATTAATAAATACAAAAATATATTAATTAATTAACACAGGTAACTATTTACTGAGCACTTATTTCTTGTCTTTGGTATGTGCTAAATGCTTCAGATGATTTCAGGTTTAGCTGCCAAGTAACAAAACACACACACACACACACACACACACACACACACACACTAACAAGCATTAAAACAATGTAGGTGTTACTTTTCCCCTCACATTCAGGAAAGCCAGAGGCATCAGCCCAGGCTTCCATTGCACTCCATGGTGTCAGAGTCTAATCTCATTTCTTGTTTGCCATTTCCCAGAGGCATTTTTCCCAAGGTATCCCCAGGGGAAAGATTTTGCTGGAGCCTTACTTACATTATCATGTCTGTATTCCAGCCATCAGATTGGAGGAAGAGAAGAAGAAAGAGCATGTCCTTCCTTTAGTGACATTTCTCCATTTCTATCCCATTGGCCAGAAGTTAGTCATGGGATCACTACTACCTGTATGAAAGACTAAGAAAAATGATCTTTATTGCTGAGAGCCACATACACTGCACAAACTGGGGGGTTCTATCTTGAGAAAGAAGGAAAGACTAGATGTTGGGAGACAGCCGGGAGTCTCTGCCAGAGCAGCCATACATGTTAAATATCAACCTGGTAGTATACCTCCCTACGTAAGTAAAGTTGAACTGTTTCTGAGTCTATAGATAATCTTGAATGCTAATTCTGCAGTAACGTTGATTATTCCCTCCTCTGTTGATGTTTACTCCAATGAGATCAACTTAAAGTCTTGAAGCAGGAGAGCTTAAAGTAGAAGAGCTAGTGAAACCTAGAACAATAGGAGTGAGGCATTAGCTTAATATTCTGGTTCCCTGGGTTGGTCTTGAGATCTCCTTGGCCATCCCTCACTTCGGATAGATGGGGCTGCAGCTTTGGTGCCAATGAAGCTGGTGATTAGGTAAGCTTGTTTTGGGGAGTGACTTCTGGATGGAATGTGGAGAAGAGAACTCTTTTTCAAAGATCATTATCTATGAATTGGCAACACTGGTGCCTCCCTGACAATGAAGCCAAATTTACATCTGATTTTTATAACTTCTAATATCAAAATGACTTATGTATTCAGCAAGCCCCTGAAGATGAATCAGTACATAGAAATATTTTGGATGTTTTGATGGGAATTGTTAAAATCTTTGTTTTAACTATGTAACTTCATTTTATTTTAGTTGTATAACTAGAGAATTTTTGACACTCCAAACCAGTTAGTTTGGCTCATGGACATTGAAATGAATGAGTACTGTGTGAAACAGCAAACATTACCCCATTACTCACAGCATACCATTGTCCTTGAGGCAGGGATTGAGATGGGGTCAGGGCCAGGGAAAGAGTGAAGGTGGCTTTATTTATTACAATATTAATTTAAAAAAATAGTAATTTTGTTATTTCCATGAAACTGTGTTTAAAAATGTCACTTTCCTATCATCCTCATCAAAATGCCCTGCTTTAGAAATAAACTCTGTAATGAGTACAATTATATGAAAAGAATCTTAAGGCTACAAAGAATGAAGAAAAATGATTAAGTAAGAAAAGATCAGGCTAATGATTTAATAATTTAATTTTAATAATTATCATTTATATAAATTATACAATATCATGGGGATGATGCTTTTATCATTGTCCCTACTCCCTCCTATCTCCTCCAAAAAATGTCATTTCTGAGTCTCTTATTTTTTGGAATGGCATTAAAGCCTCAGGCAGAATCTAGAGGACTTCTCACCAGCCTCAATGGTGTCCACCTCTCTCTGAAACTAAGCGAACCTGTAGCAAAGCCTAGAAGAGAAGTGCAGTTCTTCAAGGTTTTAGCCGAGTGACTTCAGAATAAATTCAGTTTAACCAGTGAGCTAAGTTGTGGTCTGCTTTTTATGGTGTTACAACTTGTTTTCTTGGTACCAGTTTAGTTCGATAAATATTTGAGTACTTATTTCACCATCTCTGTAATTTTAATTTGCATCATATCTAAAATATTCAGTGGTCCTTTCCTCAAATTCTTATGACTCATAATCTAAGAAGGCAAAACATTTATAATGGTAAACATCATGATCAGGGAGCCAGAGGACCCCTGTTTAAATGGATTATGCCATTAACTAGTTGTGTGACCCTGGGCAAGTCATTTACTCCTCAGCCTTTAGATTTCTCATTTTTAAAGCGAAAGGGCAGGGAGTTGGTTTATATGATGTCTAAGATCTCCAGTGCTTCAAATAAATAGTTAAAAGTGGCATTTCTACTTTCAACCCAAGAAGAATCATATAGCCATAGCTAAAGAGGTTGAATATAATGATTCATGTAGAGAATCCACTCCATCACCTTCAAACACGGGAAGGTGGAAATGGTGCTCTCTAGTATTACATTGACCACATGTTCAGATTGCTGAATACACCTGCAGAAAAAAATTCCATTCTAAAGAAATGCATTCTGGTTGTTTCAAAGAAAAATTAGGCACTCACTCTATGGTAGATTTCCTGTTGGTCACCCGGGAGTGAATCCTTCAAGAACCACCTGTACATTTCTCCTTATCTCCAAGCCTCCCAACAGCTCCAGCTCAGTGGGCAGATGGGGCCAATGGAATTCCTGTTCCTTGTTCTCTTTGTAAACCCTGAGTCTCTCTGCTGTTACTCCCTGCTGTGTCCAGGCTGCCCTTCCCTCACTAGAGCCTACCTCTTCATTCAAAGCTCAGTTTCGAATGCCACCTCCTCCAGGAAGCTTAATCTCCTCTTTGAAATTTCCATGGCATATTATCTTCTCTTCTTACCTTCACTTCTACCTTTTACTGTATTCATTATAAACATAGTTTATCCTCCTTACTAGACTGTAAGATCCTT
The DNA here is from genome assembly GCF_000001405.40 of Homo sapiens. Taxonomy (NCBI): domain Eukaryota; kingdom Metazoa; phylum Chordata; class Mammalia; order Primates; family Hominidae; genus Homo; species Homo sapiens. The sequence goes on from NC_000007.14 coordinate 33,902,266, forward strand.
GGTAGCATAATCCTTTATCTTTATCAAGTGTAAATGCCTTTTTTAAGGTGTAACTTTCTCAAGTTTATGAAATACCTTGCACCCTGCCCTAGTGGTAGGTATCACAATCTCTTTACCCTGTTTCCTTTGGGAAGGGTCTATTGGTTTCTACTTTTAGGAAGCTGGGTTGATGTGATTTCTCTAGAAGCATCTTTCAGACTTGAATCCACGTGACTAAGTTGTATGTTCAGTTGAATTTTTCAGTGAGAATTTAGCATCGTAGTTTTGAGAGGAGATGAAGAAAGTTGCTCTTACTGCAGGCCTGGCCCCTTTTAATCTGATTAGGTTTCACAGTTTATTTTCCAGAGAAAGAGATGAGACAGAGTTTTGTCTAATTGAGACTGGGACAGGCCCAGAGTTAAACATTGGTCTTTGGGCCCCATCACCTCTTTCCCCTTGAAAAATGTCATAAGCAGACCCAAATACACATTTTTTCCCCTCATTTTGATTTCAGCCAAAGCCATTTTGGGATTTGGATGGTACCACTATTTATTTAGTTAAACTGTGAAGGCAGATCTGTGTGCTTTTCAGTGCAGGCATTCTTTTTTCTTTTTGACCCTGGAATATCTCCGTTTTGTGTAGACAGAGACCAGTTGTCAGCTGATAGACTATCACTTGAGGGGTGATGGCAGCAGTAGATGCATGGGAAAACATCTTGATAAGGCCTTGGAGAAAAGGCTGCTCTTTCGGAAGCAGGGCCCATTTGCCAAGAAGGCAGCAAGGGAAATCGCTGGTGGCAGAGGCTTATAACAAACAGGAAGAAGAGACAGGTTTGCCAAAGGCTTCTGTGCATTTTTCCCCTTCGCAAACTTTCAGACAGATGAAAATGTTTTTAAGGTGGTTTTTGGGTTTGCACCTACAGGGAGAGTTCCAGTGCATTCCAAAGCACCATGCTGCACATTATGGAAATGCCACACACAGCTAGATTCTATCATAAAGAAATTTGTCATGCAAATTCTGAGGATGTTTGGCTGGTGTCAGGGAGGGAAGGCATATCAAAGTAACTCAGGCACACCCTTCAAATGTCTTGCAATTTCATAGCATGCATTTATCCAAATTTATGGCTAAGGCAACAAAAGGTCTCCCAGCTTCCTTATTCTTCAGCTTTCCATAATTAAATTATGATAAACAACTTTATCTAAAAGCCTCATCCAGGGACAATCTTTTTAGATAGAGGAGATAGTGGTTCCAACTGATTGTACTTATCTGCAGCAATAAAGGTTTCTATTTATTTAATTTTTAATTTTAATTTTATTTATTTTTTAATGAGTCCCTGGGAAGTAAGGCTGGATTTAGAGATTTTTCTCTTTTTGCATATTATCTTTATGATTAGTAAATACATAAACACACTGGTTTCCGAGAAGCTGCCTGGCCATGGCTTTATTTGGGTGGGGGGAGGGAGGGAAGGAATCACACATCAGCCTTCTCTTTCAATTTAAATTTTACGGTAAGAATCTATTTTGGGAGGGAAATGGAGCATGCTAAGCTAATGACAGTTTTCCCTTCTCTTATTTTTCCCACGTCACAGCAACGTGCTCGCATCAGCTCCTCGGTGTGTCGCGATGTTGGCAATGTTGCACTAATTAAGTGAAGTCTCCAAATCACTCGAAAAAACGAATAAACAGTCAACGAGGCAGGGAAGGGTTAAGGTGAAGCTAGATTAAACCTGTCAGCAAACAGACTCATTTATTTTCAAAGCTGTAGTTTCCACAATGGAAACAACCCACTTTGCCTGGAGACCCTTAGGTCCGTTCCGTGGGGACCCGGTTTCAACTCTTGGACAGAGGAAGTCGGTAGTCCACCGTGAGCTCAAGGACAGCTAGCTGATCGTCAGGTCCCAACACTTGCCAAGCGTCCCTCACTCCCACCTCGCGCCTTCGTACTTTGGTTACAAAAATCATCTCTCTGCGATTGCACCCCTTTTGAGTAGAGGGTGCCACTGCGTGGGGAGGAGGCGGCGATTCAGCAGGGGGATCACAGGAGCTGACTCCCCGACACCCAGTGCTGCAGAGGCGAGAGGGCGCAGCCGGGCTGAGAGAGCGACGGAGCTCCGAGCTGCAGAGGCCGCCGCGCGGCGGCCCCCGCCAGAGATGAGCGGTGGGGCGGGGGTTCCTCCCTCTTTTCGGGTGAATGAATGATTAGTCAAACACCACCTCCCCGCCCCGGTCCGCCCGAGATTGGAAGGGAGGAGTCTCGGAGCGACTGTTCATTTTTTAAGGACGAAAGGCGTTTGCCTCGGTACGTTTTTAAATCGACCTTGTGTGTGTTTCAACTTCGGTCATCCCTAGTGTCAGGACGCGCAGACAGCTAAGCACAGAACACATCTCTAAGGCCACTTGCCCCTCTGTCCGCTCAGCCCCCTGAGTTCGCTGTCGCGCCCCCGCCAGAGGGAAGCAAAGCAGGGCATGAAAAGTTGCGGGGGCCCTACTGCCCCGGGTGTGTCGCTCCTTCCCAAAGGTGGGGCACCCGGGAGCGAGCAGGGTGGTGGGGCGCCCCTGCGTCCCGTTTGCTGCTCCCTCGCTGGATTGGGGCACCCGGGCCTGAGCGCTAGTGCTGCGGCATCCCCGGGGCTCCCCCAAGAAAGGGAGGAGGAGCCGCGCTCGCCCGGACAGTGGAGACGCGCCTTCTCGGCTCTGGTCCGCGCCCTGGGGCCCTGGCCTCCCTGGAGGGGCTGGGGAACTGGAAGCTGGGCCGAGAGAGTTCCCGCTGCAGCTATCGCGCAGTCCCTCCTGCGCCCGGGCGCCCCCAGCGGGTTCCGGGAGGCGCCCGGTGAGCCCACGTCTGTTGCGGCGGAGCGAGCGCGCTCCGGGAGGGCCGAGAGCCGGCGGGGCTGGCAGGAGGTGAGGAGTGCGGGAGTGGAGGACGCTGCGGCAGCGACAGCGACAGCCCCCGAAACAGTAGCGGCAGCCCGGGCGGCGGCTGAGCGGCAGTGCGCAGTCGGCAGCGCCGCAGCTCCTCTCAGTCTATCTCCGGCTGCCGCAACACCCCTTCCTCCTGGCCCCCTCTCCGGCGCTGAGGGGCTGACTGCTAAGCCACTGCAAGCAACTCCCTCAGGAAAAAAAAAAAAAAAGCCGCATCGGAGGAGCCTGGCCGCAGGACCCCTCCTCCCCGGGCGCCCCCACACCTTGGTCTCTCCCCCCGCCCTCCCTCACACCCCCCCGCCCCCCAGCTCTCGGGCGCCCGCCTCCCTCCTTCGCGGACGGTCTCCCGACACGCCGGCTGAGAGCCCTTTTCGACTGTGAGCTGCGGCAGCTGAGCAGAGGCGGCGGCGCGGGACCTGCAGTCGCCAGGGATTCCCTCCAGGTGACGATGCTCTGGTTCTCCGGCGTCGGGGCTCTGGCTGAGCGTTACTGCCGCCGCTCGCCTGGGATTACGTGCTGCGTCTTGCTGCTACTCAATTGCTCGGGGGTCCCCATGTCTCTGGCTTCCTCCTTCTTGACAGGTAGGGGAGGGGGCGGGAGGGACCGGCCCTCCGGGACGCCGGTTTGGTACCTGGGAAAGGTGGCGCTGGCTTGCCCCGGGGATGGGAGGGTGGGGAGCGCGCACCTTGGCGCTTGCCCTGCGCTGGTCGATGGGGATGAAGCGAAGCCCCGGGAGGGCTGGGAAGGCTGGTGAAGAGGTTGCGGGCTGAGAGGCTGTTGCCTTCAATGTAGTAATAATAGACATTCTTCTATTTGAATTTGAGAAATTATTTTATTTATTTTTAATGCTTTCCTCAACTTTTATTTTAATCTTTCCCTCTGTAGAACTCAGGAAAAAAATTTGTGCAGTTTTCCGCACATCTTCCTTTCTCATCTTTGGGGTTGCAATACATCCACTGTGCTAGGAGTGCTTTTTAAAGCACTGGCTCTCAAGACCTTGAATTTAAAGAAACTATCATTTAAAAAGGGCACTAATAGCCGGATATAATAATTATATGTTTTCAGGCAGGTGAAGACCTCAGCTGCTATTCTGAAGGACATACTTTACTGACACCTGGTGCAGAAAAGAAAATATGGAGTCAATTTCTAAGAGAAGGGAAAAGGGGATTGCGTTTCAAAAAGTGATTTAAACCTAAGACAATGCGAGACAGATTCATAGAAAGGCCTGTTTATTGACTCAGTTCTGAGTTTTGGTCAATTTAAAATCTGCCCCAATTTGAGGGTTTTTTTAAATTTTATTTTTTATTTTTTTCTTTGCGTATGGGGCTGTGTGCTTAGTTGAAATATCTTCATAAAGGAGGAGTGTTATTAAAAATCCAGTGAAATACTTGGAATTGTGCTTAGACCATCTGAGAACAGATAATTTATCCCTATATCATAGTCTTTTCTTTTTTGAACCTGTTTAAATAAAATTATTGAAAATGGAGTTGGGGGCAGAGGTTTTGCTTTGGTGAATTTAATAATTTAAACCACATTAAGAATTCTGAAGTTTGGGTAGAGGTTTCAAAAAGGATTAGTGTAAAAATTTTAAATGTTGAAATCATGCTGCTAAGCTAACTTTAAATGAAACATTTTTCCCCCCTGAATTTCAGGTTCTGTTGCAAAATGTGAAAATGAAGGTGAAGTCCTCCAGATTCCATTTATCACAGACAACCCTTGCATAATGTGTGTCTGCTTGGTAAGTGTGGAGATCAGGTAATATGAACTCAACTGCTCTCTCTGATAAGGTGAATCCATTAAATGTGATAATATAACCAGATCTTACAAATTGTCTTTATCATTACAAAATTGCACATAACTGTACATAGTTTGTGAGTTGAATCCAGTTAATTTCTGAGTTTTATGGACTTTGGCAATTTCCATTTCATCCAGCTGGAAATTCTTATCTTTGACATCATCCTTATAGACGTAAATTTCAGATAGGCTTTGTATGACGTCTCGGTGAAATGACAGTTTGTAATGTCTGTTTCCAGTAATGATTACTACAACCAAATTCTTGGGACAACAAAACTTTCTGCGTTGGTTCTGTCATTTAAGCTCAGTGGGAAAATGATGAGATAAGATTTAAGTATGAAGGTCAGGAATAAGGTATGCGACAAAGGGAAAGAGAGGTGACAGCCACAAAAAACAAACATAAGGACAAGATGTAATTCTGGATTTCTTTCTCGGGTTTCTTTGCCTGTTATACCCTAAACCCTCAAATACTGTCTTTATTTCTGATTTGGAAGCATGAGTCGGAAAGGACAATTCCATCCTTAATAGAGAATGACACTTGGCTGTCAGCTGCTTAGTTAACACTATCAGTGGTTAGAAGACTCAAAAAATAATTTGTTTCCATTTATTTTAGTTTAGTAGTTAATGATAAGTCTAATAAGTAACCACTTGGGGGAGATTAAGTAATGTGAATAAGAATTTCTGAGATGAAATATAGACCTACAAGGTAAACATTTTTGCTTAGGAGTGTTTTACATGCCAATCACTTTTGGCAAAATTTGGTTAGAAACTACACATTATAAAACCTTGTTGGAAATACATTAAGGCAGTCAAATGCAAAGCCCCAGAATGATAGAGGACTACTTGTTGCTAGATCAGCATGCTGTGTGGCGCTGGAGAAGGAATTCATTTCGGTTTAGGCAAAAGCCAAGCTATCTGAGTTTATACTACATAAATTTTTTCATGACAAGAGTTGAGGTCAATGTTTTGAAGTGATAAATGGGTGAAGGTAAATGGCTGTATCAAACAATTATCAGGTTCGGAAGACTAAGGAAATCAACAGAAACAAGTAAAAACGCACTGCGTTTGCTGACACAATAAATATTGCTGCCTAATAAAACAGAGCTGAGAGAGGGTGTATTATGATTGCATATTTATGGGTTGCTGTGTTCATTGATGATCTTTTAGTAAATAATTTGTTGAAAAGAAGCTTTCAGTTTAAATTTTGACTCAGTTGTAGATTTACAAATGCAGTGTGTGTGTATGTGTGTTTAATCTTCCTTTTTTATTTTTCTTATCTGTGTAATGTGAGTGAATTATTTTATCTTAATCTATTAAGATTTCAGAGGAAATTACCTTGACCAAGTAATATTTAAATGTGCCGAGAGCTTTGCATATAAATATATTGTTTTCACTTCAGCAATATTAGTACTTATCAAGCTTACGTATGTAGTTTGAGTTTTGTAAACTGTTCCCAAATAACATTATGAGAAATTCTCCCCACAGCATTCCCCCCTTTTCAGTACTCCTACCCCTGCTAAAAATAGTGCCTTTCTCTGAAAGTGGAGACTTAGTGATAAGAAGATAGATGTTAGAGTCCTGCAGTTTTGAAGGTAAAGATTACATCTGAAAAGATGCATCAGTTGGAATTCAAGTGGGAGTGATATTTATTACAGAAAAGTATCAATTAAATTCAGAAGGGCAGTAGGTTTATTTATGTCTTCAACATTTAAGTAACAGTTGTAGGTATCTGCCTTGGGTGAGTGCTGTCAGAAATCCTTTCTAAATGTGTAATATTAGGACTTTGGCTATCAGCTTCACCCATTACAGAGCTCTTTCATTGGCTGAAAGGCTCAGTGATATGTTATCATGACCTTTGCAGGGGTTTAGAATTATGGGGTCCAAGTTGTCACAGTCATTGCTGCTTCCCAAACGTTTGTAATGACTTGGTAAAATTGAGTAATAATAGATGGATGACCACTTATCTCTTTGTATAACACTCTTGTACATTTCCACGAACCCACTGCAGTTCATGGATTTCAAAGCACTCCGGACAGCCAGGAAGCTACTTGGCATTTTTGTACCTAGGCTGGAAGGTAGACCTATTGAGCAAATTGATAATAATAGCAATGGTAAACATTTATGTGTACTATTTTTATTTTATTTTATTTTTGCTTGTAGGGCCTCATCTAAGCCTGCATTATTTCATTTAATCTTCACAAAACTCCTTTGAGGGCTTTTACCTTTATTTTACAGATGAGGAAACTGAGGCATAGGGGGCTAAGTAGCTTGTGAAGGTTGCATTTGAGTAAATAGTGGAGCCGAAACTGTCTCAGTTTTGTCTGCCTCTAGAGCACATGCCTATAACCATAAGAAACAGCCTATTTGTTGAGTTAAAGATGTGAGAAAGTAAGGAGAAAATAGAAAGAACATCCAAATTATTTTACCTTTTGGCGTTCCTTGGGTTATTTTGTTTTTTCTTTTGAGTCTTTCAGGAGTTCAGTTAGTTGACATTTGTTAATCGCATTATATGAAAGGAAAATCTCGTTATGATTTCAGTTGACCTGCAGGGAGCGTTAGTGGTTAGCTGGTTTTATGTATGTACATTAAGAGGGTATGTAATAGTCTCAACTGTACTTTGGATAAAGAAAATAGTCATATTTAGTTTGTGTTGGTCCAGCCTTTTGGCAGAAAGGTACCTAAGGCTGAGTATAAGCTCATATCTTATTTCATAACATGTACAAAAAAAAAAAAAAAAGAAAGAAAAAGCTAACGTCAACGTATGCTTAAAAAAGATGTAAAATGTTACAGTTGGGAGGAAATAGGTGGCACAAAGTCCTGTATATAATTACAGAGTAAAAGCTTAAAAAACCCCACAAAAATCAACTTGGCCTGATTTAAACTTTTAAGCTGTGAAATGTTTCAAAGGTTGGAGTGAGCTCATTTCTGTGGAGTTTTTGAGGATGACAGTGGGTGCAGTGGCCACTGTAAGCAGAGCTGAATAATTTTATTCTCATTTATCATCCTCTGCGTAGACCTGAGCATCTTGCCAGAACCAGTCCCAGTCCAAGAATAACTGGTTTGTTAGCTGGTGATGGAATCTCGTTTTAAAGTATGTGGCCCAAAAAGCTTCAGTTCATCTATTTGAGGGGGTAGGTGAGAAGTTGGATCATGGTCCTAAAATCTAGGGAACTGGGTAGGCAGTTGAGATTAAACTGCATGTGCTTTATTGTTTAGTCAGAAAGCAAAGCATAACTTTTCCCTACCTTACAAAATGGTCTTTTATGGGGCCGAGGAAAGGAAGCCAACAGTTATTACTGTTTTTGTATGATATTTTCCCACTTTCTTGCTAGAATTATTTTTCCCATAATGTCTAGGAAAACACGTTGGTGCCTGCCCTGGAGTACAGCTGAGAAGAGAGCCAGCCACACCTAGATAAATGAAACTGAAGCCATTCTCTGATCTTTGGGACATCCCTAGGTCCACCAAGCACACATGAGAAGTGTGGTGCTTGATCTTCTCAGCCTTTTCCACCTAACTGTAGAATAGGAGGACATGGCGGGAGCCAGTGAGTTGGGCCCAGTACTGGAAACCTGAGAAAACTTTGGAGGCTGGGACTCAGAAAACCCGAAGTCAGAGCTTAGTTTGGCGTACATTTTGTTCAGCAAAAAACATTATTCTGAGGTTGAAATTTCCTCTTTAAAATCCAGAGGTGCAATGTAGAAATGGACCCTTTGCTCATAAAAAGCAACATGAAATTCAATGTTACAAGAATCAGGGCTCCACCTGTCTTGGAGCCAATCAAATAGTGAAGACAGAGAGACCTTGTCTGCTGTCTTCTACTTTTTTAATCACAAAAATCTAATATCGCTGAACAAGGAGCTCCCAGCATCTTAGATTCTGTCTGGTGTCTTATCTCCATAAAATCCTCATGTTCTTCATTGTTCAAATTAACTGGCTGGAGAATAGATATCTATTATCTAAACAAGTGTTAGGCACATGTTTGAGGATGAGGGAGATAACATTGCATGAGGATTCAATTCATGTGTGTATGCACGTGTGAAACAGAGAGAGAGAAGATATAAAGTAGACCAGATGTGTTCAGAGAGGTACTGCACTCAGTATATGCACAAATACATAGATTGCCTTGCTTTTTCCAAGTTGTTTCAGGTCATTTCTAGACTTTGGATGCTCACTAAGGAAGCAATCAGATTTATTTATTTTTACTCTGTTTAGAAGGTGATGTGACCAATTACCTTTCAACAGAACAATTTTTGGGAAAGGTAACAGTTAATGTATAGGATTGTGTCGGCAAATTCACAAAGACTAGTTCTGAGAGTTATTCTCGTCCATGCTTTATTCAGGCTCAGAGAAGTAGAGCAAATCTCGTGAGATCACACAGTTACTAAGAGACAGAACTGGGATGTGAAGTCAGTTCCTTCTTTGCTAAACCAGAGTTTCCCTCTGCTGGAAACGTTTACTACTTAAAAACTTCTACAGATACCTTCAAGAGCTTCAGAGAGTCCTTTCAACCTGCACAGAGCTAATGTAGGCTCTCTATGGAGGCAGTTATAGTGGTTTTGATCTTGCAACCCAAACTGTCTAGAATTTGGAGAGCTCTTCCAAGAAAGACATGGGTTTTGGCTGGCATCATAACATTTTGGCAAAGAACTTTGGCCCAGACATCAGACAGTCTTGGGTTAAAATCAAACTGGTGGTGAAGTTGAGACAACTACCTCACCTTTCCAAACCTCAGTTTCTTCATCTGGAGAGTGGGATGGATGTCAACATCTAGTTCACAGAGTTGCTATGTGAATTAAATGAGATGTAGCACATAAAGTTTGGCCTGGGGCTTGGCATAGAGTAAACACTCTGGAATGATTTTTTATTGCTGTTGTTGATGATGGCATTATTTTTAAAAATTCTTATTTCCTCATATGGAATAGGATGCAAAATTTCAAAAGAAAATGATAAAAGGGACGACGGACGAGACATAGGAATAATGATGGCAAACCCACCCATTGTTACGCATGAACAAGGTTTGTCAGAAATGTTTAGTGAGTTTTTCTGTCCCTCCAGGCTTGGACTGGGCTGATCTAGGCTGCTTCCTTATTGGTCCAGTGATCCCAGTGATCTTTGGGCCCTGGTGTAAGTTTTCCCCTCGCTTTCCATTAAACATAAACAAACAAACAAACAAACAACAACAAAAAACACAACTTTCCGTGGAAGAGGGGCCTGCTTTCTTGCAGAGTATTTACATCTCTATGCCTGTGGGGTCACCTTCACTTGTACTTTTATTGGCAGAGGGATTGGGTTGGGACTCGGGAGCACTGTAATTCTGGAAAAACTGCCTAGTGGCCTGGCATCATGGGGATTTTCCTGGCCCGCCTTGTGGAAGGCTCTCGACCCCTTTCCAGAACTGAGTATGTTTTTGTTGCCTACTTACTCAATGCTCCCCTTCCCCATCCCATTTCAAACACTGTTTATTTTGTTTTGAGGCACTGGACTTGACTGTGGGTATCAACAGTAAATTGTGTTTTAAGTGTAGGAAATAATGTTGAGGAAAGAGAGCCCTTCCCCAGACTAGAATGCAAATAGGGGGAGGGCAGTAGAATAGGAGATAATGGGAAAAGTCAGGCAAGGCAAAATGATGGAAAAATAAAACTAGTTAATATGAATTTGTTGGGTAAATAAAGGATATCAGTTTTTCACACCCTCTTCTATGGCCCTTCTGTATAAATGATGATATATTGAGTCCTTTGTGCTATAAAAGAATATGAGTAACACCACCTTTCATGGCAGTGGGAGGTCAAGTGTGCTTGTTGAACTTAGTTAAGATCAGCAAATGAGCTGGGTGTATATTTTAAGACCTGTTGATTCCCAGTTCTAATTCTATAAAACACCACTCAAGGCACTAGGGATAGCAGGTTATAAATTCAATAATATTATTCTTTCTTCCTTCTTTCCACACTTCATCCCCTCTTCCATTTTATTTTATTATTTTTAGCCCTTTCTGTGTTTGAAGCATTGTGCTGGCTGGGGACCTTTGAGGAGACAAAGACCAACAGGACAGATTCTTGCCCACAGCCTAATGGGGGAGACGAACACATATATAAATAAGAAACTTTATAGGAGTGACAGAAAAGCACTGTAATAGACTCAAACCCCTGTACTAAGGGGGCTGCCAGTGAATTCTGACTAGGGTATCTGGGACCGTGATGTGGGAGGAGAGATGATCCAGGCAAAGCCTTGTTGGAGGAAGGACACAAAGAGAGTGTGCTTGGGACTGTGGAAATGGCAGCGTCTATTGTGCCCAAAGCTGTGATGGAGCTGGAGTTAGAAATCTCCATGGGAACCAGCAAGGGGAGCATCTTGAATGTAATAATAAGGATATCAGTTCCATTCATGTAACTGGGAGAAGCCATTTAATATTTTTGTGCAAACACATGACACAATAAAATAAATTTTATATAAAGATCTCTAGGAGCTTTTGTACGGGATATACAGAGTGTGAAGAGGCTGAAGTTTGGACAACAGACTGCAGCGATGTTGTGTGGTCAGGTGAGAGCAAGCAGCCTGGAGTAGGGGTGGGCAGTAGGAATGGAAAGAAGGTGTTGGGATAAACCAATGTTGCCCGGTCTTTTGAATTTCTTTGACTACATTCCAGTTCTAGAGTATTTACGTGAATACCAAAGGTATTGAAAAAAATAGAATATTTTGATAGAAAGACTCCAAACCATGCCCAAAAAGACACAGTTGCTAAAATGCAGCAGTAATTACAGTGGAGTGATTGGTAGCACAGCCACTTTGCTTGTCACTTGGTGTCTCCAGAGCAGGGCACTGCTACTTGAATAGAGTAGTTCTCTTCCCAGAGCTCACTCTTGAAATTATATTTGGAGCACCAGCTCTCTCCTCTTACTCTCAGTGACACCCTGCCTTACACTGCTGCGTGATCCATTTGGTAAATTATTCAGTCTGGTAGGTACGTTCATGATAGTAATGTATGCTCAGTTTTAGCACAATTTTTTTTTTTTTTTTTTTGAGATGGAGTCTCGCTCAGTTGCCCAGGCTGGAGTGCAGTGGCATGATCTCGGCTCACTGCAAGCTCCGCCTCCCGGGTTCGCGCCATTCTCCTGCCTCAGCCCTCCCGAGTAGCTGGGACTACAGGCGCCCGCCACTATGCCCGGCTAATTTTTTTTTGTATTTTTAGTAGAGACGGGGTTTCACCGTGTTAGCCAGGATGGTCTCGATCTCCTGACCTCGTGATCTGCCCGCCTCGGTCTCCCAAAGTGCTGGGACTACAGGCGTGAGCCACCGCGCCCGGCCTTCAGCACAATTTTTATACATTAATCAGGATTGGGTGGCTCACCTTTAAAAAGTGCACCAACGTGCCATGACATTGAGAACCACTAGTCTTGCAGAAGTGTTTTGGAGCCCACGTTTATAGCGCTTGGCAAGAAAATAGATGGCAGAGGTGAGAGATGGGAAAAACTGAAGGGAATTTTGAGAAGTCTGGCCAATGTCATAGACACTGTAGGAAGAGACGGGGTCATGTGGGTGGGTGGGTAGTAATCAGTTTACATGTAATGTGTTGGGCTTGATAGACCTTCAAGGTAGAAACGCCATGTAGGCTCTTAAAAGATCGTGAGTTCAGTATAGAGAAATCAGGACTAGAGGTTAGCAATTTGTTACCTGTCTGCATAGAAATAAACTTCAAAACTTTGGGAATAAATTATTTGCCTTGGGGAGGAGTCTAAATTGAGATTTTAAAAAAATGGGCCTATAATATTAACTAGAAGAAGGGTTGTATCTAAGAGAAGGATAGAAAAGGAGAAACCTGTGAAAGAGATGGAAAAATTATAGAGGCAAGAGGAGAACCAGGAAGGTACATGCCAAGGCAGAAGACGTTTGAAGAAGACAAAGACTAGTGGCATTAAACATTGCAAAGACCTGGAAGATTCTAGGAGGATGTCAAATAAGGAACTTTCTCATCTTCTTGGACTATTTGAAACAATGAACAATGGTCCCTTCCCCCCAGACCCTGCGTATTTGCACATGGGATTGAATTGATCATAGATGAGATTCAGTGGATCCCCAGTTGGCAGGAATCCAAAACTAAGATTGCTGTAGGGATTTTGAAAATTTAATGCAAAAATCACAAATTTTCCAAACTTTGACTTTAAAAGATCTTAACAAAAGTGAATAAATACCACATGAAATTTTAAAAGGTACCCAAACAAAACTAATTTCACGGATAACAGTAATATGCTTTTTGCAAACGTCATTGGAATGTTTCTATAGTTAAATGTAAAATGGACCAGGCCACATTGAGGGATTTTTTATTAGGAATAAAAGCAACAATATAAAAGAGTCTGACTAATATAAAAACTTACTATTGTAAACTTTTAAGTTTGCTCTATTAAACTGTTAATGATGCTTTAAAAATATTACGATATAATTTAATGTCTTAAATTCTAGGTCTTCAGGTAAGATATTTTCTTTTCTCATGAAATGTTTAAAGCCCATTTTGTCAGTGAAGTGCAGCTGTGGTGTGGGGGCCTGAATGTATGCCTGAACGTATGTGTGTCTGAATGTATGGGTTTGAGTCTCACCTGGTTGCCTGGTAGCTGTGCACCACTGAGCAGACACCTTACCCTCTCTGAGCCTTCATTGTGAAGTCTGGGACAAGTCTCAGTGGTATATGCCCTTCATCCGACTTAAATGGTTGGCTGTGGGCATTAACTGGGGTGATGGGAATGGGTTAAAGGCCAAGATGTGTGTGAAAGCTGTTTGTGAACAGTGTAAATGAAATTGTTATTAAGGGCAAGAACTTGAATAGAAGAAAGTGAAGTGTATGCCATAAACCACTTTTCAGCAACTACTTCAGTGAATATATTCTTTGGGAATGATAGCTTAGTGGTTCTCATTTCTACCCTTTAATAGTTGTATGGCTTTATGTAAATTGCCTAACATTTCTATATCTCAACATCTCTATCTTCATCATGAGGCTCTTGTCAGAATTGTAAGTTACAGCACAAAAAATTCTCAAAACATGGTCTGGGCCGTGGTCGGCACTTTAGAAATGATAGCTACTTCCACCATTGAAGTGTCATGGAATGACTGCCTTTGCCATACTTTAAATTAAATGGACTGTATTTATGGCAATTTATTGTCAACACCTATGAAATGTGTTTATTCTGAATTTTTCTCAGGGTAGACAATGGAAGGTCAGAAGAGGCGACTGCTGCTTTTCTGTTAAAGATGGGAAACCCTGGTACTGTTTGGGGCTTAGGAAGATGGGTTGCTCCTCTATTTTTTCTTTTCAAAGCTTCACCTGCTTAACTTGTGCCAATTTACAAACAACGAATCAGAGTGTTGTTTTCTCAGTGAGGCCCAGTTGTCCTCTGCAGTCCTTGCCATTAAATCAGGAAGTGGCAGGTAGGAGGCAAAAATGTCAAACAAGTGACCAGTGGGCCTGCTGAGCCTGAAGCTTCTGAGTCGTCTTCATTTTAAAGAGTGTGATGTGGCCAGCATCCTGCTTTCCAGCAAACCACAGGCACTAGTGCATACCTGTGGGATTGGGCCTCCTTCTAGAAAGGGCAAGCCCAGATGAACTGGTGTGACTGGATTTGGACATGTGGGCCCTGCACATTCATACAGCCTTCTGTGCTTGGGACTAGAAGTCCTGCCAACTCCTCTAAGAGCCTGCTGCTGCTTCTTCTTGGTAATAGCATGTTCTGCCTTGTAGTGTAGTGAGTTGGGCGAATTCACGTCTTAAGGGATGGTGTCTTAAAGTGTAAGAACCTCGTCGTGGTCATCTCTGTCAGCTCCATAGCTTCAGCAAGAGGTCCACAACCTTGGGACTTGAGTGGGAGTTAGACTGGAGTTTCCTGTTTATAGTTGGGGTTGTTAACACTTGGGATAGCTCCCCCCAGAATGGAACTCCAAGTTCCAAAACATGATTCTCCCAGAAAGTTTATCACAGAAGGTCAACCTCCTCTATAAAAGACATCCTAAATAATCATTATATAAACACTGTCTTTTTTTTGAAATGAATGTAATCACATTTGAAAATATAAGATCATATTGATATTTACATCTGCTCTTATTTGTGATAAAAGGAACATTCCCTTTTATAGAAGTAGACTGTTGTCAAAAGCAGAAATGTCCCTGACAAGGCAGGAGGTATAGACAAGGAAGGTTCTGGGGCGATCTGACTTCCACTTTCAAAAAGTCACAATGAAAAATGTCTCCCGATCCCTGGAGCTGGCATTCTCCAGTCATTTCCAGCCCCTTTCAGTGAGGCTAACTCTGAAATCTTGACACAAGCCTTCATGTTTATATTAGGTTTTGGATGTTAGCTCCCTTGGCTTCTGGGAGCTGACTCTCTTGAAAATTATGTTTTTCTTTTAAGGACAAAGGCCTTATTGTATGTACATGTCGTGTAGTGTAATGAGCTTTCTTTCTTTCTTTTTTTTAATGTTAGGTAATGGGTGGTACTAACCTACCTCTGCCAAATGAGAAGTTCAAAGATTTGTAAACTGACGGGCAATTATAAGGTTTCGTGCAGGTAACTCAGCAAGAGAAGATGAGAGGGTGGGATGGGTGGCATCTTCACTGACCACAGCATGTCCCCCAAATGCCCTGCTTCAAGGGAATAGACATAACATGACTCTGAGCGAGGATATGCAGATAAATGATGGTACCCAGAGTCACTTCAAAGAGAAGGATAGAATACAAATAAGGAAGATAATGATCATTGCATTTTAACTTATGAAAACACGCCTTTCCAAAACAACTCTTGTATGCTTGGTCACATAGATAATATTTGACCAGATGATTTTTCATGGCTGCTAATGCTGTCGGCATAGGGCAAGCACCCTATTTTTAGACCCTGTGTGGTCAGTTGGCCACTCTGGTGGCACTACTGGCCTCTTTGGCTGTGGGTGACCTCAGAAAGGCTATTTTTAGTAGGGACAGCTTGGCCCATGGAAAGGAGGTATGAAAACCCAAAGCTGCTCTTCCATTTCTTTGGGCCTCTATAAGAAACATTTTTAGCATCGTTTATTTTTATTTTTATTTTTTGTAGAGACAGGGTCTCACTATCACCAGGGCTGACCTCAAACTCCTGGCCTCAAGCGATCCTCCTGCCTTGGCCTCCCAAAGTGCTGGGATTACATGAGTGAGCCACCACACCTGGCTAGGATCTTGATCTTAATTTCTTCCCCCTTTCTCCTTTTAAAAACCTATTTTCTGAGGTTCCTCTTTGAGGCATGTCTATGGACTGTAGCAATAACATTAATGAATGACATTTTAATTCTTCGCCATGTTGATTGCTCCATGTCTTATTAAGAGATACTGGGGGACCCAGTTTCCATTATTTTCTAATTGAACAGCGCCATTTGTGCCAAGATACTAAAATTGCTCCCCCTTTGCTCAGAGGGCAGAGGCTGCTCCACATCAGTGGCCTGTGGGGCTTGCAGCTTCTGCCTCCAGTAAAGCCTGCCTCATTCTGTTCCTTTACTGCCCAGAAATTCATGAATTCCAGAGACACTCACAGCCTGCTGGGTCTCTCCTGCTTTGTGGATTTATGGTGTAAAAGCAGTAGCATCAAGACATTCACATAGCAGTGTTTTTTTTGGTCTCAGGGGAACACTCTTTTCCTGAATGAGAGAACATGAAAGATGAAGCAGATATTCTCTCACTTGGGAGCCGCTATGCCAAAACAGTTAAGGTCTTGCCATGGGCTTCTGTTTATGCCCCTTGGGGGGAATGGGGCCCATTAGACTTGAGTTGTGGTAATTTCCTGTTTTCAAGCACATGTGAAACAATGATTCTGGTGCCCAGTGGGACCCACCAGAGGTCAGCTAGCCGCAGCTCCATTAGCACATAGATGAGTACCAGGATGAAATTCCTTGTCCCTTAGAGGTGACTCAAATGAGAAGTTGTGGAAGAGCTGGCTGGCAGGGAAGGGGGCAGGAATCTACCCTTTTTGTGCATCTCATTAGTCTGGGGTGGCTTCTGTTGGAGGAACCAGCCCTTTTATCTCCCTGCTGGGATGTGCTGGAAATGCATGTACCAGATGGTGTTGCTTCCTTTTCCTCCATGGGTGCACGTGTGTGGGGGGGAATTGTTAAAAACTGTGAATTTTTTTCTGTTTCATGTAAACCATATACTGACCAAGGGCAAAAAAAATTTTCTTAAATTACTTTGCATGTTAATGGGTCATGTTACAGAAATCTGGAGTCCCTAGATTTTGGAGTTATGAAATTTTTGATAGTTGTCTGATGTTGACCTATAGGAGCAGCAGTTTTATGTGGTTCAACCTAATGTATGCTTTGAGGACTTTTAGACTTTTTCAAGGGAGATATTTATCCTCCAGGTTATTGCAAGGGATATATAATCCTCCAGGTTATTGCGATGTACCTGAATGAGGGGGTATTTAAATTCAGAGTGAATTTGCACTGGGTTCATAAACTAAAGCCAAAATGTGGTGTCATAGTAAAATGCCTCTCAATCTGTGAACCTCCAACTCTGAATTAATGGGATCTTCTGTATATCCTCAAGACCCCTCTGAGGGTGGTGGGACAGTGGTGGAGGGAGGGGAGAAGCAGTGCTCAGGTTAGGTGGGGAGCACATGGTAGGAGCTCTGCAGGAAATGTGGGAATGGCATTGCAGGACTGGAGTAGGCAAATGATTGATTGATGGTCATTAAACTCAGCACACATTTATTGAGCATTTATGTTAATAATATCCTGAGGCACTGCAAGACAGGAGCAATGCTTTTTACATGAACAGAAGGGGATTAAATTATGGTTGAGATAGTTTTGAAGTTAGATGTCTTTTATTGCTTTAAAGTTCTTTGAAAATTGATTAACTTATGCAAGCCAGAGATATTAACTCTTGTTTGGAATATTCGATTAGTCAGAGCAACCTGTTAGTCCTTGACTGTGCTAGATTTTATAAGGTTATGTATCTGTGTACATATCTATCTATCTATCTATCTATCTATCTATATGTATTTATATAACATTTGGATAATGGTTTTAGTTTGGAAACTACCCTCTATCATTAGAATCTTAGATGAAAGTGTGAATGAATGTGTGATGAAACTAATAGTTGTGTATGTGTGCTGGGGGCCCATAAAATGGAGCCTGAACACTAGTGACAAGGGGCACACAATTCTGTTGCCCGATCTATCCCCTTCCCTGGGCCTCTGCCCCTTCCTCCCTCAAGTAGCCAATTTGGCTACTTGTCTTCTCTCACACAGTTGTAGGTCGTTAACAAGTCAGTGGTTAGAATTTTGCCTTTAGTTTCTTCTGTTCTCCCACCAGGGGCCCAGCAGTGGTGGCTCTCAGATTTTAATGTGTGTAAGAACCACCAGGGAAGGCTAAAAAATGCAGATTTCCTGTGTCCTGGTCCAGAGATCCTGATGGAGTAGGTCTGGCTGGCTCCTGTGCAGACCAGGGAAACTCCGTTGTGTTTTTTTTTTTTTTTTTTTTTTTGAGACAGAGTCTTGCTCTATGGCCCAGGCTGGAGTACAGTGGTGCGATCTCGGCTTACTGCAACCTCCACCTCCTGGGTTCAAGTGATTCTCCTGCCTCAGCCTCCTGAGAAGCTGGGATTACAGGTGCACACCACCACGCCTGGCTAATTTTTGTATTTTTAGTAGAGATGGGGTTCCACCATGTTGGTCAGGCTGGTCTTGAACTCCTGACTTTGTGATCTGTCCACCTTGGCCCCCCCAAAGTGCTGGGATTACAGGCGTGAGCCATCGCACCTGGCCAGAAAGCTCCATTTTTAATAAACCCTTCCAGTGACTTTTATGCAGTGGCCAATTTTTGAAACACTCTTTCCACCTGACATGTAATGGAAAGAGAAGGGTATATGAATATAAACATAAACATATATGTTTATATTTAAATCTTGGTTAGGTACAGTTGAAATTCTGTTATTGGTGTAAAACTTTATAATAGGTCAACTACCGTTTACGTAATGTTGCTTTCGTGGAACTTTTACACAATTATCTTGCACATTAGCTGTCTTTATTGAAGTGTTCTTTTCCTATTCATGTCATCTTTATCAAACCTCCTTTAGTCACCCAATCAGAATGAACTCACTTGTTCCTTGAAGACTTTATATTGGTTACTTTTTTATTATAACCCTTACTCCTCTCTCCTCTAGATTTTTATTGATTAGTTACATGACTTTCTCTTCTACTGGACTTGAAGCTTCTTCAGGGTAGGAATAGCGTCTAATTCTCATGATCAAAATATCTAGAACAGCGCCTTGCAAACTTTAATCTTAATAGCTATTTTGCGAACAAACAGTGTATTCATAAGCTGGGGATAGTCCAAACTTCATTTTCCTCAAAGCCACCCTGTGAGGTAGCGCTGGCATTCTTAAGAAACCAGTTTCATAGTTGAGCTCATTAAGGCTCAGAAAAGAAAAAGCAAGGCGAAAGTCCTACTGCAATCAGCGAGAGTTGGGACTGCAATTCAAGTACCAGAATTCTGTCCAATCCCAGGCAGAGTCCACAGAGCTCTCTTTCAGAGAATGCCACCTAACCACAAGGGTTGAGAGAATACCCCCCGGGGTCAGTGAGAGAGACCCAGCAAATAGCTTCCCTGGGGATTATGTTTTCAACAGTCCTTGCAGTCTAGTTAGGTAGGGTCCTGCCTGGCGCCTTTGGGTGGGACAGGCTGACCCGCTGGGCTGCTGCCAGTCTCTTCATGGGATGGATTCCCACAGGGATACGCTCTGTTTCCTGTGGTCTTTCTGGGATGGGTAGCAGCTGCAGGACGAAGCTGACGTGACGTTATGTTTGTTGCTTCTTCAGCATGAGCCAACTAGATGGAGCAATCTGACACAAAACCCAGGGTTTTATGACTGACCTAGTGCGCCAGCTGCATCTGGAGGAACCAGACGCAAACAACGCAGAGTTGAGGGCCAGGTGAAGCGGGATCCAGCTCCCCACTTCACCCCAACCCCTTCGACTCCTCAAAACCTCTGCAAGAAGCTATTTCCTTCGGCTGGCAACTTACAGCCAGCAGGTCCCTTCCTCGTGCAGAATAAAGCCATTCTGGGAAATTTTAGTTTTCTTCTCTCCCTTTTGCTGCCCTGTTTCTGCCCACACCTTTCTTTCCCTGCTGAGGGAGAGTGTAAAGTCAAGCCGACCAGGCTCTGATTCCCATCACCTTCACAGAATTCTGGTCATGTTGCTGGACAGTTTCCCATGCTTTAAATGGGAATCCTTTAAACTTATTTTTTTTGAATTAGCCTGGCATTCCATTGTTCCAGGGATTCATCTCCATCCTTAGTATTTTTTACCATGTTATTTTCTTTCTTTGTCATTAGTGCAGAAATTCCATGATGTCACCATTCCCCAAGTTTTGTGTCTAGTTTTTCTGTCTCAGCTTTTAATTCTTGAGTTCAGCCTGATACTGAAATATACAAAAGGCATTACAGCAGGCTGGCTGTTCCTCCTCCACGCAGCATGGCAGTTAGACATTTGCAGGGACGAGCTTGTCCAACTCACCTTATTTTATTGTTGTTGTTGTTCTGTTTTGTTTTGTATTAGGCTTTTAGAATCCTGAAGTCATGGTTTTTAGTTTCCGTCTCTAGTGATAAGCAGAAAAGAGGGATGAGGAAGGGGCTTTACTGGCCCAACCAGAAAGAGAAACTAAGAACCCATGACTGTATTCTCTCCCTTGGACACCCCTCAGTGTGCCACATGGAACTAGGCAAAACTGGATGATCTGGTGGAGAACTGGTGGAGACCCACCTGTGATCTTGATCAAAGGCTCAAGAGAGGGATTGCTGGGGTTAGCTAACGGGCTAGCTTGGAGCAGTGTCAAGTGTTCAGGTGGGGGTTAGTAAATATTTTTTTTTTACTAATGATGATGTGCTGATATAATTTAGCCTGGTGAAGATGATATCCAGGGGAAACTTTAACAACCTTCTAATATGTGGGAAGGAAATATTATGTTGAAAGTACAGAGAGGAGTACTAATCCCAAAATTGCAACACAT
This sequence comes from Homo sapiens, assembly GCF_000001405.40. Lineage (NCBI taxonomy): Eukaryota > Metazoa > Chordata > Mammalia > Primates > Hominidae > Homo > Homo sapiens. The sequence goes on from NC_000007.14 coordinate 33,922,970, forward strand.
TGCTAGCTTGTTTCTCCATTGACCTCTGTCTCTTACTCGCTTCCAGAGTGAGTCCCAAGATGGTTGTGGGGTCTTGGCTTCTCTGCTTCTTGGCCAGTGCCTGCCTGTATGTGTAGACTCTTCCCTAGATCCTTGGATCCTAGTTACCCTGCTGTAGATGAGTATCACGGTCCTAGTTTTGAGCCACATTTTTTGGCATGAGACATTATAAGAGGCCTCTGACTGTGGACTCTGTTCTCTCCCAGGCTTTGGCTTCAGGACTCAGTATAACAGAGAAGAAAAACTTAAATTGAGAGATTTTCCCTTTCCCTTTCTTTCTATTACTCCCAAGTGTTTAATGTCCCCTCCGCCACACACACCCGTCTGTAATACTCACCCAGCCTTTGGTCACTAAGCTCTAGTGGGTCTGTGCCCTCTTCTGTGGGGACATTGGTCCTAGACCTTTTCCCTGGAATTCTTAGGTCTTCTAGCCAACCAGAATTTTCCTAAACTTAAGTCAAATCAGATTTCCTCTGAGACTTAGGTTGGAAGGTGTGATAATTAGTAGTAGTGGGAGTAAGGAGTGGCCAGCAGTAGTCTAGGCAGCCTCTCCTGTGAGCCTCAAATAGTGGGTAGCAACCCTCCCATCCTGGGGTATCTTGGTCCCTAAAATACCTGGCACAGTGGCAGGTGCTGATAGAAGGTGACCTCTGGTGGTCACTGAATTAATGTAATGACCGCAGCCAGGGTCACTTACAGTTGTTCATGCACACATTTATGTGTCTATGTGGGTAAGGACTCACATATGGCGCTCTCTCAGCATTTATGTGATGGACTTATAAGCATTATGTTTTATTGGTTTATTTTTCTTTTTGGTGGATCTTCCTTATCTTTTCAAACTTTAAATATTGGAGGGTCCCAGGATTCAGCCAAGACGTTTTCTCTATTTATATTCATACCCTGAGCAATTTTATACAGATCCATTGCCTAAAACCACTGGTATGCTGATAGTTTCCACATCTATGTTCCCACACCCCCACCTGCAGTCCAGCTGCATCTGTCCACGTGTCTACCTGGTGTCTCCACGTGGATGTTGAGCAGGCATCTCAAACTGAAAATGGCCTGAATGGAGATCTCCTTTGTCACCACTCCTTAAACCTAGTTTGCTCCAGCCAGTGACATCAGCTGCATGGCTCCATTTTTTCAGGCCATCCATCAACCATGGGGTCCTGGATTCCTCTTTCTCTTACATCCCATGTTCTATTCATTAGCAACTCTTGTCAGTATAGTCTTGAAAATAAGTTGGATTATTTCTAACTACCTGTTACTGCTCTTGACTTTGGACAATATGTTATCAACCAGTGACCATTTGAAAGTATACAAATTATTTGACTTACTTGAGCAAAATCTTCCCGTGGCTTCTCCTCTCACCCGGAATCCAGCTTGAAGAATAACCACTACCTACATGGCCCTGCGCGCTGCGGCTCCGGACGCCATCTTGGCCTCAGCTCCCAAAGCACCTTCCCCTCTCACCGTGCTCCAGCTGCGCGCTGTGCTCCTCCTTACTCCTACGGGATACCCAACCCCCTCTCCACTGGAGCTTTGCTCTTTCCAGTGCCTGGAGCACACATATCCAATATATTGACGTATTCTCCTTCCTTCACTGAGGTGTAGGAGTAAATGTCTCCTTAATAGAGGGTATTTTCTTTATTTCTTTCTTTCTTTTTTTGAGAGGGGAGGACGAAGTCTTGCTCTGTCGCCCGGGCTGGAGTGCAATGGCGCAATCTTGGCTCACTGCAACCTCTGCCTCCCGGGCTCAAGCGATTCTCCTGCCTCAATCTCCTGAGTAGCTGGGATTACAGGCACGCGCCACCAGCTAATTTTTGTATTTTCAGTAGAGACGGGGTTTCACCATGTTGCCCAGGCTGGTCTTGAACTCCTAACCTCAGGTGATCCACCTGCCTCGGTCTCCCAAAGTGCTGGGATTACAGGCGCGAGCCACTGCACCCGGCCTAAAGGATCTTTTTCTGATCACTGTCTCCAACAGCCTCACACCTTGTTATTCTGTTCCCTTGTCCCGCTTGATTTTCTCAGAGCCCTCCCTAGTGCCCATGAGATCATGCGTGGGTGTGTTCCCTGCAGTCGTCCCTGCTAGAACGTCAGCCCTGTGAGGACATGGCCCTCCCATGTTCATTTGTACCCTCAATACGTGGGACAATGCTGGGCTTATTCAGTGCATATTTGTTGGGCGAATTCATCTTTGCCATTGGGTTTAATTTTTTGATTTGGTAATTTGAAGATCTAACTATTTCTCTTCCCCAAAATAAATGATGAACTTTTCTTTGTACTCTAAACTTTGCTTTTTCGGTCATGATGACTTGCCCTTTTCGTAGCTTACATTATTTTGGGTATCATGTTTGATGGTGGGAAAACTAAACAAATCCACTGAAAGATGAAAAGTTGTCTCCAATGAACACTAATGTAATCATAACAAACTGTGCAATGAGCAATATAATTCTAGAATAAAATTATTTCCTATAGAAAACTGGTTTTTAAAAATAGATATTACCACTCATGGTGGACTTGGTAGCATGATAATTATTGGTTTTAGAATGTAAGTTAAAATCCAGTATGTTATGTTTTATATTTTACCTAAAACATAGATGAAAGACTAGCAAAGTGTGTTAAATATTACAATTTCATAGAGCAAGAAAATCGTGGCACAAGATAAGCACCCCTTATTTTCCTGTGATATATGTGAAACAAACTGTTCTACTGCTCAAAATGCCAAGTGAGGTTGCTACACTTCACTTGGAGTGCACTGGAATGTCATCAAAGAAGGAGATTCATTTGTGAATTGTCAATCCCAAAACGCTGACAGATGTAGGTCAAATTCTGTCTCAGTGAGATAATTGTATAACAGAACTTTTTAAAGGCTCATTTCAGTGGGCCACGTAGTGTCTAAAGAACCAGGAGACTTTGGATGATTTCAAGGAGTTTGTGGCAGTGGAATTTGGTCAAAACTGACGATTCCTGCCTCGCGTCTGAGCTTCTCTGAGCTGGTAACCAGCACTTCTTGCCCCTCATGTTGCAACATGGGAGGTGCCTGTGCTGTGTTTATGCTTTAGTCTCTCTCCCTCTTGGATTGTAAGCTCTTCTAGGGCAGAAGATGTGTCTGATTCATATTTTCTGTTCCCATCAAAACCTGGCATAGTACCTGGCCTGCCATAGGGGCTCAAAAATATTAGTTAAACAGATTCGTGTATTTTTGGTCAGATAGATCTGAAATCTGCAGTGATTAACCTGCAGAAAAACCCAAGTTTATAGCCCCATGCCACATGTTTCTAATAGCCATTTGTTTTTCTGCAGAAATTTTTGCCTTATTTTAGATATGCTAAAGCTTCTGGAAGCCGTTTTGTGATGGAACCCTTGTTAAAATTAATGATTAAGGGTTCTAATTATGGTTGATATTTTCCTTTAAAAAATGGGCACATGTTGTGAATCCCTTCAGCAACAAGTTTATGTTGATAATGTTTTGTGTGTAATTGGCCACTCTCGTTTCTTTATAACACCTTAATCTCAGAAATGGATTATTTGCAAATCTGGCTTTCTTTGATGGTTTAATGAGTTTGCAAATGGACACTAGTGGATTAAAATTACATTCTAAACTGAGGAAATAAATCTGTGGCTTCTCCAGTTTTTTTCTGACATCTGCATGTGATCCTTGGGAAAGCTTTGGTGAAGAGAACACAGTGCTAATGGCCTTGGTGAATGAGTCAGACAAACCTTAGCTCACAGAATTGCCTTCATACAGGGGACGCTGTCCAAGGCTGACATTTTCAGTTCTGCGAACTTCTAGCCAGCTAGAGAGCTCCTATTCCCTTGCTTCCCTACCTGACATTACTTGGGCTAACTGGACAACCTCTGTAGTTGGTACCAACGTAAATATAGCCTGGGAGCAGAGATCTTTCCAGCAACTGAGATGTCACCCCGCTCTTACTGTTACCCAGAGGGAGGACTGCAGGATCCAGCTCTAAAGCTGATCGGCTTTTCATCCCGGGGGGACCTTTGAAAGGCTCTGTGATTGCTGGTGGTCAGGGTCAATTGTGCAGATGTCTTTAAGAGTGTCTCACTGGTGACCAGAAAGTTACTTTGTCAAAATGACAGATGGGCTGTGAGCGGCTCCTCCGCCCTGCCTAATCCCATGGATGTCAGCTCCATTTACTTGTCAAGATCAGGTATTTTTGTAACTCCCAACAGCACGTGGGCTTTCACGGGGCAATCTGTGAAAAATCTTCTGTTTCATTGGCTCTGTGGCTTGTTGTTGACCCACAGGAATGAGAGACACCTGAGGACCTGGTGGGTTCACTGTAGGTACGTTATCCAGGAAGGAGACATGCGCTGATGACAAGAGTGACAACCTTCCAGGGCTGGCCTCACAGAGATATGGTTTTGCCACCACCAATTGCCAAGGGAATCTAAGATATTTTGTTTCTGTGATTTGTACATGCTCACTCTTCTTCTACCCTTGACAGAGAGTCATTTCTGTGCATATTTAAAAGGTCCATTGAGTCATCTTTCTTTTGATACCAGACAGCCCATCTTCCTATATTGCAGTAAGTCAAGAAAGGGGCTGTCAAAATAATATCTCCAGCTATCACCTTCTTTAATGTCAGGTCTCGAGCTTTCCTATGGAGTTACCTAATATTATTACCACTTTTAAACTCTTTACCCCCACTCCCCACTCCCTCCAAAATCCCTACCAACCTGGCCAGAAGATTCTGCACTGTCACCCCAGGACTGGAAAGCCCCAATAATGCCTTCTGAGCCCCGGATCCTACAGGTAGTTGGAGTTGGACCCCCAAAATGTGGTTCATCATCTTCTACTTAGTTCAAAAGAACTCACCAGAAAGGTATAAAAATATTCATAGAGTTTCATCACCCCTTTCCTTTTTGTTTTCCTTTTGGGCAGAGGAAGAAGCAGATTTATTATTCATCATGTGCTGAAGGGCGCCCAGCAGTGTAAAATAACCAGAGGTGTTGAGGAAGCAGCCTGGCCTCCTGCGTGTGAAGCTGCATTGCTTTGCAGGGCTTCCTTCTCCTTCACCCCTGGCCTGCAGATTCTTCCCAGGAGTCTTTTGGAAGTGTTCTCTGCCGCACCGACCCCATCCCACATCCCAGCTGTTGGAGTCTCTTCTGTTAGGAAGAGAGAAGGGTTGACTGAGGCATTTGGGCCCAGTAAAGGCAGGACGCCACCATGAACCCTCTCGGTTCACATGCCTGGCAGAGTGAGTTGCAACCTACCTGTTGGTTTTTTGTTTGCTTTTGGGAACTGAGCACGGTGGCAGAGCTGCATCTGTGACAGGGCCCACGGGGCTCGATCCCTGGCTCTGCGTGTTCCCTCCATTCCAGTTACACAAATGTGCTGTTGCCAGCAGACCCTTTGCTTATACGACGCGCAGTCTAATAAAAAACAGGCAGTGCTACTCTCTTTTGGGCTACTATTTTTATTTGGTGGTTGTTTTTTTTTGTGTTCTGCCATCTCTAATGTTTTGGTTCCATTTCAAAATATGATTAAACAGAATGAGGAGCTGTTTGACACTGCCCTGTTTTAAATCAGACTTCTACTTGAGCAGCCAGGACACTCTAATGGCCTGTGTTTCTTTGTTCCGTGAGTTTCTTGAAAAAGCCAAAAAAAAAAAAAAAAAAAAAGCCAGACCTAAATCCTTAAACAGAATAGGACCCAAAACAATCCCTCCAACAAACTAAAGCCCATTAAAAAAAAATGGAATAGTTAGGTAACGTAAATATCAGAAGGGCCTCCTTATTAATCCCCCATTGCCTCTGCTGGCACGTGTCATATTTTCAAGGTATAGGATCAGGAGAACACTGTCATTTAGTGATGTATTAGGGCCATATATCATCAGAACATCGTCTTTGTAGGGGATATGGGTACTAAAAGACACGATTCTGGCCAGACAGAACCTCAGGGGGTCTTACTTCTTTCCTCCACCCCCCTGCCTTTTTCTTTAATCTCCCTCTGTTTTGTGTTGCAGAGAAGTGAATTTCTTCATGGGATATGACTTGTTGCAAAATAATCGGGGGGCCCCAGTGGGCTTCATAAAGTCTTTTTAAATGTTCGGGCTTCAAGGGCAGCTTTGTTCAGAGTTTGCACTGTGAGCTGGGCCGGAGGAGGCGTGTTTGCCAGGGCCTGGGTCTCTGGGGTAAAGACTCGTTGAGCCTAGACAGGAGGGAAAAAGAATAACACTCCCAGATGGAGTGCAATGAATTGCATGATGTTCTTGCAAGACATTTTAACATTAAGTCTACAAAATTATGGCCGTGGGATGCTGCAAGCCTCCCAAGAGAGTACACTCTTCTGCTCAAATCAAAGAAGAAATGAGAGGACTTGGCAGGTTCGGGTCCAGGTTTTGGTCAGCCTTGCAAATGACCAGGCACTCAGAGACTGGGACTTGTTTTGAGTTTTTAAGTCAGAGATTTAATCTGTCTTTCCTAAAAGGCATTATTTTTACTTCTGTGTTCAGAATGAAACCATAAAGCACCAAGGTTTATAAAGGTCTGAAAATGGGGTGCTCAACAAAGGCAAACATTTAAATTCTTAGCTGCAAGGGAAAGGTGGCTCACTTAGCCTCTAAATGAAGCTATATAGCATAGTGATGAAATCATAGGCTTTGATATCAGAGTCCTGGGTTTGAATCTCTGCCCTGGCTAGCTATGTAAACCTGGGTGAGCCGTTTAACCTCTCCGTGCCTCAGTTTACTTACCTATAAGATGTGATGGGAAGTAAATCAGTGCCTTCTTCAGGCTTGTTTGCAAGGGTTAAATGACAAAATACACAAAACATTTTCAGCATGGTGGGGCATATAATAGATTTCCTATAAATGTCAGGTGTTATTATTCTTAATAGTTCAGCAACCTGCCTGGAAAACACTATGTTACTTCATTGTTTGGTTAGAGATGGATCAGCTTTGTTTGTGGCCCTGACTATGGAAGGGATTTGCAAAAGCAGTGGAGGTTGGGGTTGCAGAAAGGTCTGGAAATGCCACTTTACGTTAAGGGCTTGAGGTATATTGTGCAAAGGGCCACAGTTGACACCTCCCATCTCTTGGACTAAACTCAGTTGGGAAAGAGGTCTTGGGTGAAACCACTTCTTTCAGCTGGGGAGTTTGGGTCCTTTTCCCTTTCAGCTTCATGTTCTTCATCTTAGAAATGGTTTTCTTCATGTTGTCTTTCTATTTTTTTTCAAGTTCTGTTGAGTTGAGAGACATGACCCAGAGCCTTGGACTTGTACACTTAGGGTTTGTGGCTGACCAAACTGCCTTTTATTTTTTTCTTCCAGATATTTCTGTGTAAGAGTTATGGGGAAGTCAATTTTACTATCAGTAATGAAGAATGAGCAAGCAAAAGCTTAATTAAAATAATAAATCATCAATCAAATTTAATACTGCCATTGGCAACCACTGGGCTATCTCAGGGCCCCCCTACCCATGCTCCATTATTATTTTCCAAGAGACTGAGAACAGACTTTGTCCAAAGGAGACAGGCTGGAGCAGGTATAAGCTTGCATTCTCTCCTGTCTGTGAGTTCATGCTCGTTTGCTCAGGATTTCCCCTGACCGAATGTTCTAGAGAGGTCATCACTTCATTTTACAATTTCCAATGATCAGAACTGCTGATAAGCAATGAAATCTCACTGGGTTCAGTGGCTCACAGCTATAATCCCAGCACTTTGGGAGGCCGAGGTGGAGGATCACTTGAACCCAGGAGTTTGAGACCAGCCTGGGAAACATAGTGAGGCCTTGTGTCTACAAAAAAATAAAAATAAAAATAAATTAGCAAGGCATGGTGGTACATGCCTGTAGTCCCAGCTACTTCTGGAGGCTGAGATGGGAGATTGTTTGAGTTTGGGAGCTTGAGGCTGCAGTGAGCCATGGTTGTGCCTCTGCATTCCAGCCTGGGTGATGGAGCAAGACCCTGTCTCAAAGAAAAGCAATGAAATCTGGCCCCTTTGGGTCTTTGGTTGCTGCCAACACACTTCTTTTTTCAGCTTTTGTTTCCGTCTCTTCATTCTAGAACCTTGGCTTAAAGTCTGGTCTGCTTACCCAAGTCCTGGGTAATCCCTTACATGGTACCTCTCATAGGTTACCTTGTACTAGGGCAGAAACGTGGCAGGAGACCTCGCCTGTTTGGCCCAGGTGGCCTGTCCAGAAAATCTGCAGACTAGCTTAACTACATACTAGTCTGTTCCTAAAGTCTCAACAGCCTATTGGAGCTAACCTAATTTGAATATGATACTTCTGTACATTTTAGTGCTGTGCTTTACAAACTAACCTTCCCAGCTGATCCCGTAAGCCAGGCTGGGAACTGGGTTCTGTTCCCAGGTCCACTGCTAGCTGCCTCTTTGAGGGATCTGAGACAGCCTCATTGTGTGCCATTTCTCCATCTGCAAATCTTAAGAAACCTGTGAGGATTAATGAAATAATGTCTACAGAGATCTTTAGAAGAAAGCTGCTATGTAAACCTGAAGTATTATTCTTCTGTTTATGAGAAGTGGTATAATATTGCCTGGGAGAAATTGTGACCTGGGTTCAAAAGTGCTAAAAAGTTCTCTTGGGCTCTTTGGGATCTGGAATTGGGTTACAATGGGGATACTTCAAGGAGAAGTTGACTCTTTGACTTCATACATAGAGAGACTAGAAATTCCGATGAGAATATACACGCTGATGTGGGATCAGCTTCCCCTGCTTCCTCCTCCTTGGGGCACTTGAAACAAGACATCCATATTCCTAACAACAAATTCCTATTTGAGCCATCTTGAGACTCTCCACATGGACCACTATTGTGTAAGTTCTCAGATAATAAAAATTTGAGTAAGCATCAAAATGTCCTATTTGTGCTCAGCAATGGTGATGGCTTTTGAATCAAGGTGAAGATCTCTTTCGTGCTTCTCACTGTGCCAGAAGTTACACCACAGTGTTTGTGTGATCTGCTGTTGTCTGTTGTCTTATTTTCCCCAAGAGCTTGTAGGTTTCTGGAGACTAGGAACCTTGCTGTATGATTTCTGTCTCCCTCCCGCAGCACTGAGTATAGTGATACGTGTGCCAAGGCTTTGTTTTTCAGCTTTAGAGCCTCCACTGCTAAGCAACTTTCCCTCTCAGAGTCGCCAGGCTGGGGCATCTATCCCAGGAAATTGGCTATTTGGGATGAATGTGGGTCTACCTCCAGGGGTATTTGTATTTTGGTGGGGAATTCTTGAAGGCAGCAAAATCTGTAAGCTCCTCCCCAACAAAGACTACCGGGATGGAATAACAGGGCACCCCGCCACTTTATTCCCAGCAGTCACACTACCTGGCCTGTGTGCTTCATTGACATATTGAGTATTGTTCACTCGGGCAGAAAAAAATACCACAACCTCACAGCCTTCTTAGTTTCCTGAAAAAAGATCTGTCACTTTGAATTTGCTAGTTTGCCAAATGACAGCTGTTTGCCTCCCAGGCAGGCTTTGCTGTCATCAGAGACAGGGATGGAGGGAAAATAATGCCATCATCTAGGGGAAGGGTCTTGTGTTGATCTTCAACATGGCTAACCAAATGGACGATCAGCAGGCAGACACGAGGTATTTTCATTTTCACTCTTATTTCAAGAGATTTGTGATGGTGTTTCATAGTCTAAAAATAAAGGATCCGCCCGCAGACATTTCTCCCTCCACTACCCTCATCATATTAGCTGCTGCGTTTTCCTCTCCAGATTTTGATTCTATTATTTTTTATTATAAATGAAAGGTCAAGGAATACTTTTCGTATTCCATAATAGGATTGGTTCTGGAAGAATCTTTGAAAAAAAAAATACGTTCAAGACATTGGGGCTGGGAATAGAACGGAAGCATCTCAAAAGCATGTTTTTCTGGTTAAGGAAAGCACACGAGAACGTTTCACAGCGGTGCTCTGCTATCTTCTCTGTACCCCTCCGCCCTACGCTCATGGGAGAGCTCATTTCTCTCCCCATCAGACACTGGGAAATACTCCCAAGGCTCTGGCAGTCTCAAGGCTGCAATTCCTGAGACCGGGGACTCTGTGCTGCCATCTCGTGGCAGATCTCAGACACAGCAAGCTGGCTGCCGGAATCCTGTTTGAACTTGGCTTGCGGCGGGAGCTGTGGTTTGGCTCAAATCCTTATAGAGCTTTGTTGCCAGTCATGTTGATTTTTAAAAAATGTTTTACTCCCTATGCCCCCCTTTTAGTTTTTCATGTTGGCACTTCATTTAATGTGCCTCCAGAGGCTACATTTTGGGTTTTGATGTGTTTGGTCAATGTTAAAGAATCGGTTAACTATCTTCCTGAAAGAAGGCAGTAATGCAGACAGACGCCTTTGACAGCAGGTAGACCACTGGCTGGCAACCGTAGAAAGAGGGACACACGGGAGACTAAGAATGAAAGATGCAGTAAGGTTTATTGCTCTTATTCATTGGTTAGGTTTTTTTTTTTTTTTTTTTTAGAGTATTCTGACCTTTTCCTTGAGTGTATTTTTGCTACCATTTCTCTTGTTTAGATCTGGAGAGACTCAAACTCAAGCTGGGATTTGGGGAAAAGTGTTTGAGGATGCCAGTCTGGCTTTCAGAGGCATGATAGGCACATCTCTGTTGATATCCAAATTGGAACAACTTTCCTTGTTACCAGAAAACAGCTGGTGTCTGCAGACCTTCCCATGGTTGGCCATGACACAGGCCCCTGGAGTTGCTCTGCTTTCGTTAGAGAGTTCCTGTCTGGAGCCACCAGGAAGACACCAATCTCCCCTGGGGCCTGAGGGCAGGATCATTATTTTGTTCTCTTCTGCATCCTGAATGCCTGGGAAGGCATTTAAATGACAGGCCTCTATTTGTATTCCAGATCTGTGTCTTGGGTGACCCTGGGCAAGTTTCCTAACATTGATCCCTCCTCTGTAAGATGGCGATCATTGGGAATTTTTGGTGAAAAAAATGCACATAAGATTCTTAGCACAGAGCCTGAACACACAGAGAATGAGTTCAGTAAGTGTGAGCCAGTATTAGAAAATGTTTCTTGAATGAAGATGTGAACGGAATGAGCCCTGAACTTGAGTCACAGTGGTGACACATAGTGCATGTGGGGATGAGGCAGCCCAGGGGGTGAGGGAGTCCTGAAGGCATGGCTTTGCGTGTGCCACTTCTCTCCAGAGCCACTGGCTCAAGAACAAGTGTTTTTGTCTCTTGGCAAAATTGGGAAAGTGAATGGAGTGGTCTTAATTAACCTGTGTTTGAATTTACTCTGTAGCTGCTGGACTCAATTAAGGAAATGGAGGAATCAGGCTCTCACCAGCAATTCCCTGAGCTTTTAAAGTTTTTTCTTGGAAGGCCTGGGATTCCAAAGACTACTCCACATTCACACCAATCAGACACCAGGGCAATGATCAGATATGGCAGTTCTGTACCAATGTGACCGTTGATAGAATATTTAAAAACTCCCAGTGTAATCAGGGGGAAAAAACCCACTAAACCTACAGCTAAGGTTTAGGTTTGTTCTATGTGTGTGTACAAAAAAAAAAAAAAAAAAATCCAGATGTGAATCTACAAACCATCTGGTTGGAATAACTTTTGTGCTGGACTGTAATTACAAACTATTTATTATGAATCTTGGGATCCTGTTATGGATTTTGACTGGCTCCCAGGTTTCTAAGTCAGCAGAGTTCCTATATTTAAGCGAATGTGTGCCTTCCTATTTATCAGATCCCAGATTGTGCCATCACTTTGACTGCCCTGAGAGCTTTGAACTCTCTGTATCTGAAGATTCTTCCCTTCAGAGAGGAGATGCGCTTGGGAGTGGCCCTTGGCTAAGGCCGCAGCCAGGTTGCAGCCAGGTTTGCTGAATGCATAAAGCCATACAGTCCTGGTAACAGAAGCTCTGTTAATGAAGTTCTTTCACAATTCTCTTGGGGTGGGAGAGTCGGTATAAAATTTAGCTTGCAAGAACTACGCTTTTCAAAATGAAGTCACTGTCAACAATACCAAGCAGCATACATACCTGGTGGCTATCTGTGATGACTTTGGTGGGAGTTGGGAGAGATTATTAATTTGTAAAAAATATGTCTCTTTATTTTGAATGGTGACCATAACAATGTATGACCTTTGTAGTTTAAGAAAAAATTATAAAAATAAATCTAAGGGCTGTGCCTTATAGTTAGCCTTGATGCCACCATTATCATGGAGAAAAGGGGGTGAGGGAAGGAGTTCTGGGGAGCGTGGAGCCAGTATGCTTGGCTTCAGATTGTAGGTCTGCTGTTCACAAAGGGACTGTGGACAGCTCCTTATCCCAGCTCAGCCCCAGTGGCCACAGAAATACTCTCCCCTGATGGCAGTGGTTCTCAACCCTAGCTGAACATTGGAATTACCTGGGAGCTTGAACAAATACCCATGCCTGGTCCTTAGATTAACCAGATCTGAGCTTCAGGGGGTGGGAGACCATGGCAGTCTTTGTTAAGAACTCCACAGGGGGTTGTAATGTGCAGCTAAGGATGAGGGCCCCTGTCTCACAGGATTTTAAGAGTAAATGAGGTCAGCCCCTTGAGGGCACTTACCATATAACAGATCCCAAAAAAGAAAGAGAGAAAGAGACAGAGAGAGAGAGAGAGAGAAGGAGAAAGAGAGAGAGAGAGAGACTGGATGACTCAGGTCACCCTCCCATCATAAGGACAACCAGTAAATGAAAAAACAAAACAGCAGCAGCAGCCCCTGCAGGTGTGGGGTGCAGGTGGCTGTGGATCGATGCCCTTTCTCTGGGTGTCAGACAAGTCCTAGGACAGTTTCAGGAGAATATTCACCACATTCATTCCAGTGTTCCTTAACAGAAGTGAGTGTCATTTTCTATATGTGCCATTCAGTGGACAAGTTTGAGCAACACCGGTCGTGGCTTATTGTTTCTGTGCCTCAGTTGGCCTTGCAAAAGCCACGAGGGCAGGGAAATAACAGGGCTGATACGGAAACAGCTGTGGGCAAGGCAAGGCCCAACCCTCCCCGTAGAACTCACTCTCAGCTCACACACAAGCTCGCAGGCACATATGCACATGCACACCCACACACACACACACCTGCAGGCTCGCATGTGTCTCCTTGGTTCTGAGCAAGAAATGGTGAGATCTTCTTAGTCTCATGACATGGAGGCATACTGGGTACACTTGAGAATTTTCTCAAATTTGTTATCAGGGCTGAGTTTGGTTTTCTTCTTTATTAATACATATGCCAAGAGAGTTCTAGGTTCATTTCAAGGTGAGCAGAGCCGGCCAGTTGCTCCTCTCCAACCTGCCCCGAGATGAGGCACTGGTAGTGCTTGCTGTTATCCAGGGAAGGGCATAGGTGTGCACACATTTATATCTTCATCTCGAGTTCCATCTCTCCCACTGGAAAGCTGGGTAATCTTGGAAAAGTCAGCTACCTTCTCTGAGCAGCAGTTTTCTTGTTTGCAAAATGGGGATAACGATACTGACCACACAGAATTTTAGTGAGAATGAAAGCCACATCAGCTAGCATGTGGTCGCCGCTTGATAAATCTCACATTTTGTTGAATTTTTTGAGACAGTATTTTTGGTTCAGGTGCATACAATCCATATACAAACAGGCATATTCATCATGTTTGTATCTTCTTTAAGACATTTTAACAGCTAACCTTTCAGGAAAAAACCAAAGATGCAAATGTTCACCACATGTTCATTAGCATAAGTGCTAATATAACACAGCTGTCCCACAGCTAGAAAACACTGACGTCCATGTCTCTGCTTGGCATGTAGAATATTATTTTTTCTTTTACCAAGCCGATCCAATATTCAACTTTGTCATTATTTGAGTTGGAACTTTAGATTGCTGCATTTTAATGCACTCTACTATTAAGGATTGTTGGACGGCCATGTGAAAATATTTTTGTTCTCACGATGCAGTCCTGGCCCAGGTAGCCCAACAGGCAAAATATGGTTTACACAAATATTATCGTTTCTGTAGTGTGTACTAAAAAGAAACCTTAGAATCTGAAGGAGCGGGAGAGAACTTCTCCCTTGGCAATCGGTTATCTAGGTGAAGCTGGCTTTGTAAAGAAGGGACTTTTCATCTCCTCTCATCTGACTCTGATCTCCAAAGTCCTGTGTTCCTGGATGGGTATTTCTGTTTCAGAGATGGCAAAATCCTATTTGCTCTCACAGCGTCTTCTTGCCAAGTGAAGGCCAGATAAGAGTGGGGCTCGGGAAACCTCTGTGGTGTGTTAGGATTTGGGGAATTCTGTTTGATGTCTATTTCAAATCTCTCGTGTCTCTTTTTGTCTAGAACAAGGAAGTGACATGTAAGAGAGAGAAGTGCCCCGTGCTGTCCCGAGACTGTGCCCTGGCCATCAAGCAGAGGGGAGCCTGTTGTGAACAGTGCAAAGGTGATTGATGTCTTGGCCGTCTTCTCTTCTGGCTGCTGCTTCAGGCATTTTTATTTCTCTTTCTCTCACCTTCCTTTTCACTCAGCTTTTGGCTGGGGTGCACATGGGTGGGGAGGAGAAGTAGGGTGTGTGTGTGTGTGTGTGTGTGTATGTGTGTGTTTGTGTGTATGTGTGTATCTGGGGCTGGAAGGAAGGGGGCTCTCCTGGAGGAGGGATGAAAGTATGTGAGCATCTTCATATTTGGTTTGTTTTCTAAGGCAGGTTGTTAAAATGTCGTAGAGAAGAGTCAACCACCATGCCTCTGCATATTTGTACACACACACATGAGCATATTTTGTCAACAAGTTTCAACACTCAGTTTTTCCAGGCTCCACACTCACCCTGCCCACCTCTGCCAGAGAAGTCTTTAAGCCTGTATTTTATCATTTTCGTCCTCATTAAAATTTTCCTTTCCTTCCAAATTAGATCTAAGTCCCTCCGCCTGTCTTTGAAGCATCTCTAACATCTCCTTACTCCAGCCTCATTTTCCATCACCCTCCAGCCACATGCTCCTTCTGGAATGTGCTGTTCCTAGTCTCACCTCTCTCTTGGCCTTAGTGTGGGTCTTTTTTCCCAACCTGTCCAGGTGCTGCCTGTGCTCAAGGTGCTCAGCCCTCATCTGCCACATTCCCCTTTAGATTTCTATGGCCTCTAGAAGCCCACATGGATACCGCAGTGGTGTGATTTTCCCCCTCTGTGGTTTCATGTAGATCGTCAACTCCCTGGGGATTTCACACCGTGTATGTGTCAATAGCGCTTCACAGTGTGGGGCCATGCAGGAGGCAACATTAGCCCAGTGTTCAGGGTGTGGGCTCTGGAGTCACCCTGCCGAGTCAGAATCCAAGTTTACTGGGTGGCAGAGTGTTCCCCAAATTTCACATCTACTTGGAAGCTCAGAATGTGACCTTGTTTGGAACTAGGCCCTTTGCAGATATAGTTAATTAAGATGAAGTCATGCTGAATTTGGGTGGCCCCAAATCCAATGTGACTTGTGTCTTTATAAGAAGAGGAAGAGACAGAGACAGACAGAGACACACAAAGAGTGGCAGAAGCTGGAGTGATGCTGCCACCAGCTTAGGAGTGCCCAGGGCCGCCAGGATCTAGGAAAGGCAAGGGGTGATTCTTCCCAAGTGCCTTCAGAGGTAGCATGCCCTGCCGACACCTTGATCTTGGTCTTCTAGTCTCCAGAACTGTGAGACAATAAATGTCTATTGTCCTAAGCCTCAGGAAACTCATCCACCACATTTCCATGTGAGTAGGGGGAGACATGGACCCTTTCTTGATCTCATCACCTCATTTGTTAAGTGAGGACAGCAGGTTGGGCATGGTGGCTCACACCTGTAATCCCAGCACTTTGGGAGGCCAAAGTGGGCGGATTACTTTAGGTCAGGAGTTCAAGACCAGCCTGGCCAACATGATGAAACCCTGTCTCTACTAAAAATATAAAAATTAGCCAGGTGTGGTTGTGGGTGCCTGTATTCCCAGTACTGGGGAGGCTGAAGCAGGAGAATCACTTGAACCCAGGAGGCAGAAGTTGCAGTGAGCCAAGATTGCGCCACTGCACTCCAGCCTGGGTGACGGAGAAAGACTCCATCTCAAAAAACAAAACAAAAAAAAAGACAAAAAACGAGGACAATTGTGTTGGAGGGACCAACTTGGAAAGATGCATTTACCGTACTGCATGTCAACGTCTCTCAGGTAATAGAAGTATTACTGGTGCCCTTCACATGCTTGACAAGCTTTCGGTTTGCTTCTCCATGATTGGTCATGCAGAAGGGTGCTTTCTTATGCTGTAGTGTGTAGCCTTCTTTCCTTCTTGACCTGCTAATTCCTTTATCACCACCCTTTCCTCCTCTTATCTTAATCTTTCAAGGGAAAGAGATACCCAAGACAAACACATTTCCTGAACATTCTTTTTGGGCTTAAGATGATAAGCCTCTTCTAACCAATCTGGACCCAAGAACAGGCCAGTGAGTGCAGTGTCCTGAGTTCTCTTTCTGATGGAAATCCCAACGCATTTGGGGGGAGGTCAAGAATCCTGCCCTGCTCTAAGGTGGACCTTCATGAGAGGGACTCCTGAATGGGTGATAGGGTTTAGCTTTGTGTCCCCACCCAAATCTCTTCTTGAATTGTAATCCCCATATGTCAAGGGAGAGACCAGGTGGAGGTAATTGAATCATGAGGGTGGTTTCCGCTATGCTGTTCTCGTGCTGTTCACAAGATCTGATGGTTTTATAAGGGGCTCTTCCCCCTTTGCTTGGCACTTCTCCTCCCTGCCACCTTGTGAAGAAGGTGCCTTGCTTCCCCTTCACCTTTTGCCATGATTGTAACTTTCCTGAGGCCTCCCCAGCCATGCTGAGCTGTGACGCAATTAAATCTCTCTCCTTTATAAATTGCCCAGTCTTGGTCAGTTCTATGTAGCAGTGTGAAAATGAACTAATACAGTGAGTCTGACTTTTCAGGGGCCCTGGGGTGGATGTTAATATGCACCCTTTGTTTTCTCTCTTTCTACCTCGTAATACAGTGCTTGTCTCAAGGGTTTTAAGGGACACAGTCCTGTTCACTCTTAAATACTGGAGACTCCCAGTATTTTGGTGAGTTTTTTTTTTAATTGGAATTGTAACTTATGCTCATAGGAGAAGCCTCAAAAAATAGTCTAAACTGTGGAAAAGCAGGAAAAAAATACAGTCTCACCATCCAGAAATAGCAATTGCTATCGTTTGATATATTTATTTCTGTATTTTCCCATGTAAAAGTGTTTACAGGGTTGATATTTTGCTACCCATATTGCATTATTTATATTTTTTCCTACTTAACATTAGGGCATAACATCTCTGTTATTTGGACATATCGTCCTTAATAGATACATAAGATTCTGTTGTAAGAGTGTCTCAACATTCATTTGGTCGTTTCTGACCACATTTTTGGGCAGTTAGGTTATACTTTGATTTTTAGCTTTGAATGTGAGTAAAGGCAAGAAGCTAAAGCCAAAGAGCCTTGCGTAGTAAAGGAATAAGGACTGGAGGGAGACCCTTGGGAGGGCATTCCCTGAGCCCCTCAGATCTGAGTGTTCACCCAATCTGGGTTTGGCCTCCCAAGGAATCCCAGTAAACCTCTCTGTAACTCTTTTGCATTCTGCATTCATATAGGAGAAAACAACAACAACAAAACAACAACAGATCAGTGGGTAGCAGAAATTCTGAGACAGCAGTAGCAGCTGCATTTCTGATAAGTCCTCTAACAAGAGCCTGCATGCTCATGCTGAAGCTTTTGACTGTTCTTGCTCAATGAGAGTGATTTAGTGAGGAATCATAGTAATGCAGAAGTTTGCTGATAATAGTTTACTTTGGAACTAAATAATGTCTAGGCATGATTGTCTCAGGGTCAAAGAATTTATATATATTACATATATTTATATATAATAGAATTTATATATATTATATTATATATATTTATATATAATAGAATTTATATATATTACATATTGTATATATTTATATATAATAGAATTTATATATGTAACATATATATTTATATATAATATAATTTATATATATTATATATTTATATATAATTTATATGTAATATATTTACATATAATTTATATATTTATATATAATTTATATGTAATATATTACATATAATTTATATATTTATATATAATTTATATGTAATATATTACATATAATTTATATATTATATATTTATATGTAATATATTACATATAATTTATATATTATATATTTATATATAATATAATTTATATATGTTAGAAATAAAAATATAATTTTAATATAAATATATATTTATATTATATACATTTTTATATATGTAACTTAATACACAATGGGGTCTCCTTAGCAAAGAAATGGAGCCTCGTTTTTTCAGATCATTTAACACAGTGGTTCCCAACCTTTTTGGCATCAGGGACCAGTTTCATGGAAGACCATTTTTCTTTCCATGGACAGGGGTCGGGGGATGGTTTTGGGATGATTCAAACGTATTACATTTATTTCACACTTTGTTTCTATTATTATTACATTGTAATGTGTCATATATAACTCACCATAATGTAGAATCACTGAGAGCCCTGAGCTTGTTTTCCTGTGAGTAGATGGTCCCATCTAGGGTTGATGGGAGACAGTGACAGATCTTCACACATTAGATTCTCATAAAGAGTGCACACTTAGATGACACGCATGTGCAGTTCACAATAGGGTTTGTGCTTCCATGAGAATCTAATGCTGCAGCTGATCTGACAGGAGGCGGAGCTCAGGCGGTGATGTGAGCGATGGGGATCAGCTGTAAATACAGATGAAGCTTCGCTCATTTGCCCACCTCTCACCTCCTGATATGTGGCTCAGTTCCTTACAAGGTACAGACCAGTACAGGTCCGTGGCCCAGGCAGGGGTTGGGGACCCTTGACTTAACACATTGTAACAGGAGCACTGATAGACTGAATTCTCCTGTATTTTGAATGGTATCTGCATTCAGAGGTAATACCTTTTGCAGTTTTTAAAGCTGCTCACCAGGCTGTGTGGTCAGGCCTCTTGCGGAGGTGCACACAGCGTGTACCTAACATAGTGCAGTGGGTGCCAGGCAGAATGGGTGCAGGGCATGGCTCTATCAGCAAGCATATGGGAAGGTGAATCTAGTATTATTCGTGGATGACCAATAGTGAAAGCTTACTAGATGCTTCAGGTTACCCTTGAATATTGTTTCCTGTTTGTTTGTTCTTCCTTTTACCTGAGGGAATGTGTATAAACGGTGTTTCTCAAAATGTAACGGATCACAGAAGCAGCAGTTAGAATGCAGATTCCTGGGGCTTGCCCTGTATAATAGTAGTCAGCAAGATGATCATCCTCTTCATCAAAACAGCAGCAGGTAGTACTCCTGGTGGTACTTTCTTGGAGCCAGGCACTGAATCCTCACAAGGTCAGCCCCATTTTACAGATGGAAAAATGGTGACACTGAGAGCCTTAGTGACTTTCCCAATATCACAGAGCTAGTAAGTGACAGAGATGGGAGACAGACCCAGGTGGTCTCACCATTAGGCTTCCAGGCCTGCTGTATCAGCAGCACCCAGCCTGGGCCCCTGACTGTGTATTTTTAAGTCTCCACTGAGACCCTTATGCAGACAGGCTTGAGGACCACAGCTATCAGACAAACAACGGAAAGGAAGAGAGAGGGTCGGCCTCCCTGTTGGAGAAATGAGAACCACATCCCACAGCTTTTAGAGGCTGATAGTCATTACCTATCCTGGTCAATATACTTGAGAAAAATCAAGCATGAGACCATGTAGGCGTGAGAAATCTCTTTACCTTTTGTAGTGGGAGGCCATGTTTTCTCTCTGACCCTTTGCTGTCTTCCTATTTTGAAAATCAGTAGAATGATTAAAAAAGAAATAAAGGAAAACAGCAGATAATGACCAAGGAAACATCACTCTGATGTTGAAGTGCTGGGGAATGCTTATTGGAAATCTATTCCAGTTATTCGATTGTGTAAGTAAATGGGAGTGGGGAGACCTGAACCCCAAGAACTGGCCTCACTTCCTCCCATGATTTGTTGAAACTTTCTTTTCTTTTTCCCTTCTGACTTCTCTCTCTTTCTCCTTTCCTTCCTTGGCACAATCATGTTTAATTTTAAATTTAATTAAACACTACATTAATATATTATTGTACTAAAAAAGTTAAACAAGAAAGGAGAAAGAAGTTCTTTTTGAGCCTGTGAAACCCACTCTGCTCAGAAATAACAACTGTTACCAATTTATTGTGTGTTTTCCAGACCTTTTTCAGTTTATTACATGTATATATAATTTTGTTTGTGTACTTTTATTTTTACATAAATGGAAAGAAATGGTCTTTTGCAGTTTGCTTTGGCCAAACTGCCCCCGCACCCCACAACATCAAAAAACAAAAAACCTAAAAATCAACAACAATGTGACTTAGGAATTTTCCCAGGCCAGTTCATGCTTTTTCAACTCTTGTATGGATTCCATAGTATAGATATAGAGTAATTCATTTAACACCTCCCTATTGATAGCTGTTTAGATTTTCAGTTTTTGCAAGCTGCAGGGAACCAGCTTGTCATTCCTGTCAGGCCCATGTGTGTCTGTTTCTCAAGGACAGAGACCTAGAAATCACAGTGTTGGGAGAAAAGGTGTGCATGTGTCAAACTATGATGGACATTTTTACTAAATGGCTCCAAAAAAGACAAGGCTATTTTCTTTCCCTCTTCCCTGAGAGTTTTTAAGCCCTTTCTCCGTAAAAGATGATAGGGAAAGCTGGTGTCACACGTGGCAAAATTTAGACCTGTTTGGATATCTTTGCCTTCCCTCATTTCCATTCCATCTAACGGATTCCCCCACTTCACACTGCAACATTCACACTCCTGACCCAGTTCTCTCCTGCTCTGGATTTCCCCTTATTACCAGGGATATGTTCCTCCCCCTTTTGGTGGTTTGGTGAGAAGTGGTATCAAGCTCCATTTAAAGAGCCTAACTGAGTGCCATCAATTGCTGTTGTGTTTTCTACAATAAAGTGTAGAAAGCACTGACAGTTGTCAACAAGTTAACACTTAAATGGTAGTGTTTTCACAGAATTTGGTCCAGTATTGCAGAACTTCAGTGACAGAAGGGACTAAATTTAGAATATAGGCTAGATGAAGAATGTGGGGAATGTTTTACTGGCCTCTTATTTTTAAGAATGATTTTTTTCTTCTATTTTTATTTATTTTTTAATTTATTATTATTATTATTGAGACAGGTCTCGCTCTGTCGCCCAGGCTGGAGTGCAGTAGTGTGATCTCGGCTCACTGCAACCTCCGCCTCCTGCATCCAAGTGATTCTCATGCCTCAGCCTCCCAAGTAGCTGGGATTACAGGTGTGTGCCACAATGCCCGGCAATTTTTTTGTATTTTTAGTAGAGATGAGGTTTCGCTGTGTTGGCCAGGCTCATTTCCAACTCCTGGCCTCAAGTGATCCACCTGCGTTGGCCTCCCAAAGTGCTGGGATTACAGGCATGAGCCACAGTGCCCAGCCTAAGAATGATTTTCTCAATGGGAAATATTATTGTTATCATAATCATAAAACATATTCTGCGTTAGAAACCTTTGAAATAGCTCAGAAATTATTAATTTTTTTGTTTGTTTTGAAACTTCTAATACAAGGAAAGTAAGAGAGAAGAAGGCATGTTATCATCTCATTTTTTTCTTGGTTAGTCTCTTAAGAAATTTGAGTTATTTAAAATTCCTCATATTCTATAGTTGAGTTTCTGTTTATCGTTTATTCTATGTGTACTTATCTACGTGAGCTACTTCTATAATTAATGTGCATAGTTTATTTATAATTATGTGGAATGTCATTTGATTCCTTTAAATAATTACAGAAGTTTATATATATTGTAAATTGGTCTTTACTACTATGCTCATTCTTTATGGGTCTTCATGGGTCATTCCTATTCTTTAAGGCCAGGATGCTGATCAGAATACAGCTCCTCAGAGATAACATTATTCCTGCAGGCAAACATAATTTTATGATGGAGTCTCGCTCTGTCACCCAGGCTGGAGTGCAGTGGCACGATCTTGGCTCACTGCAAGCTCCACCTCCTGGGTTCACACCATTCTCCTGCCTCAGCCTCCTGAGTAGCAGGGACTACAGGCGCCTGCCAACACGCCCGGCTAATTTTTTGTATTTTTAGTAGAGACAGGGTTTCACCGTGTTAGCCAGGATCGTCTCGATCTCCTGACCTCGTGATCCGCCCGCCTTGGCCTCCCAAAGTGCTGGGATTACAGGCCTGAGCCACCGCGCCTGGACTTCTTTTTTTTTTTTTTTTTTTTTTTTTGAGACAGAGTCCCACTCTGTCACCCAGGCTGTAGTGCAGTGGTGCAATCTTGGCTCACTGCAACCTTCGACTCCTGGATTCAAGTGATTCTCTTGCCTCAGCCTCCTAAGCAGCTGGAATTACAGGTGCCTGCCATGAGGCAGGCTAATTTTTTTGTATTTTTAGTAGAGACGGGGTTTCGCCATGTTGGCCAGGCTGGTCTTGAACTCCTGATCTCAAGTGATCCACCCGCCTCGGCCTCCCAGAGTGCTGGGATTACAGCTGTAAGCCACCGTCCCTGGCCAGTGTTACTGCTTTTATCTACCAAGAGCTCTCATCCTGAGGCTCATGAAAGCTGTGGCATCCATCTGTCTGTCCATGTAGTATTGAAGCACTGTGGATTGTGAGGTGTGATTATCTGGTTGATTTTAAGACCTTTACCTCCATCTGTTATCTTCATGGAAGTACCAGAAGGACTTATGTTCCCCATTGCTGGATACCAAGTTATTTGGTTTATGCTCACCACTAAGTCTTCACAACAGTGAGGTAATTTCTGTCTTATTTTATATATGAGGAAAATGAGGGCCTGGAGAAGTTCAGTCATTCATCTGCCAAGATGTTAGTGACCCAGGATCAAGCAGAGGGTGACCATGTCCTCAAGGAGCTTGCTTCATTAAGGGGACACAGAGAAGTACCATCTGGTTGGGAAGTTCTCTGGGGAAGGCATGCCTGAGTGCAGGGGGAAGGTGTTTTAGTCCTTTCCCACATTGCTATAAGGAAATACCCAAGACTGGGTAACTTATAAAGAAAAGAGGTTTAGTTGATTCAACATGGCTAGGGAGGCCTCAGGAAAAGTACAATCATGGCAGAAAGCACCTCTTCACAGGGCAGTAGGAGAGAGAATGAGAGCCAGCAGGGGAAATGCCAGACACTTATAAAACCATCAGATCTCGTGAGAACTCACTATCATGAGAACAGCATGGGGGAAACTGCCCCCCATGATTCAATTACTTCCCACTGGGTCCCTCCCATGACATGTGAGGATTATGGGCATTACAATTCAAGATAAGATTTGGGTAGGAACACAGCCAAACAGTATCAGAAGGGAAGGAGGTTAGCTAGCAGGCAAGGAATCAGGGATGTGCCTGGGAAGGCTTTCCAGAAGAGCAATGCGTTTTTATGAACAAGTAAAAGGTAATCACATTCAAAAAGGGCTGCTCTGCACAAGGCTCCCGGGTGAAGGTTCTGGCACACACAAAGGCATGACATAGGTCTTAGTCATTGCCTGCCACTCAAAATCACCTGGGGAACTTGTTAAGGTACCAGTTTCTAGGCTTCCTTGAATTAAACAAATCTGATTTAAAACAAATCTGTAATAAGTTTTTGTTTGTTTGTTGATTGTTTGAGGAGGAGTAGAGGGGTCACACAAAAAGATAACAGAATCCTATCATGACTTTTACTTATTTTCCTCCGAAAAAGATGCTGATATTGAAAAGGCAATGGTAGGAGAGTACATCTGCTTAAGGACAGAAATATGAAAACTCATAGTTCAGACGTATTCTTAGAAAGGCTTTGTGTGTGCATGCATTTGCGTTCCTGTTTTCTTTAATTGCATTGCTCATATGTTCCATTCATTTATTAATTTAACAATTATTTGTGAATCCACGGGCCAGGTATTTATAGAATAGTGCTGCTTACCAAATTGTCCTTAGCTTTTATGAAGCCAGAATATTCTTTAAAACAGAAAAGTAAGTAAATTATAACTAATTTCTCTAAGGCAAATATTTCAGTGTGCTTTTGAGATTATTTTTATGCTAATAATAATTATACATTTTTATCCAAATAGCCTAACAACTGGGCAGAAGATTAATCTAATTTGAAAAAACTCAATATTGTTTGATGAAAACAAATGAGATCATCAGGAGTCAAACAGATGGTTTTGGCAGCTTTTCTGTATTTACTTGGACTGAAAATCACCCTTTAATGTAGGGTTCTTTCATGAACAATAATGTGTTTGTTATCTGAATATATGTTTGCTATTAGTAGATCATAAATGAATAAGGTGTGTTTCAGACATTTATAGGTCAAGTTCCATCTTCTTTCCTCATATAGAGCATGAAATATTAATTGTCCACAAGAGTTTGATGAAGGATTGAAAAAAAAGTCTTTCATTTGTCAAGTGGGGTTTATTTTCCATAACCTTTTCTTGTCTTTGATTTTTCTGTGTTTTGTCTTGTTTTTCTATGGGTTATGATCCCATGGGTTGCATTTTTTAATAGTTTAACTTTTATATTTGATTTTTAAAATCCTGTGATGTCTCATGAAGAGAAAAAGGCAAAATATAAATATTTGCACATCAATTTCCAAAATGAGGTCAACTGCCCTAGGTTCTGATAAATAAGAATTAAAGAGCAAAACATGCATTGTGAAATTTAAGAGAATTGAGCTCATGTCTGTAGACCAATTACTGACCAATGTAAAGGGGGACTATGAATAATGGTAATAGATTAAGCATTATTAATTATAGGTTGCCTTTTGTATAGTATAAGGTTATGAATAAGGGACCTCTCCTCAGTGCTGCTTCGAGAATGACCTGGAAGATGATCATGGCTTTCAGAATATTGCTATGTGGTTGTTTCGGAGGGAGCCAGCTACTTACCATATATAGAAACAAACATTTAAAAAAACTCTTATATGAAAATAACGACACTTTCTGTGTTGACAGAGTGAATTGTTTTATTGTTGAAATGTTTTAAGATGGAAAGATTGAGTTAGCCATGTGCCAGTCTGGTTGCTTACTTTTAACCAAACTTAGTTTGGCAATCATTACCATGCATTGTCTGCTGCCCAAACAAAAGCGTGGTTCTTTCCTCAACCTCTGCTTTCCTTTCTTTTAGACATGGCCAAATTCTCTGGTAGTTATTATATCTAATCAGCCTGGATGCTATTTGCCCCAGGTTTTGCCTCCCAAATAAGAAATGAGTTGCCTTCCCCTAAAAGGTCTGCTAATCATGTAAACTACACTGTGAAAGATTTTAGAGAATACTTTGGAAGAGAAGACAATCCTCCAATCTTAGGCTTTCAGAGATAGAGTTGTGTTCAGACCTGAGGTGGTGGTGATTACTCTTCTGATTTAGCAGATGGGAAAACTTATATGATGAGAGAGATTGTACAAATGCTCAGAGGCAGAGGGGGTCTTCTGACTCCCACTGTCCCATTCTTGCTTGGCATATAATGTGGTTTGTCTCTGTGTCCCCACCCAAATCTCATGTTGAATTGGTCTTCAGTGTTGGAGGAGGCACCTGGTGGGAGGTGATTGGATCATGAAGGTGATTTCCCACTTACTGTTCTCACGATAGTGAGTGAGTTCTCACCAGATCTGGTTTAAAATTGTGTGGCACTTCTCCCTTTGTTCTGTCTCCTGCTGGCCATGTGAAGATGGTGCCTGCTTCCTCTTTGCCTTCCGCCATGATCGTAAGTTTCCTAAGGCCTTCCCAGCCATGCCTTCTGTACAGCCAGAGGAACTGTAAGTGAATTAAAACTCTTTTCTTTATAAACTACCCAGTCTTAGGTATTTCTTTATAGTAATGTGGGAATGGACTAATACAGTATCATACTGCCTGTGAGATAAGCAGGAAGGAGGAGAGATGAGTTGTGATGGCTCTAGAGATAAACAAGAGAGAAAGTGAGAGAGAGAGAGAGAGAGAGAAATGAACTCGGCAGTTCTTCACCCGGGCACAGCCCCCTTCTCCCTCCAGGACTGATTATAGTCTGGGTGGACCAACAATTTGAAAGAAAGTATGTAGGCAGAGAGGCTTTTGGAGGTGACTGACAACATGTAGCTTAGGAACCAGTGGCTTTTCTTACTAATTGTCCTTTATCTGGGAACCCTCAACTCAATTTTTTTTTTCCTCACTAGTACTCATGACTGCTTATTACTGCAGCAGTGTTCCAGTGAGACAATTGAGATGAGCTTTGTTCTTATGTGTGTATGTGTGTGCTTGGCTGCATACAATATCTTAAATAGGTCATGCAATTACACACTTAAAAGCACCCAAAAATATCTACAGTAAAAGTAAGTTTCCCTCCCACTCTTAACCCCAGCGACTTTGTCCTGGAGACAATCTTTGTACCAGGTTCTTGGGATCCTTCCAGAGCCAGCCTCTGCATACTCTCTCTCTCTGTGTGCATGTTTCATTTCTTTGTGTGTGTGTGTTTCATTTCTAACCAAATAGGAGTCTCTAGCTTTACTCTTAGCTAATTTAATGGTGAGACTCTAACCTGTAACTTAAAACATCTTTGGAGATTGCATTCCCTCCCCACCATTGAGCTACTCACTTCTAGTGCCACTGTGTTTTTTTTTTTCCCCATGATTTTGTGCTTAAGAGAATTTCTCACATGCTTCTTGATGAAAGTTGTTAGATTCTGGAATGCTTGCATAGATGTTTTAACCTATGCAGTTTAACTAATTTTATCCACCTGGCCTCAGAAATTTGAGTGGAGGTTGTTAATACGTTTTTCAAGACAAGAAAAAAACAAGACAAAAAAACAAGAGGGATTTCTTTCCCCTGCTCTTTTTCTCTAACCAAAAAAAGATGTATAAAATGTTACAATTCATAGATTGGCTACCCATAATATAAACCAGGCTATTTTGGCATTTCAATAAAAATGACCCTACTTGTCTAAAAGGACCTTGTTAACATTAAAATCATGCTTCACAAAAAGCTGTTTTTGTTGTTAAAATTAGTAAGGAAACTTAAAACAGAGATCAGCTTTCCTTGTCAAATTTATCTCAACCCATTTATTCCTGGGCTTTGTTTTTTAGATTTTGTAGACTTCTGGAAGGCAGTTTAAGGGGCAAGTTTGTGGTTGCCTTTAAGTTAGAAGATTAGATTTCTAGGGCTTGTTGTGGACTTCTGGTGGTTCCATTTTCACTTTCTAAAGTGGGCCAAGTTGCGAATGTTCCTGGCCATGGTGGAGGAGGGTGGTAGTTCTGGTCTCCCTGATGTCTCATATGCAAAGTGCCTGACAGCCATATCAGAATGGGGGTAGTCTCAGAGGCTCCCAGCCTCACAGAGCTTCCTTCTGCTGCTGATGGCCAGCGTACTAGTTTTCTATTGATAGACAACAAGCTATGACAAACTTAACGGCCTAAAATAACATCATTTATTAACCCACAGTTTCTGTGGGTTGGGGCTCTGGGCACAGCTTAGCTGGGTCTCTCAAGTCTGCAATTAAGATGTCATCCAGGGCTGGTCTCATCTGAGGCTCAGGGCCCTCTTCTAAGCTCACGTGGCTGTCGGCAGAATTCAGTTCCTGGCAGCTGCAGAGTGGCTTCCTTCTTTAAAGCCAGCAAGAGAGGACCTTTATGGCTTGTAGACCCTTTTTAAGGCTCACTTAGTAGGTCAGGCCCACTCAGGATAATAACTCAAGTTACACCTGCACAATTTCTGGTCACAGCCTAATCACGGGAGTGACATCCATCACATTCACAGGTTTTGCCCACACTCAAGGGAAGGATTGCACAAAGTAGGTGTATCAGGGGTTGGATACAGCTTAGAATTCTACCAACCATACCCAGAGCAGCTTTGGGACACATGGTAAGTAGAAGCATCTATCGAGAATGATACTTACAGCTAGAAGATAGCTTGCCCAATCAGTACACACAGTACAAGCTAGCAAACGCTTGCTTGCTTTTGGCCATTCCCTCTCCTCCTCTGGTTAGGTGGCCACCAAGCCCTGCAAGATCTGGGTCTTGCTCTCCCCTGTCTCCCCATCTTCTTCTGCACTTCTCCTGGTGGGACTTTTTTTTTTTTTTCAGATGGATTCTCTCTCTGGTGCCCAGGCTGGAGTGCAATGGCAGGATCTCGGCTCACTGCAACCTCTGCCTCCCAGGTTCAGTGGATTTTCCTGCCTCAGTCTTCCGAGTAGCTGGGACTACAGGCATGCACCACCACGCCAAGCTAATTTTTGTATTTTTAGTAGAGATGGGTTTTCACCATGTTGGCCAGGCTGGTCTTGAACTCCTGACCTCAAGTGATCCACCCGCCTTGGCCTCCTGAAGTGCTGGGATAACAGGTGTGAGCCACTGCACCTGGACGGGAGGGTTTCTTCTGTTTCTCTCAATGTTTTATGCTCACTTCCTGCCATGGAATTTTGAACATACTCTAACCTTTGCTTGGAGTGCTTTTCTACCCTATGTTGTAGAGCTGACTTTGACCCATTTTTTACATTTCACTTTGGACATTCTTTCCCGGCATCCATGGGTACTTGCTGTACAATTAAGTATCTTTTCTTCTTAACACTAACCTCAATTGTGATTCAGCATTTTGATTTTCCGGAACTCCTGCTGAACTGGAAGTTTTGGGAGGGTAGGGATGATAGTATTTTCAGCTCTGATCACTGTGCCTGGTACAGACTGGCTGCCCCCTGAATATATGTTGGATAAAAGGGAATAAGAGAAAGATGGGAAAATTGGAACTAAGTTTCAATCTTCCTAGTTCAGCATGTGTCTCATGATGTCATGAGTGTATTTAGTGTAGTACTGTTGGCTCACATTAAATGTTTGCAACTGTTCCTGGCCATGGTGGAGGAGGGTGGTAGTTGAAGTTGAGTGAGAGTGATAGGGAGCGAATGAGAATGGATAAATAGGGATGAAAAATGACTGAATGTCTACCAACGAGTTCTAGGCCCTTGATATTTTATTGTTCCTTCTTTGAATTCCATAGAGGTTAAAAAAGATAATTAAAACCACCACAGCTTAAGTGTATTTTCATATGGTAGTGGCTGTAGTATAGTATAGTACTAATAAACTTACTGATCACCTAAATGTAATTTTTAGTAGATCTTTCAATTTTTTGTGCAAAGCCACCAGTAATATTCTGCAATTAGGACTTCGGATTTCCAAGGTACCATAATTTTGATGTGATTATCTGCTTTCTTTTATAACATCATATAGAATGAACCTTTAATGTAGCTTTGGGTTTTCTGCAGCTGCTCTTAAAATGATTCTGCGTCTGCTTATAGCATACCTATCATGAAGAGTAAACTGCTCAGCACTTTAAGATGATTTTTCCCCCTCCTGTCTTATAGTATATTTCACTGTGAGAATAAAATCACAGTGATGCTTATCATCTCAAAGTGTTTTGGAACCAAAATATTCTTATCTCCTCTGAGGCTTCTAATGACATTGTTTCATGGAGGGCCATAAAGCTGAGAGAATAAAGTGAGGTATTCTAGGTAGAAACTTGGGGTGCATCATCAGAAACCCTGGCAAAGGAATGATTTGACACCGAAGCCCCTGCAGTCTGTCTAGGTTCGCTTTTATTTGCTGCTTAAATTCAGCAACTCTGAAACTGAAAGTATGTCCATATATGTGACATGCATCTATTGAGGAAGATGCATGAGTGTGCAGGCATCTGATTGTTATTTTAAAAATGATCATGATGCTGAATGGTAAATGTTCCCACTGGACTTTGATCAGAGAATACTCTTGTAGTTTCTTCAGAAGTTGATTCCTTTATTTTCTTTTTAGAATTAAATGTTCTATATTTCTTTTGGAGAGGAACCTCATCTTAGAGCTAATGTGTATTGACTTAGAAATCTGTCTGCTAGAGAGATTGATGTTTAACAAGACTAATATGATAATGAAGGTGAACAATGTACATTGGTATGTTCATGAACTTGAGTGCCTCCTTCTCTCAGTATGAGCTTATTTACATCAGAGCCAGCTAATTATGTTTCTAGTAGGTTGGTGGTTGGAGGGCTGAAGATGTTTATCTGCAGACATGCTTGGGCATTGACTGGCTGATGCTGAACACATGAGGCAGTCCTCTGACTGTCGGAGAGTGTCCAGGCATTCTCCGAACCTGCACTGTGAGTTTTTAATATACTGGGTTCCGGGGACTGTGGCATGGCCACCTTGATGAGGCTGTGAATGAAGAAGCAAGGCAAACATCTTCAAACCTCCAGAGGCAAGGCCACACAGAGGAGCTGAAGGCAAAAGCCTGGCCTGGTTAATATATTCAGACATCTAGACAGGGAACTTCTAAGCCTTGCAGCCTGAGGATTGTATAATAGTCATAAAGACCCTCAGTTATTTGAAGAATGAAGTGAAAAGAAGACAGGACTTGGAAGTAGATGGGGAATCAATTATTGACTCTGCCACTTCTAGTTACTTGACCTTGGCCGAGACATTTCTTTCAGAACCTTTGTTTTCCCCTCTGTATCATGCAGGGGCTGGACTAGATTAGTGGGTCCTGAACCTGCTTGTGTCTTGGAATTGCCAGGACTGCTTGTAAAATACTCAGATGCCTGAGCCCTACTCCAGACCAAATGAATCATAATCCCCAATGAGTGAGGCCCAGGCAACTGTGTTCTTTTTTATGGCGAGACACACATAACATAAAATTTACCATTTTGATCATTTTAAAATATACAATTTGATGGCATTAAGTACATTCACATTGTTGAGCAACCATTACCACTATCTATTTCTAGAACTTTTTCATCATCTCAAACTGAAACTCTATACCCATTAAACAATATCTTCTCTTTCTCTCCTCCCCTCAGCCCTTGGTAGCCTGCATTCCACTTTCTGTCTTTATGAATTTGCCTGTTCTAGGTACCGCATGTATGTGCAGTCAGACAATATTTGTCCTTTTGTGCCTGGCTTCTGTCACTTAGCATAATGTCTTCAAGGTTTATCCATGTTGTAGCGGGTATTAGAATTTTATTCCTTAAAAGGCTAGATAATAGCCCATGTATGAATATACTGCATTTTGTTTATCTACTCATTTGTTGATAGACATTTGTGTTGATTCCACTGGGCATCTATATTCTGAATTAGCCCCCTAGGTGGTTCTGATGTTCAGCAGGCTTGGGATCCCCTGGAATGAATGTTCTCCTGGTTAAATGATGTGTTGTATGTACCAAGTTTAGGAGAAGGAGAGCCAGACATAATGCCATAAACTGAAAATATGTGACTGTTGGTATGCTTAAGTATTTTTATCTAGGTATATGGGATTAACAGCATGACCTCTAATGCTAATAAAATACCCTAAACTCTACCTGAAAGTTCATGGTCTCCTGTTAGGAAGATACAAGGTTTCACAGAGCCACTGGCGTCTAATGTTAAAATATATAGTACTTTAAACTGTGATGTGCTGAAGTGGTTATCTTCCCGGCACTGTTTTTGTTGATATCACATTAGTTGCCAGGAATGACCACGGTGGAAGTATTCATACCTTGGAAATCAGAATGCATTTCAAAGTCAGGGCTTTTTCCTCTTAGAGAGCTGGCTGTTAAATATGGGCAGCACACCACTGACTACAAGCCAGGTGCTTGATACTTCTCTTCTTTTTAACCAGAGTTACTAATGAAAGAAATATAATTTAAAAGTATAAGCCTTTGTTGATAAACTAAAATTCAGAAATCAATGGTTGCTCTGAGATTCAGGGAGTGCAGGAGGTTCCACTACAGCTCCCATGAGTGCCTGCTTTAATTCCAGCTTGGATGAGGTGTGGGCTTATGGTGTGGAGGTTTCTCCTCATTCCTTTCCCGGTGTGATCACATGGATCAGTAGCTGCTTTTCTTGACAGATATTTGGCAGTCTCTTCCACAGTTCCTGCCCATAGGTTAAGGCCTTTATCAATTTTTTTATTTTTTTGAGATGGAGTTTCACTCTTGTTGCACAGGCTAGAGTGCAATGGCGTGATCTTGGCTTACCACAACCTCCGCCTGCCGGGTTCAAGCGATTCTCCTGCCTCAGCCTCCTGAGTAGCTGGGATTACAGGTGCCTGCCACCACACCTGTCTAATTTTGTGTTTTTAGTAGAGACGGGGTTTCTCCATGTTGGTCAGGCTGGTCTCAAACTCTCGATCTCAGGTGATTTGCCTACCTCAGCCTCCCAAAGTGCTGGGATTACAGGCGTAAGCCACTGTGCCTGGCCAAGGCCTTTATCAATTTTGTCCTGTTTTTAGAATGGGTGAATTTTTCTCTTTAATCACTTATCTACCCATGCTTCAAATGTAACAAAGAACCCCTCTGATCTCATGGCATGAAAGCAGAGGCAGCCACACAGACTTCCAGAAGACTCTGTACAACGTTGCGCTGTTGAATCAGACGTCTCTTCTGCTGGCTGCACAGTTCTAAAATCATCCCAAGCAAATGAGTCTCAGCTCAGACTTTCCAGCAAAGAGCCCAGGTAAAAGAGGTGGCAGATAGGAAGAAAAATATGGGTGCAGGAATGTGTGTTTTCACAGGCCCCCTAGGAATGCCCTTAGTCCTTGGACTACTCGTGGAAAAACGCTTCCCAAAAGTGTACTCAGCAAACATAGGCCGGCTTCATCCCACAGTGAAAGAGGCTTCTCAATGAGGCATAGATAAAGCCTGATATTTCCATATAAGTAATTTTTAAAATGGTCTAAAAAGCACCTAGCAGGGGTATTTTGTAGACATAGACAAGCTTATTCTAAAATTTGCATAAAAAGGCAGAGGACCTAGAATAGCTGAAACAATCTTGAAACACAAGAATACAGTGAGAGGAATCAGTCTACCCAATTTCAAAGCGTGTAGTACAGCTACAGTAATAAAGACAAAATGGCATAGACAGAAGGATGGACACACAGATCGGCGGAATAGAATGGGGAACCTGGACTAAGACAGAAATATATCCACCTGATTTTTAACAAAATGCCAAAACAATGTGATGGAAGAAGGCTAGCTTTTTAAACACATGGCACTGGAGCAGTGAGCTGTTCATAGACAGACAAACAAACAAACAAAAAACCACAAAAAAAAAAACACCTCACCTAAACTATACATCATATGATTAGGTCAAAATTAATCACAAACTTAAATGTGAAATGGAAAACTGTAAAACTCGTAGAAAACGTATGTAGGAGAATATGTGGGACCTAGAGCTAGGCAGAGTTTTCAGACTTGACACCAAAAGCACTGTTCATAAAAATGAAAAATTGATAAATTTACCTCATCAATATAACAATCATTTGTTCTATGGAAGCTTTGTGAGGACAACAAAAAATCTAATTAGAAATAGGCAAAAGATATGAAGAGACATTTCATCAGAGTATATACAGGTGGCAATGAAGCACATAAAAAGATGTTTAACATCATTAGCTATCAGGAAAATGCAGTTAAAACTACAATAAAATATTAATTCACCTATCAATATAGCTAAAAATGTAAACATCGAACCCTCGGACAACATGGGTTTGAACTCTGTGAGTCCACTCACATGCAGATCTTTTTCAATAAAAGTTATACCCAAGTGTCCCTGCCTCTCCTGTCTCCCCTTCCACCTCCTCTACCTCCTCCACTTTGTCCACCTCTTCCACCCCTGAGACAGCAAGACCAACCACTCCCCTTCCTCCACCTACGTTAATGTGATGAGGATGAAGACGTGTGTGATTATCCACTTCTACTTAATGAATAATAAATACGTTTTCTCTTCCTTATGACTTTCTCAATAACATTTTCTTTTCTCTAGCTTACTTTAGTAAGAATACAGTGTATAATACACATAACATACAAAATATGTGTTAATCAACTATGTTATTGGTAAGGCTTCTGGTCAGCAGTAGGCTATTAGGTATGTTTTTGGGGAATGAAAAGTTATATTGAATTTTTGACTTCAAGAGGGTTGGTCAAGGGTCAACTGTAGAGTGATAACACCAAATGCTGGCAAAGACGTGGAAAATCTCTCATACATTGCTGGTGAAAATGTCAAATGATTGTTTAGCCACCCTGGAAGTCAGTATGACAGTTTCTTAAAGAACTAGACATAACACTTACCACATGACCCAGTAATTGCACTCTTGAGCATTTATGCCAGTGAAACAAAAACTTGTGTTCACATAGAATCCTGCTGTGATGAATAAATGTTCATCACAGCTTTATTTGTAAAAGGTAAAAAACTGGAAACAACCCAGATGCCCTTCAGTAGGTGAGTGGTTAAACCAACTGTGGTATATCCATACCAAGGAATGATATGGATACTCAGCAATAAAAAGGAACAAACAATTGATACATGCAACAACTTGGTTGGAGCTCAGAAGAATTATTCAGGTAGAAAAGAGTCAACCTCAAAAGGCTACATACTAGATGATCCCTTTAATATTCTGGAATAACAAAATTATAGAAATGGAGAGCTGACTAGTGATTGCCAGGGATTAGAGACAGAAGCAAGAAGCAAACTGAGTGTTGCTATAAACGAATAGCCTGAGGGAGTCTTGTTGTGATAAAACAATTCTGTATGTTACGTGGTTACAAGAATGTACACGTAATAAAACTGCACAGAAACACACACACACCCAGACAGACACAAATAAGTGTATGTAAAACTGGTAAAATCTGAATAAGCTTTGTAGATTGCACAATTGTCAATTTCCTTGTTTTGCTGCTGTCCTGTAGTTATACAAGAGTTAACACTGGAGGAGGTTGAGCAAAGGGTGCATGGAACCTACCTGTATATTTGTTTGCACCTTTCTGTGAATCTATATTTCAGAATTAAAAATAAAAGATAAAGAGTGATGGTGGAATATTTTTGACAATTTTTCCTGATGAGCCGTGAACACCCTAGTTAATCAACCAGAAAGTTTACATTAAGTAATATGTTTTCTAAAGTATAAAAATCATGCAGGATAATGCATTAGTGACACAGATGGTGTTTCATACGTGTGTTGTAGATAACACATTTATTCTTTACACTGTCACTGATGTCTTTGAAATTACTTTGAGGAGACGGAGGGTTCCATTCTTGACTTTTTGTCTATAGCCACCGTAATTTTCCTTATGAGGTTGTTGGTTGTTTGTTGTCTTTAAATAAATCTTATTTTCTTAGGCTGCTACTATGCACCCCAGACTAGAAACATGTTCCTATTATGAAATGCATTAAGGGAGAAAAATCCTTGCTGCAACTTTTTATACGTCACCCACCTTTCTTGCATTTGCTCTCTTCTTAGCATAAACACTTCTAAATATGGGAGTGCCTATTGCTCAGGGCTGAATCCCATTGCAAAACATGTTCTTATTATGAAAAATGTATGAATTCACCCTTAGATGTTTGAAGTTGATGCTTTGAGCCCTCATTATTTGTTGCTTCCTAATGTTGAAAGGCCCAAGGCTTAGCATAGTTGGTAGCCAAATGTAAACACATTTAGAACAGAGTTCAAACATAAATCCTCAACATCAGCTCTTACCACTCCAGCCACAAAATCTGCATGTAACCTTAAATACTGGCTTTGTACCACCGCTGGAACATCCTTTTAAAGTATCATTGAAAGGCAGCATGCCATCTTCCCCAGAGACAACATTTTTACTACTGAAGCTATCACTTTCTGAGCTCCTTCTTTGTGTCTAGCACAACTCAAATAGTGAATGGAACATGGCTTTTAGAGTAAGGCAGAAGAGTGGCCGTTTGTTCCCAAAGTAATTGCGCTTTTTTGAAGCTTGGTTCCCTCATTTCTAAATACTGGGGGTAAAATGTTATCTGTTGTGGAGTTAGATGTGCTACCTTTGGGTTATGAGGTCCTTGTTATGTGTTCTATAGTGCTAATATGGTTTGGCTCTGTGTCGCCACCCAAATCTCACTTTGAATTGTGATAATCCCCATGTGTCAAGGGTGGGGCCAGGTGGAGATAATTGAATGGTGGGGGCAGTTTCCCTCATACTGTTCTCTCATGGTAGTGAATAAGTCTCACAAGATACGCTGGTTTTATAAAGAGGAGTTCCCCTGGACACGCTCTCTCTCCTGCCGCCATGTGAGAAGTCCTTTTGCTCTTCCTTCATCTTCCACCATAGTTGTGAGGCCTCCCCAGCCCTGTGGAACTGTGAGTCCATTAAACTTCTTTTCATTACACATTACCCAGTCTCGTGTATGTCTTTATTAGCAGTGTGAGAACAGATTAATACAAGTGCTTTTATGAGAATAAAATTAAGTCCTATGTGAAAACTCTAAGTTCAATGCCT
Source organism: Homo sapiens (assembly GCF_000001405.40). Lineage (NCBI taxonomy): Eukaryota > Metazoa > Chordata > Mammalia > Primates > Hominidae > Homo > Homo sapiens. Next base: position 33,959,237 of record NC_000007.14, read on the forward strand.
CACCTATAATAATTATGCAATTATTTAAATTTTCTTTCCTTTTTTCCCCTTTTTCCTGTTGGAAGATTATTTGTATAATATTTTTCAAATTGTTTTTGGTACCTCATCTTTGGAGGTGGCTTTTAGTGACATTTTCCTGCCTTATAATCTCACAGGACTGTCTCTCCTGGTGTAATATTATTTTCCTTCTTTCTCCATTTTTGTTCAGCATGAGCTCAACTTAGTTCTTCCTTCTTTGCCTGTTGAGAGGCAATGAGAGCTGACTGCTTGACAGTGGGGTGCTGAAGATAGGATGGTTTTTGCAGTGGGATTCAGCCCTGAGCAATAGGCACTCCCATATTTAGAAGTGTTTATGCTAAGTAGAGAGCAAATGCAAGAATGGTGGGTGATGTATAAAAAGTTGCGGCAAGGATTTTTCTCCCTTAATGCATTGCATATTCCCTTTATTGTATTAATTACATTAAAAATTCAAAAGCATATTTTATTGACTAGAATCCCAATTTATTTGTGGTTCATAGAATGTATTGTATTACCTTATGGTCAATGGCAGATACTGTATCTATTATGATACTATAAAGTTATGCGACTGAGCCACAATTTCATCACTTTACAGTCTCCAACAAACACAAACATTAGAAATCCAAGCAAGTCATGTGGAAGCTTTTTTTTCTTCCTTTATACTGGTGAAGTCAGTTGAATTTGCAAGTGATTCACTGTACTCATCTGAAATTTCTGCATATTTGGGGTTTATTCATTAAATCATCAAAAATTAAGTGAAATAGCTTTCTATCATTTTTTCTATTGTCAATTATTTCATTTCAATCACATATTGAATTCCTAATTGGAAGCGAAGCTAAAAAAGCAATGAAAAAAATTTTGTGGTGAGGGAGCACACGCTACTATTTAAGAACTCAGTTCATGGGCCTGATTCTTTCTCTTGGGACTGAGGAAATGGTTTGGCTATAAAATTCCCATTAGCCAAAAATAAGCACAATTGCCTCCAGGATTCATGGTAGGTACAGCCTTGAAGAGTAATAAAAGCCTGTTTTAAATGAAGTCTTAAGGATACTGTTTAAGCCCTAGAATGGATAGTCAGATTTTATGTTTATCCCTTTTGATTATACTTCCATATGTTTCTGGAGAACAGTGTCTGAAAAGTGGTTCATTAAAAAAATTGTATTGGGCTGGGGTAATTTGGGGCTTATTGACCAAGTCCAGGGGAGCAGGGGTGCCCTATCAGGTGGCCTGGAAGCAGCAAAGCATGGCAGACCTGTCTGCTCTGTTTCCTTGTGCCATGTGGCATGAAATGACTTCAAAGACTCCCAGTTTGGTTTAATTTAAATAAATATGACTGTTTGTGTGCTTATTAAAAAAGCAGTTGAGAATAAACCAGTAGTTAGGGAACCAAAATAGATTTTGAAAGGAAAAGGCACTCTACTGAAAGTTCACTTATCTGAATAGCTCCAAGAAAGCTTTCCTGTTTCTGGAAGAGGAGTTGAATGGGACCACATACCTAAGAGAAAACAGGAGATCCAGTGAATGTCACCCTTTCTATATTCTATTTTTGTAGTTTGTAGGAATAGCTGTATGTTGGTGCCTAGTATTTTTTACCAATGAAATTAAGCATTTATCAAGTGCTTCCCACAAACAAAGGGACTTGGAATTCACATTGTGCATGGAGAAAGAACACAGGAGCATACTCTGAGTGGGGAAGTTTCATAGAAGGCTTCCTAGAGACTATGATTTTAAGCTGAGTCTTGAAAAAGGATGAGTGAGGCAAGGAAGGAAAGTTTGGGTGACCTAGGTTTCCTTGTGGGGTAATGGAGAAGGAGAACATGGATGAGATTCAGGCTTTTCAATAAGGGACCAGCATGTGCAAAATCGCAGGTTGAGATCTTCTGGCCATGTTTTGGAGAATTCTAAGTACAGCTTCTCTGCAATGGAGGGAGTACAAGTTTGGGAACAGCAGAATAGAGGATGAAGAGGTGAGTTGAGGCCAGGCCCGGGATATCTTTGATGTTTACAGTAAAGGTTTATGGTTTTCAATCCTGGCTACATGTTAGATTCCTCTTCCACTTCCTACTTTTGGAAACTCTGATCCAATTTGTCTAGAATAAAAGGGCTAGGGGTGGGTGCCTGGTCTGTACCTCAGCCAGTCTATGCACCATTGGTCATTGTGAATGACATGAGCAGGCCAGAAAGAGCACACAGTGACAGCTGTGTAGGAAGATGGCTTAAGAAAGGTCCCTACCACAGCCAGGAGAAACAGTCAGTGAGCCTGTTGCAATAGTCCAGGCAGGCGAGAAATAACCAGCAGCTTAGCTGAGGCTGGAGTAGAGAGGTTGGAGAGGTAACTGGGAGAAAGCATCTAGAAGGTGTGGGAGGGCACTGAAGAAGGAAAGCCCGGTCAGCCCTCCACAAAGAGGCTCCAGACAATAACGACTGAGTGTCTTTTGCTTGGGCCCTTAGAAGGCAGCTGTAGCGCAAGAGAGTAAAGTTTTAGTGGAGGGATGGTGGGGTCAGAAGCCAGATTGCCTTAGTTGAGGAACTTGAACATGCATTCAGAAGCTTGTGAGTTCATTGTGAAGGTAACCCCAGGCAATGACATGGAGTTCTAGGGATGAAGGGAAAGAACTGGAAAGGTAGGTTGGGGGCATGTTGTGAAGGCTTTGGGTACCAGGGGTAAGTTATTCATAATGGTAAGATCCAGTTCTTTGCCATTTGACTGATGTTAATGTGAAAAATGAGAGGATTAAGACTAAATAGGAGAAACTAGGCACAGCCAAGGCTCATTAGAAGGCCAATGCCATTTTTTATGGTCCTGATGATTTTTAACAGCTATTTTAACAACAGAATGATGAAAATGTGTGGTATTCTTTCTCCCTTGGGATAATGTGGCCACTGAAAAAGGTCAGAACTAATAGGAAAAATGAGTTTTATTGCTTAACTGTGGATTCAATTAATTTGTGCTCTTCCTGTTTTCATTGCCCCGTGTTCTCAGTTGGCTAAGCCAAGCTTCTCTACAAGAATATGAATGTTAGGACAAATACTCTGGAGTTCTTTTCCACCCTGAAAATAATTAACATAAAAAAAGCCAAAATATATACAAAAGAAAAGTGTAGCTGGTTTAGGCTCATTGTTGTATTATTTTAGATGTAAGGAAGAACCATATTGAGCTTTGTCTGATGGTTTACATCAGGGTTTTCAGCCTTGGCGCAATGAAAATGTTGAGCTGGTTAATTCTTGGTGTGCATTGTAGGATGTTTAGCATCATCCCTGGCCTCTACCCATTAGATGCCTATAGTGCTCCATATCTTCCAGCTGTGATAACCCAAGATGTCTCCTAATGTTGCCCAGAGTCCCCTGGGTAGGGCTTAGGGTGAAAGGCAAAATCACCCTCACTTGAGAACTGCTGGTTTAAAGATATCGTAGTGATTTTATCAGAACATTACCACACCTCCCGCTGCAGTACTGATGGTTTTATTGAAGCTTATAAAATCTCAAATGCTTTTTGTCACTAGAAGAAAACTAATGAATGTTTATAAATCCCTTGTAGGGAGTTTCTTTTAAATATTTAAAGAAAAAAAAAAGCTGCTTTACTGGTTGCTGCATATTTACCTGACCAGTCATCTAATTATTCCAGTCACTTACTCTTTTATTTAATTACTAGATCTGCTATGATTTAATTTTATATGGACAAATGCTGGTTTTATTCCTGGGCCATGAAGTCCTCAAAGCAAAGGATATTATGCTGAATTAGAAAATGCTAAAATAATACTAGCAATTTAGACCTGGATGTAAAAATGTAATTTTCACATGGCACCTGGATTCTAGTGTTAGTTTCATATCTAATTTCTTCTAATTTGGAGTAAGCCCTTTAGCCTTTTTGTGCAAATTTTCTCATCTGTAAAAAGAAGGAGATAACTATAATATCTGTAAGTTTGCTTCTATTCTAAACGTCAACACTTGAATATATTTATATTATTTCATTGAGTTGTTCCTCCTGCTCCCATAATATACCTCTCAATGCAATTAAACCCAGAATGTGTCCCAGAATGTGGTCCATGGTGCTGGTCTACAATAAGTTGAGTACAAAAATGGACAGTAAACAGAAATGTTTAATATAATTTGGTAGTGTATTCTGTGCCTATTACATGTAATAATAAAAGTTGGGCTTATATTTTGTCTCTTTGAAATTCAATTTTTTCTAGTAAGTCACTTTTATTATATTTTATAAAAGTATCAGTCCACAGTGGATTAAAAAACAAAAACAAAGGCTGGGCGCGGTGGCTCATGCCTGTAATCCCAGCACTTTGGGAAGCAGAGGCAGGCGGATCACTTGAGGTCAGGAGTTCGAGACCAGCCTGGCCAACATGGTGAAACCCTGTCTCTACTAAAAATACAAAAATTAGCCGGGCGTGGTGGCAGGTGCCTGTAATCCCACCTACTCAGGGGGCTGAGTAGGAGAATCACTTGAACCTGGGAGGCGGAGGTTGCAGTAAGCCAAGATCGCGCCATTGCACTCTAGCCTGGGAGACAAGAGCAAAACTCCGTCTCAAAACAAAAAACAAACAAACAAAAATGAAAACAAAACTGGTCTCTCACTACAGGGAGTTTGGGAAGCAATGCCTGGATGTATGATGGAAAATTTTGTGTGCATCTCTTTCTACCATGGCCAATAAGAGATAGTATATTCCATCTCTCTGGAATTTAAATAAAAATAGGGCAAGATATTGTCTGTTTACCCTATTAGCAGCATAAAGTTGGTGGCAAATAGAATTAATTGTAAAGAAATTTATCTAACAGAAAATAAGTCATTTATTTTTGGAGTACATATAAGGTTTTCTTTGATTGTATCTATATCTGAGTCTTCATTTAGCTCGTTAGTTTCATGAATTAAAATAACATGTGTATCTTAGAACGTAAACCCAAAGAGTGATGAGAATGTCCTTTCTTTAATTATCTTTTTTTCTGAGAGTCCTTACATATGAAATCCATTCTAGTGCTTGATATACTGAAGTCTCCATAAGTAGTTGATGGTAGTGAGGGTAGGTGAAGAATGAAAAGGTGTGGATTACATATACTAAAGAGATTTTCACAGATGTTTTGGAGTCTATTTAGTCAGTCAGATTCATCCATCATTTGAGAAGGTTTGTTATATGGACTCAGATGTGATAGAATGACACGTAAACAAGGGTGGTTAAGCAATGGGGCACTTCACAATGTGACCTTCGTCCAATTTTCCAGTATTATTGTCCAATCTTTCTTTATGTGGTAAATTATGGTGGAGGAACAAGGCTTCCCACTGACAGTTATTTGAAGCAGAAAACACTGTTGGGTTCCTTGCACTGTGGACCATTTATTCCAATACCTTTTATCCCATAAAGAGTGGAATAATCCAGACAGCCTGGTGCTCCTCCTGGGAGCCCTTTGCACATGACCTGGCATTGCTTGGGAACAGCCTGTTAACCCTGGCTCACATGGATTTTGTAGCACACTTCCTCCTCTAAAACAAAAAAGGCAGGATCTTTGCTTGCACTATTAGCAGCAAAAAATCACCCTTTCTTTCAGTTTTTTAATTCAGATAATGAAAATATATAACATATTCGGAAACTCCACTGGCAGACTTGGCAGGCGTTTCATATTTACTTGGACTTAACATGAATTGGATTTGGTTCTCTGATTTCCCTGCCTCCATCTCTCGGAACAAGTTATTTATTATCTGAATGAGTCTGTGTTAGTGGATCAGACATGCACATGGCACGTCTCTTGTAAGCGCGTTTGTTCAGTAAGATTTATGCTAGCCCAAATTGTTTTATATTGGTTTTCATTGTTGAAAATTTACTGTATTCATTCTCGATTTGGCATAAGTATTTGTAGTGTGCTAGGGGTTCCTGTGGTTGAACATTTTATCTCTGTAACACTTCATGCAAAGGAAATTAAAAAATATATAGTGAAAGCATTTCCCTAATGTGTTTCCAATCAACTGTGTACTTTAGTAATTTGATTTGTAGGAACTAGAGAGCAGAGTATTACTGAGCCCTTTTCAATCATTCATAATTCTTTGGGAATTCAGATCATAGTTCCAAGTTTATGAAAACATCTATTGAATTTTTTCTAAGTCCTTTGTTATTCTGCTTGAATGTATTAACAGGGATTTTTTTTTTTAACCACAGCATTATCTAAAAGTTCTCATGGAAGGAGTGAGTCTCTCTTCTGTCTTGGACAAGAAAAACTTGATGTGAATTGAGGTTGATTAGCTTGCCAGAAATCAGTCATTGAAACAGAGAGCCAGACCCTTTTATTTCTGCATTATCACATGTGTGTGTTCCTGCTTCTGTACTTTTTGTATTAAGCAATCCAGACTATGTATTGGTAAATCTCTTTGCCTAGTGGGCTTCTAAGGATACAGTGACTATAGGCATCGCCAAGTGTGTCTTCCTAGATCGTGTAACCCACAGTGTGGAGGGTTATTTGTAGAAACTGACTCAAGACCTAGGCTGTGATTTCCACACTATTGTTTCTTTGGCCTTTTCCCACAGAGACTCAAGCTAACTGGCTTATTTCTTCTTTTGAAGATCTCTGGCCTTTGACTTCTGTTTTTGCCAATGAATAACATGTGATAATCCATACTTTAGATGGGTAGTTTCAGATTCGCTTAGTCTAATTTACTACCTAAAAGTAATATAAAAAGTAAGTATGAAATTATAGCTCTTAGAATTGGAGGTAAGGGTTGGAAGGTTTTATCTAGGGAAGACAGTAGCTCATCAACAATCTTAGATGAGTATAGAATTTTGCGTTCAAGTCCTATATTTTAATTTTCTGCTTTTATTTTCTATCATGTTTTAAGCTTCACTTTTGATCTTGAATTAATTTAATCTCATGTAAGATCCCTTTTAATAGTGGTGTTTTTAGCTCTGTTACTCCTCATACATCATTAGGCATAAATCAAGTCACGAGGTTATACATTTTGGCCATGAGAGTTCATCAATCTATGGCTTTGCACTTGATAATATAATTCAGGAGGTTAATCTTCTCAGTAGTCAATGAATTAATGTAAGTGAATGTCAAGTGGATACTTAGAAGGCTTAGTTGTGTTTTGGGGAAAAATAGCCAAAGAGCATGGTGGTTCCTTTGATCGCTAATCTGGGCTTAGAGAACATAACTTATTTTGCTCCAAAAGGTAAAGGAAACCCATACCCATTCTTGGCCTTTCTTCCTGCTTCTGTGTCTCCTGTCTAGGTTGCACCTATGAAGGAAATACCTATAACAGCTCCTTCAAATGGCAGAGCCCGGCTGAGCCTTGTGTTCTACGCCAGTGCCAGGTAAAGTTCAATTATTTCTCTCTCCAGTAAAAAGGAATCCATAGAGTCCTCTTTAGTCACCCCTTCACACAACATAGAACAAAACCCTAAAAAGGCCAAACAGAAATGAAAAAAACAATGAAAAAGCAACTGTATCCTTGTGTGTACTTACTGTGTCACCATAACGAGACAGGTGCAGCATAGATATTGTGTAGAACTTGCTTCCAGAAACACACAGTGGAATTGTCCACCATTGTTAAATTGTGCCTGGGAAAACTCCAGGAAGATGCACATGTCCTTGGGGAAAATTCATGTCTTCCTGTGAAGTCATCTTTGAGCAAAACATGAATTCCTCTTAGCAGAAAGCGGGTATTGTTAAAGGATGTATGTTTCACTTCTTTGATTTAGAAAGATTTTGAACTGGATCCAATCTGTAAACTATTACATTGAAGCAATTAGTATACTGTAACTCGATGATTTCAACCTGACAAATTAAAAAACCACCAATTCAGCAACTAGGGAGTCCACTGTGGTTGATCCTATTGAACTCTGAAAAGAGCAGTGATTCCACATGGCTCTAACCCCATCAGGTGTTAAACACAGCAAGATAAACTAAAGCAGAAATGAAAAGCCTAAATTTTCAAACTCCTCCTTTAAAAAAACAAGCAAACAAAAACTTTTTATAAATAATCTGCCACAAATTATGCTCATCTAATTTTGACAAAACTTAAAATTTCTTCTTCGTAGAAAAGGTGCTGTTAAATCATTTTATCCCTAACCCTATTTCGTTGTCCAAGGATATGCTTTTGCATTTAAAGGAAATTGAAAGGTTAGTATAATAATGGATATTTCTCTTTGCTCTTATCTTAAGCATAGTGACATTTAGTTTACTGAAATCTAAATTTTAGGTAGTTATATTCCTATTATATGCCATGATAGGTATGCTCATTCATAAGACCTTCAGCTATTTATTCAGTTAAATATTCAGCTTATTTATATAGGAAATCTGTTGCTTGTTAAAATAAGCAGTAGGTAAACACATATAAATAATACATTATTAAATCAACAAATATTTGCTGGATTTTTATTCCAGGTTGTTGCAGGTTCAATCAGTGTCATACTGCAAAGGGATGAGAGCAATAAGTTTCCATAACATCAAAATCCCACATTTGTTTCAAAATTTATACCACTTCACCCATGCCCTGCCTCTTGACCAGCAAAATTTCCACTCTTTGGTAGAGCACTCAGAAAACCAAAGCCATGGTTACAATGCTAAACAAGACAATCACATATCCTCTGGAGTCTAGCATAGTATTCCTATGTAACAGTCAGAGGTTTTGAAGTTCCTTAAGTTGCATGGACCAGTCATGGGTGAATTTTGCTGCCTTTGGATGAAGACTTTGTTTAAATTAAGTAGAAGCTATTATATGGGAGGGACTATTTTGTTGACTGAATAACACATTAAGCCATTATCCATTGTTAACCCTGAACCTCCAATTGCCTAGCGTCTCTGGTCAGTAGGGCCCAGAAAGAGTGATGCAGGAATCTCTAATTACTGTTGAAAGAGATCTTAAAGTCCAGCAGCCTTGGGAGTCAGGAGATGCTGACCTGTAAAATGGGGAAGAGAAAGTTGATGTTACCTACCCAAGAGGAAGTTTGCCTTTCAGTTTTTCCTCCTTTCTAAAACCTTGCCTGTGCCCTGCTAGCTAGGATAATATTTTATTCAATACGCAGAAAAGCAACCTGCGGTGAAGGGACCTACCAAAGGCTGCTCCTTTGCTCAGCTGGGACCTTCCCTTTCCTGACTTGCTTCCTTCTTTAGGTATGAGACCTCATCTTGGAATGCAGGAAATTACCATTTATTGGCACCTGTCAGGGAAGTCTTCTTGCTTCTCTGCAGAATGGCACAATGGCAACCTCTCTTTGCATGCTCTTCTTTTCTCAGGGCACAAAATCAGTAGCAGAGGATACAGCGTAGGGCAGTAGGTGAAATATGGATTCTGCCACTCACATAACTTGCTACTTAACCTCGCTGTACCTCACTTTAACTACCTATAAAACAGAAATAGTACTCTCTTCAGGGAGAGTTGTAAGCAGAAAGCCAAACTGTTAAAAATGCTTCTGGTAGAGCGCCTGCATGGACTGGGTACAACAAGGTCTCAGACAGATGACAGGAAGTCTAATGATCTGGCCTAGTTCCATTTGAATTGAATTCTACCTGTTTCTTATATCTTCCTACCAAGGGAGCTCTGATGGTGAGAAATTTACCTTTATTTTCCTGCTTTTAATTTCTTATGGGAAGAGGAAAATTTGAAGATCATGGACAGGAAATTCATGCTGGGAACTAACCTGAATCCTCCATCTGGATTGCAGATACCAAAGAAAAATTGGTTTGGGGCCATGCATAGCTTTTTGCATTGCTTCAGTTATGTAACTAAAGCATGGATCTTTTTGTGATGTTATATATTGCTAGTACTTTAGTTGTTTTATTCTTTCCCATGTGATTTAAGCCATAACCAATTCTCCAGTGAGTGGAAACCTCAGGCCTGACATGATATGAAAACATTAAGGATGTAGCCCTCCTTGTTGGGTTGAGATGATGTGGTAGCAGACACGATGAAGAAAATGACCTAGTTGTTAATTTGTTATATTTGTTTTCATCCTGTGCCACCCATCCCATCACAGACAGCAACAAAAACCAAACCAAAAATGAAACACAAATCCATTTACAAAATGGGTGGAGAATCTGGAGAAAGCCCTTCAAAGGCCAACTGTGAAAATTAATTCTAAAAATATTTCAATTGACATTAAGGTGATTAGAGTCCCAATATCAATTTGCAAATGACTCACTTAATTTATTTATTTATTTATTTTTTTGAGATGGAGTCTCGCTCTGTCGTCCAGGCTGGAGTGCAGTGGCGCAATCTCTGCTCACTGCAAGCTCCGCCTCCTGGGTTCACACCATTCTCCTGCCTCAGCCTCCTGAGTAGCTGGGACTACAGGCGCCTGCCACCACGCCCGGCTAATTTTTTGTATTTTTCGTAGAGACGGGGTTTCACTGTGTTAGCCAGGATGGTCTCGATCTCCTGACTTCGTGATCCGCCCGCCTCAGCCTCCCAAAGTGCTGGGATTATAGGCGTGAGCCACTGCGTCCGGCCACTTGATTTTATTATTAAGCCCTAAAGTCCCTATTTTGACATATATAATATGAACTTAAAAATAGTTTTGTCTAATCCCTTCCTTTGATGCTTGAGGAAGACTGAGACCCAGGCTCTGTGTGAGGCAGAGTGACATTTCTAAGATTGCAGAGCTGGCCTAGTTATTTCTAGAAGGTTGGTAAGGATTTAGGATCTCCAGGTGCTAGTCTGGGTTAAGATGCTTATATGCTGTGCCTCACCATTAATGGCTTGACATGAATAACAATGATAGAAAGTACAGGAAGTGTGGAAAACCTAAAACAATTGTGAATGAGCAGCTAGATTCTGTTGGGTACTTACTGACAGCAAGAAGGTCTTAAAAACTAGATTTAAAAGGAAGCAAGAAATTAGGGCCAAAGAGAAAGCAAAGACGGGGGAAAATAAGAGGTGACAGATTTGCACTGAGTTCTACAGCATTGATTGGGGTGAGCCTGGATCTCACCTCGTTGGTGTCTCATACCTCTCGCCCTGACACCCACCAAACCTTGTGGTTTTTGTGCTTGAGCACTTCTCCTACTTAGGTCACTTTCCAAAAGTAGTAACTCCGTGGGAATTCTGGGCTGACTTTGCTTGTTTTGTTCTGTGTTTCAGGAGGGCGTTGTCACAGAGTCTGGGGTGCGCTGTGTTGTTCATTGTAAAAACCCTTTGGAGCATCTGGGAATGTGCTGCCCCACATGTCCAGGTAACGTTCTCAGGAAGGGGAGGCTGGAAATCTCTGTGTGTTCTTTCAGGAATGCATGAATCTCCCAACCCCTCTTGTTGGAAATTTTCCTCACTTTACATCTGTGTACCTAATGGGTTTAGAGAGCGAGCTCCTTTGCATAGAAATATCCGCTTGGCTGCCTCGGTGTGCCCAGCATGAATGCAATGTGCTGGAGGTCCTGGCATGGGGGTTCTCCAGGCTCCGAGGCCTGCTTTCCACTCCACAGGGCCACAGGTAATGCTTATTTTGGAAGAAAAGGCTGTGGCTTTCTCTGGCTTCCAGAGATGTCTTTTTACTGCTTCATATTGCAAAATCCTGGCCAGAGCTCGCCATGGTGATGAGGTGACCAGATGTTTTCTGAAAACTGAGAGCTGTGTCCCTAAGTGAATTTAGCTTAGGGTTTTGCTGGTCTCAGTTTTCCATGTGGTTCAACAAGGTGGACCCTCTTGTCTTTTTTAGAGGGCCCTGCTTCCTAGCTGACAGCAAAAGGATCTTTCCTTTGCAGCGGCTGGAACGTTTCCTTTTACTTTTCTGAACAGGATTACAAAGGCCTCCTGCATCTTTTCCTGCCCTTACATACAAGCCTGGGGCTTTTGAGGTGAGAGATTTTTTTCTGATCTCTTAAGCCACTGGCCAATAATCTCTGACAGGTGTTCTGCATTTTGTTTTTTTTGTTTTTTTGTTTTTTTTTTTCTGAGTGCTTTTCCTCAAGAGTGGTGATACGACTACTGCTCTGCTTTTGAGGTTAATCTCCAAAGGGCCTTCTGTTCTTGGAAACTTCCTGTGAAGTGGCTAAGTCACCACTGGACGCTCTGCAGAGATGAGCTCCTGCTCCATTCTCAGGCACCTGTCACTTTCCTCCATGCAGTCTCAAAGGCATGGTCCCTTTCAGAGTTCAGCCTTTTCTCACCCTTGAATGACAAGGATAGCCAGCTTCCACTTACGTCTAACCCTCCTCAGCAACCTGGGCTGTCTTTATTCAGCCTCTTTTTCACACTGGGATTTCTGTAAAGCTTGTATTGTTCATGAGCTTACATGAAAGCCAAACACTGGTTGAAAGTAAAATTATTTTTTCCATTATCCAGTTGTTCTGTGTCTATCAAGCAGAGATTGCTTGAGTGCTTTTCTCTCTGAATGCTGTGAAAGGTTTGTATTGCCTAACCGTATCCTTAGATGCCTACAGTATCTTTATTCAATGAGATCAGTAGTTGTCCAGGCTGCACACCAGAGTCACCTGAAAAATCCTTAAAAAAATCAATCTTGATGATCAAGCTGCATCCCAGACCAATTCCATCAGAATCTCTGAGGAACACTCGGGTCTCAGATCTCCCAGATAATTTCTGTACACAGCCAACCCTGACATTGATAACAGAGCATATTTTATACACCATATAGATTTAAAAATATCATAGCTCTTAAATATGAGTTCAGTTGTGTTGAGTAGACTGTTGCTTTGTTATTTATTTTATTTTTATTTTTTGAGATGGAGTCTCACTCTGTCGCCCCGGCTGAAGTACAGTGGTGTGATCTCGGCTCACTGCAACCTCTGCCTCCCTGGTTCACACCAGTCTCCTGCCTCAGCCTCCCGAGTAGCTGGGACTACAGGCACCCGCCACCATGCCTGGCTAATTTTTTTGTATTTTTAGTAGAGACGGGGTTTCACCATGTTAGTCAGGATGGTCTTGATCTCCTGACCTCGTGGTCCACCCTCCTTGGCCTCCCAAAGTGCTGGGATTACAGGCGTGAGCCCCTACGCCCGGCCGACTATGGCTTTATTGACACAGAATCAACTCAGAGCTGCCCTCTCCTCATAACCATGGGATCTGTCATGGACCAACAATAATGAAATGGAACACTTCAAGCCCAAGACCTCCCACCCTGTAGAACATTCTCCTCACTTAGGAGATAGTCATATTTTCAGGCTGCCTTTGAAACTGTGGGTACACAAACAGCAGAGCGATCTATTTCAGCAGTTGAAGTTGTATTTGAGCCATTATTTCTTCCACTCTCTTTTTGGTTGAGTTTCTAGGAAGGAAAGGGCTGAACTCCATGACTGCTCATATTACAGTGCTAAGTCCTCACAGCCATCCACTGTTTATACACAAGAAGAAACTAGGCCCACCAAGAGTAAGCGCCTGCCTGAGGTCCGTGAGTGAGTAAGGGCCAAAGGTGAGGTTGGGATCTGGCCCTTTCTCTTTTCTGGCCACCACAGGGCACTACCTCCCATGCCCACACACACCGCGAGAATTGAGAAGCTTAGGTCCAGGTGTTCTGGAAGGCAAATCTTTAAGAATTGGCATGCCAGTGCCACCCACCAGCCCCCTGACACCTTGGCAGGCTCTGTGTCCTCAATTACGGGATCATGAATCAATTTCATTCCCTCGCCTTAATTCCAAAGGCCAACCTTTGGGATGCAAATTGGAGGATCCAGAAGGAACTGTATCCACAAGGCATTATCTTTTGTCTTATGAGGGAGGCTTCAGGCAAATCTAGGGAGGGAGAGTCAAGAGAAGCCTTGGGTATCTTCCTTGGTCACTCAGAAGGACTGGCATTGACCAGGGAATGATATTCTGTGTAATGACAAACACGTAGTCTGTGGTCAGTTTCTTCCCGAAGCAGATTTTAGGGCATTCTTGGTCGACTGCTCCTTCCTTTTCATTGGGCTCTTTGCTCAGGAATGGTGGGTTGTGATGGAAACAGTTTGCATAGAATTTTCATTTAAAATTCATTTAAGTGGTCAGGTGTAGATTGTTGTAGTTAATCTGGCAATCCGTGTGACAAAATCAGTGCTACAAACCTGTATGAAAGAATTAAAGCTGCCTTGTTGGAAGTACACCTTAAAGAGAGACGAGTGGGCATCTGCCATAGTAACAGTGCTGAGATACAGCCACTAGGAGGGCCCCACACTTACCAGGCCTTCTGGCATCACTGAGAATACCAAGGAGCTGGTTGATTGCTAACTCTGCAAGTCAGTAGCATACAGATCTTATGCCTGGGGCATTTTTTAAACCACGGTTTCACTTGGTAATGCAACTTCAGGCTCAGTAGCACTTGTCTGCATGTCTTCCATTTAACAAAGGGCTCTGTATCCAGCTTAAGATGAATAAGGTCAGTGGCCAGATCAGGTGGATGTAATGCCCATTCTTCTTTGTCAAGAACCAGCTGCTCCAAGAGCTTGGTGGGTTCTGCAGATGGCTTTAGCTGGCAGGCCTTGAACACTCATTCTCAGGGGCATGGAGCAGTCTTTCACAAGACCCTGCTTTGGCTAAGTTTTGCCCACTGCTAGCTTTGCTCCCAGCACCGTCTTCCATGGAGAAAGTGACCTCAGCTGTCCTGGTCCAGCACCTTGTGAGGTCAGTCCTGAGGAATGTGGCTTTGCTGTTAACTCATAGTTATCCCATGGCCTGTGTGACATGGGGTTCCTGTCTGGTTTGTGCATCGTGCCATTTATGACCTCTCTTTGGAATCTGGCAGTGTCCTGGGCATCTTTCTGAATAGGGAACACCTCCTGGGTTTTGGTCCTATTATTAGCTCAAACTTGGAGGGGGCCACAGTCCCTTTAACAGAGAGCGTGGGGCTGAAAACCCGTATGATACCTCCTGTCCTGCCTCTGCCCCTTCTTGCCTTTGTACCTGGCCCTCTGAACAGTGCAGCAGATGGGTCAGAACTGATTTTGAATTCTAGCTCTGCCACCTGCCAGCTGGGGTGAGTTACTTTCCCCTCTGAGCCACGTTTTCCTTATTTGTGAAAAGAGTGATGAAAGTCCCTACTTTGTAGGATCATTGGGGATGTGGAGTGAGATTGGGGTACCTAGGACGCGATAGAGGCTGTGCCCTTCTTAGGTACTCATTGAATGGGGCCCCTGGTGTCATCTGCTCCAAGCCCATGGTTGACTTCTCTCCCTTGGCCTTCCATCTGCCTCCTCTGGCCCCCCTGGGTTTGGTCCCTCTGGCAGTGGGCAGCATGATCACCATGCAGCTCCCGGACCCCAAGCACGGCTCTCTATGCTGCACTACTTCCCCTTGGGCTGACCTGGGTTCCACTGTCTTATTTGTTTTCCAGCATCTTTGGGGTTTCAGGTCCCATGCCCATCGTTTGCCTCTGTTTTTTTCTTTTCACTATGCAGCAATCTTGTCCACTGGTTGAAGAGGACACTCAGCTGTGTGGAGGTGGGCAACGGATGAACTGTGGATAGAAGGATTGTGTCAGGTTGAACGATGATGGCTGTTGCCCTAATTCTAAACTCTTGTCTGCTTTCCAGGCTGTGTGTTTGAGGGTGTGCAGTATCAAGAAGGGGAGGAATTTCAGCCAGAAGGAAGCAAATGTACCAAGTGTTCCTGCACTGTAAGTCCTGCTGTGGATGTTCCCAGGGTGTCCTTTGGGCAAAGCACTTCTTGTACTCACCAAGAGCACCCCCGGTCTCTACAGCCTCTCTCTCGTCTCCTCTCTGGGTAAAAGTCCGTCCCTCCTGATGTGGAGCCGAGGGAAAAGCTCATCCACCTGGCTCAGCACTACTGACATTCTGGGCTGGGAAATTCTTCTTCATGGGCCTGTCCTGTGTGTTGCAGGATGTTTAGCAAGGTCCCCTGGCTCCACCAACTGGATGCCAGTAAACCCCTCCAGCTATATCACCACCAATGTCTGCAGACCACCCAATGGGCCATGGAGGCCAAACTTGCTCCTGATTGAGGAACTCTGCTCTGAAGCATGAGGGAGAGGCTGCCTTTCCTCCACGTGCCTCCTTTTTTGGGGGAAAGCATGGATTTTCTGTTCCTCAGGGGCTGAGGACCTTCTTGCTGAGGCAGCTGCTTGGTTCTTTAGTGCAGCCAAATAAGAAGCAATGGGGACAAACACAGCTTGCTTCTGTGCGTCCTGAGGGGTGAGAACCTGGTCTGAGGGCTGATCAGTTACAGGTTGCAGAGTGGATAGGAGGAAATCGCCTGAAATGGTGATAGGAGGAATCAGTGAGACAAAGTCACAGGCTTGTCTTTCTAAGCATTGCTGAATTCTAAGCCATATACTAACGATCTCTCCAGCATGCTTAGATATAAAAAAGAACTTGGCACATGCTACAATTGTAAAGGGATCTCTTTAATTAATATATGTTAAATTTAGGGTGAAATCAGTGGTGGTGGTAGTGATGGGGAATCTAGTCTTAACCAGCTGCTCCAAGTCATTTACAGTAGGGAGTTAGTACAACCATCTATTTTTTAAGCTTTTAATCTGTTATAATAAAGAACATACATTTTCCAAGTCACTTGTGACTCACTATGCATCTCAGAATATTAAAAGGAAAATACATGGGGAACTCTAGCATGCTAATTTCACCAAAGCAGAATCATATTTGGATCATCATAAACCATAGCATTTGTCATTTCTCTACATGTCTTTTCGAAAATCTTTCCTCCTTCCCTCAGCACACATGCACCCAACCTAGAGAATACAGATTAGAGGAAATATGACGAAATGTGATGGCTTTTGTATGGGGGAGAAGGAGGTAAAAAAGGAAGGGAGGGAGGAAGAGAGTATATATGTATATCTCTATATATCTAGATATAAAACATATGTAATATACATAATATACATCAGGTATATAATAATATATAAAAAACACAAAGTAATGTACTCATGAAAATGAGCATGAGCTTGCATATTCCAACTCAACCTCCATGTTGTTCCTCTCCTGCTAATTATGACTAAATAGCTTTATTTTTTATTTTTTTATTTTTTGAGACAGAGTCTTGCTCTGTCTCCCAGGCTGCAGTGCAGTGGCACTATGTCAGCTCCCTGCAGCCTCTGACTCCCAGGTTCAAGTGATTCTCCTGCCTCAGCCTCCCAAGTAGCTGGGATTACAGGTGTGCGCCACCAGGCCTGGCTAATTTTTGTATTTTTAGTAGAAATGGGGTTCCACCATGTCAGCCAGGCTGGTCTCGAACTCCTGACCTCAAGTGATCTACCCACCTCAGCCTCCCAAAGTGCTGGGATTACAGGTGTGAGCCGCTATGCCTGGCCTGAATAGTTTTATTTTTATGTAAATGATTTATGTAAATAATATTTGCCATTAAATATTACCCATTTCTCAATTTTATTTCTTCCATACTGTAAACTATAAAGCTTTCTGATAATTTTTTTTAAATAATCTTATGCTTTTGGGAGTAGACTGAGGAAAAATAAGGCATATTTCAATAGGAAATTATAAATGTGCATCTGAATGAATTGCCTTTCCAGGTAAAGGTGTGCCAAGGTCACGCAGCTGAGCCTCCTTGGAGAGGAAATTTAGAAGGTGGTAAAGAGAATGGAAAGTTCCTGCAGCTGTACCAGTGACAGCCAGCCAGAGTTATCCAGTGCTGGAACTGGAAATGAGCTTAGAGATGATATGTACAGGGGTCACAAACCAAAATGTACTGCAGGCATTCTGATTTCATATGTTTTTAAACACAATGCATGATGAATGAAACACCAAGTTTTTCTGCCTAGTGAGTTCTTGCCAGACCTAGAGTCTATTCCTTTCTCATATCCTTGTATTCTAATTTCATATATTCCTGTATTCTGTCTAGTTTTCTGCAGTGCCATCCTCAGCACTCAAAGGGCAACTAATGACTTTGATTATGTTCCCGATATCAGCCTTTAGATTAATAGAATAAATGGGAGAAACAATGGAGTTCTTGCTTGAAGGTAGGACATTTGTGTGTCAGTTTGGGTATGGGGAGTGTCATAAGAGCAGTTTTTCTTTTATGAACACACACATTTGAGGTGTAAGCTTTTTTGTAGCTTGTTGGTAAAATAATCTGGTTTTTAATATTCTTTCATGTTTGCTATCTTTTGATGGAGTACACTAAAAAAAAAAAGTAATGTCTTGGCAGCAAATGGCCCTCTCTTGAGGATGGTAACTGTGGAGATGTTCACTTTAGAGTGGAATATTCCAAATGCATGGCCTGGAGGCATGGAGTTTAGGAGGCATGGAGTTTGCCAGTGTTGCCCTGGCAGCCTGCTTGGAAGCTTTGGCATGTGAGGTGCGTGCAGGTGTGAGGTGCCATCTTGCGTGAGAGGGCAAAGCTGGAGAAGGGCTTTAGACAGGACCTGTGCAAGGCCAAATGCTCCACTGAGGAGGCTACCAGAGGGGTGTTCATAATGTTAGGCTGCAGCTTCCCCTGTACAAATGAAGACTGCATGTAATAACCTGTTGTGCTTTGGTAAAAATAGAAAGATATATATAGAGAGAAATATAAACATATTATGCATTTGAGCATGTATATAGTATTTATGTGACTATATATTTGTATATCTCTATATCTGTAATTGCATGTATCTATACACACATATATAAAAATAATAAAAATATATAAAAACATGCTTATAAATACAAATGCAAACATACACATTTCTCAGATACTTCTCAACACATTTCTAACATACACATGTTTAAGATTGGATGCCCCAGAAACAGACCCTGAGATAAGTATATATGTGTAAGTAGTTTATTTGGGAGATACAGAAGGCTCTGGCAGAAGAGTGCGGAGGGGAGACAAGGATGAAGAAGCAGCCAGTTGAGGGAATGTCACCAAGTGCTATGGTCTGAACGTCCCCCAAAATTCATGGGTTGAAACTTAATCGCCATTGTGGTGGTATTAAGAGGTGTGACATTTAGGAGGTGATTAAGCCACGAAGTCTCTGCTCTCATGAATGGCCAAGTGTCCTTATATAAGGGCTTGAGGGAGGAAGTTCATCTCTCTTGCCCTTCCATCACTCCCGCCATGTAAGGACACAGTGTTCCTCTCCTTCGGAGGTTGCAGCAACAAGGCGCCATCTTGGAAGCAGAGACAGCAGCCCTTGCCAGACACCAAACCAGCCAGCACCTTGATCTTGGACTTCCCGGCATTCAGAACTGTGAGAAATAAATTCCTGTTCTTTGTAAGTTACCCACTCTCAGATATTTTGTTATAATAGTACGAATAGACTTTGACACCATGTGAGCTACCATTGTGTGTGACCAGAGCTTAGTCTTGCTGGGGAAAGTCTGGAAGCCAGTGTAAAATTCATACCTCAGAATGTTTTCACTGAAGGAGTGAGAGAACTGAAATATCTACACACCAACTCCAACCAGGGTTTGGTTGAGGGCTGCTCCCGGGAGGTCTTGATTGGGTAGCATTTCCAGCCTGCCCCTCAAGTGGCAAAGTGGTCTTTAGCAGCAAGAGGAAGAAACACAAAAACGGATACTTCTCAACTTACGGTGGAGTTATGCTCTGATAAATGCATTGTAAGTTGAAGATATCTTAAGTTAAAAATGCGTTTAACACACCTAACCTACTGAACACCGTAGCTTAGCCTAGCCTGTCTTCAGCCTGCTCAGAACATTTATATTAGCATATGGTTGGAAAAAATCATCTAACACAAAGCCTATTTTATAATAAACTATTGAATAGCTCATTAAACTTCTTGAAAACTATACTTAAAGTGAAAAGCAGAATGGTTGTACGAGTACTAAAAAGTACATATTCTACTGAATGCATATCGTTTAAGTCAAAATATCATCAGGGACTAACTGTACTGGCAGTTAGAAGTGTGGGCATGTGCACACACCCAAGTGGTAAGGGTGAGAGGATGTGGGTCCGCAGCGACAGAGTCAGCTACAACATACATATGTGTGCATAAGTGTCCATATATATGCACGTAAACATCTATACATTCATATATTTGTGAATATGTATGCGTATATGTGCATACGCATATGCATACACGCATATGCATACACACGTTTGGAATACTAAACCTTTAGCTTTTTCCCAAACCTATTACTCTGTTTTGCCTCCAGTCCTTTGCTCATGCTGCTACCCTGTTTGTAATTCCTTTCTTCTGCTTGTTCACCTGGCGAATGCTTGATCTTTCCAAGTCTGTTACCACCACCCCCCTGCAACTCCCTGAGAACCTGATTCCCCCAAGGAGAAGCAACTGTTTTCTCTTTTGTATTCCTGATGGCTCCATGGCTCTCGTTTGCTATAGCTTCCCTGCCATCTTTCCCTCCCTCCTCCTCTGTGCTTAGCACCACTGGCAGGCGCTCAGCAATGTTGGCACCCTTCTTCTTTCCTATTGCTGTCTTTTGATGTAGTACACTGAGAAAGAGTAATGTTTCCTCTTCCATCCTGAGACTTCTGCCCTTCCAAGCTGGCCAGCCTATTCTCGTCTGGGAGAGTAAATCTGGTCAGATATCCCCTTATCACTAGCTTACTCTTTGCCTTGGGGGCACACCCTAGGGAGTTGTGTGGGTGTGTGAAGCATCCCTTGGGGGTATTATCCAGCTCCAATGGATGAACTGCAAACTCTTCGTGGTGTCCCCACTGGCAAGTGGCTTGTATACGCCATGTGGCTTGTATTTGAGGTCCAACCCACTTAGTTACACTCTCTGAATTTGTGAAAATCTGTGTACTGATGTTTTCGTGATGTGGTGACAGAGAGGCAGACCATCAGGAAGACACTCGTCTTATGGAGATGGATTCCTAAGATAACGAAACAAATGCCTCACACATGATTGTACATCCTGGTTTCAGCTGGTCCATCTCTATGGCATTCCAGACAGTTGAGAACGTGATAATGTTTGAGGATTATCTGGAGAGGATTTCACAACCTTTTGCTCTTATCCATTCCAGAAGCAGACCTAACGTTTTTAGGTGTGACTATCATCATGACTCACTCAGAAAATGCAGTGCTTTCTTATCATTTGTTAAACTGCATCATCCCTGTTTACCCATTGTAGAAATAAAAGAGCCAAGAGAATCACTTCTTCAGAGTCCCGATATTCATCAGGGGAGTGACAGCTTGAGTCCTATTAGCTGTTCCATATAGCGGTCTGAGTCATACCAGAGTGCATTCTTTATGAGATGTGTTCAGTGCGAATAAGCACTATATTCATGTTTAAATGGAAAGAGGATTCTTTCCTACCACTGAAGCAAAGAATAGTTTATAAAGTATACTGAGTGTTGGTTAAAGCACACCTTGGCTTCCTACCTGCTTAACTGTATAGCAAACAGCTTTGTGTGCCTTTGTTCAGTCAACTTTTCAGGAAACAGGATGGTGGTAGTTGGCACAGACATTTCTGTAAAACCTGTCTTCAATGTTGTGAGACTAAAGACCAAGGTGCCAATCAGAGATGTTTGTGTTCTTTTTACCAAACTATTTTAAGAACCCCAGGGGCTCAGTGTTCTTGGAAATTGCTTACGGGAGGGAGTATAGCCCACAGAGTGGTAGGATGCTTTTAAAAGAGCAGCAAGTCCTCTGTCTGTAAAACCAGCCAAATTAACCGGCCAAGATCAATTACTTTGGCTGACAAAGGCGTATTAAGTTCAGAGGATTTTTACCAATAAACATGGGTTGTTAATGGGCTGTCTGTGATGAAGGAGCTGTGCTTTACTGGCTCTTAGAAGCCCTGAAGTCCATAAACACCTTTGCTCTCACTTACACTTTAGATATTGCAAAGTGCTGTCTCCCAGGGAAAATGAAACTCCAAGGAAGGGTATTTGAAGAAAGCAAAGAAAATGGAGATCCTCATGGCTTCCCTGTCTCTTAGACTGGATTCTTGAAGATGTTCTGAGCAGCCAGGCAGGGTCCAGCCTCTGTCAACTCTGTGACCTCATCACTGTCCCTCATCCTTGTCCTCTCTGCTCTGGCCACTCTGGCCTTCAGACAGAACCTCTCCATCCTTGCTACACAAAGGGAGGACTCCCACCAGCAACGTGGACCTCACCTGTGAGCTCATTAGAAATGCAGCATCTCTGTCCCTCTTCCAGGCCCACTGAATTGAAATCTGCTGTTCCACATGATCCCAGAGGTTCATGTGCCAAATAAAGTTTGAGAAGCACTGGTCTTATATCTCATGGCTTTTACCTAGGCAGCTTTTTCCTTTTCTTCCCATTTCTCCTCCTTCCCATCGCTCCTATACCTAGACAGTCTCCGCCCACTCATCCAGCACTGCAAAGCCCAGACATTCCTTCTTTAGGGAAGCTTGTTCTGATTCCCAAGACCAGATCACTTCCTGTTGGGAAACTCTTTTATAGCACCCCATACTTTACGCTCCAAACATCTAAAATGATTTGTAATTAGATATTTTTGTTTGTGATGGTTTTATTTAACTCCATCCATTAGGATAAAATGGTGACTGTATCTTCTGTGCTTGGCTCATAATGGGTATACATAATAATCTGCTGAATTCATGAACAAATGGATGCTGGTTTTTATTTTCCTTCTCTTCCCCCACTGCTTCTCTTCTCTCTCTGCTACTTTCCCCACCCACACCAAACATTTAGTCTTTACCAATTCGGCAGAGAATAGAGAGATGCACGTCATTGTGGATGAGCTCAGAAAGAAAAAGAGATTCATTTCAGCTGCTGTAGAGCTTATGATAAATTGTTTGGTATGGAATGTGAATGACTTCCCTGAGAATGTCTTGTTTGAAAAGTGTTCCTAAGCCTCAGAGATCCCCACAAGTTCTGGTGGCAGGAAGCTGTGGTGGCAGGAAGCAGTCACCAACAATCAGGGCCACTCACTGTGGCAGAGCTTTTAAAAGAGGAGAATCCACTATCCTCAGAGTTGACCTTGCTCTGAAAAATACAGGAGACATGACTGACCTCCTCCTGCTCCAGCATCTCCAGCTCAGATTGCAGTTCTCTGCAATAGGAAGGAAAGAGATGCCTCATCATTTCTGTGGTCACGTGGTGCCCAACTGTGCTGTTTCTCCTTTGACATGGGGACTTGGGAACTTCGATGCCTGAACCCTCTCTCATGCCCTCTGCCTTACTTGCAATAATATGTGCAATTTGATGCATTTTAGTCATAAGCTGTCATTATATCTTCCCTGTCCACGGGGAGAAATTTGGCTACATCTGGGCAATAAATTGGAGAATTGAGCAATTATTGAGCAAATTAGATCAATGTGGGCAGTTCATCTAACTAGTGTGGGCCAAAAAGCCCCAGAGGAGTTTTCAAAACTAGTCTGAAATATTGGTGTAATTGCTGCAGTGTTCCATTCTGCACTATGGATGTACCATCTTGATTTTGAACAGTCAATTGAAAAAAAAAAAAAAGTTTTCTTAAAGGGCTGGATAGCACTTGGCCACTAGGAGGGGCCTTCAACTTGCTTAGAAAAGTAGCTGGTGTTCTGCTTGTTTTGTGACTGGACAATGAGCTTGTGAATCTTGGTGTTTTATGTTAGAAAGAATCCGAATAGTTGTGGTTTACCTGTCAGCCAAGGCTTCTAGCGGAAGGTCTATTGTAATGCCATTGTCATTAGATTGAATCCATAAATGCACAACTATTGTTATGGGATATCAAATTCTGGTTTCTTGAAAATACCACCAAAATGACCTGTTTATAAGGCAAAGCTGAATTAATTGCCTACCACAGTCATTGATCATTACCTAGACAAAGCTTTTGTAGCTTTTTGGAAGAAAGAGGGCAAAGGTGGGATGAGGTTTTAGAGGATCTGGCTTAAGAGGGGTCATTCAGTGTGAGGGCTTGATTTGGACTGGGAAAATTTCATAATATGTTAGTTTAGAGTTGCAGAAAACGGTAAGGCAAGAGCTTCAAATCACATCTTGAAATGTTCATGAGCATAGTTGAGTTATCTGTGTTACTAGACTGTAGTTTCAGCAAGTTAAGTACTTTTAGCAAGTTCTTGAAACCAGTAGGGGGCTCAATTTTTTTATATTAAAAATATTGGGAATAACTGTTCTATATTTTAAATTCTACCTCATCCTGGACTTAAATGTTTGCAGGACAAATCCTAAATTTTAACCCTCATGTATGTTTTTATTTTAATGGCTTATAAGATTCCTTATGATTATTTCTTTATATAATTTGTTTGTAGCTGAAATATTCTGTAAAGCTATTTTTCTACACAGGGAGACATTGACTTCATATTGAGCACAACAGGGAAAAAAGTTGGAAAAGAAAGTTTTTCTTTGACATTTGAGCATTTATATGAAAATGCATAGTTTGAAAAGAAATCCACAAATGATTTATTTACAGAGGAATTATTGATAATGGTTATTATTACTGAATGTGTACCCTGTGCCAGGTACATATAGTATATAATGTTAATTTTCACAATTGTTCTGCAACCTAGGAGGTCTTCGCTTCTTTTTTGTTTAAAAACAAACAAACAAACAAAAACCCAAGCTTCTGAGAAGTTTAATGGCTTGCCTAAAGTCAAAAAACTAGCAAGAACTGAAGCCATAAACTGCCTGATTATAACGCTACATGCCATTTCTCTCTGTCTATCCTCTCCCTGCACCAACCAGTGTAATTTTGAGATATTATCTATAATTGTTGGTGGAGATTTGAAACTTGGAAATGGCATTTGAGTCTATGGAGTGAAGAACGACCAGCCATTTTGAGGGAGAAATAATGGTAATGCAAGCATTGGGGAAAAAAACCCAAATCTGGTACAAGAAATATTGACACAATAAAAGAATAAATTACACTTCCTCTCTCCAAAGTTCACACGTCTAAGCAAGTTTAAACTCATACCAGATTTCAGCCTTGGGCATTGAGCCTAAGCATTTGTCTCCATAATGCCAGTGTGAATGAAGAACACATATCTGTTATCCTCAGGTAAGTTGGAAAATTGAGACATAATCTATAATGCATCTCCTTACCAAGAAAATATGCATAAACAAAGAAAATGTGATAGTTTCCGGGCAGAGCCACCCTTATTGCCTCTGCTCCCAAAAATAGATAAAAATAAATGTTTATCCAGCCAGGTGTAGTGGCTCATGCCTGTAATCCTAGCACTTTGGGAGGCCGAGGCGGGTGGATCACGAGGTCAGGAGTTCAAGACCAGCCTGACCAATATGGTGAAACCCTGTCTCTACTAAAAATACAAAAATTAGCTGGGCATGGTGGTGCGTGCCTGTAATCCCAGCTATTCAAGAGGCTGAGGCAGGAGAATCACTTCAATCTGGAGGTGGAAGTTGCAGTGAGCCGAGATCATGCCACTGTACTCCAGCCTGGGCAACAGAGCAAGAGTCCGTCTCAAAAAAAAAAAGTGCTTATCCAGTGGGCTTATCTCTCCATTGCAGTGATCCACTGAAGTTTAAGCATTAATTGTAATAGCTTCCTTGGAAATTTTATGGAGGAGTTGGGTTCACCTAGACATAGCTTTCAGTGTTGTGTGACTGTAAATTTATCCTCCTGGTAGATGGAAGGAGAAATTGTGTCATTGCTTTTGAAGTTACTTTCTCTTATCTGTCTAAGAAGCAGATGTGTTTATAGATTTGAGTGAAATTTGGAATAGGGATTAGAGTTGGTAGAAGAATTAGCTCAATTGCTTAAATCTCACTTCGTTGTATCCTAGAAAAGATCATTCCTTTAATTTTCTTCTTCATCCTTTTATTTTCTCTAAGGTCTGTCAAATCATGTGTTCCTTTTATCCCCTAAAAATCCTAGAACAGATATGGATTTTACTAAATGCTGAAGACTTTTTAAACTATCTGTCCATTCCTCTTTCCATCTTTATATCTCTGTCTTGCCTGTACAGCCAGCCAGTCCTTTGTTAGCTTAACCATGTTTGTCTGTTTTGTGTTACACACTATGTTAGGCCCTGGGCATTCAAAAATGAAGAGGAATTCACTTTTCCTTTTCAGCCAAATACAATCTATTGACTTGTGAAAATAAAACCATAATGCAGCCTTTCTTGTGCCACATATAAAGCATTGTATGATAATTTCAAAAAGCCTAGATATATTGAGAAATTAAAATAATTGTACAACTCGAGGATAACTACTGTTAATATGATTTGATATATTTCCTTCTAACTTTTTTCCCTCCATATGTACCTATAATTCTGTAGGTAGTTTTATATCCTTGTTATTTTCATTTAACATTATATTGTGAATATGTCTCCATTTCATGAAAAAGTTGAGAATACTTTTAAAAGCTACATAATATTTCCATAAAACCATAATTTCATCATTTTCAGTTGTTAAAAATTAACATTTTCAGTTTTTACTATTTTGAATAATGTGACAGATATCTTTGAAAATTAATCTTTTTTGTTTCTCTGATTATTTCTTTGGCTAAGTTCTATAATTAGTGGGTCAACGAATCAAATATCTTAAGGGGTGTGTGTGTGTTGCTGAAGTACTTCAAATCAATGTCTTAATTCCCACTCCAATAATCAGTATATAGGTGTATACTACATATTTCCTGCACCATAACTATTTTCCATTTGGAAATCTTGTTTTCATGGCATTTGGCTTCTGAAACTGAGCATTTTCCATATGTTTATCAGCCATTTGTGTTTTTTTTTTTCTGTAAATTGTCTGTGTTTTTATTTCTAATGTTTCTATTGGGTAGTTAAAGTATTATTGAAGTTTATATGTGTATGAAGGATCTTAATCCTCGGCTAGATATGTTAAGATGCGTTTAAAAACACTGAAACTGCTTTGTGTGCCATTTGACCTTAGTATGCATATGGCATGGTAGATAATTGCATAGTTTGCTAAAATCCCATGTCTTCTTCCAATCTTTACCCCTCAAATCTTGATCCAAATATATTAAAAAATAGAAAAGTGAGTCAGCATTGTCAGTTCCCACATTTATTTTGTCCAAGACTTTTCATTATTTAAACTCCTTCTTTTCCATCTCTAACTCCTTCGTTTTGAGATTGCGACCTTCTGTACCTGCTCCCATATTGATATGACTCATTCTTTTGAGTTTCTATAGTGCTTCCTCTCATACTCATGGCTCTGCAGCCTCCTAACCTCCCTAGTCTTCTCTCTTTCCTTCTTGGCTCAGAAAGAGAACTATCCAGAATCCCCCTACTCTCCAAGTCTGGTTCTCATTTGGGCTCCTCTGCCCATCTCTTTCTACTTTTCCTAGGATGTTGTTCTGGGTTTCAAATTTTAAAGTCCTAGTAGACAGGGATAATGTACCTCACAGCTTGAGTACAGTGTCTTACACATAGGAAACAGTGAATATTTGGCTAAATAACTAGTCTTATAGCTGTTGATTTGAGTATCCATGTTCTTGAAAATGAGTTATACAATCTAGAACTTTTCTACCTTCCTACTTTGGTCTTGATGCCCATCTTGAAGGCAGTAGGAAAATATTCATGGTTTTAATGAGCATGGTTACATGAAAGATTCATGATAAATCTGTAGAGGAAGAGGCTCCAACCACAACCATTGCAAAAAGCTGGTAAGGAGACTTAAGAGTAGCTGTGTGAAGAGGATGGAACGGGGGGTGAGCTCAGGGGACAGCAAGTCTAAGAATGTATCATTCTGTGTTGTGGGAGGACGAGAATGGAAATATTCATTAATGAAAATAAAAGAAATATCCTTTTTAGTCAACAAAATAGGATAAAATATTAGTCTCAGAGTACTTTAGGACATTTCCAGAACTTTCTGATCTTTTTGTCCATTATTAGCCAGATAACTTCATTTAAAAAACCAGTTTGGTACCTCTGGGCCTGCGGCTTTCCCTGCTCCTTTGTTTGTTTGTGCTTCGTGGCTCCCCTCCCCTCCTGTGCCCTTCTGTTCCATCTCCTTCCCCGCCTGCTTCCACTTCCCTGTCCCTGGTCCTACTTGAGCTTCCCCTCTTCCATTCCCATCAGGCGCTCTGCACGATAGCCTGGTATTAGTAAAGTACCATGAGTCATTTTCATTGCTATCTTGGTCTCTCCTCAAATAACTATCCCAGAATTTTGCACACACTAGATATTCAGGAAATATCTTTTGAATGAATTGATTACACATTCTGGCACCTTTTAAATGTCATTCAAATGTTCGATTTGGAGGGTGGCAGTGCTCCTGTGGGCCTGTGAATGGCTTCAATTACCACCATTCCCTCAGAGTGGAATTTTAAATGGTACCACTTGTTTGGTGTGTGAGCCGCGATGTGTTTGCATCTCAGGGAGCCACAATCCTCTCTGAAGATTGGAGGATGCTGAACCACAAACACACAAGGAGAAGAGTACTTCCTCTGCACCATCCAACATTCCCTTCTCAAGCCCATCTCTGAGCCTACACTGAGTCATACGCAGTGACTCATCCTTCTGAAATCCACCTAAGATCTCGAGCTGTGGTTTAGAAGAGCCAACTTGAAATACTGAGCAGACTTTGTTGTTTGGAGAGGACACGGCCTCCTTGATCTGGGTGCACCTTCCATATAAGGGGCCCCATGGCAGGTATAAGTGACCAGGAGTCAGCTCCAGTGTCAAACATGTCTATCACAGAATCCTACTACTTTTTTTTTTTCCTCTTGTGCCTCTCTTCTGTTCTCTGTGATACACAGAGTCAGACAATGTGATCATGATTAACCACATTATGTTCCAGATGTTAAATTACAAAACTATGTGAGGACTTCTTAAACCTCTGACTATTGCTAGAATTAAACAGCAGAAAAAAACTTGATATTCATAATGAATAAAAAGGAAAACTATAGTTTATCCATGCCATTCTCTTTAGGCAAAAGGAGGAGGTACCAGTTTCATTTCTGACTTGATTAGATATAAATGTGTAATGTAGTCAAGCGTTAACAAAAGCAGTTACTCATTATGAAGGAGTATCTTTTGGTCATATTTTAAGAACTAACATTTAATAATAGAAAAGTTACTTTTTAATTTCAAAACGAATATGAAAAATTACTCTCACTACATTATTCATACTGATATATATCTTAATTTTTTTCATGCTGTCATTTTATTAAACAAGTGTTTAGTGTCCTTTCACATATTGGATTATAGGGCTGTGTTGACTTTAGGGATCTTTTCCCCACCAGTTGGGGTGATGAATGTGATTGGCAAATGCTAGGAGTGACTCTTTTTTGACATTGATGGGAAATGCATTTCTTTTCAGTGTCAAGTTCAACAACAGGAGAGGGAGGGGACTCTTGAGAATTTTGGATTTTGTTATTAGGTTTTCAGCATCCATAATATTCATAAACAATAGACACAGCTGTCTTTAATAACTAAGCCCACTAACTGAATGGACAGAACATATGCCCAGAAAAACATCAGATTGTAAGAGAATTTTTTTTTCCAACACAGAAATTTTCAGAGATTGAAGCAAGATTTCATTTATAACCAAACTGTGTGTTTATCTCAAACTTCTATCATTAAGTAAAATAATTTGACCAAGGTCTAGGAAAAATGCAGTGAAGTGTTTGGTATTTTTATTTTTTTTTAATTATTTTTTTAATTATACTTTAAGTTTTAGGGTACACGTGCACATTGTGCAGGTTAGTCACATATGTATACATGTGCCATGCTGGTGCGCTGTACCCACTAACTCGTCATCTAGCATTACGTATATCTCCCGATGCTATCCCTCCCCCCTCCCCCCACCCCACAACAGTCCCCAGAGTGTGATATTCCCCTTTCTGTGTCCATGTGATCTCATTGTTCAGTTCCCACCTATGAGTGAGAATATGCGGTGTTTGGTTTTTTGTTCTCGCGATAGTTTACTGAGAATGATGATTTCCAATTTCATCCATGTCCCTACAAAGGACATGAACTCATCATTTTTTATGGCTGCATAGTATTCCATGGTGTATATGTGCCACATTTTCTTAAACCAGTCTATCATTGTTGGACATTTGGGTTGGTTCCAAGTCTTTGCTATTGTGAATAATGCCGCAATAAACATACGTGTGCATGTGTCTTTATAGCAGCATGATTTATAGTCCTTTGGGTATATACCCAGTAATGGGATGGCTGGGTCAAATGGTATTTCTAGTTCTAGATCCCTGAGGAATCGCCACACTGACTTCCACAATAGTTGAACTAGTTTACAGTCCCACCAACAGTGTAAAAGTGTTCCTGTTTCTCCACATCCTCTCCAGCACCTGTTGTTTCCTGACTTTTTAATGATTGCCATTCTAACTGGTGTGAGATGGTATCTCATTGTGGTTTTGATTTGCATTTCTCTGATGGCCAGTGATGATGAGCTTTTTTTCATGTGTTTTTTGGCTGCATAAATGTCTTCTTTTGAGAAGTGTCTGTTCATGTCCTTCGCCCACTTTTTGATAGGGTTGTTTGTTTTTTCTTGTAAATTTGTTTGAGTTCATTGTAGATTCTGGATATTAGCCCTTTGTCAGATGAGTAGGTTGCGAAATTTTTCTCCCATTTTGTAGGTTGCCTGTTCACTCTGATGGTAGTTTCTTTCACTGTGCAGAAGCTCTTTAGTTTAATTAGATCCCATTTGTCAATTTTGCCTTTTGTTGCCATTGCTTTTGGTGTTTTGGACATGAAGTCCTTGCCCATGCCTGTGTCCTGAATGGTAATGCCTAGGTTTTCTTCTAGGGTTTTTATGGTTTTAGGTCTAACGTTTAAGTCTTTAATCCATCTTGAATTGATTTTTGTATAAGGTGTAAGGAAGGGATCCAGTTTCAGCTTTCTACATGTGGCTATCCAGTTTTCCCAGCACCATTTATTAAATAGGGAATCCTTTCCCCATTGCTTGTTTTTCTCAGGTTTGTCAAAGATCAGATAGTTGTAGATATGCGGCGTTATTTCTGAGGGTTCTGTTCTGTTCCATTGATCTGTATCTCTGTTTTGGTACCAGTACCATGCTGTTTTGGTTACTGTAGCCTTGTAGTATAGTTTGAAGTCAGGTAGTGTGATGCCTCCAGCTTTGTTCTTTTGGCTTAGGATTGACTTGGCGATGCAGGCTCTTTTTTGGTGCCATATGAACTTTAAAGTAGTTTTTTCCAATTCTGTGAAGAAAGTCATTGGTAGCTTGATGGGGATGGCATTGAATCTGTAAATTACCTTGGGCAGTATGGCCATTTTCATGATATTGATTCTTCCTTCC